>NC_000001.11:220059587-220684587 GCF_000001405.40 Homo sapiens
CGTAACAGTCTAAGTAAAATAATATTACTGAGATATTATGTCTTAGCATGATATAATTGTAGAAAAACTATGAATTTCCTCAAATAAAACAGACTAACCTCCCACAGCATGTAAAATAACTTCTGGAGCACAAGTATCCCACTTCTTACAACCAGGACTTGCAAATACATAAGCAGAGGCTTTGCCTTCAATCAGCTGAATAATCTGTAAGGGTAAAAATAAGAATTATCCTTTGATAATAGAAAGAATAATTGAAAGTCATGAAAAGATTGAGGTACAGATAAGAAAAACTGCTTGTTTCTATCAAGGACATTTAATCAGTTCCTCTGTTAAATTTAGTTAAAGCTTTTAGCAGGTTTAAATTATACCAGTATTATGAAGAAATACATAGAATAAATGCATAATAATATAGTGATATGAAGGAAAAATAATGGTCAAAAAAGCTACAAAGAGGATATCTGAACTGTCTCCATATTCCAAGTTACATAAAGTAACATGTTCCTTTTATTCACGTTGTTTTTCTTTTTTAGTGTAAAAGCAATATACATTTACAGCAGAATTAATTCAAGTTTTTTCAACATCTAAAAAATTGACCATTTATTAGAGGGCTGCGCATGGTGGCTCACTCCTGTAATGCCAGCACTTTGGGAGGCTGAGACAGGTGGATCACTTGCAGCCAGGAGTTTGAGACCAGCGTGGCCAACATAGCAAAACCCATCTCTACTAAAAATACAAAAAATTAGCTGGGTGTTGTGTTGCATGTCTGTAATCCTAGCTACTTGGGAGGCTGAGGCACGAGAATCGTTTGAACCTGGGAGGTGGAGGTTGTAGTGAGCCAAGACTGCACCACTTCACTCCAGCCTGGGCGACAGAGCGAGACTCTGTCTCAAACAAACAAAAGCACTCCCCTCAAAAAAAAACCCTGACCATTATTAAATAAAGGACAGAGAAGTATCAAGCAGTACCATAATGTATAAATTGTAATAGATCCTAACAGATGTGCAATGTGACTAGTCTAACAAATACTTTCATAAGTCTTGGGATCACACGTATTGCCATTTCACTACCAAAATACAAACTTTTTTTTTTAAAAATATTTGAAGAGATTTATTCTAAGCCCAATATGAGTGACCATGGCCCATGACACAGCCCTCAGGAAGTCCTGAGAACATGTGCCCAAGGCAGTGGGGAGCAGCTTGGTTGTATGTATTTTAGAGAGGCATGAGACATCAATCAAATACATTTAAGAAATACATTGATTTGGTCCAGAAAGGTGGAACAACTCAAAGCGGTGGGGGCGGGGAGGCTTCCAGGATATAGGTGAATTTAAGTATTTTCTGATTGACAATTGATTGGGTTTGTCTAAAGACCTGGGATCTATAGAAAGAGAATGTTCAGATTAAGATAAAGATTGTTGAGACCAAAATTCCTTTGAAGTCTTATAGTGGCTGTCCTTAGATACAATAGGTGACAAATGTTTCCTAATCAGATTTTAGTTAATCTGTTTAGGATTTGGAGGGTCTGAAAGAAAAAGAGCTAGCTATGTTAATAGAGATGCTTTACAGATGCAGATTTTTCCCCACAAAGAACAGCTTTGCAGCGCCACAAAATACAAACTTTTATAGAGTCATCCTAACAATTCCTCTAATACTGACACACAACTGAGATCACTGCTAGAACTTGCATGACTCTAAATGGTAACCTGCTATCAAACTTTCATTAGTCAATTGACTTTTTTTGGTTATAGTGTAAAATAATTATTATTATAAAACTCAGACTCTTCTAGAAATACAAAAATTAGCCAGGTGTGGTGGCAGGCGCCTGTAATCCCAGCTACTCAGGAAGCTGAGGCAGGAGAATCGCTTGAACCCGGGAGGTGGAGGTTGCAGTGAGCCGAGATTGTGCCATTGCACTCCAGCCTGGGCAACAGAGTAAGACTCCGTCTCAAAAAAAAAAAAAAAACAAAAAACTATTCAGAAGATACATAAGTAGGACCAGAGTGATAGGCTGTGAGGAAGGAAGGAGTCTAGGATGACTTTCAGGTGTTTGGCTGGATCAGTTAGAAAAATGGTGGTGCCATTAGTGGGATAGTAAAACAGGGAGAGAAACACATCCAGAGGTGGGTAGAAAGAGGATGAACTCAAATTGGACACGCTAAATTTGAGATACCTGAGGGATGTCATCATAATGATATCTAGGGGACAATCAGATGAGAAGAGATCAGGGCTAGGGATGTAGATCAAATTGTGTCCCATTTCATAATTCTCTCAGCAGGTTGGAAACCTGGATGAAAGAATGGGGGAAATAGATAGGAAGTGGGCAGGCAGGCCAGATCTTAGAGTCTGTAGAAGGGCTAGGAAATAATCTAAGAGGGTCCTTGGGAAAATAAGGTCTTTGGCAAGAAGCATGGAGTCATCCTGATGACTTTCATTAACATTGAACTCTCTCAGATAAAAAAAAAAAAAACTTGATTCTTAAATTTATTTTTAAAATTTAAATGCTGCTGAAATGTACAAATTATAGTCTTTACTCCCATCTCTTTAAACGCTTATTTCTTTTTTTTTTATTATTATACTTTAAGTTTTAGGGTACATGTGCACAATGTGCAGGTTAGTTACATATGTATACATGTGCCATGCTGGTGTGCTGCACCCATTAACTCGTCATCTAGCATTAGGTATATCTCCCAATGCTATCCCTCCCCCCTCCCCCCACCCCACAACAGTCCCCAGAGTGTGACATTCCCCTTCCTGTGTCCATGTGTTCTCATTGTTCAATTCCCATTTATGAGTGAGAACATGCGGTGTTTGGTTTTTTGTCCTTGCGATAGTTTACTGAGAATGATGATTTCCAATTTCATCCACGTCCTTACAAAGGACATGAACTCATCATTTTTTATGGCTGCATAGTATTCCATGGTGTATATGTGCCACATTTTCTTAATCCAGTCTATCATTGTTGGACATTTGGGTTGGTTCCAAGTCTTTGCTATTGTGAATAGTGCCACAATAAACATACGTGTGCATGTGTCTTTATAGCAGCATGATTTATAGTCCTTTGGGTATATACCCAGTAATGGGATGGCTAAACTCTTATTTCATGTTTTTAGAAGTTGAGTATTTCAATGATTCACTTGCACTTCAGAGCAGATGACAGACATTTTTCATACCTTATTTCCTGCTCCTCCTACTCGCAGCACAGCATCGGGGTTCATAGCAGCAACACAGTCAGTAACCAACTTGTTGCTATGGGATCGAGTAGTTGTGATAATGTGTTTCCCAGCAGGGACTTCTTTCAGCTGAAACCCAAAGGCGCCTAAACCTAAAACTCCCCAGATTGTCCTCCCCAACACAGCATCTGGTCCTGCCTGTGTAAACGAGTGAAACAACAAGACTTGTGGTTATTTGGAGAAGAACGTTAGCCCATAAATGGAATATTCAGTTATATTAGCATCATGATTTAAAAAATAAAAACATGATAGCCGGGCGCGGTGGCTCATGCCTGTAATCCCAGCACTTTGGGAGGCCGAGGCGGGCGGATCACGAGGTCAGGATATCTAAACCATCCTGGCTAACACGGTGAAACCCCGTCTCTAATAAAAATACAAAAAATTAGCCGGGCATGGTGGTGGGTGCCTGTAGTCCCAGCTACTTGGGAGGCTGAGGCAGGAGAATGGCGTGAACCTGGGAGGTGGAGGTTGCAGTGAGCCAAGATCACGCCACTACACTCCAGTCTGGGCGACAGGGCAAGACTCCGTCTCAAAAAACATGATAATGTTATAAAGTACAAGAACAATATCACTGGCAAAGAACTTCTCCTGAGAGAATCTGCTGATTATTATCATTACTGTTCTGGTTAACAGTTTCAAAGAACTTTTGGTTATTCCCTGGAATCCTTATAAACTGATTTCTGTTTATAATGTGCTGAAACATCATAAACTGATTACTGTTTCTCTGAATTATCTAATGATCTCTTTGTTGTATTTGAAAATGGCCATTTTCAGAAGGTACTAAGATCCCCAGGAAATGAAATACCATGTATTGATAACTACTTTTCATTATCCAAGAAATATTAAAAATCATGTTGCTACAGGAATAGGTAATGATGACAATGTATTTGGCTGCTATGGAGATAGGGCAACTGAATAGGCCAATACAATATTGAAGAGTAGCCATGGATAATGGGATCAGAGTTAAGATTTTGCTGACAATTTTAACAGCAAAATGACAATGATAATGCAATCTTAGAATCTATATTTTCCTTTGCAGAACTCAATTTCAACTACATTGTTATAACTATACACTTGATATAGAAAAAAAATCTGTATTTCATGGAAAGTAAAACTGATACATAAAATGATTGATGCAAAGTCATCAAAATACAATTATATTAATATAGTAGACATATATTATAGAGATATACATATTGTACTGAACACCAAACATGTACCAGGCACCATTCTAAGTGCTTTACATGTATTATCTCTCTTTCAATCCTCAAAGCACCCCCATGAAGTAGGTATTCTCATCCTTAATTTAAAGATTAGAAAAATGAAATGTGGAACCATTAAGTAACCTGACTAAAGGTTCTAAGAAGTTCACAACCAAAGATTGGCTCATCTGTCTTCAAAGATGATATTCTTAAACACTAAATTAGACTGCCTATGTTTACCTGTCAAATGTTTTCACACACATCATCTTATTTGTCCTAGAGCAGTACCCTGGGTGTTGTTATTGTGAAATATACTTAGGTCGCAGGTTGGGTTCCCTGGGAAGCAGACTCTGAGGCAGGTGGTATGTTTGTTAGGAAGTGCGCTTGGTATCAACACCTGTGGAAGGAGGAGGAGGGTGTGGGCAGAGGGAAGAAATAAGCTGTGATGCAGGTACAGCAAGAGCTGACCCTACGGGGAGCTGTTCCTATGCGGGGAGTCTGGAGCTACAATAGCCTTTCAGGGTAGTCCCAAATTGGGATGAGATGTCAGGTCTTTAAACTCCTGCAATAATCAGTCACTGGAAATGGACTGCATTGGGAAGAGGGGTGGTCCTAGGTGAGACAGCTCTCCATTGGTAGGGCAATCCCAGAAGAGTCTGATGGCATATGGGGCAACAAAGGAGCCAAAGAACAAGCACTGGGTACTCAGTATATGTTAATGTGCTTCCTCTGTTCCCATCTGAGTTTACACTACAGGAGAGGCTTGGAATCTAAGGAAGCTATTTATTTTTTTATTTTTATTTTTTTGAGACAGAGTCTTACTGTGTCGCCCAGGCTGGAGTGCAGTGGTGCGATCTCGGCTCACTGCAAACTCTGCCTCCTGGGTTCAAGCAATTCTCTTGCCTCAGCCTCCTGAGTAGCTGGGATTATAGGTGCATGCCACCATGTCCGGCTAATTTTGTATTTTTTTAGTAGAGACAGGGGTTTCACCATGTTGGTCAGGCTGGCCTCGAACTCCTGACCTTGTGATCCACCTGCCTTGGCCTCCCAAAGTGCTGGGATTACAGGCGTGAGCCACCACGCCCAACCAAGAAACCTATTTATTAATGCAGTTCTCCAGTTATTCTGGAAAAAAATAAAGGAAAGAAAACAGTGGACACGAATATTTTGGGCCCTACAAGGTCATATTGCCTCTGTAAATGAACATCTAGGCAAAAAGGATGGGATCAAGGACTCTGGTGTCTTGGTGTGGTAAATGCAATCCCATGATGCAGCTGGCTTGCCTTCTTCTGTGCTCCTGACTCTCAGGCTCTGGCATTGTCTCTCTCTTTCAAAGGCTCCACACCAATTTTGGGAGGGTAATAAAGGCGAAAATTTTCTGACAATTAAGCTTCAATGGTTAAGAAACTGGCTTCAGTATGAAGATAGACTGAGTTTCTTCATGCTATTTCCTTTAAGTGTCTACTAGTTTCAGTATATGTTGGAAGCAATAATAAAGTTTGAATTGCTAAGTCTTTTCTCTGGCTCAGGAGGGCAATATAAAGTAATACAGTAGCAAGGTTTGGATTTGAGTTTGAATCTCAGTTCTGCCATTTACCAGCTGGGTGACCACAGGAAAGTTAATTGCCTCAGTTTCCTCTTTAAAATGGGGATAATAGTTTATTTAAAGGGCTGTGGTTAGTATTCAATGAAAGGATACATTTGAAACCCTTGAACCTGGCAGCATACAGTAAACTCTTAATAAATTTTAGCTATTATGGTGATGATGATTATTATTTAAAATTGAATCTTTAGCCTGAATACCACCAACACAGCTGAGCAACTTTTCTACTTCCATTTGTGGTAATGAATTTTAAGGCATAAGCAAGAGAAGCAAGAGAAAGGATAAACAGAGTGTCCAGAAGGGAAGTGGTACAGAGAGAGGTAATGAAGAGAAGCAGAACTGGAGAAAATGAACTGGTATGTGGGATGTACAATGACCACCTGGGGTACCACAAGTTGCCTGCTTCTTTTCTACCTACTAGTGGAGCCAAAACCCTAGCTATTTTTCTCACCTTTGCTTCATTCCTGTGTTCCCTTAACTGCTGTTTTTCATTGTTCTGTGGAAAATGAATACAATTTTTCTAATCTCAGAAAGAAGTGGTGAAAATTATTAACTCCTAAGCACTTAGATTTTTTCTTGATGAAAGGTACCGTGCATTACAATGCTTTATATGAATTAAATGCCCCTTTTGAAAGTAATAGTATTAACTTAAAGTTTACATAAAAACCACAAACTTATGTCTGTATATAACAGTATCAACATTAAAATCATATTTAAAGAATTAATAGACACAAGCAATTTAACCCCAGAGACTTTCTCAATAACATATAACTCTTTTGGTAAATCCTAAGAAACACGATTCTTAATATAATTTATAATCATACAAACAGCAGGAAAAAACAAATTTATATTAGAAATAAAGCTTAACCTTGCTTTTAACTCAGAGTGGAAATTCAGAAGTAGTATTGCCCACTCTGATTACTTTGTTTCTCTAAAGTTCTATCAAGGTCACATTAATATAAATACCTTAACTACTTTATCTCAACAATTTCCTATACAATTTAATGCAATTTAATGGTAAATTCTTGCTTTGAAATTACACTAGTCCCTTGCTTCTATGGAAGGCAATTTATCTGATGTATAATAGAAAATCAAAGCAGATTAGAAGAGACAAGAAAAAAGAATGCAAGAGCATAGTACGTTCTGTTACCAACACTGACTGTAACTTAGGCGCTACACAGCGTTACCTGGAAAACAACAGGCCTAGCATCTTTTCTTAGTTGAAATGGTTCATTTCTTGAATGTGCTTCAGGAACCAATCATAAATCAGGTGTCTTGATGCCCAAGCTAATCAAGAACCCTATCAGTAATTCTCTCAACATTTATATTTGAATCATAAGGAATAAATTAAAAAATATATAATGCATTTAGTGGGTCTGTGTACATACACATGCATATATATACATACCCAGTACCAATGCCCCCAGCGATTTTGATTCAGTAGGTCTGGGGTATGGCCTGGGAATCCGTATTTTTAAAGGTTTCTCATCAGTTAATAGCATAGCTAAAAAAAAAGTTAAAAATAAATAAATAAATAAATAAAATTTAAAAAATGAAAAGTTCCCCAGATGATTGCATATGCAACCAAGCTAAAAACCACTTGCTTAGGTAACATAAAGAATCAGATAACACTATAATTATTTATCTAATGAAATTACTTTGTATCATTTATAGTAATACCTCATAGTTGTAATATGGCTGGTTAATAACTCCTGCTATGGCTTTTCCTTCATAAGCAATTCCAATAAGAACTGTTACATTGTCAAGAAGACCTGCAAAGAAGAAATAAATATCAGTTATATAACTTGCTCATATTATGACTCATCATTACTACATCAATTGCTCCAAGTTAGTTTTGCAGTTAAGGTATGGAATTTGCAATGATTCATCCGTGATCAATCCTATTTATAGTGAAAGGCATAAATGATAAGCTGGCCAGAAACAGCCATAGGATCTATGGCCACTTAATTGAATTGGCTATCATGGTCTCATTAGTACAATGTGTAAACCAACTAAATAAAGCAGCCATAATTTTGCAGCCATCATCATCAGATTCCTCTGTGCCTCTTCCACCATCATCCAACTCATCCTTACCTGCCGAATCACTTTATATTCCTGGATTACACTCTAGACTTGTATTTCAAGCCTTTAAAACAGAGTTTCTCAAAGGGAGGCCCAAGGACTATCAAGCAGCATTAGAATTAACTGATGTACTTTTTATAATACAGATCTTCTCAGGCTCCTTCCCAGAACTAGTGAATCAAAATCTGAGAGTGGGGGACAAGACCTAAATAAGCTTTCTAGGTGCTTTTATACACATTAAAGTTGTCTAGAGCTTCCTTATTTCACAATGGGTTCTACAGATGTTTTCAGCACACACACATACATACACATGTATACACACACTGTGATTCACCCATTATAGCGATGTCTCATTCAAGAACAGTAAAATAGTTTTTTTCTAGTAATTATGATAAATTTTTTAAGCCATGTCCTGAGAGCCAATACAAGAAAATTTATGTAGACCTTAATTTAATTTTATCATCATCATCATCATTATTATTCTTATTTTCTTTTTTTGAAACAGAGTCTTGCTCTGTCACCCAGGCTGGAGTGCAGTGGCATGATCTCAGCTCACTGCAACCTCTGTCTTCTGGATTCAAGCAATTCTCCTGCCTCAGCCCCACAAGTAGCTGGGATTACAGACGTGTGCCACCAGGCCCAGCTAATTTTTGTATTTTTAGGAGAGAAGGTGTTTCACCATGTTGGCCAGGCTGGTCTTGAACTTCCGACCTAATTATCTGCCCACCTCGGCCTCCCAAAGTGCTGGGATTACAGGCATAAGCCACCACGCCTGGCCTAGATCTTAAGTTTAAAAATAAAACTCTAAGCTTAAAACCTAAAACCTACCAGGTGCGGTGGCTCACACCTGTAATCCCAGCACTTTGGGAGGCCCAGGTGAGTGGATCACCTGAGGTCAGGAGTTCAAGACCAGCCTGACCAACATGGTGAAACCCCATCTCTCCTAAAAATACAAAAATTAGCTGGGCGTGGTGGCAGGTGCCTGTAATCCCCGCTACTTGGGAGGTGAGGCAGGAGAACAGCTTGAACCTGGGAGGCAGAGGTTGCAGTGAGCCGAGATGGTGCCACTGCACTCTAGCCTGGGCAATGAGCAAGACTGTCTAATAGAAAAAACAAAACCTAAAACTCTGGCTCTGAGCTTGTTCATTCCTACATTTATATGGCCAATTTTATTTTAATTTGTTGCTCTCTAATTGTTCTCATCTTAGATAAGGAGAAATATTGTACTGTGTTTCAAAACCCACCTTTAGAAGGTGAGGCTATGAAATGTGAAAGCAGTTCACAGATTAGGGGAGAGTGAATGGGGAGGGCATGGGATGGTGGTGGTGGCAGAGCAAGAGCTACACAGTTGTACTCGTTATCGTTTTTCTACCCCAATAAAGCTGGGTTCAGTATAGTCATTTTGGTAACACTGGTTTAATATGTTATTCTCATCTGGGAGACATTAGAAGTGTGGGGCTGGTGGAGTATGTGGGGGGTGGTATTTGAAGGAGATGAATTTTATTCTCCTGTCTTAACAATCAACGATGTATGATAACCATGAGCACAAATATAGCTTTAGGGGTAAACATAACACATGATAGTAGCTTTCCATACAACATACAAAATATCAAATATTTACAACTAACATCATATCCTTGTCCCACTACTGTCAAATATGAATACAAAAGAGATATCAACCTTCGGTATATTCCTTGGTTCCATCCAGAGGATCAACCCAGACCACGAGCTAAAATTAAAAAGAGAGAAGGAAAATATCTAAATCAAGCACACAAAATTCTAAAAATAGATTTAAATAGATTAAAATTACTCTTTTTTTCCTGTTTGAAATTGTATTATGGATGGCTTAAATTAATGTCATCTGTTTTGAGATAGTACAAAAAGCTTATTCTTTTGTAATCATGGAAAAAGTCCATTTGAATAAGAAAAAAGTCTGATTTAAGAATTTTCAGGCCAAGCACGGTGGCTCACACCTGTAATCCCGCACTTTGAGAGGCCGAGGCGGGTGGATCACCTGAAGTCAGGAGTTCGAGACCAGCCCGGCCAAAGTGGTGAAACCCCATCTCTACTAAAAATACAAAAATTAGCCGGGCGTGGTGGTGGGTGGCTGTAATCCCAGCTACTCAGTAGGCTGAGGCAGGAGAATCACTTGAACTCAGGAGGCGGAGGTAGCAGTGAGCAGAGATCGTGCCATTGCACTCCAGCCTGGATGACAAGAGCAAAACTCCATCTCAAAAAAAAAAAATACAAAAAAATGATTTTCAACATGAAATGCTTAACTGATAAAAGTTTGTTGTCATTTGAACACTAAGCACAATGAATATACTGATCTCTAGATCATGGTACAGGAAAAACTTGTAAAGTGGCAAAAAAATGTTTTGAACAAGCACAGTTGCTACTCATTTTTATATATAAGTGCTGATTTTAAAAAAACAAGTCTGATTATCTTAAGGACACAGTCCATACAATCCAAAGAAAAATGAATAATAAAACTGGCAGCAGATTTAAAAGGAAAATTCCTTCTGTTTAGGACATTTAATATGATTCAGGATATGCTGCCTTTAACCACTACAATGATAACATTATGTGAATTTCTGAGTGAGGGCATGTTTCTGATGGAGAACACCATGTCTCACTTTCTTTTCTTTTTTGCTTTTTTTGAGACAGAGTCTCACTCTGTCACCCAGGCTGGAGTGCAGTGGCGCGATCTCGGCTCACTGCAACCTCTGCCTCCCGGGTTCATGCCATTCTCCTGCCTCAGCCTCCCAAGTAGCTGGGACTACAGGCGCCTGCCACCACACCCAGCTAATTTTTTGTATTTTTAGTAGAGATAGGGTTTCACCGTGTTAGCGGATTCAGGCGATTCTCCTGCCTCAGCCTCCCAAGTAGCTAGGACTACAGGCGCGCACCACCATGCCCAGCTAATTTTTTTGTATTTTTAGTAGAGATGGGGTTTCACCATGTTGGCCAGAATGGTCTTGATCTCTTGACCTCGTGATCCGCCTACCTCAGCCTCCCAAAGTGCTGGGATTACAGGCTTGAGCCACCTTACCTGGCCCCAGCACCATCTCTTAAAGAGATTATTTTTTCCCCAGTTGAATGGCCCTGGCACACTTGTGAAAAATCAGCAGGCCATAGATGTATAGGTTTCACGCTGGTCATGGTGGCTCACGCCTATAATCCCAGCACTTTGGGAGGCTGAGGCGGGCAGATCACCTGAGGTCGAGAGTTCAAGACCAGCCTGACCAACATGGAGAATCCCCGTCTCTTCTAAAAATACAAAATTAGCTGGGCGTGGTGGCACATGCCTGTAATCCCAGTTACTCAGGAGGCTGAGGCAGGAGAATTGCTTGAACCTGGGAGGCGGAGGTTGGTCTCGATCTCCTGACCTCGTGATCCGCCTGCCTCGGCCTCCTAAAGTGCTGAGATTACAGGCGTGAGCCACCATGCCCAGCCCCACCATGTCTCATTTTCTTTGTTTCCTCCATACCACAGAGCAAAGTGTCTTATTCATAGTAAGTCTCCAATGAATATGCCTTAAATAATTAAAAATTGGAAAACTAAAGACATTATGGTGGCTATCTGAAGTCACAGGTTTAACTTAAGCAACTATAAAAAGCAAGCAGGATGACATTTATGTTCTTCTAAAAATATAAGGTAGCAACCTGTTTCATAGCCTTCTATCCCCAATTACCAATGAATGTTTTACTAGCAAATCTACTACATATCTACTAAATAACAAATTAGATTTTCTTCCTAAAAGTATTTATTTATTTATTTAATGAGACAGGGTCTCACTCTGCTGTCCAGGCTGTAAGGTACATGTAAAACTGCACAAGGTAGGAACAAAGTAGGACAACTTACACTTCCCAATTGCAAAACTTAATGCAAAGCAAGAAAGTGTGGTACTGGCATAAGGATAGACATATAGACCAATAGAATATAACTGAGAGTCCATAATGAAACCCATACATCTATTTCTTTTCTTTTTTCTTCTTTTTGAGACTAAGTTTTGCTCTTGTCACCCAGACTGGAGTGCAATGGCGCAATCTCGGCTCACTGTAACCTCCGCCTCCCAGGTTCAAGCAATTCTCCTGCCTCAGCCTCCTGAGTAACTGGGATTACAGGCATGTGCCACCACGCCCAGCTAATTTTGTATTTTTAGAAGAGACGGGGATTCTCCATGTTGGTCAGGCTGGTCTTGAACTCTCGACCTCAGGTGATCTGCCCGCCTCAGCCTCCCAAAGTGCTGGGATTATAGGCGTGAGCCACCATGGCCAGCGTGAAACCTATACATCTATGGCCTGCTGATTTTTCACAAGTGTGCCAGGGCCATTCAACTGGGGAAAAAATAATCTCTTTAAGAGATGGTGCTGGGGCCAGGTAAGGTGGCTCAAGCCTGTAATCCCAGCACTTTGGGAGGCTGAGGTAGGCGGATCACGAGGTCAAGAGATCAAGACCATTCTGGCCAACATGGTGAAACCCCATCTCTACTAAAAATACAAAAAAATTAGCTGGGCATGGTGGTGCGCGCCTGTAGTCCTAGCTACTTGGGAGGCTGAGGCAGGAGAATCGCCTGAACCCAGGAGGTGGAGGTTGTGGTGAGCCAAGATCGCGGCCCTGTACTCCAGCCTGGTGACAGAGCGAGACTCCGTCTCAGAAAAAAAAAAAAGAGATGGTGCTGGTTGCAGCCTCAACCTCCATGGGCTCAGGTGATCCTCCCATCTCAACCTCCCAAGTAGCTGAGACTATAAGTGTGCACCACCATACCTGGCTAATTTTTGTATTTTTTGTTGAGACAGAGTTTCACCATGTTGCCGAGTCTGGTCTCGAACTCCTAGACTCAAGCAATCCAACCACCTCGGCCTCCCAGAGTGCTGGGATTACAGGTGTGAGCCACCATGCCTGTCCCTAAAAGTATTTTAAATAACGGTTTTAGAGTGCAAAGGAAACCCATAGGATGAGAAACTGAACTCTAAATCCATATGGTTGCCTGATACTTCCATGTTGGCTCTGAAAGATATCAAGTTTCTGGTTGCCCCTATTTTATAACTACCAATTTTTCATCTTACATGCAAATATTATTTCCTTTACTATGGCAAAAAGCCCAGGTTAATAGAGAGTTGAGTATAAATATGGGTCATACATCTTCTTCTTTAATAGCACTGTACTGCGATGGGCATGGTTGCTTCAGTATTTCTTCCCACTGACTGTCTTCAATCAGCTCTTGATCCACTTCCTCAGAAGGCAGATCCTAAAGCAGAGATAACCCTAATGGTTACTGAAGCTGTTTAGTGTTTACAGAGTATGCTTTGTCTCATTAACAGAAGAAATGCAGCATCACAGTTTTCACTAGTTCTTCTGGTTTACCATTTATATTTAGAGCTTTTAAAGCAAACCTTAAAAATTTGCAAAAACAACCATATGTGGCTCATCAAAATTGACTAAATGGTTCCAGTGTCATTATACTGAAGAGAGTTTAAAAAGAAAAGAATTTTTAAGTATTATACACTCATTTAAACAAGTGTCTCTGACAGCAGATAGTTCCCTTGTATTACATGAGATGTCAGTTCCCTCACTTTCTTTTTTTATTTTTTTTTTTTGAGACGGAGTCTTGCTCTGTTGCCCAGGCTGGAGTGCAGGGACACCATCTCAGCTCACTGCAACCTCCCCATCCTGGGGTCAAGCAGTTCTCCTTCCTCAGCCTCCTGAGTAGCTGGGATTACAGGCATTCACCACCAAGCCTGGCTAATTTTTGTATTTTTAGTAGAGACAGGGTTCAGTTTCACCATGTTGGTCAGGCTGGTCTTGAACTCCTGACCTCGTGATTCGCCCGCCTCAGCCTCCCAAAGTGCTGGTATTACAGGCGTGAGCCACTGCGCCTGGCCTAATTCCCTCATTTTCAAAGTGTTATAGTCTTTGGATAAGTATGCAAATAAGCCTAATTTTAAAAACAAACAACAACGAAACCCATTTTATTCCAAAGTTCTAGATCTCTGCCCATCTTACAGTTTGTATGCTGGGTATAACAGTAACCATATCTTCTATGGTCAATAATTAAGACAACTGGCTTAGAAATAGACCAAAATGTCTTAAAATCAGATATTTTCCCCAAGTCCAAGGAATACAATAATTACTTTTGTGTTTAAAACAATAAATATAATGCTTAAAATCATAATAGTGGTATATAAATCATTAAAGTGTCAGTTATAAATCCATTTGGTAAACAGAGATTTTAAAAAAATGTCTCTGATGACGCTTACCTCTTCCCCTATAATTGTGAGTTTGGGGAATTTCCGGGCCAATGAAGAACATATGCTCATCTGTGCCAATCGGTCAGCTTTGGTCTGCAGGTCTGTTGCACAGGTCTGTAATAAAGAATGCAAATTTTAGCAGAGCTAATGAAAAATAAGTTGTCCTCTGATTCCTTGTGCATGAGTGCCTACATAATTTAGATTACACTGTCAGTTTTTAGAGTCATAGAACTTAACACCAAATGAGTTAACTGGTTTCTTGCCTTGGTTTTTCTCAAAGGATTAATAGTGGGTAAAGTTTGGAAAGGAGCTTTTAAATAATCCAGAACATTTTCTTCCCTAGTTTAGAAATTCCTTATCTCTAGACATCAACCTTTTGCTTAAATAGGTTAAGAGATAGGAAATGTATAACTTTTCAAGGCAAAGTTAATAGTTATTAGAAAAGTGTTCCGTGGATCTTTCTATAACTTCCACACTAATCCTAATCATAATAATTCAACAGGTCCTCAAGTTGATTCACAGGTACAGAGTAAGAAATCCTATTTGTTTTTTTTTTTGAGACAGAGTCTTGCTCTGTCACTGGGCTGGAGTACGGTGGCACGATCTTAGCTCACTGCAAACTCTGCCTCCTGGGTTCAAGCAATTCCCCTGCCTCAGCCTCCCAAGTAGCTGGGACTACAGGCACGTGCCACCATGCCCGGCTAATTTTTTGTATCTTAGTAGAGACAGGGATTCACCATGTTGGCCAGGATGGTCTTGATCTCCTGATCTTGTGATCCACCCGCCTTGACCTCCCAAAATGCTGAGATTACAGGCATGAGCCACCATGCCCGGCCTAAGAAATCCTGTTTCTAAAAATCTAAAAAACACGAATATGAACTGCTGTAATATTTAACATATAGCTCACCTATGGCACCCTCACTCAATCAATATGTCAGATACTCATGCTAGTGAAAGAGAAAAGTTTTGCAAGTGACAACCACAACCTCCTTTGTTAGTTTGCTTTCAGAGCCTTATGATATGTTGCAATTTATATATGCCTGGTTAAGTAGATTTACAGATTATATCATCTTAGTAGAATTTGTTTGTTTGTTTGTTTGTTTTGAGACGGAGTCTCACTCTGTCGCCTAGGCTGGAGTGCAGTGGCGCGATCTCAGCTCACTGCAACCTTTGCCTCTCTGCTTCAAGCAATTCTCCTGCCTCAGCCTCCTGAGTAGCTGGGACTGCAGGTGTCCCCCACCATGCCTGGCTAATTTTTGTATTTTTAGTAGAGATGGGGTTTCACCATATTGGCCAGGCTGGTCTCAAACTCCTGACCTCATGATCCGCCCACCTCGGGCTCCCAAAGTGCTGGGATTACAGGTGTGAGCCAGTGCACCCAGCCTCATCTTAGTAGAATTTTAACAATACTTTGCAATGAGATAAGAAGTCATTATGAAAAGCAACTGTTTTATGCCTCACTGAGATTTGCTGTATATCTCAATGCAAAGTACTATTCTGCTAGAATGTAAGCTCCACAAAAGGATTTTATTCCCTAAAGAACTGTGCCTAGCACACAGTAGGTGCTCTATAAGTATCTTTTGAATGAACCTACTCAAAAGAATTGTTGAGTTTGAAGATTAGTTAAATACCAATCAAGTTTGTAGACCACTGCGGTAGAGAAAAAAAAGACACATTGAAAGCCATTCCACTATGTGAGGAAATCAATTTTCTTTTCCTCGCTAAGATAAATATTTCCTATTCTATCAACATAGTTCCAGACATCATCATTGGAACCTTGTGTGATAAACTGATTTTGCTGTTTTTTTAAAAATAAGGTATCAACGGAAGGATATAAAGTACTAGAAATGCCTGAGCACTACAGAAGACAATGAGAATGTTACCTTTTTTCCCGACTTAGCATTACATCTCTGTTCCTTTTTAGCTACCTGGGTTTCAAAATTGTATGTCTAATATAACCTCAACATAAGATCAACTTAAAATAAGTGATGTTAAGGAAAAGGATCTGAAAGGAAATAATTCAAAATATTGGCAATGGTGGCATGATGGATGATTTTTGTTTATTTTGGCATTTTTCTCCATTTCCTACTTTTCATAATAAAAAAAACTTTATAAAAAATGAGATTAGGGGCTGGGCGCAGTGGCTCATGCCTGTAATCCGAGCACTTTGGGAGGCCGAGGCAGGTAGATCACAAGGTCAGGAGTTCGAGACCAGCCTGACCAACATGGAGAAACCCTGCCTCTACTAAAAATACAAAATTAGCCCAGGCGTGGTGGCTCATGCCTGTAATCCCAGCATTTTGGGAGGCTGAGGTGGGCGGATGCCGAGGTCAGGAGTTTGAGACCATCTGGCTAACATGGTGGAACCCTATCTCTACTAAAAATACAAAAAAATTAGCTGGGTGTGGTGGCGGGCGCCTGTAGTCCCAGCTACTCGGGAGGCTGAGGCAGGAAAACGGCATGAACCTGGGAGGCAGAGCTTGTAGTGAGCCAAGATCATGCCACTGTACTCCAGCCTGGGTGACAGAGCAAGACTCCATCTCAAAAAAAAAAAAAAAAAAGGCAAAAAAATACAAAATTAGCTGGATGTGGTGGCACATGCCTGTAATCCCAGCTACCCAGGAGGCTGAGGCAGGAGAATCGCTTGAACCTGGGAGGCAGAGGCTGCGGTGAGCTGAGATAACGCCATTGCACTCCAGCCTGGGCAACAAGAGTGAAACTCCTTCTTAAAAAAAAAAATAAATTAATAATAATAATAATAATAATAATAATAATAGTAGTAGCCCTCTGAAAGCAGCAGTATTATTTCGTTGGTTATTACCAAGCATGTCTGTAGTCAACTAAAATCTCTTTTTCAAACAAATTTGAATCAGATTTATCTTACATAACTTGAACATGAATACAGCGCTTTATATTATTCCTGTTATATCCTGTTGGATTTGGTCCACTTTTCTCAGAGGTTGCAACTATTTTGAATACTTATTCTGTGATCAAATGCATGAACTAGCCCGCTCAGCTTTCTCTTATTGACAAATTTGATAAGCATGTTTTCTATATCATCTTCCACTTCAGCTAACACATTCCATATTTTTTAAAACTGTATGTTATTTAATGATTAAAGAGAACAGTACAATGTCAGGAGCAGAGTCCTGTGATCAGCCAACAGTGATCCTTTTCCAGGATGAAAATGACTCATGAATTTAAATTTGTGGATAATGTTATTCATCCAGTTATGAATGCACCTAATCATGGCTCAGGATGGGAGATGTTGTCTATATAACTAAAAATAACTTGAATATTTTCTTAAATAGAAAATGACAGACTATAAAAAATGTTTTGCTTAAATCAAGATACCCTCTATTTCCTCTATGAGCAGGCCCATAAATCTATCAAAAAAGGAAATGAGATTTATTTCATTTGTTCTTATGAATTTTTTTTTTTAATATTATTTATTTATTTTAGAGACAGGGTTTTACTCTGTTGCCCAGGCTGGAGTACAGTGGTGGGATCACAGGTCACTGCAGCCTCAAACTCCTGGGCTCAAGCAATTATCCCACTTCAGCTTCCCAAGCTAGGACTACAAGCATGTCCCACCATGTCAGATGGGGTCTTGCTATGTTGCCCAGGCTGATTTTTACATTAACTTTTTAAAAGCAATTACATTGAATGTTTTACATTCAACTTTTGAACGTGAGTTCAAAAAGTGAACTCACGTCAACTTTTTTCTAAGTTGTTTTTTACTCATATATCTCATTTTTTCTTATGGTAACAACCCTAGATAGATATATCACTCATAAGTGAGTGACTTAACTCACTCTATTTTAAATCGTTAAAGTGCTAATGATAAATCATATCCTATTAATGTTCTCACTTGGAAGAAATTACAATACACTTTTCCTTAAAGGCTATAATAAAGAAAGATTTAGGCGAAGTGTAATGGCTCATACCTGTACTCACACCCATAATCTCAGCACCTTGGGAGTCTAAGGTGGGTGGATCACTTGAAGCCAGGAGTTTGAGACCAGCCTGGGCAATATACTGAAACCCCATCTCCACAAAATAAAAACATTAGCTAGGTGTCGTGGCGCTTGCCTGTAGTCCTAACTACTCAGGAGGCTAAGCCAAGAGGGTCCTTTGAGCCCAGAGCTTGAGGCTGCAACAAGCTATCAGTAGGACTGTGCCACTGCACTCCAGCATTGGGCAACAATGTGAGTGAGACCTTGTCTCTTTAAAAAAAAAAAAAAAAAAAGATTATAATAAAGAATTTAAGGATTAAAAGTCAATATATGAAAACTTACGTGTAAAATTTGTAATGTGAAGTAATTACCAAATCCCAAGGAAGATTTATATATATATAATATATATAACATATAATATATAATTAATAATAATTTATAATAACAAATATAACTATTAATTATATAGAATTATTATAATTATATATAAATAATAATTTATAATAATAAATAATAATTATATATAATAATTATACTTATATATAAATAATAAATAATTTATAATAAATAATAATTTATAATAAATTTTATATAATATAATTATATATAATTATATTACATTATATATATTATAATTATATATAAATATAATATATATTATATATGTATATAATAACA
Organism: Homo sapiens; assembly: GCF_000001405.40. Taxonomy (NCBI): domain Eukaryota; kingdom Metazoa; phylum Chordata; class Mammalia; order Primates; family Hominidae; genus Homo; species Homo sapiens. Next base: position 220,078,592 of record NC_000001.11, read on the forward strand.
CACATATATATATATATTTTTTTGAGATGTAGTCTTGCTTTTGTTGCCCAGGCTGGAGTGCAATGGTGTGATCTCAGCTCACTGCAACCTCGCTCTCCCAGATTCAAGTAATTCTCCTGCCTCAGCCTCCTGAGTAGCTGTGAGTATAGGTGTGCACCACCATGCCCAGCTAATTTTTGTATTTTTAGTGGAGATGGGGTTTCATCATGTTGGTCAGACTGGTCTTGAACTCCTGACCTCGTGATCTGCCCGCCTTGGCCTCCCAAAGTGCTAGGATTAAGGCGTGAGCCACCGCACCCGGTCAGAAGATTGTGCTTTAAACTGGAACACAAACATGGTGGTATTTCTTTTAAGAATTGACTATCACTATAAACTTTCTGATAATCTATTTAAGTTTGTAATTACTATACTGGGAAAAACACGCTTGCTTTGAGTTTCTTTTCCATGAGGAAGAAAAGAATGTATCACTTTGATTATAACAAATATTTATGTAAATGCCAGATTTTACCGAACATGTTGAGTTCACTAAGGATTGCATGGCACTGCATGTAATAGATTACTCTAGGATTTGAAGCTCGGTTACAATGCCTTGGGGATAGATATGGTTCAGAAGACTCAGACATATAAATAAAGATCTTGGACGTAGAAAGTCTGGAGTCTTTTTTTTTTTTCTTTTTTTGAGATGGAGTCTCGCCCTGTTGCCCAGGCTGGAGTGCAATGGCGCAATCTCGGCTCACTGCAACCTCTGCCTCCCGGGTTCAAGCGATTCTCCTGCCTCAGCCTCCCAAGTAGCTGGGATTACAGGCGCTCGCCACCACGCCTGGCTAATTTTTTGTATCTTTAGTAGAGATGGGATTTCACCATGTTGGCCAGGCTGGTCTCAAACTCCTGACCTCATCATCCGCCTGCCTCGGTCTCCCAAAGTACTGGGATTACAGGCATGAGCCACCACGCCCGGCCTTGGAATCATTTTCAAAGCAGAGATGGAACCCTTTAGAACCAAGCGTCTTGCAGTCTCCCTAAGGGAGCCATCAATTATTTTAACTGATAAAGTCTGTCCACATTTTTATATCATTTAGCTAAACCTCAAGAACAAAAATCAAGTTGGTATGAAATGATATGAGAGTTTGAGTACCTTCTCCACAATACCCAGGTCTCCTTCAGCAATAACACGTCTGACTATCATTCCTGCCTTTTGAGCAATAGAATATGCGGAGGCTACCAACCGCATCAACACAGTGTTACTGGAAGCCATGGTACACTCTAAAAAGAGATCAAGAAAAATGTCTTGTTAGTTTCAAAGCCAACTACTGGTTTTATTTATTTAAATCCAACTCAACACATATTAATTGAGTGCTAACTTGGGATTGCTCCCATTAACTGAGTAAATTCTTTAATATATATTTACTAAAAGAGACTTCGAAAAAACTCGATTTGGGCATTAACTCTCTCAATAAATTCTGTATTTTTTATGTCTCTCTGCAGATGAGACATGTCAAAGCATAGGAGAAACTGGCCCAGGATGCTGAGCATGTGAAAAAGTTTGTGTATGAGGTCGTGGGTGATGTGTAAAGTATGTGGAAGGTGCTTTGTAGGCTAAAAATATGAGATGTAAGATTTGTGTTTGAGGAGCTAATATTTTGGTGAGTTGTAGATAAAATAAGGTAACCTAACGTCTATAACATAAAACTAGGCAGCGCCAAAAGAGGTATGAATAGTATAAGGGATGTAGGTGTGTAGGGTGTAATTAAAAAGGGAGGGTGTATTAGTCCATTTTCATACAGCTATAAAGAATGACCCAAGACTGGGTAATTTATTATTTCCAGTGGCAAGAACCGCAATTACTTCTGCACCAACCTAATATAAAGGAAAGAGGTTGAATTGACTCACAGTTCAGCATGGGTGGGGAGGCCTAAGGAAACTTAACAATCATGGCAGAAGACAAAGGGGGAAGCAAGACACCTTCTTCACAAGGTGGCAGGAAGAAGAGCCAAGCGAAGCGGGAGAGTCCCTTAAAAACCATTAGATCTCATGAGAACTTACTCACTATCACTGCCCCCATGATTCAGTTACCTCCACCTGGTCTCTCCCTTGACACATGGGGATTATGAGGATTACAATTTAAGATGAGATTTGGGTGGGGAAACAAAGCCTCACCACATCAGAGGGATTGCATATAACTACAATTATTTTCTGAAAATCAATGAATATTCTCTGCTATTATTTACCTCCATCTTCGTCAGTAGCCAGATAAAGAGAACAAGCAACCTAACAAATTATAATGAAGACCAGTCACTTGGAAAAGTAAGGAGTGTCAGAAGTCTCTAGCGCCAATGAAATAAACGGAAAAAACAGCCTTTAGAATCAAGTACGTTGCCTTTTCCTTTTTTTGAGACGGAGTCTCGCTCTGTCGCCCAGGATGGATTGCAGTGGCGCCATCTTGGCTCACTGCAACCTCTGCCTCAGCCTCCCAAGTAGCTGGGATTACAGGCGCCCACCACCATGCTCGGCTAATTTTTATTTTTAGTGGACACGGGGTTGCATCATCTTGGCCAGGCTGGTTTTGAACTCCTGACCTCGTGATCCCCCCCCTTGGCCTCCCAAGTGCTGGGATTACAGGCGTGAGCCACTGTATCTGGCCTGTACATTCCTTTGAACATATGAATTCAGGCCGGGCACGGTGACTAACGCCTGTAATCCCAGGATTTTGGGAGGCCGAGATGGGCAGCTCACCTGAGGTCAGGAGTTTGAGACCAGCCTGACCAACATGGTGAAACCTCGTCTCTACTAAAAATACAAAAATTAGCTGGGCATGGTGTTGCACACCTGTAATCCCAGCTACTCGGGAGGCTAAGGCAGGAGAATCGCTTGAACCTGGGACGCAGAGGCTGCAGTGAGCAGAGATCGCACCACTGCACTCTAGCCTGGGCGATAGAGCGAGAGTCCGTCTCAAAAAAAAAAAAGAAAATATGAATTCAAATCCCGAAATTTTCGTGACTGTCCTGGATGTACCACCCACATTCCCTTCAGAACTGAAGAGCTTATTTCCCCACTTGCTGAGACAGCTGTCAAAAGATGGCTTTCAGCTGCCATCTTTCTTTGGGAGTATATCTGCTGAGAAGGATCACTTCACCTGAAACGTCACAATAGGGAGATTTAAAGGCCATTTCCTACCCCAAGTGGGCTACCACCCCAGCACTGAAGGGCCATCTAGCTTCCAGAATACCCTATGGGGTCAACTGAGGCCTTAGCTGAGACTGCATCACAGCCCAAGATACCTTCTCCAACTTTCTTCCCTTCCTCCCCTTCCCTTCCACAAATGATTCCGAAAGCACTCCCTAATAAACCTCTTCCACTTTATCTCTGTCTTAGAGTTTTATGGGGAATTAACCTGTGACAAAAACTTCCCACCTCTAAATCAAATCAACATTATTTCATCGCAATAAGGGAACACATGATTGTTCCAAGGACAATATATATATATATATATATATAGAGAGAGAGAGAGAGAGAGAGAGAGAGAGAGAGAGTGTATATATATATAAAATATATATGATATATATGTATTTTATATATATTTTATATTTTTTATATATATATATATTTTGAGACAGAGTCTTGCTCTGTCGCCCAGGCTGGAGTGCAGTGGCGCAATCTCAGCTCACTGCAAACTCTGCCTCCTGGGTTCAAGCAATTCTCCTGCCTCAGCCTCGTGAGTAGCTGGGATTATAGGTGCCTGCTACCACACTCGGCTAATTTTTGTATTTTTAGTAGAGACGGGGTTTCACCATGTTGGCCAGGCTGGTTTCGAATTCCTGACCTCAAGTGATCCACCCACCTTGGCCTCCCAAAGTGCTGGGATTACATGCCTGAGCCACCACGCTCAGCCCTGGGACTATAGAGAACATTATAAACCTCCATTCAGCAATAGTCATTGTTCTACCATGACTTTCTGACTGAATATTTGATTTGATGTTTTAACCCCTTTAACATCTTTTTTCTTTTTTTTTTCTGAGACGTAGTCTCACTCTGTCACCCAGGCTGGAGTGCAGTGGCACAATCTTGGCTCGCTGCAACCTCTGTCTCCCAGGCTCAAGTGATTCTTGTGCTTCAGCCTCCCGAGTAGCTGAGATCACAGGCAACTGACACCACGCCCAGCTAATTTTTGTATTGTTAGTAGAGACGGGGATTCACCATGTTGGCCAGGCTGGTCTTGTACTCCTGACCTCAGAAGATCCACCTGCCCAGCCTCCTTTACATCTTGTTTCTATCATCCACACTCTATTGACAGGAATTATGAACCTAACTGGAACAATAAGTGAAGTGTTTGAAACTCTTCAAAAGGAAGATGGAATTGAAATTTATGGCCGGGCACAGTGGCTCACGCCTGTAATCCCAGCACTTTGGGAGGCCGAGGTGGGCAGATCACTAGGTCAGGAGTTCGAGACCAGCCAGACTAACATGGTGAAACCCCGTGTCTACTAAAAATACAAAAATTAGCCGGGCGTGGTGGCATGCACCTGTAATCCCAGCTACTCAGGAGGCTGAGGCAGGAGAATCACATGAACCCAGGAGGTGTAGATTGCAGTGGGCCGAGATCGTGCCAGTGCACTCCAGCCTGGGCGACAGAGCAAGACTCCATCTCAAAAAAAAAAAAAAGAAATTTATGTAAGGTAATGAATACCGTACTGTGACCAATAGCTGTCTGGAAATTAAGATGAAAATTAAACGGGTTTCTCTTTTTTTTTTTTGAGATGGAGTCTCGCTCTATCGCCCAGGCTGGCGCGATCTCGGCTCACTACAAACTCCGTCTCCCGGGTTCACACCATTATCCTGCTTCAGCCTCCCGAGTAGCTGGGACTACAGGCACCCGCCACTGCGCCCGGCTAATTTTTTGTAGTTTTAGTACAGATGGGGTTTCACCATGTTAGCCAGGATGGTCTCGATCTAACCTCATGATCCACTCGCCTCGGCCTCGCAAAGTGCTGGGATTACAGGTGTGAGCCACCGCGCCCGGCCAATAAAACGGGTTTCTAAGTGCAGCTGACACTTGAACAACACGGCCTCGAACTGCACCGGTCCACTTTGTGGATTTTTTCCAACCAAATGCGGATAGAAAAGGTATGTAAAATCTGTAGACAGGAAAGCCTGACTTTTTAAAATATATTTTTATTTTAGTTTCAAGAGAGTTTGTGATCTGTTAAAACTGAGTTTTCATCTATGAGTGTTTTGCAGGGCCAACTGTGGGACTTGAGTATGTGCAGATTTAAGTATTCTCAGGGGTTCCTGGAATCAACCTCCCTCATATACGGAGGGATAACTATATATAATGTGTTTGTTTTATGATATCATAATCAAGCTAGATTAATTTTCTTGGCATACTAGGAGTTACATGTGGAATAAACCAGTTACAATTACTACTAATTCAGGAGCACTTCAGATAGAAAACAGAGAAATAGGGCGGGGCGCAGTGGCTCACGCATGTAATCCCAGCACTATGGGAGGCCGAGGTGGGTGGATCACGAGGTCAGGAGATCGAGACCATCCTGGCTAACACAGTGAAACCCAGTCTCTACTAAAAATACAAAAAATTAGTCGGGCGTGGTGGTGGGCACCTGTAGTCCCAGCTACTCGGGAGGCTGAGGCAGGAGAATGGCATGAACCCGGGAGGTGGAGGTTGCAGTGAGCTGAGATTGCGGCCACTACACTCCACCCTGGGCAACATAGCGAGGCTCTGTCTCAAAAAAAAAAAGAAAAAGAAAAAGAAAAGGAAACAGAAATAATTTAGTAAACACTTTGTTGGTCTTATTTCTATTCCTTTATATCCATATCCAGACATATATCTGATTTATTATGCACTGGAAATGTGGTCTTTGGGCAACTGATTTGTTCTACCCAGCTGTCTTGACCATATTTTAATTATGTGTTCGTATGCTCCTTCAATTCCCATGTTATATAAGAATTCTTTTGTAATAGGAAGATCACCTTCCCTCACTGTATGGTGTTGTTATAACTTTTCATAGATATCATTTACCTTTGAACCAGTTAAGCAACCATTTGACCCTTGTCAGGCTTCATAAATGACTCAACTACTTCCCCTTGTATTTGCCAAGTCCATGGTGTTTTCTTCCATGGAAAAACTTTCAGGCATTGTCTGTCTACTAATTTCCTCACAAAATGATATTATATTTATTAACCACCAGTTAAAGCTAACATCAGCTTATAAAACATAAGAATGGGAAAAATAAGAAATAGAAGACAATAAAAATGGGAAAAATAGTGTTGATGTAAAGCACACAATGATTTATAAAGAGATTCCACAAATCACTTTTAATTGGCAGATAGGGAAATATTTTTACCATTCTTCTTTGAAGTACTTCTCTGGTCCAAACTGAATTAGTAATGAAATAGTACTATGCCCTAGCCTTAATCGTTTTCTTAACTATTTTTTAAACAGATGAATACAATGTTGGTTCTTGGTTAAAAAAAAAAAAAGAAAAAATACATAGTCATATTATCAAAACAAAAAATCTATACAAGAGGTCCCTTTTAGCCTTTTTCATTATGCTCCCTCCTATACTACAGTGAGATTTACCTTTTGATGATACAGGTAGATTAAGAGCAAGGCCCAAACTAGCTACAGGCAAGTTAACTTTCTTAAAGCAGTTCAAATAACACCATTGTACTTCTTTCTCTACCAGTTTTACATCTTCTGGGCCTTAAAACACTCTTGTGAAGGTGTCTTTCTGAAAGCCTAATCTAAAACAGCACAGTGCTTAAGGGCACAGGCTCTGCAGCCCACTACCTGTGTTCAAATCCTGGCTCAGCTGTGGACCTTGAGAAAACCACTTAAATTCTCTGTGCCCCAATCTGTAAAATGGAGACAATAGTACTCATAGTATAGGGCTGCTGTAATTATTAAATGAGTAACACGTGTAAAGAAAGCGCTTTACCTGGCACAAGGTAAACACCAAATAATACTGGCTAACCATTATTATGATTGTCCTTATTTCGGTTATTTTGCAGGGACATTAGGGCAGTGTTAAGGGCAAAAAGTTCCTGTAGTTTCTCCAACAGTATTCTGACCTTGAGAATACAAAATGATAATCAACATGACCCTCAATCAGAGTATAGTTCAGGCTTTTCTTCATAACATTCTGAGCTTTAGGCTTGGAGAGTAGACAAGAAAAAAAGCTGTATAACACTTAAGGCCATCAACCTAATACCTATCCTTGAGAAGTCTTTACAACTGCCAAAGGGCTAGTTCAGAAGGATGGAAAAAAACAACAGGAATCAAACATTAGTTTCTTCTCATATAACGATTGTGACCATATGAGGATTAGGATCTAAAAATGATGAGTTCCAAGTCAAAATACTAAAATTATTTATATTTTGGAACTTGGCCTGATGATAATGTTCAAGGTCATCTGAAAAAATTAAAATGTAAGCATAATGGAGCAAATTCTGGAAAAAGAACTATGAACAGAGGTACTCCCCTTATCAATTATCAAAATATGATAAAATATGATTTAATCAACATATGATATAAAAGTTTGGCTAGTGAGACAAACTAAGGAAATAAATTGCAGAAATAGAACCGAACACACTAAAGGTAGTGTTTCAAATCATGGGGGAAATTCAATTTTGCATAAATGGCAGGGCAGTCGCTAAACTTTTAAATACTTTTTCTTTTTTTTGATATGTAGTCTCGCTCTGTCGCCCAGGCTAAAGTGCGGTGGCCTGATATCGGCTCACTGCAACTTCCGCCCCCTAGAGTTCAAGCGATTCTCCTGCCTCATATGGCTGAGTAGCTGGAACTACAGGCACGCATCACCACGCCTGGCTAATTTTTTTATATTTTTAGTAGAGATGGGGTTTCACCACATTGGCCAGGCTGGTCTCGAACACCTGACCTCAAGTGATCCACCCTCCTCGGCCTCCCAAGGTGCTGGGATTACAGGCATGAGCCACCATGCCTGGTCTGAGTTGCTAAAGTTTTTCTGAGACAGAGTCTCACTCTGTTGTCCAGGCTGGAGTGCAGTGGCGAGATCACGGCTCACTGCAACCTCCGCCTCCCGGGTTCAGCCGATTCTCCTGCCTCAGCCTCTTGAGTAGCTGGGACTACAGGCACAAGCCACCATGCCAGGCTAATTTTTGTACTGTTAATAGAGATGGGGTTTCACCATGTTGGCCAGGCTAGTCTTGAACTCCTGACCTTGTGATCCGCCTGCCTCCCAAAGTGCTGAGATTACAGGTGTGAGCCACTCCGCCCGGCCTGAGTTGCTAAACTTAAAAAAAAAAAAAAATGAGCCGGGCATATTGGCGGGCGCCTGTAACCCCAACTTCTTGGGAGGCTGAGGCAGGAGAATTGCTCGAACTTGGGAGGCGGAGGTTGCAGTGAGCCGAGATGGTGCCACTGCACTCCAGCCTGGGCGACAGAGCAAGACTCCGTCTCAAAAAAAAAAAAAAAAAAAGTTGAGTCCTTTTTGCATTCTTTTGATATTTTGATATAAATACATTTTGATATAAATACATTTCAATGCATGGTTTATAAAAGTAAAAAAAGAAACCATAAAAGCATGGAAATAAAAATTATAAACTTCATAAGCTTGGTAAATGCCCTTTAAGCATAAAACCAAGAATCCATAAAATATTCTATTGATAAATTTGACTCTATAAAACTAAGAGTTGCTGGGCGCGGTGGCCTGTAATCCCAGCACTTCGGGAGGCCAAGTCGGGCGGATGACGAGGTCAGGAGTTCAAGACCAGCCTGACCAACTTGGTGAAACCCTGTCTCTACTAAAAATACAAAAATTAGCCGGGCTTGGTGGCACGCGCCTGTAATCCCAGCTACTCAGGAGGCTGAGGCAGGAGAATTGCTTGAACCTGGGAGGTAGAAGTTGCAGTGAGCTGAGATCATTTGCACCATTGCACTCCAGCCTGGGTGACAGAGCGAGATTCCGTCTCAAAATCAATCAATCAATAAATAAAAATAAAATTAAAACTTCTACATGGCCAAAATACCATAAACTAAATAAACAGGTACTTGACAAAATGAGAAAAAAATATTGTATCACATACCAGACAAATGACTTAATTTGTAAAAGATCAGTATATAAAAGCTGAATAATCCAATAGAAAAATGAGCAAATAAACAAGAACGGGCAACACCTACAAAGAGAAAAGCACTGGCCATTAAATACATAAATACTCAGCTTCACTAATTATGAAAGAAATGCAAACTAAAACAATGAGAAATGATTATTTTATTTTTAATTAATTAATTAATTTATTTATTTTTTGAGACAGAGTTTTTGCTCTTGTTGCCCAGGCTGGAGTGCAATGGCGAGATCTTGGCTCACCGCAACCTCTGCCTCCCGGGTTTAAGCGATTCTCCTGCCTCAGCCTCCCGAGTAGCTGGGATTACAGGCAAGCATCTCCACACCTGGCTAATTTTGTATTTTTAGTAGAGACAGGGTTTCTCCATGTTGGTCAGGCTGGTCTCGAACTTCCGACCTCATGGCCTGCCTAAGCCTCCCAAAGTGCTAGGATTACAGGCGTGAGCCACCGCGCCGGGCCATGATTGTTTATTTTTAAGATTGGCATAGAAAAGAAAATTTGGCAGGGCACGGTGGCTCACACCTGTAATCCCAGCACTTTGGGAGGCCAAGGCAGGTGAATCACCTGAAGTTAGGAGTTCAAGACTAGCCTGGCCAACATGGTGAAACCCCATCTCTACTAAAAATACAAAAATTAACCAGGCATAGTAATACAAAAATTACTCAGGAGGCTGAGGCAGGAAAATTGCTTGAACATAGGAGGCAGAGGTTGTGGTGAGCCGAGATCGCGCCACTGCAGTCCAGCCTGGGCGACAGAGACTCCGACTCAAAAAAAAAAAAAAAAAAAAAAATTGTCGCTGAATGCAGTGGCTCACACCCGTAATCCTAGAACTTTTTGGGAGGCCAAGGCTGGTGTATTGCTTGAGCTCAGGAGTTCGAGACCAGCCTGGGCAACATGGCAAAACCTCGTCTCTACAAAAAAATGCAAAAATTAGATGGTGTGGTGGCACATGCCTGTAGTCCCAGCTGCTCGGGAGGCTGAGGTGGGAGAATCACCAGACCCTGGGAGGTCAAGGTTGCAGTGAGACATAATGGCACCACTGTACTCCAGCCTGGGGGACAGAGCTAGAACCTGTCTTAAAAAAAAAAAAAAAAGAAAGAAAGAAAGGCTGGGCGCGGTGGCTCACGCCTGTAATCCCAGCACTTTGGGAGGCCGAGACGGGCAGATCACGAGGTCAGGAGATCGAAACCATCCTGACTAACACGGTGAAACCCCGTCTCTACTAAAAATACAAAAAAAATTAGCCAGGCTTGGTGGTGGGCGCCTGTAGTCCCAGCTACTCGGGAGGCTGAGGCAGGAGAATGGCGTGAACCTGGGAGGTGGAGCTTGCAGTGAGCCGAGATTGCACCACTGCACTCAAGCCTGGGCGACAGAGCGAGACTCCGTCTCGAAAAAAAAAAAAAAAAAAAAAAAAGAAGGAGGAGGAAGGAGGAGGAAGAAGAAGAAGAAAAAAGAAGAAAGAAGAAGAGTTTGTCCTTTGTCCAGTTTGCAAGGGTGTGAGGGAACATGTTCCTGAGCATTGTTGGCAAAGCGGTGAACCCTCTTAGGAGAGTTTTGAGAACCTTAATAAAAGTATAAAGTACGTATCTTTTGAACCAACAATTATATTTACAGAGAAATCCAAATAAATCACGCAAACCTATAAATATGTAGAAATGGCAGTTGGAAGAATATTTGCTGTTTAAAGAAATTTAATTTTAGGTACCAAGCAGTTTCTAAATTTGGGTGCATCAACAAACTCAATGTCTAGGTTTGTCTTGTTTCTACAGTATATGGCTATAAAAACCTTCCGGATCACGAAAATAAAAGCACAGATAAACAATTAAAATATCGACACTCAAGAGTCCAAGTCGGAAGTTAGAATATCTGGAGAAGCAATCTGATTCACATAAACCTTTTTCGTTTTATTTTTTTAACATAAATCCTATCTACCTGGCTCTTGCCCTGACCGGCCGGAGAGAAACGGTGACAAACCTGGAACAACGTTGGACCAAAGACACTTCAGGAGGAGCAAAAGCGCGTTATCGTAGACCCAGGTCCCTCGTTGTGTCCAGTACCGAGCTTTGGCACTGTCAATAAGTCTTTTGAGAAGGATGGCATCCCTACCTCAGCTACTGAGCATGCGGGAAACTGCGCGCAAGCGCACAACAGCGATTTCACACTGCCTCTTTAGACTCCTGATCCGCGGGAAAATTCCACTTGTCCGTGTTTTCTCCAAGCTCTCCGTAGGTGCAAGTCACCTGTTGCATTAAATAAAAGCGAAAGATGTGTCAACTTTCAAAGATTGGCTAAAAAAAGAAAAAGAAGAAGGAAAGAACACATTAAGCCAGCAACAGTGTGTTGAAACAAAAAAAAGATTGGTTTTGGTTTCAGCTGTCTTCCAGCCCACTTCGTAGAGTTCACTGTTTTAAAATGTTCTTTGTATTAGTGATACCACTCTGCGGCTATTTAACTTCGAACCCCTAGCGGTCCGTGGACAGGCTTCAGCAGGTCCACCACACACACCTCCACCTCCCACTCCCCACGCAATAACACAGCAACTTTATGCAGAATTGTGTCAAAGATGCTTGCTTACCTTTTTTTTTTTTTTTTTTTTTTTTTTTTTAAGCGATAGATAGCTTGCTCTGTCGCCCAGAGTCGATTACGGCTCACTGCTGCCTTCCCACTTCTAGGCTCAAGCCATCCTCCCGCCTCAGCCTTCCGTGTAGCTGGGACTACTGGTGGAGGTGCGCGCCACCACACCCAGCTAATTAAAATATTTTTTGTGTACAGATGGGATCTTTTACTGGGGGGCGTGGTTGGGGAAGGGGGCAGTGTCTCATCCTGTCGCCCAGGCTGGAGTGCAGTGGCGCAGTCTAGGTTCACTACAACCTCCTCCTCCTGGGTTCAAGCGATCCTTCCTCCTTAGCCTCCCAAGTAGCTAGGACTACAGGCGCGCCACCACGCCGGGCTAATTTTGTTTGTTTTTTAAGTAGAGACGGGGTTTCATCATATTGGCCAGGCTGGTCTTGAACTCCTGACCCCAGGTGATCTGCTCACCTCGGCCTCCCAAAGTGCTGGGATTACAGGTGTGAGCCACTGCGCCCAGCTTAAAAAGGCTTTTACGTCTTCATTTGATTTTCACAATAACTCTGTGAGTTAAGTAGACCCTTTTTGGGAAGTGGAAAAATATACATAACTTAAATTATATTACTTTAACCATATATATATATATATATATATATATATATATATATATACACACACACACACACACACATATATACATATATATATTTTTTGAGACGGCGTCTTACTCTGTCGCCCAGGCTGGAGTGCAATGGCTTGATCTCGGCTCACTGCAACCTCTGCCTCCCAGGGTTCAAGCTATTCTCCTGCTTCAGCCTCCTGAGTAACTGGGACTACAGGCGCACACCACCCAGCCCAGCTAGTTTTTGCATTTTTTTTTTTTTTAGTAAAGACGGGGTTTCACCATGTTGGCCAGGCTGGTCTCGAACTCCTGACCTCATGATCCGCCCGCCTCGGCCTCCCAAAGTGCTGAGATTACAGGCATGAGCCACTGCACCTGGCCATACTTTGGTTTTTATAATTAAATTGTATAATTACATGACAAGTACAAATGGCTTAAATAAAGACAAACATAATGCAAGGTAAGCTCAACAAGTGAGAATAGAAATCTGCAGTCATCCTAAAGAGTAGCCATCTCCCAAGTGTTCATTGTATCCTCTCATAGGTTTTACGAGAAAACGGCATAGTTGAATTCAGCAAGTTATGTAGAGGTTGGTTAGGAGAGTTTCTATGTAAATATATCTTTGTGCTCCTGGAAGACTATAGCTGTGATAGATCCCAGATGTGAAACCGTGGGTCAAAGATGAAGTGCATTTTATTTTATTTTTTGGAGATGGAGTCTCGCTCTGTCGCCCAGGCTGGTGTGCAGTGGCCTGATTTCTCACTGCAACCTGTGCCTCCTGAGTTCAAGCGATTCTTCTGCCTCAGCCTCCAGAGTAGCTGGGATTACAGGCGCCTGCCACCACTCCCGGCTAATTTTTTGTATTTTTAGTAGAGACGGGATTTCACCATGTTGGCCAGGTTGGCCAGGCTGGTCTCGAACTCCTGAACTCAGGTGATCCACTTGCCTCAGCCTCCCAAAGTGCTGTGGTTACAGGCGTGAGCCACCGCGCCCAGCTGAAGCGCATTTTAAATGGTGATGGATATTGCTAAATTGCCATTCGGAAATCTCCTGCCTCAGCTTCCCAAGTAGCTGGGACTACAAGCATGCGCCATCACACCCGGCTAATTTTGTATTTTTAGTAGAGATGGGGTTTCTCCATGTTGGTCAGGCTGGTCTTGAACTCCCGACCTCTGGTGATCCACCCACCTTGGCCTCCCGAAGTGCTGGGATTATAGGCATGAGCCACCGCACCTGGCCGACAGTACCTATTTAACACTACCATCAGCAGTCCACTTTCACACATTCTCCCAAGCCCTGTTATCAAACTTCTTTATTTTTGCTTTAATCTGCTGGAAAGAAAATGGTATTTTAACTGTCTATTCCCATGACTCCTAAAGTTGAGGATCTTTTTATGTTTATTAGCTGTTTCCACTTCTGTGTCTCTGAGTTGACTGTTCATTTCTTTTGCTTTATTATTATTATTTTGAGACAGGCTCTCACTGTGTTGCCCAGGCAGGAGTGTAGTGGTGTAATCATGGCCCACTTGCAGCCTTGACTTCCTGGGCTAAAGCGATCCTCCCACCACAGCCTCCAAAGCAGCTGGGACCACAAGCACATGCCACTACATCCAGCTAATTTTAAAAATTATTTCAGAGATAGGGGTCTCCCTATGTTGCCCAGGGTTGTCTCAAACTCCTGGGCTCAAGTGATATTTCCACTTCAGCCTCCTAAGGTGCTGGGATTATAGGCATGAGCTACTGTGTCCAGCTTCTTTTATCCTTTTTTTTTTTTAAATTGGGTTGTTTACATTTGTTTTTTTGATCTGTAGCAGCTCTTTATGCATTTTGTGTATTATTATTTTTTAATGTGTAGCAAATGTTTTCTTCCACAGTATAGTGTAGGAAAGACAACATAACATGGTGGCTATGCACACACACTGGAATCTAACTGCCTGGGTTTGAATTCCAGCTGTGCTACTTAGTTGTATCATCTTGAGCAAGTTACATAATTCTATGTGCCTCAGTTTCCTTAGCTGTGAAATGGAAATACTCATAGTTCCTATCTCACAGGTTTTTTTGGTATGCTGTGTCTTCACCTCATCTGGTTTTGAAGATTAAGTGAATTAATTCAGGTACAGAGCTGGAGTCATTGATTGGTGAAAGGCTGACATTGAGTGCTTTCTGTTTGTCACTTGGTTTCTCACTTTCCGGTATCTTTTTTTGGTATATATATGTTTTCATACTTGTAGAAAATCTGTCCTTCTTATTTATGTGAACCAAATGTTCTGGATGTTGTGTTTTATGATTAGGAAGGCTATTCCCAAGTTGTATACTCAACAATGAAATGGTAACAATTGTGAACTATTATGAACTGGACAACCAAATAGAGCAGAATCTGTCAGAAACAGGAGCAGAAGTTGCTATATATACCATACTATTCTATGAGTGGGATATAACAGGGATTTCAGAGAATCTTAAAAAAAGGTTAGATTGTTTTATAATATTGTTAAAATCTATGGGAAGTCATTGATTTGGACTGAGCTCCTGCACTAGGCTGTTTACTTGTAAGGTCTGCGTTCCAGGAAATCAGGAGAGATGATAGCCAAATCCATTAAGCCAAATGGCGTCTGCTTTTCGTTCCCTGTTTCTGCCTTCTTCAACCTTTTCTGCCTATAAACCTCACCCTGCCCCCACAGCTCATCAGAGATCCTTTCTATTTTGTAGAAAGGTTTAGGAATATTTAATAATAGCCAATTAGATCTTTAAAACTCGATTTGCTGAAATTTTATTATTTTACAATATTTTCACTGAACTTGTGCTGCCCACAGTCGTAGTCATTACCCAAGTGTGCCTGTTGAGGCCTTGCCATGAGTTTAGCCCAGATTGAGATGTGCAGTATGTGCAAAGTACATGTCAAATTTCAAAGGCTTCGTATGAAGAGAATATGTAAAATATCTTACTTTTTATTGGCTACATGTTAAAGTGATACAATCATAGCTATGTTGTGTTAAAGTAAAAAAAAAAAAATATATATATATATATATTTAAAAAGCAGGGCACAGCGATTGGACTATGAGCCCCACCTTTCCCCGCCCCCGTGAATCTGAGCCCGCCCCCCGGCGGCTGCAGGGAGGACCCGGAGGTGGCTCAGCCTCCGCGGACTCCGGGAAGGCGGTGCCCACCGCCCCGCCCCCACTACCCGCCGCTCCCTCCCCGCCCCTTCCGCTCCCGGAGCGCGTGCGCCCTCTTACTCGGCTCCCCTTGGTTTCCTGGGGTCCTGCCCCTTCAAGCTGGGGCGGGAGCGGAGGACCCCGCTCTCAGGGGTTGCCGGACCATGCGTTGGGGGCTGCGCCCTCGCGGGCCGGGCGCGGCCGCCCTGGCCACTGCCCGAAGTTTGTGGGGGACGCCCCGCCTTCCCTGCAGCCCGGGATGGCAAGGGGCGACGAAGAGGCTTCTGGTGCGGTCGGTCTCCGGGGCCAGTAACCACCAGCCGAACTCGAATAGTGGCAGATACCGGGACACGGTGCTGCTGCCGCAGACGAGCTTCCCCATGAAGCTGCTGGGCCGCCAGCAGCCGGACACGGAGCTGGAGATCCAGCAGGTACGGGCCCCGCCTCGGCGCGGGGCCTCCAGAGAGGCCCGATCCGGCCGCGGGCACCGGGCGCTCGCAGGCGCCACACCTCTAGGCTCCACGCCGGTGCGGGTGGGCGGGGGTGTGACCAGATTGGTGGAATTCGTCTGCTTCGCACAGATTTTGTGGGCTGAAAACCTAAGTGAAGAAATCTCTAGATGAGCCCCTCCTTTGTACCAGGTTCTGGAGCGGGACATTAAGGGGTCACTAGCGATGCCCAGTTACCAGCATGTATCGCACGTATGTCCCATGTCTACCGTAGGCAAAACAGATAGACTTTGGGCACTTTTCCAATGCCTTGTAAAAAGTAAATTCACATGTCCACATGTAAATAAAAACCCAGGCTGGGCGCAGTGGCTCACGCCTGTAATCCCAGAACTTTGAAAGGCCAAGGCGGGAGAATCGCTTGAGCCAAGAGTTCGAGACCATATTGGCTAGTCACCCCCACCCCCCCGTCCTTAAAAAAAACCTTAAAAACCTCAATTATGATGAATGAAGGGGAAGTTGAAGCCCACTTCTTGGATCTTTTAGATCCCTAGTTGGAATTATGACTCGTTTGAAGTCGCCCAGGCTGGAGTGCAATGGCGCGATCTCAGCTCACTACAACTTCCGCCTCCCAGGCTCAGGCAATTCTCCTGCCTTAGCCTCCCCAGTTGCTGGGATTACAGGTGCGCACCACCACGCCCGGCTAATTTTTATATTTTTAGTAGAGATGGAGTTTCACCATGTTGGCCAGGGTGGTCTCTAACTCCTGACCTCAAGTGATCTTCCCGCCTCGGCCTCCCAAAGTGCTGGGATTACAGGCCTGAGCCACTACGCCCAGCCTAGTCTGAACTTTCTAAGAGCAGAGATTCCTCTTTAGCTTCTGTAATTCTAGTCTTTAAAAATCCCTGATATTCTTGGAATATTGGTTAAGTAAATATACTTAGCCTAAATATTCTGACAGTTATAAGAGTTCATCTAATTTTTTAAAGGTTTTTTAGTCAATACCTTCTGTATGCCAGAAAGAGTGACAGTTTCAAATGTTTCCTCGTTTAATCTTCACACCAGCCCTGTAAGATGGATATTAACACTTTTTTTTTTCAGATAAGAAAGCAGGCCCGTAAGTGCACAGTAACCTGGACAAAATCATACAGCAAGTGAGGGAAGGGAAGTGACTTAGACTGCCATGCATGTTGTTCCCAGATTTGGGGAATGGCAAGCATTGCCGCCAAAGAATAGCAAGAATATGTGTGTCGGGAATCTGCAGGTCCTTCAACATGTCGGGGGTGAGGAGTGAAGCATGGGGAGTGATGAAAGAATGCCCGAGAACTTAGTGGCACTAAACCTTTGTAGGGTGCTGCATATCATATAAAGAGTTTAGACTTCAATCTGAGGTGTATGGGGACATTACTGAAAGATTTTAAGAGATGCGTACTTTGACACGCATTTCAGAAACCTCACCTTGTATTTCAGAGTTGAGTAGATTGGAATGGAATAGATTGGAATGTAATTGGAATGGAAATAAGCAAGTGTTGGCTGTTATTTATGGTTAGACTCAGGAGTATGTATTTATATGATGTTTAGATATCTTTTTTTTTTTTAAAACAGAAATGTGGATTTTCAGAACTTTATTCATGGCAAAGAGAAAGAAAAGTAAAGACAGAATTTTGCCTTCATGATGGACCTCCTTATGCAAACGGTGACCCTCATGTTGGACATGCTTTAAATAAGGTAACTATAATTTAGGTTATGACACTTGAAAGAAAGTGTTTATGTAAATACTCTTTATAAATGTGTATTCTAATTATATGATAATTATGTAAATTTAGATTTGCACATAAAACTAAAACATTTTCATAGAAAGCAATATACAATTTTAGTACTGCATAAAAAAAATTGCTGCTATTTGCTTTGAGCTTAACGTTATATTAGTAAACATCATCTTATTCAGTGCATAATTATCGGGCGAGGCATTGTTCTAGAATCTGGGAATAGCAGTGGACAAAAAAAAGGTATGTCTTGGCCGGGCAGTATGGCTCATGCCTGTAATCAGTGCTTGGCCCACAGATATCAATAATTCATTATTTTTAAAATGCTTAGTAGAATTTCATTGAGAGAATATGTTAATACTACAATCTGTTCACTCATTTTTCAGTTCTTTATTTTTTGTAGATTTCAGTGGAAATTTTGGGGAGGAAGTGGGCTTAGGCATCTGTAGTTTCAAAACCAGGAATTTGGTCACTGAATGGGTCAATAGTGCTATTAAAGAGACCAGGCGCAGTGGCTCACGCCTGTAATCCCAGCCCTTTGGGAGGCCGAGGCAAGCGGATCACGAGGTCAGGAGATCGAGACCATCCTGGCTAACACGGTGAAACCCCGTCTCTACTAAAAATACAAAAAATTAGCCACGCATGGTGGCGGGAGCCTATAGTCCCAGCTACTCGGGAGGCTGAGGCAGGAGAATGCCGTGAACCCGGGAGGCGGAGCTTGCAGTGAGCCGAGATCGCGCCACTGCACTCCAGCCTGGGCAACAGAGCAAGATTCCGTCTCAAAAAAAAAAAAAAATCATGTTTTGTGATATAAATACAGAATAAAACTCTATTATTTCAAACCCTTTTGCAAGGAATGGAAGAGCCAACATTAACTGGATTAAGCAAAGAGAGAGAATTTACTGGCTTTTTTACTGTAGAGTCCAGATAGTTTTAGCCACCTGCATAGCTGGATCAGGAATTCACATAAAATTAAGAATTGGTTTCTGTCTCTCACTCTTTGCTACTTTAGTGACTGCCCCACCCCAGACCCCCAGCACATTTCCCAGTAGTTTCAGGCTTACATAATTCCACCTTCTCTTTCCCAACAGTTCTTTTTTCTTTTTTTTTTTTTTTTGAGACAGAGTCTTGTACTGTCGCCCGGACTGGAGTGCAGTGGTGCAATCTTGGCTCACTGCAATCTCCGCTTCCCGGGTTCAAGCGATTCTCCTGCCTCAGCCTCCCAAGTAGATGGGACTACAGGCGCCTGCCACCACGCCCGGCTAATTTTTTGTATTTTTAGTAGAGAGGGGGTTTCACTGTGTTAGCCAGGATGGTCTCGATCTCCTGACCTCGTGATCTGCCCGCCTCTGCCTCCCAAAGTGCTGGGATTACAGGCGTGAGCCACCACGTCTGGCCCCCAATAATTCTTATAAAAGTCCTGGAATTGAATCTCATTGGCCTGATTTGGGTCGCACATCTATTTCTGAATCAGTCATTGCAGACTTGGGGATAGAATATGTTAATGGCTACAGTGGATCACGTGTTCACTCTTGGAGCTGCAGCAGAGGGAGCCAGCTCCATGTGGATTGAGGACAAAGGAATAATTCCATAAAAAACAGTGGCATCTTTTGTTGTTGTTGTTCTTTGAGACAGAGTCTCACGCTGTCACCCAGGCTGGAGTGCAGTGGCGCAGTCTCGGCTCACTGCAAGCTCCGTCTCCCGGGTTCACGCCATTCTCCTGCCTCAGTCTCCCGAGTAGCTGGGACCACAGGTGCCTGCCACCATGCCCAGCTAATTTTTTGTATTATTAGTATTATTTTTTAGTAGAGACGTGGTTTCACCATGTTAGCCAGGATGGTCTCCATCTCCTGACCTCATGATCCACCCGCCTCGGCCTCCCAAAGTGCTGGGATTACAGGCGTGAGCCACTGCACCCGGCCAAAACAGTGGCATCTTACAAAACTATCTCTCACATGAAGAGAAACCTTCTTGAAGCCCTTAGCAAAGAGCATGGGCACTTTGGAACTAGGGAAGGACCAATTCTTGCTCTTCCTCACACATGCTAATTATAGTCTTGCTTGCTTTCTCCTCTTCCTAGAATGCATCACCAGAATATTCACATGGATCACCTCCTCATTTCTTTCAGATTCTGTTCAAATGTCATCTTACCAGGCTCTCTTGACTTCCCTCTAAAATGGTACCACCCCCAGCCCCTAAATGTCATTTTCTAACCCTATAATTTGCTTTTTTCTCCATAGTGTGTGATATGTTGGTATATATTCTGTGTTCCTCCATGAGAAAAAAGACCTTGTCGTTTTTGTTTACTACTATATTCTAGGTTCCTAGAAAAATTCTTGACATACAGTAGGCATTCAGATATTTATCCCTCAAACAAAGCAATGCATGAATATTAGAAAAATGAAAGGAACAGAGATAAATGACTCTTAAAAGTATGGAGGAACTTTTTTTGGGGAGAAGGAGGGTGGTGTTTGATACTGAGGAGTTAGTAAAATATTCCTATGATATTGCTACTATTCTTTTCACTAGAGGCTTCATATATTATATTTTATTATTACATTTAAGAATCCTTATTAGGTACACTGTTAATTATTAGTTCCAGTGATTGATTTCATCCTGTTCATATGACTGAAAGCAACACTATTCAGTAGAAATACAATGCAAGCGGCTGGGCGTGGTGGGTCTGGCCTGTAATCCCAGCACTTTGGGAGGCTGAGGCGGGCAGATCATCAGGTCAGGAGTTCGAGACCAGCCTGACCAACATGGTAAAACCCCCTCTCTACTGAAAATACAAAAAAATTAGCTGGGCATGGTGGCATGTGCCTGTAATCCAGCTACTTAGGAGGCTGAGGCAGGAGAATCACTTGAACCTGGGAGGCAGAGGTTGCAGTGAGCCGAGATTGTACCACTGTTCTCCAGCTTGGGCGACAGAGCGAGACTCCGTCTCAAAAAAAAAAAAAAAAAAAAGAAATAAATATAATGCAAGCTATAAATTTGTGCCACATAGGTAAGTTAAAATTTTTCTAGTGGCCCCAGAAAATAATGAAAAGAAACAAGTGAAATTAATTTTAATATTACATTTAACTCAACATATCTAAAGTATCATTTCAACATACAGTCGATGTAAAACATTTTTGAGATATATCACATTTTCGTAAAACATGTTTGAAATCAGGTATATATTTTATAATTTACATTACATCTGAATTCGGACTAGCACCAAAAATCACATGTGGCCAGTGGCTACTATATAAGATACCATTGTTTAGAGCATATATGCATCCATGTATTCATGTATTTGATAAATATTTATAGACTAGTGCCAGAAACCATTCGAAAGGCTGGAATTCATAGGTGAAGAGGACAGATGGGCTCTCTGATTTCATGGAGTTTATGTTTTACAGGGAAGAGACAAAAAAATAAGTAAACAATTTCCAAAGAGTTAAGTAGAAAGGAGGTTATTTATATGATGATTGATTTAAATAATATACCCAGAGTAAAGTGAACCAATCTTAAGTATGTATAGCTAGATGAATTTTTTTTAATGTGACAACCACTCAGATCACAAGGCTCCTTCCTGTTCATTAGTAAACAGTTTGAAATTAGAGTTTTTAAAGGGGGGAAGGGATGGGAGGAGAATATAATAATATCTTTTCTACTTTTGATAGGCATGGAAAGGAGGAAATTGTTTTCTGGACTACTGGGCTAGTGGTCAGAGCACTGTTTCCTCTTGGGAAGAAGGAAATTGAGCTTGGAGCCAAATCTATCCTTTGCCTTTGATTCCTCCATTCAACTATAGTAATATATTTTTTAAAAGGCTCTGCTGCCCTCTGGTATCTAAAATGAATTTAAAAAGGTAAATTGGTTCTAGAACTATACCTAATGAAGAGGTCTACTGTTTTAGTAAGGGTTTGTCAATGACAGAGTTAACCACAATATTCCATTCTCTGAGTACACTGTAAGTTCTGCAATGGTTTGATGATATTTCTTAGCTCAATATAAATAATATTAGACTATTTGTGTCAATAGTTTTTTTATGAGTTAATTTATACGTTTCCTTTCAAATTGCAGTTTTAAAAATGGTATTAAGTTTAAAAAAAAGAACATAAATTGTAGGCCAAATATTTTATGTATGAATGCTAATTATCATTTTATCTTTGCAGATTTTGAAATACATGGCCAAATATTTTATGTATGAATGATAATTATCATTTTATCTTTGCAGATTTTGAAAGACATAGCCAATCGATTCCATATGATGAATGGCTCCAAAATACATTTTGTGCCCGGCTGGGATTGTCATGGGTTGCCCATTGAAATAAAAGTATTATCAGAACTTGGTAGAGAAGCTCAGAATCTTTCAGCTATGGAAATTAGAAAGAAAGGTAAATAATCTGTATTTCTGTTTTAAAATGATATTTGTAAACACTCAGGTCCTTGAAATAGTCAGAACTTTACCAAAGGAACCTTTTGTTTGGGTTTCGTTTGCTTATAATAAGATCTATTGGAAACGCCTTTCTGTCACAGAAAATTCAGATTTTATTTCATTGATTTTTGTAAGAACTTATGTTTGGATATTGAAGGAAAGACTTTGTGAGCATTTCTGATTGCATTCTCAGTTTCTTAATGTTCATATTTTAAAAAACTATTTTTTGGTAAATTCTTTTTTCTGCTTTCCTCAAGGGGGCTTGTTGACTGATTTTAGGTGTTAAGCCAAAATTCAATTCTAAAATACATATATTTTACATTAATCTTTTATTTGATCCTTTTTCTTCAGTCGACTGGGCCAAGGGAGGATTCTCTTTTTCTTATATGTTATACTATTGTACATTTGGATGTAACTGTGAAGATTTTTTTACTTCCTTGTGAAACCTATTATCATTGGCTTAGATTTGATATTCTGATTAATTTTTTGTGTATAATGAAATGAAAATTGTTATCTGACCTTTTCTTAAATTAAGAAACAATAAGGAATAATTTTTCCAGTTTATTTGTCCTAAATATGAGGTCATTGTATAAAGTCTGGAAAATACAGAAGACAGTAATAAAATTTTAACTTTTGCAATTCCAGTTAATTTTAGAATTTGTTGTAGGTATCTTCTGAACACTGTTGACCTTCAAATTATTTTTCTATTAAAAAATTTTTATAGGCTGGGCACAGTGGCTCATGCCTGTAATCCTAGCACTTTGGGAGGCTGAGGGAGGTGGATCGATCACCTAAGGTCAGGAGTTTGAGACCAGCCTGGCCAACATGGCAAAACCCCGTATCTACTAAAAATACCAAATAATTAGCCAGGTATGGTGGCTCACGCCTGTAGTCCCAGATACTTGGGAGGCTGAGGCACGAGAATTGCTTGAACCTGTGTGGCAGAGGTTACAGTGAGCTGAGATCCGCCACTGCATGCCAACCTGGGCAACAGAGCAAGACTCCATCTCAAAAAAAAAAAATTTTGTGCTCGGGCGCCGTGGCTCACGCCTGTAATCCCAGCACTTTGGGAGGCTGAGGCGGGTAGATCACGAGGTCAGGAGATCCAGACCATCCTGGCTGACACAGTGAAACCCCGTCTCTACTAAAACTACAAAAAAATTAGCCGGGCGTGGTGGCGGGCGCCTGTAGTCCCAGCTACTCAGGAGGCTGAGGCAGGAGAATGGCGTGAACCCGGGAGGCAGAGGCTTGCAGTGAGCCGAGATCATGCCACTCGCGCCACTGCACTCTAGCCTGGGTGACAGCGAGACTGTGTCTCAAAAAAAATTTGCATTCTAAACTGTCTGTAGCATTTGCATTTAGAGAGATACATGCTAAACCATGTTTAAGAATTCGAATTCATTGGTTTTTTAAAATCTTTTTTTCGTCTTTTTTTTAGCTAGATCATTTGCTAAAGCAGCCATTGAGAAACAGAAATCAGCATTTATTCGTTGGGGAATAATGGCAGATTGGAATAATTGCTACTATACATTTGATGGGAAGTATGAAGCCAAACAGTTGAGAACTTTTTACCAAATGTATGATAAGGTAAAGAAGTATTTTTTCTCTTTGAGTAGGTTTTAGTATGCGTTACAAGATTCTACTTTTAACATCATATTTTTGTCTTTTATAGGGCTTGGTTTATCGATCTTACAAACCTGTGTTTTGGTCTCCGTCATCTAGGTATATATGCATTTTTCGGTAATTAAAAGGGAGAAATTTGTGAGGCTTCCAAGTATTTATGTTTAATATTTTTAACCCTTAGGACTGCATTGGCTGAAGCAGAACTTGAATATAATCCTGAGCATGTCAGTCGTTCAATATATGTAAAATTTCCTCTCTTAAAGCCTTCTCCAAAATTGGCATCTCTTATAGGTAAGATTTATTCATAGCTTGAGTGTACCAAAGTTATAGAATTATCCCATTTGCTAACATATTTACAATTGTATTTTCACAGATGGTTCATCTCCTGTTAGTATTTTGGTCTGGACCACACAACCTTGGACGATTCCAGCCAATGAAGCTGTTTGCTATATGCCTGAATCAAAGTGGGTATATTATTGCATTTTTTGTTTTATACACAAATAGAATGTATTCCATTATTAACATTATTTTGAATTTATTTTATCCTGTTTATTATTGTAAAATTTAATGAATTATAACTTAGTTATTATGTTCATATAGATTTTATTAACCTTTAGGTGATCCTTTTTATGACCTTATCCAGCTTTTCGGGAAAATGAAATAGAAGTATAAGTTACAAAGTGTTTTGAAAATAGTACAGTTTGATCTTGAAGTCAGTTTTTTCTTTTTTCTTTTTTTTTTTGGAGACCGAGTTTTGCCTTTTGTTGCCCAGGCTGGAGTACAGTGGCATGATCTTGGCTCACCACAACCTCCACCTCCCGGGTTCAAGCAATTTTCCTGCCTCAGCCTCCCGAGTAGCTGGGATTATGGGATTACAGGCATGCGCCACCACGCCAGGCTAATTTTGTATTTTTAGTAGAGATGGGGTTTCTCTATGTTGGTGAGGCTGGTTGCAAACTCCCAACCTCAGGTGATCCACCTGCCTTGGCCTCCCAAAGTGCTGGGATTATAGACATGAGCCACCGCGCTGGCCTGAAGTCAGTTTTTTCTAAAATGATTATTTAAAAATTAAAATGATATCTGTGGCTTTTCTTGTTTCATTATTAGTAATTTCTCCTAAAATTTTATGTTAGGTATGCTGTTGTGAAATGTTCTAAGTCTGGAGACCTCTACGTACTGGCGGCAGATAAAGTAGCATCTGTTGCTTCTACTTTGGAAACAACATTTGAGACTATTTCAACACTTTCAGGTGAAGATTTTTAGATATCTGACAACATAGTCATCAAAGTATTGGGCTGACTTGAATTTACTACTTTGCTGAACTGCATATTTTGAATTGAAACAGATATGGCCTCTACCTTTCTAGAATACATTTTACATTGATTACACTAAAGGAGAATATACATTAAGCATGATAGGAGTATAGAAAAATATGAATATTGATAAATGTACAACAGGTAAAACTAATTTCTGGCAATATCCAGTAGTTACTTGGTAAAATTTTATGCAAAATTAATTTTTAAAATTGTTTTTATCTGTTTTAATAAAAGTAGCAAGAAAGGAAATGCATATACTTATTTTTCGATACATAATTTTAATAAAGGATTGAATAAGTTCTGAAAATTATTCAGAAAGCAGTTCTTCTATCAAAGGAATTTTATTTTATTTTATTTTTTAAAGAGACAGGGTCTCATGCTGTTGCCCACTGCTGGAATGCAGTGGTCCAGTCAGCTCATTGCAGCCTCAAACTCCCGGGCTCAAGCAATCCTCCTGCCCTGGCCACCCAAGTAGCTGGGACTATAGGCACATGCCACTGCACCCGGCTAATTTTGAAAAAATATTTTACAGAGATGAATTCTTGTTGTGTAGCCCAGACTGGTCTGGAATTCCTGGGCTCAAGTGATCTGCCTGCCTTGGCCTGCCAAAGTGCTGGGATTAAAGGCGTAAGCCACTGTGCCTAGCCCAAAATAATTCTTTGTGAGCTATAATTTGGGACTTTTGAGGTAGTGACTGCTTTGAAATATAATTATGGAAGTCTAGGGAAGTTTAAAATTAGCTTTTTGTTGTTGTTGTTCTTCATTTTGTTTTGAGACGTGGTCTTGCTCTGTTGCCCAGGCTGGAGTGCAGTGGTGCCATCTTGGCTCACTGCAGCCTCTGGATCCTAGGCTCAAGTGATCTTCCTGCCTCAGCCTCTTGAGTAGCTGGGACTACAAGTGTGTGCCACCATGCTGGACTAATTTTTAATTTTTTTGGTAGAGATGAGGTCTTGCTACATTGCCCAGGCTGGTCTTGAACTCCTGGCCTCAAGTGATCCTCCTGCTTTGGTCTTCCAAAGTGCTGGGATTATGGGCATGAGCCACTGTGCCTGGACTAAAATTCTATTTTATTTTATTTTATTTTTAAAGAGATGAGGTCTCACTATGTTGCCCAGGCAGATCTTGAACTCCTGAGCTCAAGTGTTCCTCCTGCCTCTGCCTCCCAAAGTGGTAGGATTATAGACGTGAGCCACCATGCCTGGGCTAAAATTATCTTTGATCCTTAGGTATGATATATCTTTTAATTTCTTGCTAAAAAATCTATCACATGAATAAAGATACAAAAACTGCCTAGAAAGACTGCCTAGCTAAATAGGAAAGCCCTCTAAATTAATCAGTTCAGATACAAGCCAATGAGAAGTTTAAACAACCTTAACAAAAATAAAAAGATTTTTATGTCAGAGGCAGGAAAGGAGCTTAAGAATTTTGAAGACCATTTGGTCCTCTTTGGTGCAATAGGGTAATAAAAATAAAAACCAAGATAATAATTTACTTCACACCCTCTCTCACTGTGTTGCCCAGGCTTGTTTCAAACTCCTGGGCTCAAGCAATCTTCCTGCCACAGCCTCCCAAAGTGCTGCAATTACAGACATGAGCTACTGCACCCAGCCCCCTGCTCTTTTATAAATGCAGAGGATATTAAAGACTTCATTGTCAAGTTATACATTATCATAGAAGCTAAAAATCACAAGATTTTTGAAAGTGTTAAGGTTGAATTTAAAGATCTTTTGTCTAGATAGCATAATTGTTTCAAATTCTTACTATCAGATAATTATTGAGTTGCTATTTGAGTCACCATATTGTGGAGGAGTATATATATTATCCCTGTCAAAATAAGCTGGTGTCACGTAGCTACTACTTATTAAAGTAGTAGGAATGTTGAAGAGCTAAAAATGAAGTAATTTGTATGGGGTAGGTTTTCTTTCCGGAAAAAAATGAATTATTTCTTATCAATTACTTAGAGATCATTTTGGGAGGGTGGTGAGGGAGAATATTAAGTGGTAGATGCAGTAAGTATCAAAACACTTAAACTACATTAACTCTGTTTATTCTCACAGAAACCCTCTGAGGTGGGAACCATAATTATCTGCATTTTATAGATTATAGAAGGTCACAGAACAAGTTAAAGGGGAAGCTGGAATTTAAGCCTAGCCAGTATTGTTCTAGATTCTGCACATTTAACCTGATACTCTATTGCTAAGCTTAAGGAGATAGATTTGCCATATAAAATGATTCTTAATAGTGGTTTTCTTTCCCCACAGGTGTAGATTTGGAAAATGGTACTTGCAGTCATCCATTAATTCCTGATAAAGCCTCTCCTCTTTTACCTGCAAATCATGTGACCATGGCAAAAGGAACGGGATTGGTTCACACAGCCCCAGCTCATGGTATGGAAGACTACGGTGTAGCGTCTCAGCACAACCTGCCCATGGTACTGTTCCTCTTTTATCATTTTTAATTATTCATCTTAATAAAAGGAAATGATAAATTCTAACCAACATCTTCATTTTTTAAAAATGATGACTTTTGTCATCATAATTGTGAAATGCTCAGGTTTGTGTAGTACTCTAAAGTTTCATTAATTCGTACTAATTGAAAAAGATTTCCCAGAATTAATAGAAAATTAGCACTTTAGAATTGAAGAATATATATCATGGGGCACTTTTAAAATACTTTTTTTCTAGTATCAAGTCACATAGACAAATTACTTTTATTCCCTGAAAAAGCCTGTTTGTTTTAGCTAAACAGTCCTTTCTACATTTACTTTACATACTTCAGTTACTTAGCAAGTATTTCCGTTTAGTTAAAAGGTGAGTCAGAAAGGGAACAACTGTGTATATAGGCATAGATTTGGAAACAATAGAGACCACTCAAAGATGTTTTAATATATTTTGTTACTTTTGTTATTAAAGTTTATGGATATGCTTCAATAACACATTTTGGCTTTGGTGATTTAAATGTATAAAATTCACAAATTCCTATTTCCTTTTCTTTTCTTTTCTTTTTTTTTTTTTTTGAGAGGGAGTCTTGCTCTGTCGCCCAGGCTGGAGTGCAGTGGTGTGGTATGATCTCGGCTCACTGCAACCTCTACCTCCAGGGTTCAAGCGATTCTCCTGCCTCAGCCTCCCGAGTAGCTGGGACTACAGGTGCACACCACCATGCCTGGCTAATTTTTGTATTTTTAGTGGAAGTGGGTTTCACCATGTTGGCCAGGCTAGTCTCAAATTCCTGACCTCAAGTGATCTGCCCACCTCGACCTCCCAAAGTGCTGGGATTATAGGCCTGAGTGCCGCGCCCGGCCAAGTACCTAGAATTTCAATGTAGAAAAAGACCAGGCTATACTGAGATGTTTTTATATATATTGTTTTGCCAGATATTGTCATAAGAGAAAATGTCTTGATATTTTAATTGTTCAAAATGATACTTTATAGGATTGTCTAGTGGACGAAGATGGAGTTTTCACAGATGTTGCAGGTCCTGAACTTCAAAACAAGGCTGTCCTTGAAGAGGGAACTGATGTGGGTGAGCATCATATCTGTTGATATCATACATGTTTTCTGAAAAGTAGGTAGCAGTAACCTTTGCTACCTATTTTCCCTCCTTATACTTTAACAGAAACAAAAAAATAAATTATGTCTTGTTTTGCCATATGTTTTAAAATGGAGTTTGGGACTTTTTCATCTTTTGCTTTGAAGCTGCTTTATTTAAGCAAGTCAGGGCAGTCAACAGGGAGTGAAGTTATTTTAGGGCTATGGAGATAATAATCAGCAGTATTACTTTTGTGGAAGGATACAATCAAGATCAGGGCTGGATGTTGACTGTAAATTACACATTCCCTACTCACTTTTTAACCCTTGTAAATAACTGACCTATATGGCATGATTTATGTATTAGAATCTTGGGAATCCTCCAGCCTTGAATTGTCTTTCTGTCTTCCTTTACAGATTCAGAGACCAAGTGCTATGAAAACCTTTCTTTGCCCACACTAAGACTAAGGCTATTTAGACCTGATATATTACTTTTCTAGGGCTACTGTAAAAAATCACCGTAAACTTGGTAGTTTGAAACAACAGAAATTTATTCTCTCAAGTGCTGGAAGCTAGAAGTCTAAATTCATCGTACTGGCAGGACCATGTTTTCCTGAAGGTTTTATGGGAGAATCCTTACTTGCCTCTTTCTAGCTTTTGGTGGCTCCTGGAAATCCTTGGCATTCCTTGGTTTATAACTGCGTTACTCCACTCTCTGCCTGTCTTGTCACATGGCCTTCTTTAGATCTTACTTGTTTTTTCGAGACAATCTCACTTTCTCACTCAGGTTGATGTGCAGTGGCATGCTTTCAGCTCACTGCCACCTCTGTGTCCTGGGTTCAAGTGATTCTTGTGCCTTAGCCTCCTGAGCAGATGGGATTACAGGCATACACCACCACACCCAGCTAATTTTTTTTTTTTTGAGACACAGTCTCACTCTGTTGCCCAGGCTGGAGTGCAGTGGTGTGATCTCAGCTCACTGCAACCTCTGCCTCCTGGGTTCAAGCAATTCTCTTGCCTCAGCCTCCCAAGTAGCTGGGATTACAGGATACACACCACTACTCCTGGCTAATTTTTGTATTTTTAGTAGAGATGGGGTTTCACCATGTTGGCCAGGCTGGTCTTGAACTCCTGACCTCAGGTGATCTGCCCACCTTAGCCTCCCAAAGTGCTGGAATTACAGGCGTGAGCCCTCACTGTGTCAGGCCATAATTTTTTTATTTTTTATTTTATTTTTATTTTTTTTTTAAGACGGAGTCTCGCTCTGTTGCCCAGGCTGGAGTACAGTGGCACGATCTTGGCTCACTGCAAGCTCTGCCTCCTGGGTTCATGGGTTCTCCTGCCTCAGTCTCTCGAGTAGCTGGGACTACAGGCGCCTGCCACCATGCCCAGCTAATTTTTTGTATTTTTAGTAGAGATGGGGTTTCACCATATTAGCCAGGACGGTCTCGATCTCCTGACCTCGTGATCCACCTGCCTTGGCCTCCCAAAATGCTGGGTTTACAGGCATGAGCCACCGCACCCGGCCTATTTTTTATTTTTAATAGAGACAGGGTTTCACCATGTTGGCCAGGCTGGTCTCAAACTCCCAGCCCCAAGTGATCCACCTGCCTAGGCCTCCCAAAGTGTTGGGATTATAGGTGTGAGCCACCGTACCCAGCCACCTTCTTTAGGTCTTAAATGTCTCTCTGTGAATCCTCTTTTTTTTTTTTTTTTTTTTTTTTTTATTGGAGGGACTGGTTCTTTATTTCAAAAAGACACTTGTCAATATTCAGTATCAAAGCAGGTGGACTATTGATTTCTGTTTCTCCCAATCGGCCCCAAAGAGACTATATCAAAGGACAGTACGTTTTAAGCCAGTATGCTGCAGGATGTACACCTGACAGACTTTACAGAAACCTTATCGGAAAGTGGGGATTGGGTAGGGAAAGAAACTTTAAAAGATCAGCAAACTGCCAGCCCGGCCAGGCACGGTGGCTCACCCCTGTAATCCCAGCGCTTTGGGAGGCTGAAGCGGACATATCACGAGGTCAGGAGTTCGAGACCTGCCTGGCCAACATGGTGAAACCCTGTGTCTACTAAAAATACAAAAAATTAGCCAGGTGTGGTGGTAGGTGCCTGTAATCCCAGCTACTCTGGAGGGTGAGGCAGGAGAATCACTTGAACCTGGGAGGCAGAGGTTGCAGTGAGCTGAGACTGCACCACTGCACTCCATCCTGGGCAACAGAGCGAGAGTCCATCTCAAAAAAAAAAAAAAAATCTGCCAGCTCACAGACTGTAGAGGGCTGTCACAGTCAAACTGGGTGGCCAGGGTGCCACCCAAAGAAGCAAAGTTTCAAAATAATACAAAAATTTAAAAAAGTTTTGTACATAAGCTATTTAAGATTTCTCTAGCATTAACTGATATTAAGCACAATGAGATGGCACTTTTAGAGACAGCAGCTTCAAACCCAGAAAAGGGTAATGAGATGAGTTTCACATGGCTGAATCAGTGGCAAAAACATAATCTTCTTTCTATCCTCCTCTAAGAACACCAGTGCTCCCTAATGCAGTGTGACCTCATCTAAACTTGATTACATCTGCAGAGGCCTGATTCCCAAGTAAGGTCACATTCACTAGTGCTGGGGGTTAGATCTTCTTGGGGACACAGTTCAACCCACTACACCTGGTTTCCTCCAGATTACCTGGAGACCATTTTAAGATTCATGGCATGAAAGATTATGGATCTAAACTTCAAATGTAGAATTCTAGATATAATCTGTTCATCTTTTCTTTGACGTGAAAAGAGGTAGAAGTGGCATAATTTGGAGTCTGATTAAGATTTTACAGTCCGTGCTTTTTTTTGCCAGGAGAATCCCAGAGCACGCCTTTGATACCTGGAAGGTGACTACTCTTTTTTATTTTATTTTTTTTTGTGAGACAGAGTCTCGCTTTGTTGCCCAGGCTGGAGTGCAGTGGCACAATCTCGGTTCACTACAGCCTCCGCTTTAGCTTAGGTTCAAATGATTCTCCCACCTCAGCCTCCCAAGTAGCTGGGATTACAGGCTCACACCACTGTGCCCTGCTAATTTTTTTGTATTTTTAATAGAGATGGGGTTTCACCATGCAGGCCAGGCTGGTCTTGAATTCCTGACCTCAAGTGATCCTCTCGTCTCTGCCTCCCAAACTGTTGGGATTACAGGCGTGAGCAACCACGCCCAGCCAAGTTGACTACTCTTTTATTTTTTGAGACGGAGTCTCGCTCTGTCACCCAGGCTGGAGTGCAGTGGCACGATCTCGGCTCACTGCAACCTCTGCCTCCCAGGTTCAAGCGATTCTCCTGCCTCAGCCTCCTGAGTAGCTGGGATTATGGGCACACACCACCATGCCCGGCTGATTTTTGCATTTTTAGTAGAGACGAGGTTTCACCATGTTGGTCAGGCTGGTCTCGAACTCCTGACCTCGTGATTTGCCTGCCTCAGCCTCGCAAAGTGCTGGGATTACAGGTGTGAGCCACTGTGGCTGGCAAGGTGACTACTCTTATTGCCACCTGTTGCTGCAGATTTAGTATTTTCTGGAAGTTTAGAGCATTTTTAGGATTTTCACAGTACTTTTTAATTATGTCTAATTTGGTGTTTTTTTTTTTAAAGTTATAAAGATGCTTCAGACTGCAAAGAATTTGTTGAAAGAGGAGAAATTGGTGCATAGCTATCCGTATGACTGGAGGACCAAGAAACCTGTGGTTATTCGTGCCAGCAAGCAGTGGTTTATAAACATCACGGATATTAAGACTGCAGCCAAGGTATAAAAAGCATCCTGTTTTAACAGGTCGGGCATATCATTCCCTCAGTATAAAGGGGCTGCATGTGAGGTTGAGGTGGGGTTTCAGGAGTAATAGGGATTGCTGCTATTATGATTTAGTTTCATAACATTGTAGAATTTTAGATCTGGAAGGACCTTGGACTTCCATTTTTTCATTATACATGTGTGAGAAATGAGGCATAAAGAGGTTGAGTGATTTGTCCACATCACACTGTTAGTAGATAGACTTTCTTGCCCAGTGTAGTCAAAGTTGCATAGAATTTGGACAGAACTGTGTTACCTAGTTTAACCTCCCACTGCCTCTGTTTCCTCATCTATATAAAGTGGTAATAATGCGTATCTCATGGAGTAAGGAAATTCGAGTTTCCAGAATATGGTCTGATACATAATAAGCAGTCAGTAAAACTTTTTTAAACCCTTTGCTTCCTTAAGATTGAAATTACAATCAATTAAAAAAGTTACTGTTCTGCTTACAAAGGAAGCATATTAAAAAGAAAAACTAACAATATGAAAAATATACAAAGTTGTTGCTTTGGAGCTAACAAATACTTATAATTGGTATTTAAATACTTAATATATATTTGAGCCCTTTCATTTAATATGTATCTTTCTATATGGGTATATATATATATATATATATATGTGTGTGTGTGTGTGTGTGTGTGTGTAAACATCTCTCACAACTTGATTCTATTTAATGAAAGAGCTTAAATATATATGTGTTAACCAGGTTGAATATATAGATATTTTGCTTTACAGTTTGAAAGATACTACTGTATTTAGCTGGTTCATTTATTGGCCTGGCAATTTGGGGTCCTTGCCAAAGCTTTTTATAGCAGTTTATACTTTCTATACTTGTGTAATGTGGACAACTATAATATATAGTGCATTTTGGTTTTTTCTTCATTTAAAGCCTCTCTTCCTTATTTGTCAATGTTAAAATTTGTAAATTGCAGCTCTGCACCGATTTTTGGTTGTAGAACATCTAAGTCTGACGCAATATATTTAAGCCAAGTTTTTTTTTTAACTTTTTTGTAAAGTTAAAAATTGTTCTTTGTAGAAGTAGTGAGAATAGGATAATGTATTGTCGTATTCCCATCACTCAGTTTCAACAATAATCAACTTTTGGTTAATTTTGTTTTTATCTACACCCCTCCGACCACCTACTTTTTTTTTTTTTTTTTTTTTGAGACGGAGTCTCGCTCTGTCGCCCAGGTCGGACTGCGGACTGCAGTGGCGCAATCTCGGCTCACTGCAAGCTCCGCTTCCCGGGTTCACGCCATTCTCCTGCCTCAGCCTCCCGAGTAGCTGGGACTACAGGCGCCCGCCACCGCGCCCGGCTAATTTTTTGTATTTTTAGTAGAGACGGGGTTTCACCTTGTTAGCCAGGATGGTCTCGATCTCCTGACCTCATGATCCACCCGCCTCGGCCTCCCAAAGTGCTGGGATTACAGGCGTGAGCCACCGCGCCCGGCCCGACCACCTACTTTTTACCCCTTAACAATTGGATTATTTTAAAGCAAATTCCAGGCACTATTTCTTCCATATTATATATTGTCCCGGCGATATTTTAGCACATATATTTGAAAGATAAGCTCTTTTTTTTTTTTTTTTTTTTTGAAACAGGGTCTTGCTCTGTCACCCAGGCTGGAGTGCAGTGGTGTGATCTCAGCTCACTGCAACCTCCACCTCCTGGACTCAACCTATCCTCCCACGTCAGCCTCCTGAGTAACTGGGACTACAGGCCTGTGCCACCACATCTGGCTAATTTTTGTATTTTTTCTAGAGATAGGGTTTTGTCAAGTTGCCCCGGTTGGTGTCGAACTCCTGAGCTCAAGCAGTCTGCCTGCTTCGGCCTCTCAGAGTGCTGTAATTACAGGTGTCAGCCAAAGATAAACTCTGTATTTATTTATTTATTTTCTTGAGATGGAGTTTCACTCTTGTTGCCCAGGCTGGAGTGCAGTGATGTGATCTTGGCTCACAGCAGCCTCCACCTCCTGGGTTCAAGCAATTCCCTGCCTAAGCCTTCTGATTAGCTGGAATTATAGGCATGCACCACCATGCCCGGCTAATTTTTTTGTATTTTTGGTAGAGACGGAGTTTCTCCATGTTGGCCAGGCTGGTCTTGAACTCCTGAGCTCGGGTGATCCGCCCTCCTCAGCCTCCCAAAGTGCTGGGATTACAGACGTGAGCCACCATGCTCGGCCAAACTCTTTAAAGCATAATTCCCATGCCATTATCACCACCTTTAAAAAGTAATAGTTATTCCTTAGCAAAATCAAATATCTATTCAATATTCACATTTCTTAGACTTTTAAACCAAGTATGGTATTAATCAAATTGATTTGTAGAGATTTTGCCATTCTGCCAATAGGTGGTGCTACAGAGAGCTTTGTGGGAGGGGACTTCTGGTAGTTACGGTGAGTGAGGAAACCATTTAAACCTTCTTTGAAAATGTAAAAATGCTTTTATTAATGGATAGAAAGATTTTTTAAAATGAAGTTAACATTTTGACCTTTTTGGAGACTATTAGTAAACATTTTTGCTATACAGTTAATCTTTTGCTAGTTGACAAATTAAATCAAATGGTAGCAGTTTTCAACCTTATTTTGGGAATGGAGGAAGGGAGCTTTCTTGAGAGGAAGTAACTGTTAGCCATTTGTCGATAGATATATATATATAGAGAGAGAGAGAGATTTATTTTAGAGACAGGCTCTTGCTCTGTCGCCCAGGTTGGAGTGCACTGCCATGCTCATAGCTCACTGCAACCTTGAACTCTTGGGCTCAAGTGATCCTCCCACCTCAGCCTACCAAAATGCTGGGATTACAGGTTTGAACCACATACTTGGGCTTATTTTGAGAAAGTGTTTTCTGTGTTGTAAACTATATTATGTAAAATTAGGTATATCGCAATCTTTTTTTGGCAGTCTACGATAGTAATTTATTTTTTAAGCATTTTAAAAAATGGTGGAAATCAAGTTTGAATTGATTTTAACTATAGTTTAGTGAAGTATAATAGTTCTATGAAAGCTTTTATTACCAGTTTTGATCTAGGGTTGGTGTAAATTAGAAATTGGTATGAAATCTTTTGTAACATTGTTAAAAAATGCAACAATGCTCCTGATATTATCACTGCTCCCGATATTATTTATTAAGTTCTTCGCGGCTCCATTTTTACTTTGCCTTATTTGCTCTGAAATCTTTTAGTTCTTTAGTTGTTTTTTTGAGGGGAGGGTAAGGGAGGTATGTGAATGGCTACAAACATCCAAAAGAAACAAATGCATTTGGAAAATTGACTGTTCTAGAATACTTGTTCTGCTTTCTCTCACAAGACTTGATTTATGAATTAATTGCAGGAATTGTTAAAAAAGGTGAAATTTATTCCTGGATCAGCACTGAATGGCATGGTTGAAATGATGGACAGGCGGCCATATTGGTGTATATCAAGGCAAAGAGTTTGGGGTGTTCCAATTCCTGTGTTTCATCATAAGACCAAGGATGAATACTTGATCAACAGGTAGAATGCTTTCTAAAATTTTTTAGTGTTTTAAAGTGAAATATTTTTTCTTCAAAAATTGAAAAATAATGTGGATGATTAAGAACCGTTTATATATGTTAAATAAAATATGCTAAAATAGTCTTTTGGGGGACTAAAATATAAGTTCAAAACAATTCTATCATACAGTTAAAATATTAACTAGATTTTCTTAAATATTGATACTTAGAAGTAAAGTCTCTGACTTTTTTTCTATGAGAATTTATTGGGCTGTATTAAGGTATCATGGATCCAAAGATGGACAGTGTTTAGCAGGGGAGCCTGAAATGTATTTTTTCTAAAGGAATGAAGAGAATCACTCTCACATTCTGAGTCTGCTTTCCTTTTCAGTGGAAATGGGATTATGTAATTGTGTAGATACTTAAAATTTAAGAAATTGTAGTTAAATGCACATGATTACACTGATGATTATATTCCCAGTTTTTCCCTTTTTTTTTTTTTGAGTTGGAAAGGTAATAGATGGACATAGTGAACAATTCATAGTAGAAAAGCTTGTACACTGAAAAGTAGGCTTTTTCCTACTCCAGGTATCCAGAACCTTTTTTTGAGGCAGTCATTGTTTACAGCTGTTTCTGAATCTTTCCAGAAAAAATGAATTCTTCTGTCAGCACATACATATGTTTATACAAAAGAGAGTATCTCTATCTTCTGCTCTGTGCCTAGATTTTTTTCACTTTATGTGTTATGATTTATTCCAAATCACTACACATAGATCAGCCTCATTCTTAAGCTTTATTAAAGCATACTTTACATACTATAAAATTCATGGCCAGGTGCGGTGGCTCACGCCTGTAATCCCAGCCCTTTGGGAGGCCGAGGCTGGTGTATCATGAGGTCAGGAGTTCAAGACCAGCCTGGCCAAGATGGTGAAACTCCATCTCTACCGAAAATACAAAAATTAGCCAGGCATGGTGGCGCGGGCCTGTAATCTCAGCTACTCCGAAGGCTCAGGCAGAGAACTGCTTGAACCTGGGAGGCAGAGGTTGCAGTGAGCCAAGATCGTGCCACTGGACTCCAGCCTGGGTGACAGAGTGAGACTCTATCTCAAAAAAATTAAAAAAGAAAAATTCATTTATTATAAGTGATTTATAGTAAATTTGTTAAGTTTTACAGCCACTATCATAATTGTGTCTTAGAATAATTCTTTTATCCCGAACAGCTCCCTTTTGTGCTTTTCGAAAGAGAAGTTGCTTGGAAATCTGTGAGCTTTGGAGAATGGCAACTGAATTTGAACCCAGGCTTTGCCATTCACTGTGTGTGAGACTGAGGAATTTACTTAGCCTCTGGCTCCTCTATAAAATAGGAAAAGCAATGGTTGCAGGTAGACTGTTATGAATACTAAATAATAAATGCAAACTACTTGGTGTAAAGCACAGTATTCCATAGATGATGAGCTATTCATGTATTCACTTAAGAAACATTGTTATGTGGGCACAGTGGCTCATGCCTGTAATCCCAGCACTTTGGGAGGCCAAGGCGGCAGGATTGCTTGAAGCCAGCTGTTCAAGATTACAGTGAGACCCCATCTCTACAGAAAAATTTAAAAATTAGCTGGTGTGGTAGTGTGGGCCTGTAGTCCCAGCGACTTGGGAGGCTAAGGCGAGAGGATCGCTCAAGTCCAGGAGTTTGAGGTTATAGTGAGCTATGATCATGCCAATGCACTCCAGCCTGGATGACAGAGCAAGACACTGTCTCTTCAGAACGAAACAAAACAGAACACATTGTCAAGCACTTAGTACGTGTCAGTGCTAGGAACTGCTAGTTGCTACAGTGAACAAGACTGACATGGCCCCTGTTTTTAATGAGATAATAGTCTAGCTAGTTTATCTTCTAGTAATATTAGGGAGGCTTTGAGTGTTGTTGCTGTTTTTCACAGATGTGGAGAGGGGAATGTTAATTCTTCCTTTTAGGAACACATTCCAGATTTTCATTTTCTTTGAGCAATTTTTTTTAATTTGGTGAATGGAATTTTTTCTAAATTATGCTATTAAGAAGTTTAAACTTTTAAGTAGACTTGAGGAGTAAGAGTATGTTTTAGGAAAAGAAAGTAGAGGCTAGAGACTGGAAAGTCATTGGAAAGCTATTTCAATATTATTATAAGTTGGATCTGAGGTAAGACTTTAGGAATAATCTAAATATTGTTGCTGTGGTGTTCTTACAGAGCTTGGTCAGATGTAAACTACTAATATCTTAATACTTACATTAAGAATTAATGTAAATTCTGTCCAGTTCAGATTATTTTATTTTATTTTTGATACAGTCTCACTCTGTCACCCAGGCTGGAGTGCAGTGATGTGATCTTGGCTCACTACAACCTCCACCTCCCAGGTTCAAGTGATTCTCCCTCCTCAGCCTCCTGAGTAGCTGGGACTACAGGCACGCGCCACTGACTTGGCTAATTCTTGTATTTTTAGTAGAGATGGGCTCTTGCCACGTTGACGAGGCTGGTCTCGAACTCCTGGCCACAAAGGATCCATCCACCTCTGCCTCCCAGAGTGCTGAGATTACAGGCATGAGCTACCATGCCCAGCCTCAGACTTAGTTTAAAAGAAAAAGAATTAAAGTGATTATACCTGAGACGAGTTTCCACAAACATTTGTTTAAAATTTCACACTGGAAAGTTTTTTTTTTTTTTGGAAAGTTTTATAAGCCATGTCATTGTCTCCTCTTCTTTTTTTTTTTTTTTTTTTTTTTTGAGATGGAGTTTCACTCTTGTTTCCTAGGCTGGAGTGTAGTGGCACGATCTCAGCTCACTGCAATCTCCGCCTCCCAGGTTCAAGTGATTCTCCTGCCTCAGCCTCCTGAGTAGTTGGGATTAGAGGCATGTGCCACCACGCCCGGCTAATTTTATATATATATATTTTTTAGTAGAGACGGGGTTTCTCCATGTTGGTCAGGCTGGTCTCAAACTCCCGACCTCAAGTGATCCGCCCGCCTCAGCCTCCCAAAGTGCTGGGATTACAGGCGTGAGCCACTGTGCCCGGCTACTCTTCTTTTCACTATTTAGAGAGCAAGATGTCTAGGGAATTTCACTGAAGTGATTGAGGTGGGTGGGGATTCCTTGGTGGAATAGCCCTCTGGACTCTGAGGTGGATCATATGTATGTATTAGTAAATATAGCAAACTGGTTTAATTGATACATCCTGATAATTAAATGGTACATAGGTTGACTGGTCAGTAAGTTAGGTTAAATAAATATGAGCTTTGTCAGAAAAACACAAGTTTTCATTAGGTATATTTATGTTTTATTTACTCAATACATTTACATGGTAGTGTTACAGATTATCTTCTGTGTACCTGCCATTGCGTTGGTTGCGTGGTGTTAGTCGATTTCTGATATTGAAGTAGCACAGTCATACAGAATATTGGCCTAAAGAAATGACAGACAAACTCAGCTATATTGTCTGTCAATTCATAGGTCATTTTCCTGTATACCATTTCTGAATGATGACTTTAATCCTCTTCCATTATTGGATCTTTTTGGTGTTACAAAACTTGAATTTAAGAAAATTGATATTAATTCTTAATCATTTGTTAATTTTATAAAACAGGCTGAAAATCTTTTTTTCTGCTGGAATCAAATGAGAGTCCAAGTGACCACAATTTTCTGTCTTTCTTTATTATACCTTTATATTGTAGCAAGTTGGTAACCATCAAAAGTAACAGCATCTCCACTGGAAATTGGTACACAGTCCACATGGAGTTGCTGTTACACTTGATAACACCATTAAACATATAAGGAGATTCCTTTTGCTCATCATGGGAGCTGTACGATATCTCTAAGTATACTTGTTTCACAGAAGAAAGTCTCGATTTATTCATGTTCTAAATAAGTTTAGGGACTGGTAGATTTGAAACGCTGATGTTTTATTTTGATTTGAATTAATAGTGTCATTTGCATTTTAGATCATATTTGTATTTTATCAAGAAATAATTCCATTTCTGACTTTACTGTCATTGGTCATTTTTTGAATCTGTGAGATAATGCCATTAGAATTTGGGTTGAAATCTGTTACTAGTCAATAAAAACAGAAGAAATAATTTTTAGCATAAAAAAGATAAAATGTAGAAACACTGGCTACCTGGGAAGGAAAAGAAGTTGGTTAAATTTCTTTCATCATTTCAAACAGTTATAATCACTTTCATGCTATTAATGCTATAGTTAACATAGTGAAACTTAGCCCCTAACTTCTGGAAATTATGAGAAATTTAGTAAAAATAGCCAAGGAATTTCCAATATAATTTGAGTGTTAACTTTAGCTACCTCAAATTTTTTCTCAGTTAACAATAATAAACCTTTTGTTCAAAAAATTTATGTTCATTAAATAAAGAAAAATTTCTTCAAAATGGTTTTCTGTCAGCTTTAAAACATAAATCTAGGATTAAACTAAAAATAGAATTTCCCCTTCCAAATTTCACATTGTTCTAGAATTAAATTTAGTAAACAAATGTGAAACATTTAGCCTCTTACCTCATTCTTCTTCCAGTAAGTTACAGAAGAAAAGTTGTCTTAATAATCTTCAATATTTTTGCTTATAAAGGCAAAACACAGAAGACAGTGGGATGACAGCAGTCGTTTCTTTGTTGCTTTAGTAATCTTAATGCTGCTTAATGTCCATAACACGCTAAATAAGCCTCATTCCGGTTGATATCGAAGTTCAGAATGATTGGCTGATGTCATAGTTGCTCATGCTACCTAGTGGATTTTCACTGATTGAAACCTAAGAAGGGACACGTAATGCATGTGTTGAGATAAGGCCTTTGAGTAAAGTACAAGGTTTTATGATGGATTTATTGCTTTATGAAGTAAAGCATTAAGATGGAAGCATATAGATTACATACTGGTAAGTGGTTTCACCCACTTTTATCAGCAGTCGTTTATACTGATCTTTGGGTTATAGGTTAACTATGAGTTTGTGTTAAGTATACAATGTTAAAGAAATGAAGGTAGAATTCTTAAATTTCAGACAAATTAGGAATTTTCCTGCATTTTTTTCTGAAGAATATTAAATATCACAAGGAAATAGTTAGAAAATTGTTTAAAAATTTTTTTAGGAAACAGAAAATTATTTAAGAAATCTTTTAAGTATTATCTTGGTTTCATTATAAAAAAATTCCACTTCTAAGTATTTACCCAAAGGAAATAGGACTAATACCTCTTGTGTGAGGATATGTATATAAGATGTCCAATACAGTTGTTTATAAAGGAACATAATGATATACAAAAGAAGATGTAATTTAATTAGTTATAGAAGAATGAATATGTACCTGTTAAAAATGTCAGCTTAGCTCTTAATGGTTGCCTAGTTCCTTGTGTATGAAAATCAAATGAACATAACTTATCCAGTGTTTGGATTTTGTTAGATGTTTGTCACATCTCTATAATGAGTGTCTTTTGAGCACTTGTTCACAGTTAACTTTATATACTTTTTTCAAATTATCTTTTTAGATTTTGTTTGAACATTAAGTTTATCTTTGTTTTTATCATCATTATACCTAGCTCAAGTTTGTGGGTTATATGTCTGTTTATTTTTATTGCAATTTTTGTTTTCAAAGCTCTCTGTCACACTTTTTTTTTTTTTTTTGAGTTGGAGTCTTGCTCTTGTTCCCCAGGCTGGAGTGCAATGGTGGGATCTTGGCTAACTGCAACCTCTGCCTCCCAGCTTCAAGCGATTCTCCTTCTTCAGCCTCCCAAGTAGCTGGGATTACAGGCTTGCGCCACTATGCCTGGCTGATTTTTGTATATTTAGTAGAGATGGGGTTTCTTCATGTAGGTCAGGCTGGTCTCGAACTCCCCACCTCAGGTGATCCGCCCGCCTCGGCCTCCCAGAGTGCTGGGATTATAGGCGTGAACCACCGCGCCCGGCCTTTTTTTTTTTTGAGATGGAGTCTCACTCTGTTGCCAGGCTGGAGTGCAGTGGTGCAATCTCGGCTCACTGCATCTTCTGCCTCCTGGGTTCAAGTGATCCTCCTGCCTCAGCACCCCCCAAGTAGCTGAGACTATAGTCACGCACCACCATACCTGGGTAATTTTTGTATTTTTGTAGAGACCGGGTTTTGCCATGTTGCCCAGGCTGGTCTTGAAGTCCTTAGCTCAAATGATCCACCTATCTCAGCCTTCCAAAGTGCTAGGATTACAGGTGTGAGCCACCGTGCCCGCCCAAAATTAATTTATTCAATTGACAAAAATTGCTTATATTATGTACAACATGTTTTGAAATATGTATGCATTGTGGAATGGCTAAATCTAGCTAATTAACATGTATTTGTTGGGTTTTTCTTTACTCTCTTATTTTAAAATTAACTTTATTGTTTTAAAAATACAAATAATTTATCTAGAATCTCATAATAGAACCGAATTATAGAACATAATGCTTACTAAAGTGCATTTAGTAGACTTTATTTAGAACATGATGTTTTCATAATTCACAATATAAAGTAAGGAAGGAAGTCTTGCTCTCTAAATATTAGTGAGACTTGCTCTCTTAATGAGATAAAGCTTCTTCCCTTAAAAATGTTTCATGTTTCTTTTGGATACATTGAACAAATTTTTCTTTTGTTCTGATTCATATACTTATGTAACAAGGAAAAAAATCTGAAGTATGTTGTTTTATTTACAGTAGCCTTTTTGAAATTGGATTTTTAAAAATAATTGCAGGATTGCTTTTCATTGATGTAGCTAATGTGTAGTTACGTTGTTTCTCGTAAGTGTAATTAGGTAAGCTAAAAGAAAAACAAAAAACCTTTCCTCCTCACTAAGAGACTTTTGTCAGTTTTTTTAAAAAGTTTTTTAAATTTGCAAATAAAGTATGTATAAAACACAAAATTACATTTCTTATATTAAAATATGCGCTATATCTAAATTACTAATATTGTTATAAAAATGTAGCAATTAAAATGAATTTTAGACTAGAGGTGTCTGACTAAACTTGGTGGGATTTTACGGTTGCTTTAATAACATGCCAACAGCAAAACTGGAATCTTTCTTTCTTAATGCTTTTAGTTATATGCTCAGTAGGTTACTTGAATGTAGTTAAATAACATTTAAAATGTCATTGAATTTTCTGATATTTAGGAATATGAAAAAGAACTTATTTTTATTTTTTTTAAAATAGATGTGGGGTCTTTACTATGTTGCCCAGGCTGGTCTTGAACTCTTGGGCTCAAGTGATCCTCCTGCCTTGGCCTCCCAAAGTGCTAGGATTATAGTCATGAGCCACCGTGCCAGGCCAAGAATATGAAAAAGAGCTTAGTTTTATTAAAGTTGAATTTAGGATTCTAAAATATGGATGTGGAGCTGAGTGTGGTGGCTCACAACCCATAATCTCAGCATTTTGGGAGGCTAAGGCTGGAGGATTGCATGAGGCCAGGCATTTGAGACCAGCCTGAGCAACAAAGCGAGATTCCCATCTCTAGAGGGGGGGAAAGAAAGCAGGGCATGTTGGCATGGGCCTGTAGTCCCAGCTACTCAGGAGGCTGAGGCGGGAGGATTACTTGACGCAGGAGTTCAAGGCTTCAAGTGAGCTATGATCATGCCACTGCAATCCAGCTTGGGCCACAGAGTAACACCTTGTCTCAAAAAAATTAATTAATTAAAATAAAATAAAATGGATATGTTTCATCTATAGTCATAACGTTACTCACTTTCTTTAGTTATTAGGACTTTTTCTTTTAAGAATAAAAATTTTCGCCTAGTCTTCGTCACTTTTTCCGATGTTTATAGAAACTGAAACTCAAAAAATAGTATGATTTATTCCTGTCATTTTCCAGTTAAGTCCAGTTAGAGTCTGGTCTTTGGACTTAGTGCTTGCTGTGTCAACACACTAATCTCCTGAGACTGCCTAGTTCCTCACTTCATCTCTGATACGTAGTCTTCACTCTATGCCTGGGTAAAAGAGCCTTTCTGCCATTGCTTAGCAAACTCCAGAGAGTAAGAGTGTGAATTCAGTTACAGTGTTGTCTTTATAGATGAGTTAGAGAGGCAGAATAAAGAA
This sequence comes from Homo sapiens, assembly GCF_000001405.40. Classification (NCBI taxonomy): domain Eukaryota; kingdom Metazoa; phylum Chordata; class Mammalia; order Primates; family Hominidae; genus Homo; species Homo sapiens. Next base: position 220,122,508 of record NC_000001.11, read on the forward strand.
GTAAAAACAGCACACCAAACTATGTATGATTTAGGAAACACAAATTCAAGCCCTGGTTTTAACTGTTACTTGCTTAGCTTCATAATTTAAGGAACCCTAAGGTGCAGAACAAATCATTTCTCAAGACCCACTGTGTATTTCTGTGAATCCAATTAGCAAGTGCTTGTAAAGTGCTTCGAAAAAGATATGTGGTGTACGTATATACATAGTTTTGTATACATACAAATACTCTTTATCTTTTATACATACAAATACATAAAATACTCTTTATCCTAACATTTCTACCGTATTTGCTAAATTAATATGAAATTTGAGACATTTACTTTTACTTCGATATTATTTTTATGTCTTTTTCCAATACATTTAAAGCTGTTTTACTGTTTTATTTTACTCTTTACCTAAACTTGCCAGTCTAATGATAACATTGTAAAAAAAAAAAGGCAAAATGACACCCATTTTTAGAATTATTCTTTTTTAATGAGAATTTCATTAGTATGAACAGTGTTATCAATTGTAATTGTGCGTATGTGTCCATGTAAATGTACTTTACTAGTATCTCTCTTTTATGGTTGTAATCTTTTTGTTTTTTTTTTCTTTTGGTCTTTAGATTTATTCAGATTTTTCTATTATACCATATTCATATTTTCTTAACTGAAAATGTTCTGGACAAACTATATAAAATAGTAATATGTAACTAAATACTATTGTCATATAACTAGGTAGTTATTACATAAGGTTTTTATGGTCTGATAACATAAAAGTTTATCTTTACTGTTAAAGTCCATCTAAAATGATTCACTGTCTTAGAAACATGCATTTATGCCCATTTTCCTTTCTCATTATAAGTTCTTCAAAGTACATGATGGTAACATTATACTTTTAAAATCTATCCTTCATAGAATACCAACTTACTGATATCCAGCTTTTATAAGGTATTTCAAATTTAAATTTGTAGAGCATATTTATTTATTTATTATTTTTTTTGAGACGGAGTCTCCCTCTGTCACCCAGGCTGGAGTGCAGTGGCGCGATCTCAGCTCACTGCAAGCTCTGCCTCCCGGGTTCACGCCATTCTCCTGCCTCAGCCTCCCAGGTAGCTGGGACTACAGGCGCCCGCCACCATGCCCGGCTAATTTTTTTGTATTTTTTTTAGTAGAGATGGGGTTTCACCGTGTTAGCCAGGATGGTCTCGATCTCCTGAGCTCGTGATCCGCCCGCCTCAGCCTCCCAAAGTGCTGGGATTACAGGCGTGAGCCACTGCTCCTGGCCTGTAGAGCATATTTAATTTATACTCATTTGATTTTGCTTTCCACAACAATTTTTGGTAAACACTTCATTTATCTGTGAATTATCAGGCCCAGACCTGACGTCAAATAATCAGTTTGAATAATGCTTACATAGTATTTATTCAAATGTGCCAGGTATTGTTCTATGTGTTTTATATTTATTAACTCAGTTAATATTCATAGGAAGTCTCTTCATGATGCTGTTACTATTTGTGTTTTACAAATGAGGAAACAGGCACAGAAATGTTAAGTGCCTTGCCTGGGTTCAAGTGGTGGAGCCAGAAATTAAGCTAAAGCCCCCTGCTGGCAGGATCCATGCTCTTGGCCATTATATGTACTGTGACTAAATGAAAAGCAACTAGAGGAAGCTGTAATAGCAACAAAGCTACAATAATAAATTCAATATTCTAATAAATCAAAAATATTTTATTTTTGTGAGAAACTATAGTATGAATTTTTTTCCCTGAGTTTAATTTTTAAATAATTTATTACTGTATATCTTCCTAAAGATACGACCAGTTCTGTTATTTATTTGATAGGGGTTGATTGGCTTTCTGTCATGTGTTAGGTGCTGTACTAAGTTTTACATGTATAGTCTCATTTAGTTTGTAGTTGTTCTGAGGGAAGTGTCTAGGATTACTACAATGTTAAGTTTCACCAGGGGAGGGATCTTGTGTATTTTGCCAACTGCTGTATCTCTAGTGCCTGTGCCCAGGACACAGGAGGTGTTCAATAGTTTCTGAACAATGAATTAGATTGTTCTTAACAGAAGGGAAAGCTAGGTCTTAAAGAAGTTTTAGTACTTGTGCATGGTCATATAAATACAAAGTGACAGTCAGAATATAAGCCTGGATATCTGTCATCACAGTCTCTGCTCTAATATGGCATTGCATCTTGTGCAGATGCCTGTAAGCAGGGAGGGAGTCCTGGAAAGTTTTCAAGCAGAGAATTCGTGTGATAAAAGCAGTTTAGGAATGCATCTATTTCAAGGTCTGTTTTGTAAAGTAAAGGGATGAGGGTAGGAGGAAGTACTCTCAGACCATTGATTGCATCAGTTTAGTTTTGAGGGAATGAGGTTGGACTGATACAGTGTCAGTGGGAACCACTGTAATCTTTCAAAGGTAGAACTGAGAGAATGTGTTGGTTTAATTTAGGCAGAAATCAGAAGAGGGAAGATAATTAGAAGGCTTTGAGTATAAGTACCTGGATAGAAAATAGATGAGTAAGAAATAGGTAAATCAGTAACGGAAACAGATGTTTTTTCTTTTTAAGGATATGTATAATCAATTTTTTATTTATATTGAATTTAAAATGATAGCAGCTTTTTCTTCAAACTAAGGTTTGAGGAAAAAGGAAAATAAATCACTATTTCTTAATTTTAAAATGTTTGTTATTCATCACAATAGTTAATTGAATAATTCTGCCATGTCCCCCCTGAAATAGCCAAACCACTGAGCATATTGTTAAACTAGTGGAACAACACGGCAGTGATATCTGGTGGACTCTTCCCCCTGAACAACTTCTTCCAAAAGAAGTCTTATCTGAGGTAAATTTCTGTTTGTATTTAACAGCCTTTGTATGTATTACAGGACTTAATGACAACATGAGAAATTCTTGAGAGTTAAAAAATTATCTTATGTAAAGTTAACAAATTTATTTACTGTAAATTAGAAGCTAATGCAGTGTGAAAGTAGACATTTTGTTTAACTATAGAAGTGTAGTATTTAAGGCTGGGCGTGATGGCTCACACCTGTAATCCTAGCACTTTGAAAGGCTGAGGCAGACAGATAGCTTGAGTCCATGAGTTTGAGACCAGCCTGGGCAATATGGCAAAACCCTGTCTCTACAAAAAAATATAAAAATTAGCTGAGCATTGTGGCATGCGCCTGTAGTCCCAGCTACTTGGGAGGTTGAGGGGGGAGGATGGCTTGAGCCTGGAAGACAGGTTGCAGCGAGCCAAGATTGCACCACTACACTGCAGCCTGGGTGACAGAGTGAGAGCCCATCCCTGCAAAACAAAGTGTATTATTAGGTCGGGCGCAGTGGTGCACACCTGTAATCCCAGCACTTTGGGAGGCCGAGGCGGGCAGATCACAAGGTCAGGAGATCGAGACCATCCTGGCTAATACAGTGAAACCCTGCCTCTACTAAAAATACAAAAAAATTAGCTGGGTGCGATGGTGGGCGCCTGTAGTCCCAGCTACTCGGGAGACTGAGGCAGGAGAATGGCCTGAACCCGGGAGGCGGAGCTTGCAGTGAGCCGAGATCGCACCACTGCACTCTAGCCTGGGCAACAGAGTGAAACTCTGTCTCAAAAAAAAAAAAAAAAAGAAAAAGAAAAAGCCACGCAACATACCTTTAGTCCCAGCTACTCAGGAGGCCGAGGCAGGAGAATCACTTGAACCCAGGAGACGGAGGTTGCAGTGAGCCGAGATCGCGCCATTGCACTCCAGGCTGGGCAACAGAGTAAGACTCTGTCTCAAAAACAAAACAAATCAAAAAGTGTAGTATTTAATAAAGTAGTGGAATGTGAGGGTCAATTGTTATCTCATTGAGGGCCAGGATTGATTGATGTTGACTGATTTGGTTGACTAAGCTCATGTAATTTACTGTTAGAGAACAGTGCCTAATGGTACATCAGGCCTTTGTAGGATCTGTAGTAGAGTTAGCTGATTGTATCACACATTAAAATATCCAAATTTAAAGTTAATTTCAAGGAAATAAAAACCAATTCATATTACATTGGTAAATATGTAATTCAGTGGCCACAGATACTTTTAAATGTGAATGGAGGGAGTTGAAGTTAACTGTGAAATGCTTAAAAATACTGTAAATTTCATCTAAAAATGTGAACTTCATGGTTGCATTTCATTTTCTGAAGACTTTTGGGGTACAGTATTTGTTGTCTATATTGTGATCTTTGTGTACCTGACATGCTTTTGCATTATCTTACTAGGTTGGTGGCCCTGATGCCTTGGAATATGTGCCAGGTCAGGATATTTTGGACATCTGGTTTGATAGCGGAACTTCATGGTCTTATGTTCTTCCAGGTAATTCTTAAAAATAGATATATGCCGATCAAGAAGTTTTGAAAATATGGAATTGGTATTTAGAAGGGATCTATAATCAAACTCTTTTTCTGTGTGTGCTTTATTTAGAGATCTGCTATATTTTAGACCTCGAAAGACCCTTAGAGTTTACTTAATCCAATGATTTCTAAACCTTTTTCTGTTTTTCTAGATGAAATTTCATTTAGAATTTATAATACAGAAAATAGTTAAACATGGGAATATTTTTCCTCCTTTCAACCAGTTCATTCTCCTTGGCCACTTGGCAACCCCAAGGCACCCAGTTTTGTAAAACAAAGTTTGGAAGTCACTGAAATAGTCTGACCCCATAATTTTTCAGAAGAGAAAATGAAATTGACTTAGAGCCAAATTAGGTGATGGTCACATAGCTTAGTAGTGTCAAACTAGAACGCAAGTACCCTGATTTTCAGTTCTCATCTTCTATACTACATTGCTTTTTGTGGCTTTTTCTCCTCTCTGTACAAACAGCTGACTAACTTTATACTTACAGATAATTAGCGAATGTTTTTGACTGATTGGATAAAGAGAAAGGAGAGACGTTGGGCAGGAATTAGAAAGGAGTAGTAGGAGAAGGCACATATTAGAGGATGTGTTTAGATGCTTGAGAAGAAATATTTTTAAGGCAACTAAGTGAAAAGATAGAGTTCAAATGAAGAACAAGGCTTGTTATCACTGTGAAGTTGGAGACAGGGATGAGATGTCACGGAGGCAGTGATGGATCACACAGTTCCTCACACTCCTACTAAGGGCCAGCTTTGGCCTGAGAGACCCTGTTTGCTTTCTGGAGTAAGGGTATGTGGGAAAAGTAGCTTGTCTATGAATCACACAATAGGATTCCTAGTAGGTGGATCTATTTCCTTCATTTAAGCCTTTCTTTCAGCTTAGGAAGTTTGAAAAACAAAATGCATATAAATTCATGTTTACTCTCTATTACAAGTAAAATGTGCGTAATAATAATGGCCAAATATAAGTTACATATTTTTATAATTTTTTTGTAGTGATTTTCAGAATTATTATTTCATAATTTTTCTCCCAGCATATTCGAGAGAAAATACTGCAAGTTTAGGTACTTGGTTTCCCTAAATTACAGTCATGTGTTATATAATGACACTCCAGTCAGTAGCAGACTGCATATATGATGATGGCCCCACAAGATGATAATACATCTGACTCCTGAACAACAGGGTTCTGACTGCACAGGTCTACTTATATGCAATTTTTTTCAATGAAATGCAGATGGAAAATATAGTATTCTCAGGATTTGAAACCCACATATAGAAAGGGAGGGCCGACTTTTCATATATGCAGTTTCAGCAGGGCCAACTGTGGGACTTGAGTATTCACAGATTTTGGTACATATGGGGGTGGGGGGCTGGGGGGTTGGTGGGTCCTAGAACCAATCCTCTGCATATATCAAGGGATGACTACTGTATTTTTACTGTACCTTTTCTGTGTTTAGATATGTTCAGATACACAAATACATACCATGTGCTGACATTGCCTGCAGTATTCAGTATAGTAACATGCTGTGCAGGTTTGTAGCCTAGAAGCAAAAACACTATGCCATGTTGGCTAGGTGTAGAGTAGGCTCTCCCATTGAGGTTTGTGTAAGTACACTCTATGATGTTCACACAGTGATGAAATCACCTAAGGACACATTTCTCAGAGCATATCTCTATTAAGCAATGCATGACTATGTATTGAAAATGCAGGTCAATACCACTACTTAAGGTAGTAGGAAGAAGAGTTTCCTGCTGGCACATTTTGGGCAGCATTCTGAATTTCAGAAAAGAGTATGCCAATTGTGAAACAGTGAGGTATAGTGTATTTCAAAGTGTATTCACTGCTTTAGGCTTTGTGAGAATTAATGCTGCTACCATTGTTGCTTTTCAGTTTCTGAAATGGTTTTACAGTGCAGTTAAGTGCACGTTATATTTGGCGCTGTCAAGTGGGTTAAAATCCATGAAAACTGGCATTAAAATCTATCTGATAGAGTTTAGTCATAATATTTCTAGAGTGTGATTTTTTTTTTTTTTCGAGACAGTGTCTCACTCTGTTGCCCAGGATGGAGTGCAGTGGTGCGATCTCAGCTTGAGTTCAAGTGACTCTCCTGCCTCTGCCTCCTGAGTAGCTGGGATTACAGGCATGTGCCACCATGCCCAGCTAATTTTTGTGTTTTTAGTAGAGAAGGGGTTTCACCGTGTTGGCCAGGCTGGTCTCAAACTCCTGGCCTCAAGTGATCCATCTGCCTCAGCTCCCAAAGTGCTGGGATTACAGACGTGAGCCACCGCACCCGTCCAGAGTGTGATATTCTTAACCAAATGATTTTCACTGCAACAGAAAAATTTTAAATTAATTCATAATAATTGTACATATTATTGAGTACGTGTAGTGTTTTGATAGGTGCATTTAATATGTAATGATCAAATGAGGGTATTTAAGATATCTATCATCTCAAACATTTACCATTTCTTTGTGGTGGGAACATTTTATATCTTCTCTTCTAGTTATTTTGAAATATGCAATAAATGGTTACTATATTTACCCTACTGTATTAAACACTAGAATTTATCCCGTATATGTAACTCCTTTTCTATCCTCATTGACCAAACTCTCTTCATCCCTCCCTCTCACCCTTCCCAGCCTCTGGTAACTGTCATTCTACTTTCTACCTCCATAAGATCAACTTTTTTAGCTCCCACATATGAGTGAAAATATGGAGTATTTGTCTTTCTATGCTTGGCTTATTTCATTTACCATCATGACCTCCAGTTCCATCCATGTTGCTGCTGATGACAGAATTTCATTCTTTTTTATGGCTGAATAGTATTCCATTGTGTATATTTATCACATTTTCTTTATCCATTCATCTTTGATGGATAGTTAGACTGGTTCCATATCTTGGCTATTGTGAGTAGTGTTGTAATAAACATGGAGATGCAGGTATCCTGTGGATATGCTGATTTTATTTCCTTTGCATAAATACCTAGTAGTGGGATTGCTGGCTTATATGGTAGTTCTGTTTTTAGTTTTTTGAAAAGAAACCTCCATAATGTTTTTTATAATGACTGTACTAATTTACATTCCCACCAACAGTGTATAATAGTTCCATTCTCTCCACATCCTTGCCATCATTTGTTACTTTCTTTTTGATAATAGCCATTCTGGGCTAACTGGGGTAAGATGATATATCACTGTGGTTTTGATTTGCACTTCCCTGATGATTAGTGATGTTGAACATTTTTTCATATACCTGTTGTCCATTCATATGACATCCTTTGAGAAATGTCTGTTCAGACCCTTTGCCCACTTTGTAATGAGGTTTTTTTTGTTGTTTCTTGTTTTTGCTGTTTCTTTATTTGAATTCCTTTATAATCTGAATATCAGTTTCTTGTCAGACAAATAGTTTGCAAAGATTTTCTTCCATTCCACAGGTTGTCTCTTCACTGTGTTGTTTCCTTTGTGTGCTGCAGCTTTTTCTTAATATAGTTCCATTTGTCTATTTTCGCTCCTTTACTTGTGCTTTTGAAGTCTTAGCCATAACATTTTTGCCTAGACCGATGTCCTGGAGGATTTCTCCTGTGTTTTCCTCTAGTAGTTTCATAGTTGGGGGCCTTAGATTTAAGTCTCTCTTTTGAGTTGATTTTTGTATATGGTGAGAGGTAGGGGTCTATTTTCTTTCTTTCTTTTTTTGAGACAGAGTCTCGCTCTGTCGCCCAGGCTGGAGTGCAGTGGCACGATCTTGGCTCACTGCAAGCTCCGCCTCCTGGGTTCACGCCATTCTCCTGCCCCAGCCTCCCGAGTAGCTGGGACTACAGGCACCTGCCACCACGCCTGGCTAATTTTTTGTATTTTTAGTAGGGACGGGGTTTCACCATGTTAGCCAGGATGGGGTAGGGGTTTATTTTCATTCTTCTGCACATGGATAGCCAGTTTTTCCAGCACCATTTCTTAAAGAGGGTGTCCTTTTCCCACTGTATGTTCCTGGTGCCTTTGTTGGAAATCAGTTGGCAATAAACTGGTAGATTTATTTCTGGGTTCTCTATTCTGTCCCATTGGTCTAAGTGTCTGTTTTTATACCAACACCATGCGTTTTTACTGTAACTTTGCAGTATATTTTGAAGTTGGGCAGTGTGATGCCTCCAGCTTTGTGCTTTTTGCTCAGTATTGCTTTGACTATTTGGGAGGCTTTTGTGTTTCCTTATGAATTTTAGGATGAATTTTCCATATGAATTTTTCTGTTTCTGTGAAGAATATCATTGGTATTTTGCATGGAATTGCATTGAATCTTTATTTATTTATTTATTTATTTGAGACAGAGTCTCGCTGTGTCGCCCAGGCTGGAGTGCAGTGGCACAGTCTCGGCTCACTGCAACCTCCGCCTCCCGAGTTCTAGTGATTCTCCTGCCTGAGCCTCCAGAGTAGCTGGGATTATAGTCATGTGCCACCACACTCGGTTAATTTTAATTAATTAATTAATTTTTTTGAGATGGAGTTTCACTCTTATTGCCCAGGCTGGAGTGCAATGGCGTGACCTGGGCTCACTGCAACCTCCACCTCTCGGGTTCAAGCGATTCTCCTGCCTCAGCTTCCCAAGTAGCTGTGACTACAGGCATGAGCCATCACGCCCAGCAAATTTTGTATTTTTAGTAGAGACGGGGTTTCTCCATGTTGGTCAGGCTGGACTCAGAACTCCCCACCTCAGGCGATCTGTCCGCCTAAGCCTCCCAAAGTGCTGGGATTACAGGCGTGAGCCACTCTGCCCAGCAATTTTTATATTTTTAATAGAGATGGGGTTTCACCATGTTGGCCAGGCTGGTCTCGAACTCCTGACCTCAAGGGATCAGCGCTGCTCAGCCTCCCAAAGTGCTGGGATTACAGGCATGAGCCACGATGCCTGGCCACGTTGAATTTTTTTTTTTTTTTTTTTTTTGAGATGGAGTCTCACTCTGTTGCCTAGGCTGGAGTGCAATGGCACGATCTCAGCTCACTGCAACCCCCGCCTCCTAGGTTCAAGCAATTCTCCTGCCTCAGCCTCCCGAGTAGCTGCGACTACAGGCATCCACCACCATGCCTGGCTAATTTTTTGTATTTTTAGTAGAGACGGGTTTCACCATGTTAGCCAGGATGGTCTCGATCTCCTGACCTCATGATCCACCTGCCTTGGCCTCCCAAAGTGTTGGTATTACAGGCATGAGCTACCGCAAGTGGCCTGTTGAGGATTTTTGTGTCTTTGTTCAACAGAGATACTGGCCTGTAGTTTTCTTTTTTGTTGTGTCTTTGCCTGGTTTTGGTATCAGGGTAATGCTGGCTTTGTACAGTGATTTAAGAAGAGTTTCCTCCTCTTCGATGCTCTGGAGTAGTTTGAGCAGAATTGTTGTTCTTTATATATTTGGTAGAATTCAGCAGTAAAGCCATCTGGTCCTAGACTTTTCTTTGTTGGGAGATTTTTTGTTACTTATTCAGTCCGGTTACTCCTTACTGTTCTATTTCTTCCCGGTTTAATCTTGGTAGGTTGTATGTGTCCAGGGGTTTATCCATTTCCTCCAGGTTTTCCTATGTGTTAGTGTACATTTGTTTATAGTAGTCTGTGATGATCCTTTGTATTTCTCTGTTGTCTGTTGTATGTCACCTTTCTCTCTCTTTTTTTTTTTTTTTTTTGAGATGGAGTCTTGCTCTGTTGCCCAGACTGGAGTGCAGTGGCCTGATCTCATCTCACTGCAAACTCCACCTCCCAGGTTCAAGCAGTTCTCTGCCTCATTCCTCCCAAGTAGCTGGGGTTACAGGTGCCCGCCACCATGCCTGGCTAATGTTTGCGTTTTTAGTAGAGATGGGGTTTCACCATCTTGGCCAGGCTGGTCTTGAACTCCTGACCTCGTGATCCACCCGCCTTTGCCTCCCAAAGTTCTGGGATTTTACAGGCGTGAGCCACCGCACCCAGCCCCATGTCTCCTTTTTCATTTCTGATTTTGTTTATTTGGATCTTCTTTTCTATTTTCTTAGTCTAGCTAAAGATTTGTTTTCACTGCATATGCATTTACCTTCTTACATTATCTCAGACTTTCCTGGCTGCACAGACTAGATTAAACTCTTTATTTTCCCCTTGGTAACACCCATCACAGTTATTTCTTTTCTTTTTTTTTTTTGAGACAGATTCTTACTCTGTCGCCCAGGCTAGAGTGCAGTGGCACAATCTCTGCCCACTGTAACCTCCACCTCCCAGGTTCAAGTGATTCTCCTGCTTCAGCCTCCCAAGTAGCTGGGATTACAGGCGCCCACCACCGTGCCCAGATAATTTTCGTGTTTTTAGAGATGGGGTTTCGCCATGTTGGTCAACCTGGTCTCGAACTCCTGACCTCAGGATTTGCCAGCCTCCACCTCTCAAAGGGCTGGGGTTACAGGCACGAGACACTGCACCCGGCCCCATCACAGTTATTTCTTGCTTAACATAAAATCTACCCTACTAGGTGTCAGCTCCAAGAAGGCAGAGTCCAGATTTCCCCAGGGTCTAACACAATGCCTGCTATATAACAAGTGCTCAGTAATATTGGTGCAATTGAATTGGTTTGATTCAGTTATTTAAATTTTGTTTCCCCACCTCCACTCAGTTAATCTTTCTTACATGAAGATTACAACACTAAATTTTCAGTCTTAGGACATAAGGACAAATCATAATTTTACAAATAAAAGGGATTATGGGGGCTTTGAGAGTTGTGAGTTTAGATTTAAAATATAGATGTAATCTTTATCAACGACCTCATGTTACTTTTTTTTGAAAACCCTTTTATTTTGAAAAGTCATAAAGTATCATGAAGAATTACAGCATGCTCTTCATCTAGATTTCCCAACGTTAACATTAACATTTTGCTACAGTTGCTTTATATATCCTATGTATATATATGTAGAGGAAAAGATGCATCTTTTATCTCAATATTTTAGTATATATTTCCCCAAAACATGGATAGTCTCTTAACATAACCAACACAGATATCAAAATTAGGGAATTAACATTGATTCCATACTGTTAACTGTCTATAGAACTTATTCCTAGGTGGAAAGAGGAAAAAAAAAAAAGGACCCAAGATCTAATCTGAGATCACATGTCACATTTAACTGTCATGTCTCTCTAGTTCTTGTTCTGTGTCTTTCATGACATTTCATGACATTGCTTGACATTCATGCAGTACAGGTTTATTTTGTAGATGGTCTCTCTGGGTTTGTGGGATGCATTGTCATGATTAGATCCACGTTATGCATTTTAGGTAGGAATATCACAGAAAGGATACTGTGTTTATTTCAGTACATCATTTCAGAAGTCACGTGATACATCTCTGTCCCATTACTACTGGTGATGTGTAACTTTGGTCACTTTCTTGGTTAAGGTGGCATCTGTCAGTTTTCTCTATTGTAAAGTTACTTCCCTTCCTCCCCACTAATTGTTATTAATAAGTATCTTCTTTTTCTATTTTAATTAACTTAAATTTCTGGGTTTTTTTTTCTTTTAATACTTAATTTTGAGGTCCTGACCAAAGAGCAGATTTGTACTTGGAAGGAAAAGACCAGCTCGGGGGTTGGTTTCAGTCATCCTTATTAACAAGTGTGGCAGCAAGGAAGAGAGCACCTTATAAGTAAGTATTTATGCCTGAACCAACCTGCTGAGTACCTGCCAGTGTGTGAAGCACTATGCTGAGTACTACAGAGATGATAAGGCACCACTCTTGATTGCTTACAGTGTCCTGTAAGAATTTGAAGTAAAAAAAGAGAAAGGAAAAAGGAGACAACACCAAGGTGTCTTGTGAGTGTGATGCAGATCATAACTCTTTGAAGAAAAAGTCAGCATTGACTGGAGTAGTTGGGGGAACTTATGTAGTTCTTTGTTGTTGTTGTTTTTTTTTTTTTTTTTGAAAAAGGATCGCATTCAGTCACCCAGGCTGGAGTGCAATGGTGTGGTCAGAGCTCGCTGCAGCCTCCGTCTCCTTGGCTCAAGCAATCCTCCTGCTTCAGCCTCCTGAGTAGCTGGGATTACAGACATGCACCACCACACCTGGCTAATTTTTAATTTTTTTTTAGAGGTGCGTTCTCCTCCCATTGCCCATGCTGGTCCCAAACTCCTGGCCTGAAGCAGTCCTCCTGCCTTGGCCTCCCAAAGTGGTAGGATTATAGGCGTGAGCCACCATGCCTGGCCTAGAACTAGATCTTGATCTATGGTAAAACTTGACTAGGAGGAATGTAGGGAAGGATATTCAAGGTTGAGAGAAGACAGCCTGAGTGCAGATGTCCTTTATATTTGTAATATCCACAGTGGCTAGTGAACTGAAACATTGCTTTCATGAATTTTATTAAATTAGGTATTCTCATTTAGTACACATAATTACTTTTTCAAACGTGTGGGTGAAAGTACTAATCAGAAAGATTCCTAAATAGCTTAGCTTAAGATTGTGGCTCTCTTAGGATAAAAACCCATCCCAGAACATTTCACATGTTTCTTTTTTTTTTGAGATGGAGTCTTGTTCTATTGCCTAGGCTGGAGTGCAGTGGTGCGATCTTGGCTCACTGCAGCCTCTGTCTCCCGGGTTCAAGCGATTCTCCTGCCTCAGCCTCTCGAGTAGCTGGAATTACGGAGCATGCCACCATGCCCGGCTAATTTTTGTACTTTTAATAGAGACGGGATTTCACCATGTTGGTGAGGCTGGTCTCAAACTCCTGCTCTCAAGGGATTCACCCTCCTGAGCCTCCCAAAGTGCTGGGATTACAGGCGTGAGCCCCCACGCCTGGCCCTTTTACATGTTTTTGTTTCTTAACATGCGTTTTAAAGACCAGTAAAAGGGCAGATCCTATTTTTTTCAAATTGTCTTTTGAAAATAATTTTGAGATGATAATCTGCTCTTTTTAAGACATACTTTTTCCTGGTTTTATTTTTTCATTTAAAATTTTTTTTTTTTTTTTTTTTTAGTGAGTTATATAGTTTTTCCGCTATCACCACAAGAGGTTTTATAACATTTCCAACACACTAAAAAGTTTTCTCATGCCCATTTGTGACTAATCTCCACTCCCACCCCAGGGCCCCTGGCAACCACTGATCTCCTTGCTGTCTCTGTAGTTTGCTCTTTCTAACCTGGTTAGTTTTAATGATAAAATCAGTACATAGCAGAAGCTCAGAAAATAATCTGTTTAGTGATGAAAATATCTAAAGTTTTCCTTTGTGTAAGTCGAGAGTTAACTGTTTGACTATTGTGATACATGAGCTAAGAATGACTTTTTTTGTTTGAGATGGAGTCTTACTCTGTCTCCCAGGCTGGAGTGCAGTGGAACGATCTCAGCTCACTGCAATCTCCGCCTCTTGGGTTCAAGTGATTCTCATGCCTCAGCCTCCCAAGTATCTGGGACTACTGGCACACACCACTATACCCAGCTAATTTTTGTATTTTTAGTGGAGACAGGGTTTCACCATGTTGGCCAGGCTGGCCTCGAGCTCCTGGCCTCAAGTGATCTGCCTGCCTTGGCCTCCCAGAGTGTTGGGATTACAGGCGTGAGCCACTGCACCCAGCCGAATTTGACTTTTAAGGAAAGGTTTCGGCCGGGCAGGGTGGCTCATACCTGTAATTCCAGCACTTTGGGAGGCCGAGTTAGGTGGATCCCCTGAGGTCAGGCGTAGGTAGGAGAATCCCTTGAACCTGGAAGGCAGAGGTTGCAGTGAGCCGACATCATGCCACTGCACTGCAGCCTGGGCAACAAGAGTGAGACTCCATCTCAAAAAAAAAAAAAAAAAAAAGAGAAGAAAAGAAAAGAAAAGGTTTTATTCATAATCAGTCAAGAAAAATCATATTTTTGTGTCAAACTTAGATACTCTTTTTAAGCTGTACCTAATCTTCAAAAAGATAATTATAATTGTGTTTATCATTAAAATAGCTGATTTGTCCCTTTAGGACAGTGATTGTTCATGGATTTACCCTTGGAGAAAAGGGAGAAAAGATGTCCAAGTCTCTTGGGAATGTCATTCATCCTGATGTTGTCGTTAATGGAGGACAAGTAGGTGATTCTCTAAAATGTATTTTATTTTCGTTTTAAGGATCTTAAATTGGCAGCCAAAGCCCTTAATATAGTTACTTCAATGTAAAAATAAAAACTATCTTTTATACTCTCAAATAACACATGATTGTAATGAAGAAGGCAGAGGCTGGGATTGTGGTCCTTTTAACTTATTTCAGGCCTGACTCTCCAGTTAGGTCCCAAACCACGCTGTTTCTTTTTTAATTGTCTGAGAGCCTTTAAAATGTGTAGATCCTTTTGTGATTCGTAAGCGTGATGATTGGGTTTTCGCACTATTGTGTGAGGTGTGCCTCCCTCAAACCTTGTTACAGTGTTGGCACATTGCTGTCTGAAGTGAAAAAAGAATATGTAAAGTGTGATTGTGTAGTTAAATGGAAATGATGAAAAATGAGATTGCAACTTCAAAATGCGCATTTCATTATTATATTGTTGAAAATTATACACTTTAAAGCAGGTCCTAAATGTACATCAAATCTGAGGTTGCTGATAATTTGGGGGGGTTTTTGGAGCTGCTTTTGTGAATTAAATCATTTGTCTGTTTTTTTCTATTTTTTAACTCCTGTAGCTTTTTACTGCCCGCCTAACATCCTGTAACCGTTCATTGTTTTGTGTACAGAGTTGCTAGGAAATAGTGAAAGGAAAAGCAGTCCTTCCTCTTCCCCTCCCTTATTATAGAGACCTCCCTGGCACTGCTGTGTGTCTAACCACCAGCTGTAATAGAGGAAACAGACATGACCAGGGAAGAGATTAGGTATGAGCATTTGTGCATTGAACAAGATTGCAGAGCACGCTCTTTCTTTTTCCAGTTTTGTTTTTAGATACAGTCTAATTTGAGATTGTTAGCCCGCATTTCATTACAGTGCTAGTATAGTTTGTACTTACATTGTGCTCAAAAATATCTGAATAGGAGCTTTACCTAAAACATTTGTTCGGCTAATTGGAATTGAAAGCCATTGTGTTTATATATTTTTTTCTCAATGAAAAGGATCAAAGCAAAGAGCCTCCGTATGGTGCTGATGTCCTTCGCTGGTGGGTAGCTGATTCCAATGTCTTCACCGAAGTTGCAATTGGCCCATCCGTGCTCAATGCTGCCAGAGATGATATTAGCAAGGTTAGAACTATTATTCTTCCTATTTCTAAAGGACAAGTTTGTCAAATCATTGTTTTAAAAAATGAGACACATTTTGTTTGGAACTGAAAAAAACTGAATGAAAACGAGTTCTTCATTTATTGTGAGATTTTAAGAATCTCCTGTGTTGGCCAGGCATGGTGGCTCATGCCTGTAATCCCAGCACTTTTGGAGGCAGAGGCAGGTGGATCACGAGGTCAGGAGTTCGAGACTAGCCTGGCCAACATAGTGAAACCCTGTCTCTACTAAAAATACAAAAATTAGCTGGGCATGGTGGCATGCACCTGTAGTCCCAGCTGTTCGGGAGGCTGAGGCAGGAGAATCACTTGAACGCAGGAGGCGGAGGTTGCAGTGAGCCGAGATCGCGCCACTGGACTCCAGCCTGGCGACAGAGCAAGACCTTGTCTCAAAAAAAACAAAAAACTCCTGTGTAAATTTATTTGTTTCAAAACATTGGTAGTAATACCAGTAATTTTATATAATTTGTATATAATATCCTTTATATTTTATTAATATATAAAATGTAATATAGCATAGTATAGATTATATTAATTTTGTATACTTTTATGTACTCAATAACCTTTCACATTTTTCCATGTATCTTTATTTCATTGTGAAGCAAGTGAAATAACATTATTCTGACCCACACACATGAATAAACTGGGCTACTGAAAGGTGATTTGCCCCAACGTAATAAAGAAATATAATGAAAATTCAGTCGTTAGGCGTAAAATCCAGTGGTTGTTCCTATAACTGGGCTATTGGAATAAGAGTTTGTTGTGTACTTTTTGTTTTTTATTTTTTTACATTTGTAGTCTTATTTGGAATGATAATAAAAATACCCCACTAAGAAAATGACAAGAGTTAGTAATAAAATAACTTTTCAGTGAAAATTGAAGGCACCATTAGATTTTTTTAACTGCATATTTTTTCTTCCTATGAATAGCTTAGGAATACACTTCGCTTTCTTTTGGGAAATGTGGCTGATTTCAACCCAGAAACAGATTCCATCCCTGTAAACGATATGTATGTCATAGACCAGTACATGCTACACTTACTGCAGGATTTGGCAAACAAGGTAAATGTAAATTAATAAACTTTTGGAAACTAGAAATATCAGCACTATTGTAGGTTAAAATTTTAGTTTTATCTGAGTGGAACAGACCTTGCTGGAAATAGTAACTATAGCACTCTTGAAGAGAAATATGTCCAGACTTCCCCTCGGACCAGATTTTTCTCTCATGATTAGCTCTATTTTTCCAACAAGAAGGAATAAAGTGGAGTTATACTTTATCTGCACATGTGCTCCTCATAATAAAGTACAGAAATAACCAAAATGGACTATCCTATTTGTCTCATAAGATACTTACTCATTTTCATATAGACTTAAATAATTTCTGTTTTCTGGCTGGGTGTGGAAACTCACACCTATAAATCCTACTACTTTGGGAGGCCGAGGTGGGAGGATTGCTTGAGGCCAGGTGTTCAAGACCAGCCTGGGCAACAGAGCAGGAACCTATCTCTAGAAAAATTTTAAAAATTAGCCAGGCGTGTTAGCCAGTGCATGTAGTCCCAGCTCCTTGGGAGGCTGAGGCAGGAGAATCGCTTGAGCCCATGGTTTTGAGGCTGCAGTGAGCTGTGATTGTGCCACTGCACTCCAGCCTGGTTGACAGAGTGAGACCCTGTCTTAAAAAAAAAAAATTGTGTTTTCTCATAATTGGAAATGTGTTTGCATTAGTGTACCCTTAAGTCAGAGGTGTACATACCAATTTTGCCCAAATCAAAAATAAATGAGGCATAAATGAAGGAACACTAATGAATTGTTGGTGACGTCCACTGTTTGCTGTTGTTAAAATGGTGTGATTTTGTTATTTACAATCTCATTCTTTCCTTAATTAATGTCCTTTCGTAGTTCTCAGAGTAAAATAGTATTTTCTGAGTGTAGTCAAATGTGTTATCCAGAAATGACATTTGGAAGATTCCCAGGAGTTCTTGCATATTGCCTGTTTTGTATTTGTCTCATTGAAACATATTTTTGAAAGGAGCATATTTTGCTTGTGATGACTTACATTTTCATTTGCCTGTCTCAGCTTCCAAATTTATTTTGGCTTTGTTCCCTAGATTACCGAATTATACAAACAATATGATTTTGGAAAAGTTGTTCGGCTGTTACGGACGTTTTATACCAGAGAGCTCTCTAACTTTTATTTCAGTATAATCAAAGATAGGTATGTATGACTAAATATTAAAATGCTTAACAATGGCCAGGTGTGGTGACTCACGCCTGTAATCCCAGCACTTTGGGAGGCCGAGGCGGGTGGATGACATGAGGCCAGGAGTTCGAGACCAGTATGGCAAAATACAAAAATTAGCCGGGCATGGTGGCACATGCCTGTAATCCGAGTCACTCAGGAGACTGAGGCACGAGAATCGCTTGAACTTGGGAGGCGGAGGTTGCAATGAGCAGAGATTGTGCTGCTGCACTCCAGCCTGGGTGACAGAGCAAGATCTCGTCTCAAAAAATAACAACAACAAAACCTCAACAAGTATTTTTTGAGTGTCTACTTGTGTTTGGCAACCGTCAGGGATACAGTGATGAGCAAGATGGGCAGTGTTGTGCAGTTATTAAGATTGGGTTCCGGGCCAGGCGTGGTGCCTCACGCCTGTAATCCCAGCACTTTGGGAGGCCGAGGCGGGCGGATCACGAGGTCAGGAGATCGAGACCATCCTGGCTAACACAGTGAAACCCCGTCTCTACTAAAAATACAAAAAATTAGCTGGGCGTGGTGGCGGGTGCCTGTAGTTCCAGCTACTTGGGAGGCTGAGGCAGGAGAATGGCGTGAACCCGGGAGGCAGAGCTTGCAGTGAGCCGAGATCGTGACACTGCACTTCAGCCTGGGCGACAGAGCAAGACTC
Source organism: Homo sapiens (assembly GCF_000001405.40). Taxonomy (NCBI): domain Eukaryota; kingdom Metazoa; phylum Chordata; class Mammalia; order Primates; family Hominidae; genus Homo; species Homo sapiens. The sequence continues at coordinate 220,140,978 of NC_000001.11, forward strand.
CGTCTCAAAAAAAAAAAAAAAAAAAGATTGGGTTCCGGAGTCAAGTCTGAGTATAAAGGTTTGACCTCCCGCTTACTAGCTTTCTGATTTGGGGCAACTTATTCTGTAATCTGTTTCTTCATCTGTAAAATGGGTATAATAATACTTACCTCGTGATTGAGAAGGAAAAGCAATAATGTGCTTAAAGCTGTGCTTGATAAAGTGTTCAAAAAATCATCACTACTAATATCAGACGATGAACATAATGCTTGTTCTCAGGAGTTCTCAAATCCTGAGGGGAAGAGAGAGATATATATGTGCAATTATATGGTAACAGTGTATAATATTAGCAGTATCCTTGTAGAAGAGGCCTTGATGCCAAGTCTTCATCTGTTGCTCCAGTGTGCAGGTGACGGTCCTACCTTCATGGTAATGAGTCCAGTCTGAGGCGTTATCCTCAGCCTGTCAGCACCCCAAGGACCTTGCACATAGGGATTATAACTCCTACTCCTTCCCTTAAAACACTAATAACATTGGAGTGGGTGGGAGCCACATGTTAAATACCATCAACTAACTTATTCATAGTCCTTTAATACAGTAGTCTAGACTCTAGTTGTCATCCACCTGAGAAACAGAATGAGATAGCGTAGCCATGAGTGCTTTCAAGGAGGTGGGTACACCTGGACGGAGTAAAATTGTAGGAGAGTGTATTGTATTCTTTAAGTAGAAGATGATTAGAGCCATAGGATTAGCCACTAGGAATAAACTCAACCTGAGGCAGGTCCCATCTAGGTGACCATAATGTATAAAGTATTGTCAACTGCTGAATAAGTTGTTCTTGTTCAGGCTCTATTGTGAAAAGGAAAATGACCCCAAACGACGCTCTTGTCAGACTGCATTAGTTGAAATTTTGGATGTAATAGTTCGTTCTTTTGCTCCCATTCTTCCTCACCTGGCTGAAGAGGTGTTCCAGCACATACCTTATATTAAAGGTAAGGAATACTTCATTTATTCTCTTAATGAGAAATATCCCTGATCAAGGTGCAACTTCTACTTCTATCTGCTTCATAAAAGGGGCACTTATCCATTTACAGTGACTGCTGTGTGACACAGTGTGTCTTGGTCATGTATTTGTTTCTGCACCTATTTGTAGAGGAGTAGGGTAAATTTCAGAATTCTGTGCTTTCTGAAATGTATTAGCAGCTTGACAGTGTCGAGAAATCACCTTTTTTCTTAAATACCTTTATAACTGTTCTGAAATGGCTGGCATGGTGGCTCACACCTGTAATCCCAGCACTTTGGGAGGCCGAGGTGGGCAGATCACTTGAGGTCAGGAGTTCAAAATTAGCCAGGCCAACATGGCGAAACCCCATCTCTACTAAAAATATAAAAATTAGTGGGGCATGGTGGTGGCGGGTGCCTGTAGTCCCAGCTACTTGGGAGGCTAAGGCAGGAGAATTGCTTGAACTCGGGAGGTGGAAGTTGCAGTGAGCCAAGATCATGCCACTGTACTTCAGCCTGGGTGACAGAGCAAGACTGTCAAAAAAAATGTTCTGAAATATATTTTAGGTTGTATTAAAACAAAATATAGTGCTTTTAGTGAGTTTTATGTTAGTTGTTTTCTTCTGATTGTATTAAGTTTATAAAAATTAGAAACTATAGAAGTGTAGGAAGAGGGGGAAGTCACTTATAATGTTACTCCTGATAGCTGTTAATATTGGGATATTTCTATTTATTTTTTTCTAAGCATCCTTTTTTTCTTTGAGATCTTATTATATATTTTCTCTTTTGTTTAAATATAACAAAGATTTTCCAATGCTGATATAAATGTTTTGTAAATAATTAGGATGGATCCATAATATTTCATCACTTGATTACCATAAATAACAATTCTTATTTCCCATTAATGGTAACTATTTAATGGTTAGAGCTTCATATACAGTTTAGGATGTTTGTAAAGCAGTTTACTATTTTTGTTCTTCTGAAGAGCCCAAGAGTGTTTTCCGTACTGGGTGGATTAGTACTAGTTCTATCTGGAAAAAGCCCGGGTTGGAAGAAGCTGTGGAGAGTGCGTGTGCAATGCGAGACTCATTTCTTGGAAGCATCCCTGGCAAAAATGCAGCTGAGTACAAGGTTATCACTGTGATAGAACCTGGACTGCTTTTTGAGATAATAGAGGTATGCAGCAATATGTACCTTTTGAAATGGTGTTAGTATCATAGAGCTTTGCCTGAAATTTGCTTTTAAAATGTGTCTAAATTAATCAAATAACATTGGGTTATGTGTAACTTTACTATGCAATTATTCTATTATGTTCCTTTTCACATACTTTTTCACTTTTAAATATCTTTTAATAAATTAAGCAAAGTCATGCACATTTAAAAAAAAGTGTCTAAATTAAAAAAAAATTAATTTAGAAATTAGGGTTTCCGTCTTCTAATCCTGATATCATCACTGATTCTTTTGTTTCCTATTTCACCATATTCTTTTCCATGTCTTGTAAAACGTGTTCTGTGCATGTAACACATACATATTACTGTGTAGGGATAGGGAAGGAATAGATAAAGTTCTGTTTCAAACAAAAGGCCTCAGGACTATTTAGAAGACAGGGGACATATAAATTGATCGCGATCGTCTTTGAATGTATAAAAAATGGGAGTTTTGTATTAAGGGTCAGGTTTCCTGAGAATTTCATCCATCTGGACCAGATTCAAAACAAACCCAAAAAGAGTTTCCATTTTTATTTTGTGAAATCTGGAGAAAATTCATTTTCTCCAGCAAGTTACCACATATATTTCAAAGCATTTATCCTATTTTTATTTCTAGAAGGGCCATCAGAATTTTATTCTTGGGATTTTTAGGGGTTGATTGGCCAGATTGGCTTATAGCTTAACATAATGATGTGATTTTTCTCCAGTCTAAATGCTTAAGAAGAGAATTGGCAATGAATATAATTTTTTTTCCACGGGGCATTTTATTTGTAAATATATGTATTACATCCCTAGAAAAAGAATCCCAGGATTTTCCCTCCTGTGTGTTTTCATCTTGCTTCTTCATGGTCCATGATGCCAGCTGAGGTTGTCAGTACAATGAAACCAAACTGGCGGGATGGAAGCAGATTATTTTGCCATTTTTCTAGATCTTTGCTTTGCACATCAAATCTGGGGCTGATGTCTCCACACTTGTTTAGCCTGCCTGTGAGGTTCACAACAATTTTCCCAGCTCTGTGACCATCAGTGATTTCAAATTTGCCAATGTAACCATGCTTCATCATCACGGTGAGAAACAGGATGATGACTTTGGAGCACGGCCTAATAAGCACCTGGCTTTTGCCTCTCTTTTTGGCATTGTTGATGCTCTTGAGAGCATCAGCCAGGACATTCATGCGCACCATTGTGGTGGTGCAGAAAGACGGTGGAAGAGCTATTTTTTAAAAGTTTTATTAGTGTCAGTTTTCTAAAAAACATCCATCTTATTTTGTATGGTAAGCTCAATTTAAATTTTTAATGATGTAATTAGCAAGATTAAGATTTGAGCTTGAAATAGCTAGTAGGTATAATAGATGAGATTTTCCCATTTTAAAATTTAAAACTTGGGAAGCTGTTCATTTTACAAGTGAGGAAGTGAGGACTGCTGAAGCTGTGACCTAGACAGGGTAACACAGCCTAGTCCTGGCCTTTTTTCCTACATACTGTGTTTCCTTTGTCTTCAGTCTTTCTAAGTAATGAACTGAAAAGAAGAACAGCTTGTTTGGATCAATTTTATTGGAAAAAATACTTTGGGATTTTCAAAAACATGAATGTATTTTCCTTAGGAATCATACCAAGTAGCTGTAAGATGGAGTCCTGGTTCTATCCATTACTAATTGCATAAACTTGTTAAAACCAAATTAATCTCTTTGAGTCTCTTATTTCTCATGGGCTTTAATTTTTAAAGGAATGTCTATGTTGGTTAGCTTACAAACTCACTTTGAAGATCAAAATTACAGAGAAAAATGTGTTCATCAGACAAATTCAGTCTACTTCATAAGTGTTCTGCGTATTGTTCAGATTGCCACTATCAGTATACATTACTAAAAGCTGGTACCTGTTGAGATAGTATTTTAGCCCCTCACCCAATGATACATGAAAAAAAAAAAAAAAGGCTTTGAGGCTGACAGACCTGGGCTTGACCTGCAGTTCCACCACGTATGGGTTGAGAATCTTGGGCAAGTTAACCTCTCTTTGCTTGTTTCTTCATTTGTAAAGTGAGGATAATAAACACCATATAGGTTTTTTTTGTGTGTATGTATGTGACAATTAGAAGTAAGAGACATCTTAGGATCTAGCAAAGTGAAGTGCCTGGCATTCTCAATAAATACTGTTGATGGAAATATTTAGTTAAAACCTTTTATGCTAATTAGGATTGATACATTTAGTGATGTTTGCTCAGGATGCAATGGTATACCAGAAGGTTCCTCTCTAAACGTGAGATTTTATAGTGTTTCTTTTTATAACCTCAGTTTATGGTACAAATTTAACATAAACTGTAACTTTCACATGCTTCCTTCCAGATGCTGCAGTCTGAAGAGACTTCCAGCACCTCTCAGTTGAATGAATTAATGATGGCTTCTGAGTCAACTTTACTGGCTCAGGAACCACGAGAGATGACTGCAGATGTAATCGAGCTTAAAGGGAAATTCCTCATCAACTTAGAAGGTAAGAAGGAGATGAAAGTAACAAGTAACATCTGGAGAATTGAATAATTATAGGTCATCTCCAACTTTCCAGTGGACTGGGTTTATTCTAAAGGTAGATATATACTTGGAATACATCTTTCTATGGAAATAATAAAAACAATTGCCAAGTTTCTAAGCCCGCTCTTAAAACTATCTTACCTGATGATCTTGGGAACTGAGGGCTAGGGACAGAAGAGGGAGAGAGATTTTCTTTCTGTCCTTTGAATAAATAATGGTCACTGTATATGAAGTTTATGTTAGGCTGACTTGCTCCCATTCCTCTTTTGTGTCCCCCTGCTTTGATACTTAGTACCCCAGTACTGGCCCAGTCCTGCCCACTGTTCCCCAGTATTGATTCTAAAATTTCCTATTATGTATACCCCGGATTAAAATATTTAGCCATTCTTGTGAGGGGTTAAGGAGGAAGTTTTATTGAGCTCATTCTAACAATGGTATCTCATAAGCAAGCATTTTGTCGATATTTGTTTTATAGAAGATTTTAAAAGTCAGTCTGGTTCATCTTCATTGGTAGCGGTAGAGTTGCATTAATAAAGAAAAATAGGCTGGGCACGGTGGCTCATGCCTGTAATCCCAGCATTTTGGGAGGCCGAGGCGGGCGGATCGTGAGGTCAGGAGATTGAGACCATCCTGGCTAACACAGTGAAACCCCGAATCTACTAAAAATACAAAAAAAATTAGCCAGGCGTGGCGGCGTGTGCCTGTAGTCCCATCTGCTGGGGAGGCTGGGGTGGGAGAATGGCGTGAACCCCGGAGGCGGAGCTTGCAGTGAGCTGAGATCACACCACTGCACTCCAGCCTGGGCGACAGAGCGAGACTCCGTCTCAAAAAAAAAAAAAAAAAAAAAAGCAGGTATCTTATGCTGCTTGTGTTTTTCATAGCTTTTGGGTACCAGGAGATGGGAAGCTAACTTACAGGCATCAGTTCAAATTTGGGCTTGGCAGCATAGACCGTGTAGTAAAAGTTCTGGCTTAATTTACTTTGTGTAATTTTTTCTTTCGGACGGAATTTCGCTTGTCACCCAGGCTGGAGTGCAATGGCGCAATCTTGGTTTACCGCAACCTCCGCCTCCCAGATTCAAGCAATTCTCTTGCCTCAGCCTCCCAAGTGGCTGGGATTACAGGCGCCTGCCACCACACCCGGCCAATTTTTGTATTTTTAGTAGAGATGGGGTTTCACCATGTTGGCCAGGCTGGTCTTGAACTCCTGACCTCAGGTGATCCACCCGCCTCGGCATCCCAAAATGCTGGGATTACAGGCTTGAGCCACCATGCCCGGCCATGTAATGTTCACATACTCTTTGTACAATGACTAGAAAATAACTTAGTTTTATATTTTTATCAATCTGAGGTCTAAGAGTATTAATTGTGGAGATATTTTTGGTTCCTTTTGTCCCACGAGATATTTTGAGTGAGGACACTGTAGTTGTCACTATAATTTGACTTTTAAAAATTCTTAGTCAAGTATGTAGCTGGAGAGGCAGTGTCATTCATCAGAACTATACCCAAATTTAACAGCTAGAAAGTCTGCTCTGCCTGAGTAGATGTAGAACTCGGTGACTTGGGAGATGTCAGTTAATCTCAGAGTCACGGGGTCTCTAATTCCTCAGCTCCCTTCAGGTGTTGAGTTGTATGATCCCATTATCTTGGCTATATATGTAATGGGACAAATGGGGAAGTGTCTGACAAGCTTTACCAAGGCAGGACAAAAGACTGAAAAAGAAGCCTCTGCTAAACCAATTAAGAAACAGTGTTACAAGTTGAATGCCTATCAGAAATACTCTTCATGTATTTTTTTATAGGTGGTGATATTCGTGAAGAGTCTTCCTATAAAGTAATTGTCATGCCGACTACGAAAGAAAAATGCCCCCGTTGTTGGAAGTATACAGCGGAGTCTTCAGATACACTGTGTCCTCGATGTGCAGAAGTTGTCAGTGGAAAATAGTATTAACAGCTCACTCGAGCAAGAACCCTCCTGACAGTACTGGCTAGAAGTTTGGATGGATTATTTACAATATAGGAAAGAAAGCCAAGATTTAGGTAATGAGTGGATGAGTAAATGGTGGAGGATGGGAGTCAAAATCAGAATTATAGAAGAAGTATTTCCTGTAACTATAGAAAGAATTATGTATATATACATGCAGAAATATATATGTGTGTGTGTATCTGTGGATGGATATATGTATATCTCTTCCTATATATATCCATAGTGGACTTATTCAGAACATAGATATGTATTCAGCTTGTCTTCAAATACGGCCAAGCAGAAAATGTTTTATATTTTATAAATCATCTTTTGACTCTGTATTTAAATTCTATGATACTGAAAATAAAGGCATTCTGGAAAAATACTGACTGATTTTGGTGCAGAAGTTTTGAGTATCAAGTAAAAGAAGTATAGTTTTGAAAGGGAATGGCGGAGGCCTGTTTCCCTTAAGAGGTGAAGGGTCATTTCATTCTTCCCATTAGTGAACATCAGCCTTTTCAGAATAGCTAGTTTTTGGGGTTGGATCAGAAAGAATATAATCACCAAATTTGTTACTCAAGAAAGGAAGAAATCTCTTAATAGTTAGTTATACTTATGAATGTTTAGGAAACAACATGAAAGCTGAAAATTTATTTCACTAATATACATAAGAAGTTCACAACAATGAACAGACAGAAAATAGCAGTATATACAGAATTTCACTACTTACAGTACATTACAATAGAGAAAGCATTTTATAAACAGTTCAGTATTGGATTAAAATCTTTTAAGGATGGCTAATTCTATTCAGCAGGAATCTAACTTCTAGACACCCAGCAAACCCATTCCTATCAGGGTGAGAGAGGGCTTTTGCTGTTGCTATAGTGTACTGTAAAAATATTTGTTCCTTATAAATGAAGTGGACCACAGCAACTTCTAAATGAACATTATATTCAGTGTAAGTCTCATATTATTAAATTTCAGATTTTTGACTTTTTAGATCGCAATTGTTTTTAAAAAGCAATTTAAATGTAACAGTGTTTACTTTGACCATAGATGAAGTTTTATAATAAAAGTAAAACTTTTTTTTTCTGTTTGCAAAAGTATGAAGCATTAAGAAGCATGGTGCTATATATCTCTTTATCTACATTTACCCTGGCCCCTCTAGTTCTGCATCTAAACAGAACCTGTAATGTAGAAGTTATGATTATTTGAACACTTTTTGTTTTCCTTCAGCATTATACAATATAATTTAATAAGATACAAATGCATATTTAATGTTTGTTAATGAAGAAAGTTGTGTGAGGGTGGGCATATATCTAGGAAAACACTACTGGTTACTGGCTTCTCATCAATAACTACAAAGTACCACATACCTTTGTTTCAGAAACCACCCATTCTACATTAAAATCTAATTCCTTTATCATCTATGGCTCTTTGTTATTATAGAATGTCTACATAGGTATTTATTTGCCTTTCTTCCTATCAATCAGATTTATTTATTTTAAAAGCCCTTGATAAGTAGTAAAATATTTAACTGCTTTTCTTAACCATACAAGTCAGAATTAGATTTTAAAATTCTATGAAAAATTTTAGGATAACAAATCTAACTAGAGACTTAATGATTTGTGTTAGGATTCTGTGAGCCATACTTCAGCTTATTATTGTTCTCAGCAATCCCCAGATTTGATTGTCTGTTCTACCAGAGTAAGCTTAACCAGTTTTATTATCTAAAATGCTTAATAAGTGCCCCCTCCCCGCCAAGTGATGATGGAATTGAGGATTTATTCTTTAAAAATACCTATAACTCCAAGTTTCTTTGACTAGCCTCCTTAAGTTCATACTACTACTTTCAGCGTACTTGGAAAAATCACAGGAAGAACTAATCTCTTAGAAAACATATAACAAGTGACTGTTAACACAGAGCCAGATATGTTTACAAGAATTCTAGGATGTGTGTGGCTGGGGCAGCGGAGACCCAAGCAGAGGCTGGGAGGTTGGACTAGCCCTTTCCAGTGCTGCTACTCTGTAAAATGTATGTCTCAATCAGACTCACAGGCCCCCATCCCAAATACTCAAGACATCTTAACCATTTATCTTGTAAGATTTCAAGTTTGATAGTTACTTAACAGTAATTACTAAATTTTAGCCAGTTAAATTCTTGTTTGGATGTGCTCTTTTAGCTCAAAAAACAGATTTGTTTTTCTTTTTATATCCCTGAAGGACATACTCCTCAACTTTGCATGATTACTATAGTTGGCTTCTTAAGGGGAAGTGAAGAAACAAACTTCTGTATCACAATGACTTACTATGAATAATAATTGTGATCCATGACAGATACCCATAATTACACTGTATGGCTACATTCTAAAAATATACCACAATAAATACTTGGTATTTGTAGAGCTCAAAGCACTCTTTTACAGAGTTTTGGTTAGTTTGGTTTTTTCTTTTTTTTTTTTTTTTCGAGACAGGGTCTTGCTATATTGCCCAGAATGGCCTCAAACTCCTGGGCTCAAGCGATCCTCCTCCAGCCTCCCGAGTAGCTATAGTTTGGTTTTAATCAGTAAATATTTATTTAGCACTTGGACTGCTCTAGGCACTATAGGGTACAAAATTAGTTGTATTTTATCCTCTCATCCCAGCTGTGAGGTAGGTTTGCTAAAGCTGTAATACCACTAAGCAGTTTTTTCAATACTGTTCCCAAGGACAGATAATATTAGCAAATCCCAGAAGCATTTCTAAACACTTGTAGGAAAAATAAAGTCGGACTTAAAATTTTTAGTATCTTTGCCTTTTTTTTTTTTTTTTTTTTACATAAGTTTTACAAGATAATACATTTTTACAGTGACCTGATGTGGATACAACTTTGCAACTTGGCAAAAAGCAAATCTTAACTTACATTATAATTAATTTGCTGCATTTTACACATCTCTGATTCTCAATTTTGGCAAGTACAACAGGTTAAGGGTTCTATTTAGTGTCCCCTTCTGATGAATATGATGATCTTGAACCCATTCTTCCTCCTCAAGCACGGTCATCCTCCTCTGATGGCAACAGCAGAACCTCTGGGAAAGGAACCTTTCGGTATCCAGAACTCCCAGGTGGCAGCCCAGTGTGGGATTTGGAGCATGACAACAAAGGCATTTTCTCAACATTTACTAAAGGAGAGTGGGGTGTTCTATACGCTACTGATGGGGACTGTACATGAACACATTTAAATTGAATTACAACAACATTTTAGATAGGAAATATAGAATCTTATAAGAACATAATCTAAATTATAACCAATTTTAAATAGCAAAGTTTAACAATAAAGCTACTTAAGTGTTTGAATTAGAAATAAACAGTAAAACATCTGTATTAATTATAACAGAGTTGACATTTGTTTATATTTTATCTTCAGTATTAACCAAAGGAGTGGAATTTAGCCAGGGTTGCACTTTTTAAAAGTTGTATATACTTTTATTTATTTTACAAAAGGAAAAAAAAAGACATACTTTTCCCATAAAATTCCAGGTCTTACTATGTAAAATAACCATGCACTACTTCATGTTATAATCATAATTTTAGACTATTTCCAGTAGGTAAGTGTCATAAAGAAGGAAGAGATATGGCTTCCACAGCTTCAATGAGGTGTAAGGCTAGACCATATTGCCCATGTTTTTCTGGTAAAAGCTCAATTACTTTATTTACTAGTTTAGCTGTTGTTGCAATTGGCACTTCAGTGTTTTGAAGGTCCTGGGGGTCCTGCAAATGGGACACAAAAATAACCTATTATAGACAACTAAACAATAATTGTTATTGACTTAAGAGTTATTACATAAAAATGCTTTTCTTTGTAACTAGGTGAATTAAACTTGTCAAATTTTCTTCATAACTGTTATTAACCAGGCACTCAAGAAAACATCCAATGACCTTTTGCCTGATCTCGTTCTATTGTACTGACCATTGCTTTCAGCCAAGTACACAGTGTGGGTGGAAGTCTGGCAAGCAGCTCCATTCCTTCTTTTGTCTGGGTGTGGAGAAGCGCATGAGCCAGCCTTTGCCCCGTGAGCACCAGCAGCTGAGAGGCAAGGACCTCTTTGTCATGAACCTGTAGAATGGCCTGAAGATAGGAACATGGAGAAATAATACAGTCAGAGTGAGCAGATTTGTTTATTCTATAGGAAAGGGGTTGCCAGTGAAGAGATTCTAGTTGATTTTTGAACTGTGGCCATTTATCTTTTGATTGTATACAACCAAAGATAAATCCAAATCAAACTTAGCATTTAAACCCAAATTTCTGTTCCTTGGTTAATTTTTTTTTCTCTCATCACCTAATCTTTCAATTCAATGTGGCTACTCAGTGTGCTGTTTTCAAACTTTTGGCAAATAAAAGGAGTTTCATGTCATGTCTATTTGAAACCCTCTAATGGCTTTTTTTTGTTGTTTTTTGAGATGGAGTCTCACTCTGCCACCCAAGCTGGAGTGCAGTGGTGCAATCTCAGCTTACTGCAGCCTCCACCTCCTGGGTTCAAGCGATTCTCCTGCTTCAGCCTCCCAAGTAGCTGGGATTACAGGCACATGCCACCACGCCCAGCTAATTTTTTGTATTTTCAGTAGAGACAGGGTTTCACCATGTTGCCCAGGCTGGTCTTGAACTCCTGACCTCAAGTGATCCACCCACCTTGGCCTCCCAAAGTGCTAGGATTACAGGCGTGAGCCACCACGCCCAGCCCCTCTAATGGCTTCTGAATACACTTAGAATAACCATGGGCTCCGAGACCTAGGATAGGGCCATGGCCCGGGCCAGCCTCCCTGCCTCATGCCATACTTCTTTATTCCTTGCTTACTATGTTTGGTCAGCCATACTGGCCTTTCTAGTCCTGGACCTAGTCATTCTAGTCCCCACCTCAGGGCCTTTGTAATTCTTGTCTCAAGCACTGTTCCCCCAGTTTCTGAGTAGCTGGCTGCTGCTTCTCCTTGGGGGCTCGGTTCAAATGTCACCTTCTCTGACCACTCTACTGTAGTGGCTCCTGTTTATTCATATGATCCTGTTTCTTTCTTTTTCAATTTAAAAATAAATATTTTTTTCCTTTTTAGAGACGGGGTCTCGCTATATTGCCCAGATTGGTCTCGAGCTTCTGGGCTCAAGTGATCTGCCACCTGAGCCTTCCAAAGTGCTGGGATTACACGTGTGAGCCACGACACCCGGCCCTCTTTATTTTCTTCATAGCACCTATCATTCAATGCAAAATTTAGCATGCTTTTCTGCTCCTACCAGCAGACTATCAAGTCCATGATGAAGGAACCTTGTCTGTTTTGTTTACTGCTATATCCCTGTGCGTAGGGCAGGCCTGGCACACTGTAGGAATTATTTGATTATAATTTTATGTTTTAAAAAATATTCTATTGTTCTATTTTTATACCTAGATGTTCTAATAAAAGGAAGAGCAAAAGGCTTCATTGGAAACTTAACTGATTCTTTATTCCAACTATCAATTTTATAACTTGAGCCCAATTAACATTCAAAGGGTCATGATTACCTCTTCTCCTAAGTGGTCAACTCCATAGTTGTATAGTTCCCCCACATAATGCCTTCTAACAACATCTTCACTAACTTGAAGGTGATGGGCTAAATCCACAGCTAGAGCTGGCCAATCTTGGTCTTTCCCAAAAGGAGTGGGTGTGGCCTCTTCTGTGGGATCTTTGACCTTTGTGGCTGAATGTTGGGCCTGGACAGCTGCACTGACAACTTTCAATAAGAACTTGAAAATGGAGAAAGAGATAGAGCAATGCATTGTTACTGTTTCATTTTAAAATACCTAAACCAAGTATTGTTAGCTTTTCTGTCACTTATAGTGGCTTTTCCATTAAATTGTTTAGTTATCAAAAAAGGAACACATCATTTAAACAACTAGCTCTCAAGAATACTTTGAAATTGGTCTTTTTTAAATATTATTATTATTTTTTATTATTATACTTTAAGTTCTAGGGTACATGTGCACAACGTGTAGGTTTGTTACATATGTATACATGTGCCATGTTGGTGTGCTGCACCCCTTAAGTCATCATTTACATTAGGTATATCTCCTAATGCTATCCCTCCCCCTTCCCCCCACCCCACGACAGGCCCTGGTGTGTGATGTTCCCCACCCTGTGTCCAAGTGTTCTCATTGTTCAACTCCCACCTATGAGTGAGAACATGTGCTGTTTGGTTTTCTGTCCTTGCGATAGAAAGTAGTCATTCTTTTCAAAAGCCAGCTAGATTTTTCCCTTATGTTTTTTTTTCCAAGAAACAAAAACAAAATCCAATAGCTATAATTTACCTGTTGTCGTACAGAAATAAAATTTGGATCCATTTCCCCACTAGGTAATAACTGAATTGAAGTTAGGTCTTTGAAAAATGCATTTTTTCCCTAAAAAGAAAGAGAGCAAGAAAACTGATGAGTGTGGATTATTAAGGGGGGAGAGGGAGAAAGATTTGTTTAAAACTTAATAATAACTTATGGTTGATTTTTATTTCTCCTTGAACAGTAAGATTTTAGAATAATTTTTATAACAATTATCTAGTATATAGTAGACAGCCTTTAAGATGAAACCCAGTGATCCCCTCCTCCTGGTATTCGTGTTTCCTATAGTCTCCTCTCCTTGCATGGAGGCTGATGACTTGCTTCTAGCAACAGAAGCAGGTAGAGGTGATACATGTTACTTCCAAGACCACGTTCCAAAAGACTGCTTCTTCTGCCTTGAGGCACTCATATTCACTCTCACTTGTTCTGCAGGAAGCCAGGTTCCGTGTTGTGAGCTGCTGTATGGAGAGGCACATGTGGCATAACTGAATCTTGCCAACAATTGTGCTTAGAAGTGAATCACCCTGTCCCCATCCCAGTTGAGCTTTCAGATGCAGCACCTTAACTACAGCCTCATGAGAGACTAAGCCAGAGGCACCTAGATAAGGAGAACACAGATTACTGACCCACAACAACTGTGAGATAATAAATATTTGTTATTTTCAGCCAAGTTTTGGGATGATTTACTCCGCAGTAATAGCTAAGTAATACATATATGTACCCTGAATCCTTTTTTTTTTTTTTTTTGAGACAGAGTCTCACTCTGTTGCCTAGGCTGGAGTACAGTGGTGTGATCTCAGCTCACTGCAGCCTCCACCTTCCTGGTTCAAGCGATTCTCCCACCTCAGCCTCCCAAGTAGCTGGGACTACAGGCGTGTACTACCACGCCAAGGCTAATTTTTTTGTATTTTTAGTAGAGACGGGGTTTTCACCATATTGGCCAGGCAGGTCTCAAACTCCTGACCTCAGGTGATCTGCCCGCCTCAGCCTCCCAAAGTGCTGGGATTACAGGCATGAGCCACCGCGCCCAGCCTCTGAATCCTTTTAAAAACACTTGTTGAATTGTTTAAAAACACCTTATTTAAAAGAACAGATGTGTGTCTAAAGAGTAAAAACAGAATATCAGGAAACAGGATTTTAGAAGTTCCTTGGAAGGAAATGTAATACAGAGCAAAGAACATTGGCCTTTAAGTTGAAAGACCTGGGTCTAGTCCAAGGCTCACCACTTCCATCCAGGTTGCCTTGGGTAAATGACCCACAATCTTGGGTTACCGTTTCTTCTTCTGCAAGCAGGTCATCCTAGGTATCTTCCAATGTGCCTTCCATACCTAATCATCTGTGATTCTAGGTCATCTGTTGTGACTGCCAAGTAGATTAAAGCTACTCATCCTTTAGTGATAAGAAAAACCGGACTTACAGGGCAACCCATGACATTTTGGACATCACTGAGAGAAGTATTTAAAGATTTAGCATACACTCACAATCTGTTACTCGATAGTTCCCACCTGGTGGTCCTAGCTATAGCATCTATAATAGCACCACTTATTATTTACTACATTCCAGATGCTGCTAAGTACTTCATGTTGAATACAAGGAACCCTTACAACAACCATGAGGCTGGCACTGCTACTTTCTGAATGAGAAAACTGAGAGTAAGAAAATCTAAATAATTCTAGTTAGCAAATGGTAGCACCGGGATTGTTTTCACTAGCCACTCAACCATACTAGCTCTCTGCAGATGAGTGTCACCCAGCTGTCTCAGGTAGTCTTGGCATGACATGGGTTGAAACTAAACATTATTGTGCTAATCCAATTCTGGATGTGTTCTGGTTTCACAAAGGCCTTTTCTGATGGGAATACTGAGCTAGGCACTTTATTTTGGTATTTCTTTCTCTTTTTTAACTTTTAAGTACTCTTATCGCTTATATTCTCAAAGATATACTAACTCATTCAAAATCTATACTTTTTTTTTTTTTTGAGACAGAGTCTCACTCTGTGGCCCAGGCTGAAGTGCAGTGGTGTGATCTTGGCTCACTGCAACCTCTGCCTCCCAGGTTCAAGCGATTATCCTGCCTCAGCCTCCCAAGTAGCTGGGAGTACAGGCACACACCACCATGCCTGGCTAGTTTTTGTGTTTTTACTAGTGACAGGGTTTCACCATGTTGGCCAGGCTGGTCTCAAACTCCTGACCTCAAGTGATCTGCCCACCTTGTCTTCCCAAAGTGCTGGGATTACAGGTGTGAGCCACCATGACTGTCCGGGAGTCTCTCATTTAAGGGTGAAATAATAAACCCACTTTCCCACAAGCCTAAGCTGTGTTCTCTAACCCAGCTTCTATCAGTAAAAAGCTAAGTAATAATGTTGACGTTTTTGTCTCCAACAGTTTGTCCTGTCTCTCAAAATTTGACACCTGCGTGGGGAAGGAAAGGATTTTACTATCCACTGCAGCTAAACTGTGAAGGTTACAATAGAATATGTAAAAACATATTCTACTCACAAATTTGGACTTGATCCTGCAGAGGAGCCAAAAAAAATCTTAGGTATAGAACTAATACAATTAAACCTGTCTCTTAGGAAGACAGCTCTTGCAGCATGGGACTGGAGAGAGAGAAACTGGAGGCAGCGTGATTAAGAAAGGGCTGTTGTAATAGCCGAGGGAAAGATGATTATGCCTGAACTAGGGTTATAGTCATGGAGAGAAACGGACAGGCATGATCTATGGCAGAATTTACAAGAATGAATTTACAATGAAGAAAATTGGCTTGAAGTAAGGAATTGGTGAGATAACTTCAAAGTTTCTAGTTTTTGCCAGGGCAAAAATGATGACATCGTTAATAAAATAACCAAGTCAGGGAATTCAGAAGGAACAGCAAATTTAGGTTAGGGGCAGGATGTGGGTATTGGTTTGCAGATATATTTTAGATATGAGGTGTCTGAAGTCCTATAAGACACTCAAAGAGAGAAGTTCAAAAGAAATGAATGCCTCAAACTCTAGGGATTGGTCAGGCCTAGAGATATATAAGAGGGAGAAAATGAGTCTGTCCAGGAATAATATGGAGAATGAGAAGAGCAGACAGCTGAGAGGGCAAAACTCCAAGGGGAGCAGTACAGAAGGTAAATAAAAAGAACGGAATCAAGCAGGGAATGAGGGAGTTGGAACCTCACACCAAATTATACCAGTCACAAAAGTACTGGACAGCTTCTATTAAATATGAAAATCCATGTGTCTGCTAAGCCTGCAACTCCAAAATAGCTCTGAAATCCTGTGAGGTACTTACCTTACTGTCAAAAAGTGAAAGTGGCTTCACGGTCTTCAGAGAAAACCTCATGACTGCATACAAGATGGAGCACAGGATGGAGTGGTGCTCCACCAGTGGGTAGTGGATGTGCTTCTGTTCAAGGGCCAGTTCCACTATGGAGATTGGTCCTTCCACGGAGAGCCACGCATCCTCAGTATCCAGCACAGGCACCTGTATTTCATCCCTGCTAACATCTGCCTAAGGGTTTTGAGAATGGAGGACTGTGTTCAGTAATGGAAAAATAATAGCTTACAAATATCCCAATGAGTTTATTAGCAGCAAAGTGCAAATTCATATTGCACACTGTCCCAAATTGTAATAAAAAAACACAAAGTCTAATTTCAATAAGAATTTAATAAGAAAACATCACTACCTTCTGGGCTCAAGTCAAAATTTAGAAATGAATGAATGAAAAACAACCTCATTAAAATAGTCATTTATTAAATGCAATGGTTTGCAGAATATGTAATATCTTAGGAGCAGTTCAGAATGAAAAATACACCTCTTTTACCTCCATTAAGATCTGAAGAAGATCCAAACAGGAGCCGAGGAAAGATGTCATTGCTGTGTCACTCATTCCCACATCCTGTTTTTTAAAAAGGAACGTAATTAGGCCCTGCAGGAAAACTGCTATAGTTACTGTCAGCCAAACAAGAACCAGGATACAATACACTGGTTCAGCTGACTTTCCACACTGAATAGACAGGCAAGAATTTGAAAGTCAAGGCATTAGCATATTTAAGTTCCTTCTTTTAGATTTACTGTCAACCAATTTTAAAGTCAAGCTTTACAAAGTGGTATAAATATTGACTTTTAAAAAGTAGTGTTCTTTGTGTATTGTAAAGAAACAGCCTCATTAGTTACTATAGATGGTGGCACTTCTGAGCTCACTGTTCAGCTTGCTAAGGCATCTGGTAGCCAAATAATCGTGGTAGATGGAAGATACACACATGAGAATCTAACCTGAAAAGCTCCAAGAAAACAGCCTGGTCTGCTTTCAGAGCGTCTTTTAGAGACTGAACCCGACCCTCTGAGCAAAACTAGAATCCTCAAGCTTGAGAACTAAATACCAGATTGATGCTGTGAGCAACAGACGATTCTCAATGACTCCTTTAAAGGGCTTGTCCAAGGGACCACTGCATTTGTGTATAATCTTTTTTTTTTTTTGAGACAGAGTTTCATTCTTGTTGCCCAGGCTGGAGTACAGTGGCACGATCTCGGCTCACTGCAACCTCCACCTCCCAGGTTCAAGCGATTATCCTGCCTCAGCCTCCTGAGTAGCTGGGATTACAGGCGCCCACCACCATGCCTGGCTAGTTTTTCTATTTTTAGTAGAGATGGGGTTTCACCTTGTTGGTCAGGCTGGTCTCAAACTCCTGACCTCAGGTGATCCACCAGCCTCGCCTTTCCAAAGTGCTAGGATTACAGGCGTGAGCCACCGCGCCCTGCCATATAATCTTTTTAAAACCAACAATCTTATAATTTCCTCACATCCCCAAAGCAAATAATTCAGTGTTTGTGGGTACATGCACACACACATGCATGCACACACACGTACACACTCTAGTCATACAACCATTCTCAAGAACACATCAGAAAAAGTCTTCAACAATGGAAGCTAGTACTATTAATTTCTTGGGTCAAATACAAGTCCCATATCCATGGATTAGAATATTAGTTAAGACTAATGTTGTATTTGTATACTTATGTTATTATATATATCATATATATAGGTAGATCAAATTAACTACTTCATTTGAACCTGCTTCAATTTGATGTTGGATGCTTCCATTATAAATGTCTAATCGGAATATGCAGCAATGGTAGCATGTTAACCTGTTCACAGTTCAAAGCTGAACAACATCTTATAAAAACCTAGTTTAATATGCTATCTAACAATCTGGAAAAGTAAATTAAAACTGGCCATAGTTCATGACCAGTTTCCTTAATGCAGTATTCTCTTTTCATTTTTCTTATCTCCTTCTGATACGTCATCACAATGATAAAAGGCAAAGTTCACCTATACAGTTAATAAAGTACTACATAAAAGTGTGGAATTAACAACCATAATTCTAGCTATGGGAGATTCACTTACCCTTCGGCATAACCTATCTTTTGGTGATTTTCCAACCTAAAATAAAAAGATAAAATGTTGTAACATTTAATAATTTAAATAAA
Source organism: Homo sapiens (assembly GCF_000001405.40). Lineage (NCBI taxonomy): Eukaryota > Metazoa > Chordata > Mammalia > Primates > Hominidae > Homo > Homo sapiens. Next base: position 220,159,469 of record NC_000001.11, read on the forward strand.
AAGACATTACTATGGCACAAATAATAAAAAGTAACCGAATTTAAAAACCGTAAATGGCGCTATAAGTAAATGTGACAGCCTCATTAATTAGCTGTTGGCTCTACCAACAGTAGATGCAATTAAATTGGTGGTGAAACTTAATCTCACACTGGGCTCAAGAATAATCCTTTTCAAATATAAATTACATATTTCTGAACTATTAAATAAGTAAAAACTCTAAAAATCTGTACAGTCAAATAACTGTGTTGCCTAAAAACCCAGAGCCTGGGCCGGGTGTGGTAGTTCATGCCTGTAATCCTAGCACTCGGGAGGCCAAGGTGGGCCGACCACTTGAGGTCAGGAGTTTGAGACCAGCCTCGCCAACATGGTGAAACCCCATCTCTACTAAAAATACAAAAATTAGCTGGGCGTGGTGGCATGCACCTGTAGTCCTAGCTACTCGGGAGGCTGAGGCAGGGGAATCACTTGAACTCAGGAGGTAGAGGTTGCGGTGAGCCAAGATTGTGCCACTGCACTCCAGCCCGGGCAACAGAGTGAGACTCCATCCCACTCCTACCAAAGAAAAACTAAAAAAAAAACCCAGAGCCTAATTCAGGGCTACTAATCAAGAACACCTAAGAATTCAGCTTGTTGATAAAGGCACAATTGTTTGAAATAGAAAGAAAGGAAAACCACTCTAAAGCACATGGGAGTTATATTCCTAGCCCAGAAAAATTTCCTTACGCAATAAGTACTTATTAAGATTTTACTGTATATGTCTACAGTGTAATAAGTGGGAGGCAAAAGTTCTGCCCTCAGAAATACTACTTGATAAGAGAGGAAACTCACAGGAGACATTGGAGAAAAATGTCACCTCACTACCACTTGCTGGGATTACTGCAACAGCCTTGGAACAACCAAGATCAGCTGACCCCAGTCCCAAGATATTTTGTCTGTTGCCAGAATCATCTTTTTAAACACAAATTTGAATATATAATTCCTCTGCTTAAAACTGCCCCAGTGTCTTCAATATAAAATAATAGCTACCATTTACTGAGCCCTTACCACATGTGCCAGACCCTGTGCTAAGCTTACACATACTACTAGAAAATCCAAATTCACAGCCTGCACAGGAATGTCTTCATCTTAGCTTTTCTTTTCTTCTAATATAGCCTATGTTCCAGCCATCCTAAGCTACTTCTAGTTCTCTGAATCCAACAAGTTGCCTCATATCTCCAGGACTGCTGGGATATACTTTCCTCTCACCTACTTTTTACTGGTATATATATAGGCATCCACCAAAATTTAAGTCAGAAGCCTTCCCCTTGTTTTGTTATTTATTTCCTCCTCTTCTGAGCTCCAAACACTCCCTATTGTCTGTTTACCTGGTGTTCAAACTGTGAGCTCTTTGAGGGCCAGGACCATAACTTCCATTGGTTCAACCACAGAACCTAGCATAGTCTTGGCACATGAGAGATAACACATTATAATAAAGACTTATCCAATCACAAATTTCCTACTTCCTGGTTTAGGACTGTTTTTGCCCCAAAGTAGTGAAGATCAAAAGTGATTGTGGATGTGAGAATGCTGTGAAACTACAAATTGTAACACACATAAATTACATTTTACTGTTATTCTCTCGAAAGACGAGGGGGTAAGAGGTGAAGTTGAATAGGAGAACAACATCATAAAGGCCAAAAGATGCAAGTTCCAAGAAAGAAGCTATTCAGTCAAGGAAGATGAGCACAGAGGAAAGAATGGTTAGATTTAACCAGAAAAATGTTATCAATAACATCAAAGAGAGTAATTTCAAGGGGAGCAGTGGCCTAAAGTTGGGTCTTGGCTGTGGTGCTATTCATGATGCAGGAATGACTGTGACTATACATTTAAAAGAATATGTTATCTTTACAGTGGTAATTCTCTTAGCATCCACTCATCTGATGCTACACTAATCTACATTGTTGAGTGGCCTGTAAAACACACTAACTAGTGTCCCTGGCCACTCAGCTGGAGGCTAGGCTGGTACTGTCGGCATGCTAGCAGCTTCTGCTCCCACCAGTTGAGTTCTATGCTTATATGTTATGCTTGTTCCCAAAGCTACTCATGCTGGTTGTAGATGTCACTGTAATTATGTAATTTAATTCCATAACTGATGAAATATGAATGAGAAAAAAGGGGGAGTTATTTCCATGAATGCTATGTTGAATGCTTTGCAAAGATTTATAGAGGAGAATAACTCCTAGGTCTTTTGGATTAGATACAGAGGGAACAACTATAAAAATTATAGAAATCTAAAGGTTTTGGACTCAGATTACACAACAACTTTAAAAAAATAAGATCTAGCCATGATAGGCAATACATTATGGGTGAGGTTTACACAAGAAAACCAAAGGAGAATGCAATCAACTCCATTCAAAGAAAATATCTTGGCCTTACATCAAAGATTGGTAAGTGTAAATTTGTACACTTTAATTTAAAATAAAATGCAAATCCTTGCTTGAATCAACTACCAGTCCTAATCTCTTTAGTTAAGAGGCTTTTATAATATATTAGTCTCTTTATGAGGATTTAGAGTCCTTCTTTATGTCATTAAAATGCCAGTACTGGGCATTACATTTAACTGAGTATGAGTAAAATCTAATTATCAAATTAAAAAATAGTCTAACAAAGCCTAATGTGAACAATCTTTCTAATATTAGTCAAATAAGAGAATCAAATAAATAAGAAGTCAATACATGAAACTACCTTACCTTATCCATTAAGTATGTAGCAGCAGAAAATCTTTTAACTAAGAACGTATTCCACATCATCAGTGCAATGCCTAGATAGCAAGTAAAAGTAGTAAATAGAATGCTTATATAGTCTCACTTTTATTACACATAAATTACTCTTTCTTAAGCTTATTAAACTATATAGACTATTTTGATTTCATTTTTTATATCTCATGTAATATTTATAAAGTTCATGAAATCTTTAATTTCATTTAAAATCTGATTTAATAAAAATCAGAACTAGGCTGTATAAGAGTATGTCTAAATTGCCACTAAGCATGAAGAAAAGAGTCACATCATTAGTTATGAGAGAAATACAATGTCACAGTGAGACAGCATTACATAACCACCAAAAAGGCTAAGAACAATTTTTAAATTATAATACCAAGTATTAGTGAGGATATGGAACAAATGGAACACTCATGCATTACTGGTGGTATAATAATTTGGTAAAACCACAGGGAAAACTGCTGGGTGGTAGCTACTGAAGCTAAACATGTGTCTGCTCTATCACCCGACAATTCTGCTGGGTATATACACTAGAGAAATGAATACAGAACATATGTATGAGATTGTTGGGAACAGTTTTATTCCCAACAGCCAAACACTAGAAACAATCCCAATGTCTGCCAATTGATTTTTTTCACATATAACTGCAAACTAAAGTATGTAGTTATATAAAAAAGTATTAAAAACAAAATATATAAAAAACAAACAAACAAACAAACCAGGCTGGGCAACATGGCCAGAACCCATCCCTATGAAAAAATGTTTAAAAAATTAGGCATGGTGGCACATGGCTATAGTCGCACTCGGAGGCTGAGGTGATAGCATAGCTTGAGCTCAGGAGTTCAAGATTATTGTGAGCTATGTGTGCCACTATACTCCAACTGGGGTAACAAAGCAAGACCCTGTCACTACTCATTGAGCTGTGGCATTAACATTAAATTTCTGAAACAGTTGTCAATTAGGCAATGTAAACATGGCATTTCACATGCTATTATTACTACCCTTGTAGCTGAGTCTGTCTATGAGTAAGGCCCATCACAGGCTATGAGAAGCCAGGAACCCTACTCGATGGGTAAAGGTACAAATATGTAAAGGCCTGACTTGAAGAAATACTAGTCTGAAGTCAGTTAGTAACTTAATTTTTTTTTTTTTTTTTTGAGACGGAGTCTCTCTCTCCCAGGCTGGAGTGCAGTGGAGTGATCTCTGCTCACTGCAAGCTCCGCCTCCTGGGTTCAGGCCATTCTCCTGCCTCAGCCTCCCGAGTAGCTGGGACTACAGGCACCTGCCACCATGCCCGGCTAATTTTTTATATTTTTAGTAGAGACAGGGTTTCACCATGTTAGCCAGGATGGTCTCGATCTCCTGACCTCGTGATCCGCCCGCCTCGGCCTCCCAAAGTGTTGGGATTACAGGTGTGAGCCACTGCGTCCGGCAGTAACTTAATTTTATCAATAAAGATAGAATAATCTAAACATGATATTTTCTAAATCAGTCAAGGTAAATATATAAATACATACATATATATATATATATATATATATATATAGGATGAAGGTAAGATCTAAGAGATGAATAAGTAATTTTCAAGTTCTCTTCAAGTAAAATGGGATATTTTACAATTTCTGCAACTGGATTTCATGTCACCTGCAAGCATGTGATAGAGGTGAAAAATACATAGCTTCTCTAGAATTTATTACAGAGACATAAGGTGATATCTCCTCTTACCCAGCCTAACACCAAGTCTCATCATTTACTAAGGTTACTAACTAGCTTAGTGCTGATATCCTCAATTCCTATAATGAAACCCATCTATCTATTAAATGGAATCTGTTTACAAGTTCAATATTTTTTCAAGGAGGCATCAGTAGTTGCCAAGGCAGCTAATGGAGAATATTCACATCCATTATAAGACGCACAAGATAGTTGCTACAGTCTAATCTTATTAGGCTTTTGGCTACCAAGATTTTTTATTAAGAATTGCAGTCCTGAGAAATCCATCCCTCTTTCCTTCACTATCTGTGAAGGGTGTAATGAAGGCAGCTGTTCTGCATCTATCATTGATTCCCTCTTTCCTTGGAAAGCTAGATACAGAACAGCTGCCTTCATTACACTCAGGGATAGTAGTCAGCTGCTTGGGGAACAGAAGTGGTGATTACTATCAGTTGTTTTGCCCCTTTATAAATAGCACTTTTCCAAGTAGTTAAAATGGCCAGTACTGTTTTTTTTTTGTTTTGTTTTTTGTTTTGTTTTTTTTTTTTTTTTTTTAGAGACAGGGTCTCACTCTGTCACCCAGGCTGGATGCAGTGGTGTGATCATAGCTCACTGCAGCCTTGAACTACTGGGCTCAAGAGACCCTTGCACCTCAGCCAATACACAGTAATATGTTAGGCTGCAGGATAATCAAATAAAAATTTAATAGGTTGTAAATCTTTAAATTCACATCCTGTTAAATCAGGAAGCCTCTTTTAGATCAAACAGTGATGTTTCTAACATCTGTTTACTTACCATTTTGAACATGTGCATTAAATATTTGCTTCAAGTGTTCTATTGACCTAACAAAAAAACGTGCTTCCTTACATACAGGGAGAAAAAAACGAGAAAGAAAAAGAGGTATCATTTAATAGGTTTTACCATTATCAATGGAGACTTCTTACATAAATTTCTGCATAAAACCACCTAAGAATGTTGCAATAATAACATGAAATTATTGGATAAGAAATAACTTTTGATAAACTGTCCCTCTTCAACTCACATTACCTATACAATAATTAATTCCCAGAAGCTCCTCGGTCATATGGGCTAACATCTGGATTCAAATTTGCTGTGGTTTGAACATCATAGCAATATTCTCTCCAATAAATACTTGAATTTCATACAGATTTAAAAACAATAAGCTTACTTTTGTAGATACTATTCATTCATTCATCATTCAACAAATATTTATTGAGTATCTAGTATGCACCAAGCCCTATTTGAAGCACGATGGATTCCATAATGAACAAAACAGACCCCAAGTCTTGCCTTCACTGAGTTTAAATTCTAGTGAGGGACCTATATAATAAACATGATAAGTTAATATATTATATTTAGTATGTTAATGGTAAGTGCCAAAGAGAAAAACATTAAAGCAGGAAGGAAATATGAAATATTAGATGGGATGTTTGAAATTCAACTCTTTCTAATCAAAGAAGTTTACATATTAAAACTCAAATACAGTATACAACACTGATTAAATAATTTAGATATCTGCTAAATAATTTTGTAGCTTGTACATCATCATCAAACATATCATCATTGCCAATACACACTGTGTTGAAATTTCTCTGAAGGTAATTTTATTGTTTTGAGCCTTATAAAATTGTGTGTGTCAAATGGTGGAGCTGAGACTGGTTGGATGGGGCAAGATGAATATTTAATGGGAAAAACAAACAAGTAAAACAACAACTTCTTTTAAATGTAAGCAACATTAATGATACTGATAACACTAGTCAAAATGTTAGGCACTATGCATTCATTTTCTCAAAATATGCAATAACCTTTTGAGATAACTACTATTACAGCCCTCATTTTAGGAGAACATTGAAACGAAGAGTTCAGAAACCGTGTGCTATGAGGATTACAAGCTCTATGCAGCAACCATGGGGCTTGACGTCAGCTTTGTCTATGTCCCCTCTGCAAGCTGCCTTTGGTTTATAAACAAATACTACAAAGCAGAATTTTCTTCTTAAATGCCACTTTTTTAGACTTGAATTTGAAATTAATTCAGATTTTAGAAATTATTATTTTCTCATTCTAGACATAACATTCCTTTTTAATAAAATGGAAAAGTAACACATTTAAGTAGAGAGCCTAAATATGATCGCCATTCAGGCTGTAGTCAACTGAAGAGGGTGATTTGAAGGGCATTAAGAGGATTCCTCTGTCCTAAAATCATTTTTTGGTCAAGGTTTAATTGATCAAAGACTATTCCTTTATTTAAATCACTTACTTTCATAATGTCTTCCTTTAATATATAAGTGATTACACAGTTTTTTGGAGGAAGGAAGAGTATCGTTTCCATTAATATATTAGCATGAATTAGTTCATCTGTGAGAGTTCTCTACAATAGTGCAACCTCATATAAGGAAGATAAAGTTAAGAATTTTGATTTGAGAGGAATAATTTACCAGGGAACTGACTAAGGAGGTCTAAGTGAAGGACTGATTGGCAAAGGGGAATATTTACAATATGTTTTTATATCTTATTTGATCATGGCACCTTCATTTTAAAAAGGAGGTGGAAGGAGGTAGAAAATAACAGGCCAGAGATTCAGTGGCCCTCTTGAGCCAGAAGCTTGTCAGCAATTCAGCTGGGATCCAAATCACTGCCTTCTGCCTCCAGGCTTGGGGTCTTCCCCATATGCTGCTTCCAGACTGTGAATGTCCTGGTAGAAACAGTGGCTACCGAAAGCAATAGAAAATGAAGCCTGAGCAGAGAGCTGAGAGGGCAGCAAGGCTAACCTTGGACTACAGTCAACCCTGGTCACGATCTGCCTCTTTGTTCTTCTGAGGCATACAGAAGTAACAGACAAATACATATTTGAACAATCAGACACTAGGTTGATCTCAGGACCTTCACTCTTGACTTTTATCACGATGACTATAATATTAAGAATATTGTGTTCGGTTGGGGCCATTTCATGCAGGAATTCAGAAGGAAATAAACAATATACTTGTCACAACCTAACTAGGGAGTAGAGCAAAGCACACTGGTTTTAGATAAAGAGAACCATATGCTTAAATCCTGACACTTACTTAGCTGTGTGTCTGCAGGGAAGAAACTTAACTTCTCTGAGCCCTAGTATTTTCTTTAGAGTGGGGATACTGACAGTATCTATACTTCACAGGTTTACTGGGAGGATTGTAAGAGGAAATATGTGAAAAAGGTCTACCCTAGTTAGTACAGAGGCATTACAACGGGGAAAAAGCCAGTGTTTATAATAAGCTATTTAATTAGACGGTCCCCATATATGAATAGCATGAACACAGAAGCAGAAATAACATGAAAGAGGTAACGAGAATCTTACCTCTGGATCTTTATTCCACTGAACAACGTACTCCCAGCAGCAATGTGCATGCAAGACATCGAGCTCAAGGCTACAAGGAAACTGCTCATAGGCTAAATGCAGTAAGTCTGAAAGTCAGAAGAAAGCAGTGATGTTATTTTTTTCCTTAATGAACACTTGGCCACATCTTTCCAATTTGGATTTCATATTTCTCATTATTTGTGTATCACCTGGTATGGCTCCTAAGTCCATCTCCATCTCTGATACCTCAAGGAAACTTCTGTTAACACCTTCTTTGGGTTCATCTGGGTTTTCTGCATCTCTTTCTTCATTAGCCAGTTTTAATACTTCAGGGCTGAAGTCCTGTTTAAATATCCACTTGGCTACACTGTCTGCAATGCCACCTATAGTTTGGAGACAAGAAAGAAAATAAAAATTTACAACACACAGGGCAGTGTTTGCCAATGGGAGCCAATTTCCTTACGAAGAGATCTAAGTGCCACATTCATTTCTCAGCCTGAAGCTGACCCGAAAAAGCCATGAGATTTACAGCAGTGTTCCTACCTACCACGCAACTTGTGAGGGCAACAAGTGGGATATTTACGATGTCAGGGCATCCTTATACTCTCAGAAAATATTAGATAAATATAAATGCACATGCATATGTCTATAAACCATATGCTTTCTAAGTTCAAAATACACTTTACCAGAGACAAAAAAAATTAATATATACTTAAAACACTTTTACTTAAATTATAAATGAAAATAGATTGGTTAGTATGACATTTGTCTAGGCTCCTAAGGCCAATATAATATTACTTTTTTGTTTGTTTGTTTTTGAGACAGAGTCATGCTTTGTTGCTTAGGCTGGAGTGTAGTGGTGCGATCTCAGCTCACTGCAACCTCCGCCTCCCAGGTTCAAGTGATTTTCCTGCCTCAGCCTCCCGAGCAACTGAGATTACAGGCGCCCACCACACCCAGGTAATTTTTTTATATTTTTAGTAGAGATGGGGTTTCGCCATGTTGGCGAGGCTGGTCTCGAACTCCTGACCTCAGGTGATCTGCCTGCCTCAGCCCCCCAAAGTGCTAGGATTACAGGTGTGAGCCACTGTGCCCAGTAAATATTCCTTTTTTTTTTTTTTTGAGACAGAGTTTCGCTCTTGTTGTCCAGGCTGGGGTGCAATGGTGCAATCTTGGCTCACTGCACCCTCTGCCTCCCAGGTACAAGGGATTATCCTGTCTCAGGCTCCCAAGTAGCTTGGATTACATGCATGTGCCACCATGCCCGGCTAAATTTTTGTATTTAGTAGAGACAGGGTTTCACCATGTTAGTCAGGCTGGTCGCAAACTCTTGACATCAGGTGATCCACCTGCCTCAGCGTCCCAAAATGCTGGGATTACAGGCATGTGCCACCATGCCCAGCCCTATTACTTTTAATAATCAACAAATTTGCCTATATGAAATATTTATGGGCCTAATTTAGCTATAGCTAATCAACAGCATTATATCATGTCTCAGTCATCAATATAGTACAAAAAATTGTAAACACGCTGAAAAACGTTCCAGATATTTAACGAGTCCTGTTTATTATCGAAAACAAATTATACTCTATTGTTTACCAAAACTTTCTCAGTCTTTCCTCATCTTTTGATTCAAATAAAAACCTTTCCACAAAAAGAATGCTTCACAGTAAATTCACAATTATCAGTGAAAATAAATGTGAGCAGTGTGCTGGGTGATCTAATTTCTTATGTTTGGCTTCTAAATCATTGGAAAATTCTCATTCCAGAATTAAGCCCCTGATTCCATTGCTTAGGTTAATATTCAAATGGCATCCTTACCCTTTCACTAGGTGGCAACATGAAGTGTGGTGAGTTTACAATAAGAAAAAGTTCACAAGTTTTATAAAGAATGAGAAAAGAAGTAAACTAAAAATCTATAAACATGTGGGTATTTATAAACCTCATATACAGTCCTTCCAGTATCAAATGCCTAAAAGAGCTGCTGATAAAAAGTGTGAGCCCCCAAAGACAACTAAAAATGTAAGATGTTTATGTTCCTGCAAGATATAAGCACAGGAACCCAAATGATTCCAGGACAGTAGAAAGTGATGCTTCACAACAGAGGAATAACGTTCTGTGGATATTAGGAGGAAGAAGAGAAAATTTGCAGTTAGTGAATCATGAAAGGTTTCCTGGAGGAGAAGCATTTGAGCTGGACCTTGAAAGATAAGTAAGATTTCGATATCCATGAGTGAGAGAGGCAGGGAAAGGGAAGAGGATAGGTCCAGATCTAAGACGGGAAGCACACGGATGCTTCATTTTAACTAAAATCTAGGAAGCAAATGAGAAAGAAATAGAAAAATCAGTTGGATTCAAAGTCAAAAGTTATTGGAGAGCAAGCTTAAGAGTTTATGCTTTGTTCAGGCAATTCTTGAACTTACTAGTCTCATGATCCCCTTAAAATTACTGGCAACCCCACAGAACTTTGGTTTATGAGTTATGGCTGTCAATCTTTATGGTACTAAAAATTAAAACTGATAAATTAAAAAATATTTTATTAGTCCATTTTGAAATGAAAATAAACTGATTACATGCTAATATTTTATGAAAATAATTACATTTGACCCAGCAATCCCATTACTGGGTATATACCCGAAGGATTATAAATCATTCTTCTATAAAGACACATGCACACATATGTTTACTGCAGCACTATTCATAATAGCAAAGACTTGGAACCAACCCAAATGCCCATCAATGATAGACTGGATAAAGAAAATGTGGCACAGATACACAAAGGAATACTATGCAGCCATAAAAAAGATGAGTTCATGTCCTTTGCAGAGACATAGATGAAGCTGGAAACCGTCATTCTCAGCAAACTAACACAGGAACAGAAAACCAAACACCGCATGTTCTCACTCATAAGTGGGAGTTGAAAATGAGAACACATGGACACAGGGAGGGGAACATCACATACCAGGGCCTGTGGGGGATTGCGGGGCTAGGGAAGGGATAGCATTAGGAGAAATACCTAATGTCGATGATGGGTTGATGGGTGCAGCAAACCACCATGGCACGTGTATACCTATGTAACAAACCTGCACGTTCTGCATATGTATCCCATAACTTAAAGTATAATAATAAAAAAGTAGTTATATTTCCCAATGCAAAAAAAAAAAGGATATTTGGTGAGAAATATGGCACTACTTTACATATTTGCAAATCTCTGTAATGCCTGGTTTATATCTGGATTCTCCAATCAGTTTTGCCATTCAATCTATTGTGCTCTGTGTTTTGGTTGAAGTATAAGAGGAAAATCTGGTCTCATATAGACATGTAGGTGAAAAAAGGAGGACTCCTGAGGTCCTCTGACCACTCTTTGAGAATCACTGCCAATTTTCTTAGGCAGAGGGAAGCACCTAGCAGTTCCTGAGCGTGGAACTGACCAAATGAGACTTTAGAGAAAATTAATTTAAAGGTAGTATATAGAAGGTTATTGTTATTTTTAAATCTGAGTGTATTTTTCTTTCTCTATTCTTTCCGTCATTTCTATTAAAAGAAACCCTCGTAACATAAAAAAATGGATGCAAATGCTCAAATAAACTTCAGCTTACCTTTTCCTCCTTCTAATAACTTTTTAACAGAAAGCCTTGGAAGTGGCTCAGCCTGCAGTGATGACACTTTGGAGGTCTGAGTGTTCCCTTTGCTGTGAAGCAGAGTCTGAAGTATGAGACAATCCTCCAGCTGTTTCAGAAGGAGTTTCCAGTACTCAGTGTCAAGAGAAAGTGCCTCCCAGGAATCAGTGAGGGCCTCTGAATCAGCACCCAAAACTGTTTGGGAAAACTAATAAAAAATGCACTGGTGATTCTTTGCCAAAGATTCTGAATCAATATTAACTTGAATGAGCTTTTAACTTGAAAGCTGATGGATACTGAGGATACATCACAAAGCAACACATACATGCTATTTCACAAATATTACTACTTGGCTGGATGAAACATGAGGGTCAGGAGTAGATTGGAGACTCATGGGCAAGGATGGTGAGTTCAGATATTTATAAGGAGTCCTGCACTAATGGCCCTGACTCAACCAGTATACATTTCAGAGTTTTCTGGGCCATCTTTGGCAAGGGCCAAGTTTTGTCTATCAGTACCATCAAAATACTTATATTTCTTCAGAATGCACTCTTCAACCTAAAAAACAATCTGAAATTTCATCTCTCTCCATCATAATGAACATTTCAAGCAGGCAATATTAAATTTAGCCTATAAACAACAGTGGCTGACAATGTTAAGTGAATCTCCACAGACCTATTTAGGTGTCTCATCCAAATTAACGTTAACACCCCCTGGAAAAAATTATTTGATCCACCATGAGCTGTAAAGGAAATGTGAGTCCTCAAGAGATGAGAAAAAAACACAGTAGGACACTGCCATGTGACAACTGCTAAATTCAAGTATCCACGGCATCATTCTCAATAAAGAAATTAAGGGGAGCACCTCTCATCCCTCTCCCCGCTCCAAAAAACCCCCCGAAAAACCCCAGAAAAGGAAAGCATCCCCTTAGCCTACTGGATGTGTACAGATCAAAGCCATACCTTTACCCACTTACTTTTTTCTCTGTCATGTTGTTTGATATCTGTGCAGCAACAGAATGCCCAACATGCGCAGACAACAGAGCGGCTCCATTGTTCTCAGACTGAATACAGGCTGTGCGCATCTGCTGCCACCATGGGGACACAGACTGAGAATCCCAGGTCTCATCGATGGCCACTATAGGGATAGGAGAAAACAGAAAAATAAACTCTTACCCTGTCAATTTTTTGGACTAACCATTTATGTTAAACATAATGTTAAAACTAAGTTACCTACTGATGTGTTTTTGTATTTCTCAATGAAGTGGAAGTCTAACAATCTATTTTATTCAGAACATTTATATTCCATTTATTTATGATCTTTTAGTCATCTTTGTTCTGAATCAATATAAATCCTTATTTGGAATATTTCATCATTACTGAAAACTGTTGAATATTTTAACAGATTAATATTCTGATAATCATACAAAAAATAACAAGAAAAACATTGCCTTCCCCGAAGACCATTCCATTTGCCTTACTGAGTTAAGATGTATTGTTCAAATCATGTTATTTTTTTATGATGATACAAAATATAAAATTTCATAAATTAAAGCATAAGTCAAATGCATTAAGAGTATTCTATTAATACATAAAAGAATCTCTACGGTGAAATGTTTTGTACACTACAGACTCCTTTTGTTAAGGGATCCTATCCACTCTCCCATCTTTTTGTGACATTTCAAACACGAAACTTTGTTGACGAGAGCAACAAACTTTGTTTACCTTTCATCTTGCTCAGGAGGGACAGCATGGTATGAAGACAGCAGATTGACTGTGGTTTATCCAAAATATCCTTTTCCTTTGAAAGCCAAACACTCAGGAGCAGAGACTGAAATCAAATTTAAATCTTTTTCAGTCTAAAAAAAAATTTAGCATAGACAAAATCTTACACTTTCCTAGACAGCAGATGCATGCATATGGATGATGCAGCTTCTTGAGGTGAAAAAATTAGTGGTTGCTTGCTGTATCATGTAATCTGAGAGGGAATATGAGGTACCTTGTCTACCTAGGAGATTCTCTATAACCTGTTGTATATTTAAACTTCACTGTTTCCAAACCTTCTTTGGGTTAAGCATTGCCTTCCAATCCAAATCTCTATTAAGGAGCATATTACCAGACAGGAGTTACTACTACGTGAGCATAGATCTGCTGTTGATGAACGAGGTGCCACTTGGCTGTAGGTTTTGACTGGAGAGAGAGGTAGGATCTGTAGCTGTGGATCTTAGCCTTGCCTTGGCTGTACAAAGGTATTGCAGACGTGGCAGTGAGGAGCAAGTACATAAAAGTATCAAACTCCAATTTTTAAATCACTAATAAGTTATGAAAAAACAGACTTTAAACCAAAAAACTTAAGTCAACATAAGTGACTTTTAAAATGGCTGTAAACCAGCATACCTACTTGAAGCTGAAATTTTTTTAAGATTTATAAAATTGGTTCACAGATAATTCTGGGATAATGAAGTTTAATGAAATGGTGTTACATCTGTAAGTACTGGTATCTCTGAAAGGCCTTGATTAATTATAATACTGCAATACTTTTATGTGAAAAATAGCTCTAAGTTAAAAGACTGACTGTTAGTTTAAATGAATTATTTCAAATAGTTTTCAAAAATTAAGGAGGGTAAAGAGTTGAAGGAGAAGAAGCACATGAAAGAAGTGAATTTATGAGGACGACTTAGGGCCAGGAGCTGTGATAAGTACGTGACATGCACATCACCTCCTTTTATCCTAATAACTTCTGTGGCAGGGATGATGATCCAGATTTCAGAAATGATGAAATAAGCTCATACGGGAAAGCTAACATGTCCAGCACTACAGTTAATGAGTTAGAACTAAAATTGACACACCTGTAATCCCAGCACTTTGGGAGGCCGAGGCGGGCGGATCACGAGGTCAGGAGATTGAGACCATCCTGGCTAACGTGGTGAAACCCCATCTCTACTAAAAATACAAAAAATTAGCTGGGCGGGGTGGCAGGTGCCTATAGTCCCAGCTACTTGGGAGGCTGAGGCAGGAGAATCACTTGAACCCAGGAGGCGGAGGTTGCAGTGAGCTGAGATCATGCCACTGAACTCTGGCCTGGGCTACAGAGCGAGACTCTGTCTCAAAAAAAAAAAAAAAAAAAGAAAAGAAAAGAACTAAAATTGGATCCATGTTTATCAGATCTCAAATAAATTTAAAAAAAAGAACTAAAATTTGAAAATAAACCTGCCTGATTCTATTAATAACATGCGTATTTTCTCTTCTCCCCCTTTAAAAATGTTCACATGTGTATGAGGATATATACATGTACATATAAATTTATATATGCACTTAATTTTTACACTTACGAAACCACACATATATACACACACACACATACACGCACACTCTTTAATGCCTTCTATTTTTTTTCCTTTTTTGGTCTAATTTCCCTTCCAAGGGCCTCCTCATACCAGCTCCCTTTTTACCTCATCCCATATAGACACCCTTTAAAAAACTTTTTGTGGGTACATAGTAGGTAGGTGTATATTTGTATGTGGTACTTGATATGTTTTGATACAGGCATGCAACATGAAATAAGCACATCATGAAGAATGGAGTGTCCATCCCATCAAGCATTTACCCATTGAGTTGCAAACAATCCAATTACATTCTTTAAGCTATTTTAAGATGCACAGTTATTATTGACTATAGTCACCCTGTTGTGCTATCAAATAGAAGGTCTTATTCTATTTTTTGTACCCATTAGAAACCTTTTTTAAAAAACAAATATATCTTCCATGCTCATAAATAATGACAATGTTAACAACAATAAATGCTAATGGCTACATAAAGGTTACTATGCTCCAAGCCATTAACAGCTTTATATGTATAGATACATATATCGTACTTTTGAGGGAGGATAAGGGGGAGTCACTGTCACAACAATGGGATCATAATTACACCATGTTCCTTCCACTTGCAACCCAATATCCTGTTTAACCAACAAAATTCAGAATGACCTTAGTTTATTTATCAGGGGAATTTCCTCTCTTCTAGACTTCCCCTTAACCTCCATAACCTGATGCTTTTCACCACTAGGTAGGCTGAAAAAATTGGTTGCCTATACAGTTAACAAAGACATTCTATACTCAATCAAAAATAACTCTGTCTCGCTGTTTTATGTGCATGTATACTGGGAAGCAAATCAAAAAGAAATGTTGGGGGAGAGCAGAATTTATCTTATATTTTAGGCTCACTGTTAAATTGCCACTAGATTCACTTTGATAAATTTTACATACAAAATGTCTGACCTGGGCCTGTTATTAAAGTGCATCAGATTTCTTTTCTTTTCTTTTCTTTTTTTTTTGAGACAGAGTCTCACTCTGTTATTTAGGTTGGAGTGCAGTGGCGCGATCTTGGCTCACGACAGCCTCCGCCTCCCAGGTTCAAAGTGCCTCAGCCTCTCAAGTAGCTTGGACTACAGGCGCGAGCCACCATGCCCGGCTAATTTTTGTATTTTTAGGTAGAGACGGGTTTCACTATGTTGGCCAGGCTGGTCTCGAACTCCTGACCTCGTGATTCGCCCGCCTTGGCCTCCCAAAGTGCTGGGATTACAGGCGTGAGCCACTGCGCCCGGCCGGAATACCAGATTTCTAAACATACCTATAGATTTAATGTCTCTTAAAGCTTGGTTCATTTCCCCATCAACAACAAAGTTTCAAAATGCTCATCAAAATTGGCAGCCAGAAGTTTATTTTATATTAAGGCAGCCAAAAAAATTAAATGCCATGCCTTGGACCTCTCTTCACACTATGAATTCCACTTTTCTCTCCAACCAACCTCTCCTCTACCCACCATCACTTGTAATAAAATTCTGAAACAAACAAAAAACCTGCTCTGCTTAACTTTGCTTCTTATTTCTCCCTAGGTTACCTCCTTCTATTTCCCACCCTACAGGTAGTCTCTGTTTATAACCTAGAGTGTGTTTTTCCTGTTTTCTATAAACATTAAAACTTCCAAACAGTCAAGCTTTTGTTTGTATATAGGAGATCAGTATAAAATAGAGGATGCCAAAGAAACTATCAGAACATAATCATATAATTGTAGAATCACTTATAAGCAATATAGATATTTTAAATTGCAGGAAACATTAAGATGAAAGAAGAAAAATAAAGAAGTGAATACAGAGATAAATTAAGTTACCACATAGAAACACATATATGGACACATATAACAGGAGAAGAGTCTAGTGTATAAAGGTAACTACCTCCATAACTAGTAAATACAAAATAAGATATTCTAACAGTCACAACAAAGAATGCCACATTACATTATTCATAATATATTTATATTATGAATTCACATATTAAAATATTAACTGTTATCTCACATATAAATATGTTATATATTGACATATAACCAGATGATGTCTAAATAATAGATTTTGAGTAACAGAAACCTTGAGGTCACCAAGATGGCGGAATAGAAGGCAACCTACTTATATTCTCTCACAATAAGGTGGTTGATCTGTCCCCCTGAACTGACTTCCAGATTGAAGCCCAGAAACAGCCCAGTCCCCACAAGGGGCTTGGCTACTTCCCTGTTTGCCCATGATCCTGCCACCAAAACCATTTGCCATGGGGTCCAGAAAGAACTGTACACACTAGTGTTTTGGCAGAAAGGCTAGTCTGCCCGCTAGCACTGGTCTCAGCAGTGGGCTGGAAAGTAGCCTTGTGGTGCTGCTCTCACCTTCCTTAGCTGAGGTCCCAGCTCAGAGTTGCTTGCATAAGGACCCAGAGGCAGACTCACCCATATCTCTCAGCCCAGGACTCAGAGCCTCCCTGACAGGCTCACCAACCTCTATCTCACAGCAGATCCCCCTCAGGGCCCCCTCACTGCAGCTGGAGAACTATCCTATCTGTGCAGGAACTTGCTGAAGACACATGCCTCTCTGAGCCAACATGAGACACACCAGCCTCCATTCCCACAGCTGATCCCAAGAGGGCCCAGTCTCAGCTCAAGCCCCTCCTGTTGCAGTTGAGGAATTACCTCACTTGTGCAGGAACCTGCTGGGCGACACATAACCATCTGAGCCAACAAAACAGGCCCCCCAGCCTCCTTTTCACACAGATCCTAAAGAGGTCCAGTCTCACTTCTACCCCCTCTAACTGCAGCTGGGGACCCATCCACCTGTGCAGACACCTGCTGGGATGCATACCTGTCGGGGCCACCAGGACAGACTTCTGGACCCAGGTCCCTGGCCAGTATTCCCAAATAGCCTCAGTACCCTCCTTGGGTCTTCCCCCAGTCCATGAAGGATAGAAAGCCACATAAACTTCAGAGCTCTTGAGAGACCTGCAGCAAGCCTGGGCTTAGAGTGATGTCAAGTGTTGCAGTGGTCACAAGCTCAGGGAACATGAAAGTCAGTCAGCTTAGAATCCCTGGAAGGCCCTCTGAGGAAGGTCAAGTACAAACAAAGCCAGACTGTGAAGACTAAAGTACATACCTAATATATCAATGCACAATACCATCGTACTACCACAAGCATCGAGAACATTCAGGGAAACACGACCTCACCAAATGGACAAAGAAAGGCACCAGAGACAGAATCTAAAGTGAGGGAGATGTGTGATCTCTCAGACAAAGAATTCAAAATGGAAGCTCAACAAACTTTAAGAAAACCCACACAATCTATTCAAAAATTTATCAGAGAAATTTTTAAAAGGTTGAAATACTAATGAAAAAAATCAAATAGAAACCTCGGAGCTGAAAAATAAATAAAATTAAAAATGCAATATAGAGCATCAATAGCAGAATTGATCAAACAGAAGAAAGAATCAGTGAATTCGTTGATAGACTATTTAAAAATACATAGTCAGAGGAGAAGAAAGAAATGAAATGAATGAAAAGGAATGAACAAGGTCTATAGGATCTATAAAACAACATCAAAAGAGCAAATATTGGGGTTACTGGAGTTAAAGAGAGAACTGAGAAAGACAAAGGAGTAGAACGTTTACTCAAATAAGTAATAACAGAAAACTTTCCAAACCAGAATATACAGGTACAGGAAGGTCAAGGGTCACCAATCCGAGTTAACTCAGACAAGAATACTCCAATTTACAAACTCATAAGGGTCAAAGACAAAGAGAGAATTTAGAAAACAGCAGGAGAATAGAAGCAAATAACATATAAGATAGATCCAATATGCTTGGTAGCAGATTTCTCAGCAGAAACCTTACAGGCCAAGAGGGAGTGGGGCAGTATGTTCAGAGTGTTAAAGGAAAAAAACTGCCACCTAAAAATACTGTACGTGGCAAAGTTATTCCTTAGAAATGAAAAAGGGAAATAAAAGATTTCCCGAGACAAACGAAAGCTGAGGGAATTTACTGCTATCAGACCTATCCTATAAGAAATGTGTGATTTCTTAGACACTAAAGGGAGTTCTCCAAACTGAAAGAAAATGATGCTAATGTGATTGTCATACTAATATTCTAATCACGGTGCTTAAACCACATATATCTTTAGTAAGAAGACTAAAAGAAAAAACTATCAAAAAACTGACAATTTGTTAAGAGACAATAACATAAAATGATGACATCAAAAATGCTAAAATGGGGGGAGAAGAGAGTTAATGCGTATAGGTTTTCTTTTTATGGTTTGTTGGTTTTGCTGTTTTGTGATCAAAGTTAAGCTGGTATCAGTTTTAAATACTTGTTGTAACTAGATTTTTTTTGTAAGCCTCATGGTAATCACAGTGCAAAGCCTACAATAGATACACAAAAATCAAAAGTAGCGAATTGAAACATACTACAAGAGAAAATCACTTAACTATAAAAAAAAAGACAGAAAAAAGAGAGGAGTTACACAGCAACTAATAAACAAGTAACAAAATGGCAGTAGTAGGACCTTACCAATCAATAATAACACTGAATGTAAGTGGGCTAAATTCTCCAATTAAAAGACACAGAGTGAGCTGGGCACAGTGATATGCACCTATAGTCCTGGCTGACTGGAAGGCTGAGAGGAGATAATAGCTTAGGCCCAGGAATAATAATAATAAAAAAAAGACATAGAGTGACTCAACAACATAAAAGTGTATACTGCATACAAGAAACTCACTTCACCTATAAAGGCTAACATAGACTGAAAGTGAGGGAATGGAAAAAGATATTCCATAAAAATGAAAACCAAAAAAGAGCAGGAGAAGCTGTACCTATATCAGACAGAATAGACTTTAAGTTGAAAATTATAAAAAGAGACAAAGGGGAGGCTGAGGCAGGAGAATAACTTGAACCTGGGAGGTAGAGGTTGCAGTGAGCCGAGATCATGACACTGCACTCCCGCCTGGGCGACAGTGAGACTGTCTCAAAAAAAAAAAAAAAAAAAAAAAGAAGACAAAGATGGTAATTATACAATGAAAAAAGAGTCAATTCAGCAAGAGGATCTAACAATAGTAAGTATATATGCACCCAACAATGGAGCACTCAAATATATAAAGCAAATATTAATAGATCTAAAGGGAGAGACAGACTTCAATACAGTAATAACAGAGGTCTTCAACCTCACTTTCAGGAATGGACAGATCTTCCAGGTAGAACATCAATAAAGAAAGATCAGAGTTAAACTACATACTAGACCATATGGACCTAATAGACATTTATAGAACATTTCACTTGCTGCTGCAGAATACACATTCTTTTCATCAGCACATAAAACATTCTCCAGGACAGACCATATGTTAGCCACAAAACAATTCTCAACAAATTTTAAAAAGTCAAAATCATGTGAAGTATTTATCTGACAACAGAATAAAAGTAGAGATCAGTAACAAGAGGAACTTTGGAAACTGCACAAATACAGATATTAAACGACATGCTACTGAACAACCAATGAGGCAAGGAAGCAACTAAAAATAAAATTTAAAAATTTCTTGAAAAAATAAAAATGGAAATACAACATACTAGAACAATGGGATGCAGCAAAAGGAGTGCTAAGAGGGAAGTCGGCCGGGTGCGGTGGCTCACGCCTGTAATCCCAGCACTTTGGGAGGCCGAGACAGGCAGATCACGAGGTCAAGAGATCGAGACCATCCTGGCCAACATTGTGAAACCCCGTCTCTACTAAAAATACAAAAATTAGCTGGGTGTGGTGGCGCATGCCTGTAGTCCCAGCTACTCAGGAGGCTGAGGCAGGAGAATCGCTTGAACCCAGGAGGCGGAAGTTGCAGTGAGCCGAGATCGCACCACTGCACTCCAGCCTGGTGACAGAGTGAGACTACGTCTCAAAAAAAAAGAAAAGAGGGAAGTCTATAGTAATAAACACCTCAATAAAAAGACTCCAAATAAACAATCTAACAATGCACCTCAAGAAACTAGAAAAGCAAGAACCAACCTAAAAATTAGTAAAAGAAGTAATAAAGATCAAGCAGAAATAAATGAAATTGAGAATAAAAAAATTACACAAGATCAACAAAAAAAGTTGTTTTTATTAAAAAAGATAAACAAAATCAACAAACCTTTAGTTAGACTAAGAAGCAAAGAGAAAAGACTCAAATAAATAAAATCAGAGACAAAAAAGAAAACATTACAATTGATACCATAGAAATACAAAGGATCATTAGAGACTATTATGAACAGCTTTATGCCAACAGCAGTAGAGAAACAGAAAACCTCAACAAACCAGTAATGGGTAACGAGATGGAAGCAGTCATAAAAAGTCTCCCATCACAGAAAAGCCCAGATCTGATGAATTTCCTGCTGAATTCTTTCAAACATTCAAAGAAGAACTAATATCAATTATACTCAAACTATTTCACAACATTGGAGAGGAGGGAATACTTCCAAACTCATTCTATGAGGCCAACATTACCCAGATACCAAAACCAGACACATACATAATAAAAACAACACATTAAACCATCAACAAGCTCACAGAGGTAGGATGCCCAAATCCTGGCCAAAATATAACATGTAAATGGGGGTGTGTGAAAGAGTATGCAGTTGGCCCTCTGTATCCATGCATTCCACATCTGTGGATTTAATCAACTGTGAGTCAAAAATATTCAGAAAAAAAAAGATGGACGGTTCCATCTATACTGAACATGTACAGGCTTTTTTCTTGTCATTATTCCCTCAACGGTACAGTTTTAACAATTTACACATTTACATTGCAGAAAGTATTATAAGTAACCTAGATATGATTTAAGGTATACAGGAGATGTGCATAGGTTACATGCAAATACCACACCATTTTAACTTTTTTGCTTTTTAGAGACAGGGTCTCACTCTATCACCTAGGCTGGAGTGCAGAGGTGCAATCAGCACATCCTTGATCTCCCTGATTCAAGGGATCCTCATGCCTCAGCCTCTTGAGTAGCTGGGAATACAGGGACATGCCACCATGCCTGGCTAATTTTTTATTACACCATTTTTTATCAGGACCTTCTGTATCCATGGTTTTGGTAATGGAGGGGGAGGTTCCTGGAACCAATCTTCCATGGGTGCTGAGGGACAACTGTGTATGCATGCATGTGTAGGGGATAGGTAATAACAAAGAAGAACAAGGAAGATGGGGTAACTTTCCTTGTTTTTTTCAGAAAGGGTAAAAATTTAGTGTTGTATTTCCTCCTTGGATGATTCTTTTGTTTTATATTTGTTATATTAGAGATTACATTATAATATATATTCAAAGTCTGAAAATGTTTGGTAACAATTCCACATTGCTTTATGGGAAGCTTATTTTGTTTTTAAGATATTTTTCATTGTAACATGACAGTTTTTTACTGATGATCCAATTCCACTGTAAATGCACGCATATAGATGGGTGCACACAGATTCTAAACTTATTTTAGGCCAACTATACGATATGCTTGTTAACATTTACAGAAAATTGGCCAGGCATGGTGGTTCTTGTCTGTAATCCAAAAGCTTTGAGCGGTCATGCGGGGAGGATTGCTTCAGGCCAGGAGTTTGAGACAAGCTGGGCAACATAGCGAGACCCCCATCTCCACAAAAGTAAAAAAAAAAATTGCCCAGTAGTCTCAGCTACTCAGGAGGCTGAGATGGGAGGATGGCTTGAGCCCAGGAGGTTGGGGCCACAGTGAGCGATGATCACACCACTATACTCCAGCCTGGGTGACAGAGCAAGACTCTCTCTCTCTCTCAAAGTAAAAGAAAAAAAAAATTACAGGGTATAAGAAAAATAAATAATATTACTTCTATTAAATATGGTGATTAAAATTTTCTTTGATCATTTTTAGAAAGTTTTCATGGACATTCTGTGATATCCTAAAAGACAATAGTTAAAAAAAAAAAGAAGACTGACACTTCTGGGTGACATTCACAAGGAAGAACAGCATCCAGCAACCAAAAAAACCTTACCAACAACAGCTGAGGGCTAAGACCAGCCGACTCCAAAGTGTGACACATATCCTCAGTGGAGCTTTCTCCATGCAAACACTTCCAAAAAAAGAAACTACCTGGTAGAAGAAAAACAAAGCACATTAATCAATGACTACTTACCATTTGGACTAACAATCTTATTGAATCACAATCTGGAATTCCAGAGAAACAAAACATTATGAAGGAAGAGAAATTAATTGTTCAATTTGCTTGATTTATTAAAGCAGAAAGCAAATCATGATCCAATATTGTCTCTTTAGTATACTCATTAATACAACCTGTTGACCAGAGTATCTTTTGTTGGCCAAAAAATACAGTACATTAAATCCTTTCATTATTTAAATTTCAAAACAAATGGAATCTCTGAGATGCTATATGTTCCTACCATGTTTTCTTCTAAAAGAAGAGGCATACAAAGACCAGTGTATTATTTTACCTACCTAAAGCCACATATTCCTCTTCACTTATTTTCTTTATGTTGAGCACATCCTTTTCATATTCTAAATATTCCAAGAATGTTTTTACAGGCAACACACCATCTTTATCATCAGAAAATCGAACATTTGTCCTGGTGTTCTCTTGCTTATATTTCTCTAGTAATGCCTGGAGCTTAAGCAGTTCTTTTTCATCAAGCCTTAGTAACAGAGCCAAGTCCTTTAAAACAGAAAACAAAACAAAACAACATTCCACATCTATCACCCACATTATCTGAACTGAAATTCAAGGCTGTAAGCAAAAGTCGACTTTTTAATTAATATAATACCTATCATGTATTCTGCTTAAAACTTTACTTACAAATCACGTTTCATGAGTAGGAAGTTATTTAAATAAAGTAAACTATAATTTTGAAACACTGCATGTTTGGTACCAAACCAAACATGGTACTAGAGGTAGGTACTAAAAGAAATGGTATTAAAAGTACCATTTTAGGATATTTCTTGAGGGTACTTTATTATCTTCTAGAATGTTAGCATTTTTTTTTTTTTTTTGAGACAGGGTCTCACTTTGTTACCCAGGCTAGAGTGCCTTGGCACAATCATGGTTCACTGCAGCCTTGACTTCTTGGGCTCAAGCAATCCTCCTGCCTCAGCCACCTGAGTAGCCGGGACCACAAGTGTGCACCACCACATCCAGCTAATTAAAAATTTTTTTTTTTGTAGAGGCAGGGTCCCACTATGTTGCCCAGGCTGCTCTCGAACTCCTGGGCTCAAGTGATCCTCGCACCTCAGCTTCCCAAAGTGTTAAGGTTACAGGTGCAAGCCACTATGCCTTGGCAAATGCTAGAATTTTAATAAACATGTATTACTGTATAATCAGAAAAAAATTTAAAAGGGTGTCAAACGCAACTCTTACTATTCTGAGGAAACTAAATATTGAACTTAAATGCTTAATTATAAAGCAGCGTAAACACTATAAAATAAAAACATAGAAAAATATTCTCATTGTATCTACATATAAGTCCTGTATGTGGCTCTCAGGGATACAACCTGCTAGGCTTTCAAACTATTTTTATATACTATATGTACAAAAACATATCATGGCTGGGCATAGTGGCTTATGCCTATAATCTCAGCACTTGTATAAATAATATAAATATAGCAGCAAAGCACAGAGAGCTAGCAGGGGGCTTGGTAAGGAAAATATACCTTTAAAGCTTTAAAAAAAATTCTTAATTTTCTACTTCTTTACTACTAATTTTAAAAAGTAAAACTAATCAAAGAGATTATTTTATATAATATAAAATGTGGGATTACTCACATTATCAGAGAATGGTGTGTCTAAATGAAAATCAAGGGAATTTAATTGACTGACAGACTCATAGAGTTGCAGCAGTTTTAGTTTATTGGCACAAAACTGTAGCAATCCTTCATCAACAGACTCAAGTTCTAAAAGGCAGAAGGAAAAGTATATATAAGAGATATATTTAACAGACTCATAAACAGGCTTTGCTTTCATTAAATCTCTCAATATTATGTAATTCCCTGATGCTCTGATGTATTAAATACTGAGATGCTTAAGCTATACCAGGTTTTGAAAGCAAAAATAATTTTTCTGTCATGACAAAATGTCTAACTTTTTAAATAAAATAAGATGCTCTAAAAGTAGGGAGATAAAAAAGGAAGCGGAAATATCTTCATCTAATACTTAAAATTTAAAGAAATTATCTGGAAATACCTTTGAAAATATTTTCCCTGACTACATAATTCATATACTGTATGAATATTTATATCTAATATAAAAGAAATATTTATTCTTTAAAAAGGGAGACACTGATAATCCCCTCAAAATCTTATTTGAAATACAGTATCATGGAATATTGTTCAAGTTCTTATAGCCATAATAAAACTGACCACACAAAATGATTAAAGTTTTTAGGAATCTTATGTTTATGTAGAACTTGAAACTGATGATTTTATGGAATTCCAACAATGGTGTTTGGTTTACTACCAGGCCAGTGGAAGATAACTTTTCATTTAATAAATTTTGGGATGTTGTGAATGCCTTGAGGGGTGGGAGGGCTTTGTAAGTATACCACGCTTTTTAAAAGAGGGATTTATTTCTGACAAGTGGTGTATGCTAAAGGAGTTCACTATTTGCCAATGTCAGTTTTATGTATCTGTTAAAAAAAAAAGGTTGAAAAAGAGTCTCAAAATTAGCATGTTTGAAGTCCTGAAAGAACAAATTATAATTTGTGTATTAAGCCACTTTAAGCTGTCTTACACACAACTAAAACACAAAGCTGGTTTTACATAATTAATATGACAAACAAAAGTCACAACTAGATGACATCAGTCCACTGCACACAATTTAACTGATGTTAGGAATTCAGAATAAAGTGAATTTTTACTAGTTCAGTTGGATGGAATATGGTGTTACAACCCCACAGTTTCAAGTTTCAAGTGTAATCCTTTTTCAGACAAATACATTTTGACGGACTGATGGATTTTAAAGAACAATGTGATAGTACAGACAAATTTTGAATATCAAAAAATGACCAGAAAATTCAGAAATAATAATCTGATTGTTGATTGTGATTCTGGAAGTCCTTAACTCTGTTCACGAGGGAAACTGATACACTGATAGAACATTAATACAAAGCTATATCAGAATAACCACTTATCATTCTATCCTGACATCTTTCCTCACAATTAAAAACAACTTCCCAATAACAGTCAATACATTCAAAGACAGCTTAGATGAAGATCAACTACATATATTAAATAGGGAATAAATAAGATTCTTAATTTCTTATATCTATATTACTTCCACATTAAAGTAACATGATGGTATCACAAAGTCAATAGCTTTCTATAATCAGAGTTACAAAATTTGAGTTAAGAACATAACCTCCAATCAGTACAAACCCTATTACCTTGACTTTTTAAAGTGTCCATTAAAGTCTGAGTGATGTTTCTAAGGCAAGAAAATGGTAAACGTTCACTTGCCAAAATGCTTTCCAAAGCCTAGGAGAAAGATATTGAACAGTTCTAGTAATTATAAGGCAGTGATTTTGTTTTTTAAATCTTATATTTATGCCCAAACTTTCACTACCCCAAATTTCAAAGGGAAGCTCTATATTTAAGATGTTTTAGTGTACATATATTAAATCTCAAGTTGCGTTGTTAAGTAATATACAATCAACTTCATGTCATGCCAAATATGACATAAATGACAAAAATCCAGGCTGAGAATAAAACAACTAGAAGGCAACTGCTACTTAACAGAATAGCCAAATCAAAACAGAAACAAAGATAAAGCTATTTACCAATAAGAAGAGTTTGAATATGCCTATACTATATAGGCATAAACGAAAAGCAGAGGTTATTGTCATGTCAATAACAAAAGCTGCCAAAAACTTAGTTATACCTTAATTATTGCATTTGTGCATGGCAGGCAGAATCTATAGGCCCTGCTAGATGAATACAGTACCCACCCTTCCCTACCTCCCTCTCCCCACCCCCATAGATATTTAAGATTCTTCATAACCAGTCCCAAAATATCTCTTCATGCCTAAAGTAGCAACTATCAGAAGTTAAAGGTCATATTTATCCTTTCATATTAGCACATTAAGTTGGGTTTTAATTAATGAGATTAAATAGTTCAAAAAGTAGGCTGAGAATGTGGGATAAGACAAATATCCGATCATAACACAATAACCTCTGCGTGTTTGTGGAGGAGAAATGGGCTTAGAGGGTGGCTCAAGATGTTGGTCAGGCCTATAATGAAGTAACTACCAGGAAACAATAAAGAAAGTGACTGTAAGAGGCCAGAACCCAGGACAAGCATAACCTGCTCCAGTTCTGCCTATGATTACCCAGGCTAGCAGCTAGCTTGTTTTCTTCCCCATTATTCAACAGTCTCCCAAAGCCTGAACTGGTTTCTTCCTTCCCTTTAGTCAGTCCTAGAAGACCTATAACTTTTGTTACTGGGTTTTCTAGCATTCTTTATAAAATTCACAGCTTCATACATGATTCAGAAGTACCATTAAAAAAAAGAAAATCAAGAAGACATTTTGCATTATGCTGGTTTCCCAATTTTGTTGTTCTATGATTTAGGATAAGAAGAAAGATGGCATAAAAATGAGAAGAACCGTGTGGGTTATGACCCTTTCTACTACAGATTTCTCAATATGCCTCTCTAGATGCCCACTTTGTCATCATCATGTCATCTCTAATAACAGAGACTTTACCCTGAGCAAAATGAGAGCCAATTAGCATTGTCAGTAGAATGGAAGACACAATTAAAAGTCACAAAGGCTTTTCTGTTCTACAATAACTCAATAAAGTGTTTTAAAAACGGACTGCAACAGAAATCACTATTCACTAAATTCTCCCATGTATCACTATTCACTGAATTCTCCCATGTATGTAGCTATAAAATAATAAGAAATATACATATTGGTCTATGGCCCCAGTACCTGACACAGAGTTCCTATAATTTCTTGAACAATGGGGGTGCTAGGAGTTTCTTTTGTTCTAGTGTTTGGTCTCTGTCCTAGTTCATCAGTCAGAGCTCTTAATCCCTTTGTAGACAGAGGTGCTAGGAGAACCTTTTGTTCTAACATTTGGTCTTTGACCCCCCATTTCTGATGGGGAGCTTCTAAGACCTCTGTAATTTCCTGGGTGATAGAAGCTTCTTTTTTTCTAATGAGGCCACTCATGGCAGGCTCCTGGAGAGCTTCAGAATAAGGGGGTGGTTACCAGTGGAACCAACCATGTATTTGAGGATTGAAACTTTTAGCCCAACCCCTGACCTCTGGGGAGCCAAGAGGAGCTGGAAGACTGAGTTGATCACCAATGGCCAATGATGTAATCAATCATGCTTATATAATGAAGCTTCCATCAACACCCAAAAGGACAAGGGTTGGAAGAGCTTCTGGATAGCTGAACGTGTAGAGGTTCCTGAATAGTGGCTTGCCAGGAGAGGGAATGGAAGCTCTGCAACCCTTCCCATATGATTTACTCTATGCACCTCTTCCACTTGGCTGTTGATCTCTACCCTCTGTAATATCCTTTATAATAAATGGGTAAACGTTCAAGTAAAACGTTTCCCTGAGTTCTGTGAGCTGGTCTAGCAAATTCATCAACCGCAAAGAGGGGGTCATAGTAACCCTAATTTATAGCTAGACAGTCAGAAATATAGCTGACAACCAACTACTTGTGACTGGTACCTGAAGTAGGTAGAAGTCTTGTGGGACTGAGCTCTTAACCTGTCGTGATGATCTCATGCTATCTCCAGGTAGATGGTGTCAGAATCGAACTGAATTAGAGAATAACCAGCTGGTGTTAGCTGGAGAATCTGCCAAAGAAATTGACTGGTGTGTGGGAAAAAAAAAAAAAACCCTACATCTAGTGGCAGAAGTGTCGAGTGACTGTGTAAGAGAAAAGAAAAAACCTGTGATACAGTTTTTTCTTACATTTTCACAGTAGCATTATTTTAGATGCTGTGAATTATAAAAATCAAGTATTTGGTAAGGTTCCTACTTGAAGGAGCTTAAAAGACCTAAAGAAAAAAAAGTCGGGGAAGCTATGATTAACATACATGAAATAATTAGAAAATAAGTAGTCATTAACTATCCAGTTTTGATTGAAAGTAGAGTAGGAGTTCAGAGTTATCCATGGGGATCGAAGCATTATGTAAGAATTTGTGGAGTTAGGACTTGAATAGCATTATGAGGGGTTTGGATAGGAGGAGTGGGAGTAAAAGAAATCACCAGTGGTGACCATATTATAACCACGAGCCTGGCAAAAAGTAAAGGTCTGGCAATACCATGGAATATTGAGGCTGTGGAGTAACAGGGACTCATACAGAACAGGTGGGAATATAAATTAGTACAACTATTTTGGGAAACAATTTGCCATCAACTAGTACAGTTGAAGAAGCTCACACCCTAGCAATTCCACTCTTAGGTATAAACGCCAGAGAGACTCTTGCATATGTGAATGAGGAAATATGTACATGGATAAGCATAGCATCATTTGTAATGTCAAAAATCTGGAAACAACCTAACCGTTCACTGACAGGAGTGTAAATAAATTCTAGTCAGTGAGCAGAATTTGTATGGCATAGTAAATGAATCAATTATAACTATAACTACATACACCAATATGAATGACACAGAAACATAATCCTGAAGGAAAAACTAAAGTCACAGAAGACATAGGGCATGACTGCATTTATATAAAGTTTGAAAAGGCAGGAAATGCATCAACAGGTTTCAAAGGAGCCACACAGGAATGACGTAACTATAAAGTAAAGAAAAAGAAAGAACCACAAAATTCTAAATTACAGTTACCTTAGGGATGGGAGAAGGGAATGGGACTGAGGGGGGACACTCAGGGCTCTTTAGAGTTCCTGGTAAGATTTTATTTCCTAAGGTAGGTGGTCATACACACATATTTACTATTTTATATATATAATATATATAATGTAGGGATGTGTAGGTATGTGTATATAAAACACACTCAGATGTATGGCAACCCAGGCTGGAGTACAATGGTGCAATCTCAGCTCACTGCAACCTCCGCCTCCCAGGTTCAAATGATTCTCCTGCCTCAGCTCCTGAGTAGCTGGGATTACAGGCGCCCGCCAATACTGACCCAACTAATTTTTTTGTATTTTTAGTAGAGACGGGGTTTCACCATGTTGGCCAGGCTGGTCTCGAACTACTGACCTCATGATCCCCCTGCCTCGGCCTCCCAAAGTGCTAGGATTACAGTTACAGGCATGAATATTAATTTTTTTTTTTTTTTTTAAAGAGACAACAGGAACTTCTATCTGAAAATAAAGAAAGGGATAAACAATAAAAATGTGAAAAGAAGACTTCAGCCTCTCATGTTTGGGGGAAATAGGAAAATAAAGATTTTCTTAAGAAGGATGTATTATAGCTACTAGCAGGAAAGTTCGTGTATTATATACACTTACTTGTTTTTTGGTTGCAGGGTATTTAATATCAAGAATTAATTCCTTTATTTCTGTTTCAACCAAATCTATAAAGAAAAAAATAATCAAAGTAAAATTTTAATTTTTATAACAGTGAAACATTATTCTGAAAGAAAATGAACATATCTGTACTATCAGTGAGTCTAAAGGATTTTTGGGTTCTCTCACATTAATGTTTTCTTGTTATGAATTATAACACCCTCTAGATGGCACACTTCAGCCTTACAGAGCAATTCCAATAAGCTCATCCATGCATTATTTTGATTGCTCCATTCAGAATATTTTATTGATTTAAAAGATGATAGAACAATATGCTTTATTATTTGTATGAGAGAATACCTACCAAGATTGGGAGATTTTGTTTTCAGTAAGGCTGCTAGTTTCTTCACTAGGTGCATATCCTTGGCTCGTTCACTCTTCTTATCACTAAACCAATAAATATAACAAATTATTACAGAATGTGAAATTATTTTCTTTCTAATTCTGACACACTCCAACTTTTTTTTCCTTTATATATTTCCTATTTAACTTTAAAGATATCAGTCTAAAGACAAAGGAAACAACAAAATAGCAACTACAAAAGAGAGTACAACAAACCTAGGAACTAGGAAAAGTTAGCAGAGGAGCGTCAATCAGCAACACTGGACACACCTTACCTCAGTGCTAAATGGAAGGGAACGTTCACTGTTTTCACACTTCCAGACACTGGATCAACCAGACAGATCTGATAAGTCTGTGGCTGCCAACTCTGACTGGTAACATTATTTAAACCCATTATTTTATAGCCAGGATACAGCAGCCTAAAGAAATCACATACCAATATGGTAAAAATATTAGAACAAGGAGAAATGCCAAAAGGTGCTTTTATTATAGCTAGGAAACCCAACATTATTATCAATTTAGGAGCATTAATAAGGCAACTAAATACTGATAGCAAGTACATAAGTAAAGCAGGGCTCAACCAGCAGAGTTCTGCCTTGTTGAAAGATTCTAAAAAATTAAATGAACACAATCAGGCCCCTGTTTCAATGGCAAACAAAGCATTCACCTCACTTATGACTAGGGCAAAAGGAACCTTTCCTTTTGAGCCTTCCCAGCATAAGTAAGGGACAAACATTAGCAACAAGCTAACTTTAATTCAGCAGTCTATCATGGCATTTTTAATTTTTTTTTTTTGTTATTAAATACTTAAGTACATGCCAGGCACTCACAGGAAAAACCACAATAAAGAATATTGTAATTCTCAAACTTGTAATCTAATAAGCAGCTTTAGTAAAGCTTTATTTTAATAAAAGCATTCCTATATTTCATTTTGTAACCAGCACAATGCCAGCATTTGCAGCTTACCTGCAGTGCTTCCCCACATTGAAAGCTCCTACTCTAGGTCCCTGCTGTGTGCTCCACACTTCTAAAATTCCCCTTCTTGGCGCATAGATCACAAGGAATTGAGCTACTCGACTTGGACCCTGAGAATTTCCAAAGGGGGAAAAATCTGCCTTTTCTGGCACTCTTTCATGGAGGTCCTCTACAGTTTGAATCCATCCAATTTGTGCGTCGCGGTACCCTTAGAGACAGAGGTAAAGGGAAGTTAATTACTTAATCTAGGTTCCATAGTAGCCTCCTGAAGTACTCTGGAATAGTGGGGGTGGGGGTGGGGGTGGGGTAAGAAAAGCTATAAAAGTATATTTTTTATTATGGAATATCTTAAATAAAAAATGATAATAAATAATAACCAGTCTATCACCCAGCCTTATCAAATCTTACTATTTTGCTATATTTACTTCTGACCACTTTTTCTCTTTAAAAAGAAAATATTGGCTGGGCACAGTGGGTCATGCCTGTAATTCCAGCACTTTGGGAAGCTGAGGCGGGTGGATCACCTGAGGTCAGGAGTTCGAGACCAGCCTGACCAACGTGGTAAGACCCTGTCTCTACTAAATACAAAAAATTAGCTAGGCATGGCGGCGCATGCCTGTAATCCCAGCTACTTGGGAGGCTGAGGCAGGAGAATCAGTTGAACCCAGGAGGTGGAGGTTGCAGTGAGCCCAGATCGCACCATTGAACTCCAGCCTGGGCAACAAGAGCGAAACTCTCTAAAAAAAAAAAAAAGAGAAAAGATTATAGATATAATTGAAGCCACCTGATTACCCCTCCTGCTCTCATTCCCTTCCCTTCCCACACAAGCCTTTTGGTGACATGCAGATAGAAAATATGGGTTACAGGACGATGGGAGGAAGCTCTTGCATGGGAGACGTAGCTGATGCTATTTTCCATTTTAGGGTGGTCCCTCACATAGGCAATTGATCCTTCTTTCCAAGGACACAATGGAAAGAAAAACTGGCTGTACTAGCTGCAGACAGGCAATGATGCAAGGAATAAGATTGCCATAGTGGATTTGGAGCAGTCAGTACAGCTTCGTCTTCGTATTTTAGAAAAGTCTTGCTGAGAACATACCTTTGATATTGTTTCAGAAGACAAACACCAAGGAGAAATGATGTATCTGCAGTATTAAAACTATTTCTACAGATACTGAGACATGTAGTAGGTAAAGACTGCCTCTGTCTATCACTGCAGGAGTTCTTTGGCAAGAAGGTGATAGTGGCTTCAATCTGGTCCAGAGTAATTGAATGACCTCAATCCATTCATTATTCCTCACATTTTACAGGATAGACAAGATTGCACCATAAATTGTGGTCTATGCTGACATGTTACTATTCCAGATGATTCTAAATAATGTAATCATCCCTTCTTTCTTAGTCAGGGAGATATTATTCACAATGTGCCTAGTTAAAAGATATTTTCAAGTCTCCCTTATAGTTAGATGAGGCCATGTCACTAAGTCCTGGCTAATGTAGATAATGGTTGAAGGGACTTCGGGGAATATCTTCAAAGTAGATTGACTCAGTTGCCAGGAGAAGCCTTCTTCCTTTCTGCTTCCTTCCCGGAATGCAGATAAGAGGGCTGTCTATGAGAACCTTGAGTGGGGAAGCTACAAGGAAGAAGACTGGGTTCCTGAAGATACTGTG
The DNA here is from genome assembly GCF_000001405.40 of Homo sapiens. Taxonomy (NCBI): domain Eukaryota; kingdom Metazoa; phylum Chordata; class Mammalia; order Primates; family Hominidae; genus Homo; species Homo sapiens. The sequence continues at coordinate 220,192,747 of NC_000001.11, forward strand.
GTCTGTTACTCAGGTCTGTTAATAATAGCTGAAGGAAACTCCTAAGTGACATACTTATTGACACACCAGGTGGATTGACCCAAGCATATGGATATAAAAGTCAAGTCAGTGAAGATGGGTTTTGCTATCTTAAATCTGAAAGACTTGGCATTATAGATTTGGGGAGAACATTTGGCTCAAGAATGGCTTTGTGAAGGGGAATAAATGTAGCAGGGGCAAGAAACTGAACTCAGAAATTGACAATAACAGTGAGAATTGAAAGAAAGTGCAAAAGGCAAAGGTTAAACATGGCTATGAGGTGATCAAACCTAAAAGATGTATCAACTGACTACTGGACCAAGTGGTTGCTGATCTGAGTTCATGTCAAAAAAAGAAAATGTAAACATGAAGAATTAAACAGAGTTATCATCCAGAAGCTGAAGGATGATAACATTGCTCAACTATTGGGGTAAAAAGTGAATTAATTGTTTTTCTGGATTTTTGTAAGAAGTACCTTTCCACATGCGTATTGCAATTCCTCTAGCTACATCCAATAAAATAACTCTGCCGAAATCATCTGTTACTGCTGCCAGTGTGTTACATGGAGACAGACATATGCTTTCACCATGGCGTCTAGAATCTGGAAGTCCAAATCTGATATTTAAAAGAAAATAAAATGCTCAAATCACATTCCAGTTCAGAAACATATAACAGAATAACGAAATGCATAAATGAAATAGGCTGAATCTGTTTTTATATAAAGAAATATGAATTTTACCTGGATTAATAGTTAATTTATTAATCACAACTGACATTTGTAATATAAAATACATAAAAGAAATAAAACCACAGTCCTATGTAGGTTTTCAATAGATACCCACAACCCTATACCTTTAGAGAATATAAAGTATAACTATATTTGATTAAAAGGCATGTCACAGAAAACAATGTCCTCACCATCAACTAAATTTTAGAATATGCTCCCACACAGGCATCTTTTGTCTATTTTAAATTCTTCTTCTTAATCTTTCTCTTTTTTGCAAGATATGACATCCTGCTGACACCAATCTGCCTGAAGCAAAAACCTTCCTTTTTCTAAATAGTTATCTCTAAACTTCTGTTGTTCTATAATCAACCTCATTAGAATTGTGAGTAAAATAAAAGTAAAGAAGTACTAAAAGAGAACTAGGAAAGCTCATTTAGAGAAAAGTCCCTGAAACAAAGGTGCCCAACCTTTGTTACATCTATTAGAGACGCACAGGGCCATGTGACTAATTTATTGACTCTTGATATTAGGAAATGTGATATGTTACAATGTATTTTTTAAAAAGATGAAAAAAAACTTAGAAGCTATACTTCGATAAATTTTAATAATTAGTTGGCTCTTCTTAGGTGAAGAACATCCATAAAGAGGAGGTGTTCTATTTCCCTTCATGGTGGTACTTTATATTAGGTAATAAAAAATGATTTTAAAACAAAACCAAACATTAGAAAACATGCTCCTATCTAAAAAATAATAATGAAAAAAAAAAGCAACAAAAATCATGCTCCCTCCACCAAAAAAAACTCACCAATATACTAACACATTCTAAAGCACTACTGAAGTAAACAAGGAAGCACAGGACAGGAGTCTGTTTAAAGAGTGCCTGAATACAGGACTCCTGCTTTTACTTTTTTTTTTTGAGATGGAGTTTTTCGCTCTTGTCCCCCACTCTGGAGTGCAACAGTGCAATATCGGCTCACTGCAACCTCTGCCTCCCGGGTTTGAGCAATTCTCCTGCCTCAGCCACCGGAGTAGCTGGGATTACAGGCACATGCCATCATGCCTGACTAATTTTTGTATTTTTAGTAGAGACAAGGTTTCACCATGTTGAGCAGGCTGGTGTCAAACTCCTGACCTCAAGTGATCCGCCTACCTAGGCCTCCCAAAGTGCTAGGATTACAGGCGTGAGCCACCGCAATCCACTAGGATGACTTTTTTAAAAAGAAATCACTAAGTACTTTTAAAGTTTATACAACTTAGTAACAAACTATCTAAACTTTTAAAAGAAATTTAACAGCTATCACTGAATTAATTCTCCTACAACTAAGCTAAGTTTATTTGTTAAAAAGCACACTCAAGAAATACATCTTGAATACCTAGTATATAACAGGGATAAAGCTGTGAACAAAACAGGTAAGAATCACTCTTCACATGGAGTTTTACATTCTAGTGGGAAAAGAAATTCCACTGTAATGGCTTTCAGAAGTTCCAAAGACAAGATCAGCAAATCAACCAAGCACACGGAAAGACCATACATTTAACAGTACCTTTCTAAAAGGACTAAAATTTGGGAAGCATGACAGACTTGCCTTACAGCTAATGGGGTAGCTGGCTCAACCTTCGGCTTTTGCTTTTGGACAGCTTCTTCTTCGTGCTTACTTTTCCAACCAAGCCAACCACTGAAAAGAAAGAAAACTTAGAATATAAAACTGAGCTTCCAGGGTTTTAAAGTGCAAACTATCAAAATATAAGTTAAAAGCAAGCTAGATACAAATGAGATATTTGTTATTTTAATTGTTAAGTAATTACCTGGCAGCATTAAATAAAGCAGAAGTGAGTTTACTTGCAACTGCTAGTGCAACATGGGATAATAATGGTTGTGTGCTTCCCTGAAAAACAGAACATTTGAAAGAGAAAACTTAGTAGCTTACAAAGAAACAAACATACTTTCTAAATAAAGCTTACTTTAAAATGCTTTGAAAAGTTGTAAAGGCTGGACTAGCAACTCAGCTTCTTTCAGAGTACAGTAAAAAGTTTATTTTAGGCGTAATATGAGAAAAAGTTTTAACTCTATAGTTTAAAAATAAAATCACAATTAGTCTATTTTACCATTAGAATTTCTCTCTTTAAATTGTAATTTCATTCAAATAAATTTTAAACTAGGACATTAAGATTACATTATTCTAGCTGGACTATGGATTTCACACCTACACATAACTGGCTCCTTTCTCTCTTTAAATATATATATATGCACACACATATACACACACACATTTTTATAAAAGTAAAAAGATATTTTGGACAATTCTGAGAAGCATGCTTTTTAAGTGAGAAACAAGAGCTGCCAAATCTAACACTCAACTTTCCACTATTTTAGGAAGCAATTTTCACCACTTATAACAAGTATAGTTGGCAGCTTGTTCTGTCTTTACAACTCCTCATTTACTCAAATCCCTAGTGGGCTGGCATCATTAACAAGCCTGAGCTCCTGACTATTGCACCAATATTTAAAGACATCTCAGCTATCAAAGAACTCAGGGCTTCAGAAACAAAGAATTTCCTTTTATACTGATGGTAGTACCTTTTCAGTTAATCTAAAGAATTTAGAAGAAAGCTAGTTGAGATTAATTTTAGTTTCAATTGAAATTTAGAAATGTAAACTGCTTAATCTTCTAAGGCTAAGCAAGTTACCATATCCAATTTGTAGACAAATTGTAAAATCAAGAGCAGCCTTACTCATGATCATTGATAAAACTCATACCTCTAAAGCATAGAAGAAGCCAGTAAATGGATTGGACCCTACAGTGATATACTGAGACATGGCAGGTGGACTATTTTTAATTGCTGCATTAAATCCACCTATATTGGAGGCAGTCTTCATTTGATCAAAGGGGGACAGAGTCATAATACCTAATAAAAAAAAAAAAGTGATTTGAATGTACAATGTTATTGCGGTCATTACATTTTTACTTCAGTTCCATTCTAAGATGCTAAATGTTTAGTTTTATTTAATAACCAAAAGTCATTTTAAAAGCTACAAAGTCAACATCAGAAAATATTCTGCCAGGCATGGTGGCTCACTCCTATAATCCCAGCACTCCGGAGGCCAAGGCAGTTGGATCACTTGAGGTCAAGAGTTTGAAATCAGCCTGGCCAACATGGTGAAACCCCGCCTCTACTAAATATACAAAAATTAGCCATGCATGGTGGTGGGTGCCTGTAATCTTAGCTACTTGGGAGGCTGGGGCAGGAGAATTGCTTGAACCTGGGAGGTGGAGGTTGCAGTAAGCTGAGGTCACACCAACTGCACTCCAGCCTGGGCAACAGGGCGAGACCCCATCTCAAAAAAATAATAATAATAAATATTAAAATTTCCATCTATAATTTCCATAATCTATAGAATATCATAAAAACAAAATTTAATTTTTTGAACAGATATGAAACTCAGAGGTACCAGAAGTATACAGTCCACTTATATCCCCAAATACCAATTCACTTCTTTTTTTTTTAGTTTTTGAGATGGCGTCTCACCCTGTCGCCCAGGCTGGAGTGCAATGGTGCAATCTCAGCTCACTGCAACCTCTGCCTCCCAGGTTCAAGCGATTCTCTTGCCTCAGCCTCCCCGAATGGCTGGGATTACAGACGCGCACCACCATGCCCAGCTAATTTTTGTATTTTTAGTAGAGACGAAGTTTTGCCATGTTGGCCAGGCTGGTCTCAAACTCCTGACCTCAGGTGATCCTCCAGCCTCAGCCTCCCAAAGTGTTGGGATTACCGGTGTGAGCCACTGTGCCCAGCCAATATAGGCGTGTGCTGCTGTGCCTGACCTTACTAAATTTCATATACATATATTTCAGGCCTCCCCTTTGCCTGAAAACTGTCAAAAAATGCATTCGTCCTTAAGACGTGTCCTAGGAAAGGAAATTCTTTGAGTGAGTTCATACGCAAGCCATTCACTGGCTTTATAGGAATTAAAGTGATCAAACAAATCCTTGGACTATTTTTTAAACTCCCCTCCCACCTCCTAGACCATTATAAAAGATCAGAACACCTATCTCATAGTCATGAATGAATCCATGATTCAGTATACAAAATGTTTTCACTACATTACAAAATTTGCTTAAGTTTTGCCTGACTCCACCAAAACACGATCAAAGGGCAAACTATATGGCACATAAATTGAAATTTAAGTTTTAAAACAGCTTCTTTTTAAACTCCCATGCAATATACATGGGAGTATAAATTACTACACAGTAATCCAGAGGACAATTTTGCAATAGATATGCAATTTTTTTAAAGGATTCTAATTTATTGTAAGGAAATGGCTGATCAATCCTTTCCATCCTTGCTACCAATGATGTTTTCCTTCCTATAACTTAAATCATCTATTTTCAATGTCACACTTTAGATCCTGTCATCAGCAACTGTAGATTCTTTGTATTTTTGATTTCAAGCTTACCACACTTAGACCACCACCTCCTAGCTTTCCATCTCAATTACTCCAGAAACTCCCTGCAGTAATTTCACAATTTCGAGTTTAAACTAATTAATCCTACTATTTTTTCCACTATTTATCAAGTACCTCTTGGGATCACTTCCCTTTCCATCCAGCTTAGCTTTGTGTTCCATCATCATCACTTTCTTGCAAATATCCACAACCTCCCTACACTCGTTTCCCCCTACACACATACTCCTCTGGCTAAATCTTAATCTTGGTTGACCTAAACTTTCTGCATTCTCTGCTCTTGAAGCAAAATAGCTGATCATTGCTAAGAAAAACAATACCTCTGGGTTTCAAAGTAAGAACCACAAACAAATGGACATAAAGCTTGGTCCAAAATCCTTCTGACCTCCTCAACCCTTCCTTCCCATCCTCGATCCTTTGAAATCTATTTGTTGAAGCAACAAGGCTGTTTGAGACTAATTTCCCACAGTCTACAGCTGACCACATTCCTATAGTATTATTTAAAGTGTTTTTCTGCCCTTTATATTGCTACACATTGGTACTGAATTTAGGGGGCTTTTATCTTTCGAGTCACTGATTTTAGCACTATTTTTCATTAACTTAAGGTGGTATGGCTTATTTACATCTCTCTTTCTCGCCCTATATCCTTCCAAAATATTTGTATCTCAACGTTTTATTAAATTCACTGTTTTTATTATTAGGAATGATATAAGCATTACTCACTGCTGAGACATGCTACTTACTGTAATTACATTTCCTTGGCTGTGCATTCTTTTTTTTCTGGAGTTATTATTACCTTGTCATTTAGAATTTTCCCTGAGCGTCTGAGGCCTTCCCACACTTTGAAAGACATCAAAGTCCCTCTCAATATAAGTTTCCATAAAGTCAAACTCATTGGATAATTTTCTAGGCCTAGTAGAGTGACTAATGAAGGCCTCTTTGACAATGTGATATATAAGGAGACCTGAGTGAAGAGAGGGAGAAAGCCATGTGACTAGCTAAAGTTTTCCAGGCAGAGGGAGCAGTAATTCTAAATGCTCTAGAGTAGGAATATGCTTGCTGTGTCTGAGGAACACAAAGGAGATCTACATGATGAAACACAATGAACAGGGAGGGGAACCCTACAGGAGACAGTGTCAGAGGTACCATAAGCCAGATAAAGTTGGGCCTTGTATGTCACGGTAAGGAGCAACCAGAAGAAGAAAGATGATGTAGAAAAAAAAAGGAGGAGCAAGTTTGACAGGAGGAAATTACTCGATTTTGGATATGTTAAGTTTGACATCTAGGTAGAAATTATTCAGTAGGGAGCTGGAGAAATGAGTATGAGGCTTCAGCAAGAGGTCAGGACTCCATAAAAATGGAGATACTGGGAATCTATTTCTTATGCTCCTTGTTTGTGATTTTAGACAGCAGGGGGTGAAAATATTTATTCTTAAGACTATATTAATTTGGCTTTCATCCTCACCATTCTACTGTAACTTTCATATCAAAAGTCAGTAAGTAAATAACTCCATGTTGTCAAATCCAATGGACCTTCTTCTTTTCTTGAACTCTACGAAACATTCCACAGTAAACCACTCCCTCTCAAATTTATATGTACATTCCCAGCTTCCTCCCTGAACTTCTGACTCTCATGTCCAATTCGTATACTTGATACCTCTACTTGAATGTTTAACTGTGTCAGAAGTTAACCTGTAAAAACGTAACTCTTTATTTGACTACCTTAAATCTCTTCCTCTCCTCCTCCTTATTCTCATTTCAGTAAACAGTCTCATCATCCAGCCCGTTGCTCAAACTTAAAAATTAAGAAACCCTTAATTCTTTCCTTCCTCTTGTTTCTCAAAACCATCCCTGAGCAAGTACAAAAGGTATCTCAAATCTGTCTACTTCCTTCCAACTCCACTGCCTCCACCATAAAGCCATCATTCTCTCTTGGGTGAATTATTGCAATAACTGGTCTCCTTGCTTTCTTCTACAAGCATCTCTCTACCCAGCAAACAGGGAGATATGTTTAAATGTAATCCCCTACTTAGAATCCATCAGTGACATCCACTGCATTTAGAATAAAATCGGATCTCCTTATCCCTACGTGATCTAACCCCAGTCTGCATCTCCAACCTAACCTTGTCCTGTTTTCCCCTCACTCTTTACAGTCAAGTCACACCAACCCCCTTTCTGTTTCTTGAACACTCTGAGGTCTTCAAGGCTCCCAGGCCTATATCCCTGATGCTCCTCTACCTAGAATGCTCTTCCTACACCTCTTTCCATAGCTGGCTCCTTCTCATCCTTCAAGTCTCAGTCTGAATGTCATGTCCTTGGAGAGGCCTTTCCTCACTAGTCTACCTAAAGCACCCTCTTCCTTTACTCTCTACCATAACCTACTTATTTTCTTCATGATGCCCACTAAGAGTTTGATATTCATTTAGTTTATTGTTTGTCTCCCCATCACCAAAACGTAAGCTTTATCAGGGTGGGGTCCTATCTTGTATTTCTAGCACAAATATTAATAGGTACTCATTTATTTGTTGAATAAATTAACCAGACCTCTACATAAAGATGTACATACAATAACGTTTATTGTACCTTTTTTCATTTTGTAGGCTGGGGATAAATGAATAGAATAATAGTTTCTATCCAATCATTTTCCCTAGCCAGTTTCAATGTTCCAAAGTTTAATTAACAGAGCAGGGAAGCTACCCTGAACTGAACTTAACACTTTGGAATTTTGCAGCATTTTTATGCTAGCAAAAAAGTAGACACACTGAAATGTTTACCAATAGGTTTTTATTACAGAGTATTCCATGTAAGAGCTATGCAGTAAATAGAAAGATGGCCTGTGTGTCAGATATCCTTAGCCTCTTTAGAGTCACTCTCCTTCCTCTTCTCCTTGCTCTTTCTCTCCCAGTGTCCAGTTTGCATAGAATGAGTAGAACTTGACCAAGTGAACAAACACAGAGGAGGCATTCTAGCCCACATGCACATAGATCTAGGGATAAAAGTGTATGGTGTGCTGGAGAAACAATAAGTGTGTCCTCCTCTGCTCCCACTACAGCTGGTCCCCTTGTCTGTTACAATTACTATGTTGTAGTATTGTAGCCATTCTCATGTGTTTCTTCTAACCAGGCTCCTAGACTCACACTTTCAGACAACAGAGAAGCATGTCTTTACATCTCTATACCCTCAGTACCTAACACAGTAAGCTCTCTTATAGTGGCTGCAAGAAGAAATCTGCTTTTATCTATATTTTACTAGTTTAAAGGTTACTTTTTTTTTTAAGCGATGGGGTCTCGCTATATTGCCCAGGTTGGTCTTGAACTCTTGGGCTCAAGAGATCCTCCTACCTCAGCCTTCTGAGTAGCTGAGATTACAGGTGCAAGCCACCACACTTGACCAAGGTTACATTTTTAAGACTGATTTATATGGTCATTATATAGACCAAATTTGTCTGTAGAAAAATTAGTCAAACAGTGAGTGACTTAAAACTGTACAATACTGTGGCTGAGGGCATAATTAAATCTTTATTAAAACTGCTACCATTTCTTTTTGTTTTTGTTTTGCTTTCTTGAGACAGAGTCTCGCTCTGTCACCCAGGCTGGAGTGCAGTGGCGTGATCTTGGCTCACTGCAACCTCCACCTCCCGGGTTCAGGCAATTCTCCTGCCTCAGCCTCCTAAGTAGCTGGGAATACAGGTGTGCACCACCACACCTGGCTAATTTTTGTATTTTTAGTAGAGACGGGGTTTCACTATGTGGGTCGGGCTAATCTTGAACTTCTGGCCTCATGTGATCCACCCACCTCGGCCTCCCAAAGTGCTGGGATTACAGGTGTTAGCCATCATGCCCAGTTTTAAAGATATATGCCTATGATGATCTGAATCTGAACTAACTTCCAGATGTCTCACTAAAGGCAATGCATTTTTTCACATAAGAATAAATTTTGGCCGGGTGCAGTGGCTCACGCCTGTAATCTCAGCACTTTGGGAGGCTGAGGCGGGTGAGGTCAGGAGTTCAAGACCAACCCAGCCAACATGATGAAATCCCGTCTCTATTAAAAATACAAAAATCAGCCAGGCGGGGTGGCGCATGCTTGTAATCTCAGCTACTTGGGAGGCTGAGGTGGGAGGATCACTTGATCCTGGAAGGTGGAGGTTGCAGTGAGCTGAGATCATGCCACTGCACTCCTGCCTGGGTGACAGAGCAAAGCTCCATCTTAAAAAATAATAATAATAAATAAAGAATAAATGCCCATTTCTAATAAATGAGATACTTCAATAAAAAGTGTAAGAAGTAAATTCCAAGAGAATTTGAATTAGTAATACTTACCAACACTAGCATGATCAATAATAGTGTCAATATCTTGTAGACCCCATTTCTTATAAGCTAATGGTGGTGGTTGTATGTTCTCATTGCCTGATGCTGCAGCTACCAAAGATAAAATAAGACAATCCAAACTTATTATGGATAAAATGAAGTTTTACAAAAAAACATTAAAACCATACTAATTTGTTATTCTAAAATTTCAGCTAATAATGACACAAAGTAATGAAAACAAGGCATAAGGTGAGATTTATTCACACCAAGACAATGCACGTAAAATGCAAACATTTAAAAGACTAAGTTGGCTGTCACAAAAGATTCTGGAACACTCCAGTAATTAAAGAAGACTATTAAAAATCCTAGACTACTACTAAAAATCAAAGGGAATTCAGGCCGGGCATGGTGGCTCATGCCTGTAATCCCAGCACTTTGGGAGGCCGAGGCAGGCAGGTCGCTTGAGGTCAGGAGTTTGAGATCAGCCTGGCCAACATGGTGAAACCCCATTTCTAGTAAAAATACAAAAATGAGCCAGGCGTGGTGGTACATGCCTGCAGTACCAGCTACTCGGGAGGCTGAGGCAGGAAAATCACTTGAACCTGGGAGGTGGAGGTTGCAGTAAGCTGAGATCACGCCACTGCACTCCAGCCCGGGTAAGAGAGGGAGACTCCGTCTCGAAAACAACAAAAGAAAACAAAACAAAAACAAAGTGAATTCAAACTGCATGTGATGCCAAGTAAGCAATTTCTCCCTCTTGACAAAGTAGATAAAATCCTAGGGATAGGAATCAGTGCTTTACTGATAGAAAAACTAAAAACCTGATATACTTGGCAGAGCACACACACAGCAAGGTCTCTAACCTAGGTAACTGAGGCCAGACTTGATAGAAAGATATGTAAAAAGCAACAGCACTGTCAAAAAAATGAATGAAATGCCAATCTTTAACCTCAGTCCCTTCACCTAGTGAGTAAGAAAAGGAAAAGCAACAGTTACATCTCTTGCCATAGATTCATGTACATCCCATGAAATCAGTAAACTCCCATGCTACATATTAGAATATTGCTGAGTTCTGGCTGTTTATTCAGGAAAGTGAAAAATAATAATAAAGAAAAAATATAACCTCTAAATATTGCAGATTGACAGTACGGCCAAGAAAAGATAATTTTCTTATATGCTGAAATAAACATCACAATTTATGGCTAAGTAACCAGAACTCTTTTTATAGCAACTTACAACCCAAGGGCACTAAGTGGCTTAATTCCTTACTTCCCAGGAGACAAATGGCTTTATGGTCTTATATACAACAAACAAACAGAAATTCAAAAATGGTGAAAAATTAAATTGCTGATGATACCAATTATAAAATTATTGTCTATTTCTAGTTTATTAATAAACTTCTTACCCACAGGAAATTGCCTTTTGGCATATATATTAATGGTGAGTATTTTAAATGTTCTCAAGATAGTGAAGCTTATGGTGGGTTAAATTTAAATAATTTAAAAGATTATGAAAATAGGTATAAAAATTTAAACTAATTGTAAAAAAAGAACCACATAGCCAAGACTTCCTTATTTTACCAATCATATCAACCTGCTAACAAAGACAGAAAAAAATTTTTATTGCAATATAAGATGCTGCATTTAGACTAGATTTAGAAATAATTTCAGATCCCAATTTTACAGTTGTTAAAATATGGAAAAGAAAAGTCTTATAATCAGTGAAAATATGAGTAGTGGCGCTGACTTCCCCTTTTCTTCTGGGATTGAGTAGAGGAGACTTAGTGGCCCCAAAACAAAGTTTAACTCCTAAATGGTTGAGACGGCTTCCTGAAAACATAGGCTAATTAGGATATGTTTACTGCTTCATAAAATTGTTTCTAAACCTAGTCTAAATCCAGCATCTCATATTGCAATCAAAAATTTTTCTCTGTCTTTTTTAGCAGGTTGGTATGATTGGCAAAAATTCTGATGTCTTGGCTATGTGGTTCTTTTCTAGTAAATGCTTTTTTACTAGGTCAGAATTTGTTTAAATTTTTATACCTATTTTCAGAATCTTTTAAATTATTTAAATTTAGCCAACCATAAGCTTCATTATCTTGAGAACATTTAAAATACTCATCATTAATCTATATATCAAAAGGCAATTTTCCGTAGGTAAGAAGTCCATTAATTTAATAAACTAGAAATAGACAATTATTTTATATTCGGTATTATCAGCCATTTAATTTTTCACCAAAGTTAAACTTTGTTTTGGGGCCATTAAGGCTCCTCTACTCAATCCCAAAAGAAAAGGGGAAGTTAGTGCTACTAATATTTTCACTGATTTTTTTTTATTATATTTTAAGTTTTAGGGTACATGTGCACAATGTGCAGGATTGTTACATATGTATACATGTGCCATATTGGTGCGCTGCACCCATTAACCTAATCATTTAGCATTAGGTATATCTCCTAATGCTATCCCTCCCCCCTCCCCCCACCCCACAACAGTCCCCGGAGTGTGATGTTCCCCTTCCTGTGTCCATGTGTTCTCATTGTTCAATTCCCACCTATGAGTGAGAACATGCAGTGTTTGGTTTTTTGTCCTTGCGATAGTTTGCTGAGAATGGTTTCCAGTTTCATTCATGTCCCTACAAAGGACATGAACTCATCATTTTTTATGGCTGCATAGTATTCCATGGTGTATATGTGCCATATTTTCTTAATCCAGTCTATCATTGTTGTCTATTGTTGTTGGACATTTGGGTTGGTTCCAAGTCTTTGCTATTGTATTTTCACTGATTTTAAGACTCTTCCATATTTTCACAACTCTGAAATTGAGATCTGAAAATTGATGGTGTGTCTTTCACTGGCAACAGTTTTTCTTCTTAGTGGTACATAAAACAATAGTGTATCTTACAATCAATGGCATGTTGAATTTGATGAAATATCTCTTCCAAAAGATGTAACAACATCAGAATGTAAACTATAGGTAGTAAAAGTAAGAATTCTTGATTATTTGGGCAGTTTTCATCCCTAAGTCACAAAATGTCATTGCCCATATATATATTAAGTTTAGGCCTCTACCTTTTCTCCATTCTGAGTGTTCTGAGTTAGCAAAAAGCAGCTCATGTTGACTCCCTGCTGGGTCCTGCCTACAGTGATATCTGTAGGATCTTGCATCTCCCTTGCACACAGTCATAGCTTTATTCTCAGGGAGGATGGAAGCAATGTAGAGTCATCAGATTTTAGGATGCTGGCCTTGATCAGCTGCTGATCTAGTGAAAATCTGGTACCTCAGCCACATGCAACTAAATTCTTTACCCCATTGTTGGTTGTCAATACTAGGGTTGGTTGTCAATGTTGGTTGCAAATCTAGCTAGCCAAGACATACTGCTGAATTCGTGAAGAAAGCCCGGTGTTCCTGTGCTGACCACACTCTCCAAAGGCAACGTGTGAAGAGTGTTTATGTTTTAGCTCATCTCTACCTTACTAAGCAATCTACTCAACATGCTCCCCTTTCTCTACAGAAGGCAGGTTTTTCCCATAAATCTAGTTCAGAAGGCCTTTTTTATTTAGAAGACATACTTAATTCCATAAGCAGGTGAAATTAAATAAAACAAACATTAACAGAGGTTAAATATTTCTTGCCAAAATATTACCTTTTGCTACCTGATTTCGACAAGCACGAAGAGATTGAAAAAGGCTAAATCCATCAATAGTCACAATGGCAGCTGGATATAAGATACTCAACTCTTCATTCTATTTAAGAAATAAAAAAAAAAAGTTCTTGAATAGATAAATAAGCTTATCTACTTTTTATTATACTGAATTTCACGAATAATGTAACATAACCACCCAACACCCAAAGCAATATCAGGCAGAAGAACAGTAAAAATAGATAAAAAATTAATTTGAGAGTGCCTTTTTGCCAAAGACCTAAAATTCTTTTCAAATATAACCTTTTGTGTATGGTGAATAATTATCTCAAAGATGCTGAGAGTAAATAAAGAATTACAATTTCATAAAAAGTAAATATACTCATTGCACAGATACAAACAGTATGTAAAAACAGAAGAAAACTCACCTGAAATCCCAGACACGTCTCAATACACATCCCCAAATATATTCATACACATTTGCATAAGGCTATAGCACATATAGTATCCTAACATGTTTTTTACTACTCAATAGTATGTCAATGATATTTTTCCATTTCAATAAGTGAACAAATCATTTTTTGTTGTGGCTGCACAGTCTTTCATTATATGTACCCGATTTTACTTAACCAGTTCATATTGACGGACATTCAGTTTGGCCTCCTGCTTCCACTCTTGCTCTCTACAATCCATGCTCCACACAGCCAGTGTGCTCTTGGTGAGACATAGCAGATCAAACCAATCTCCTGATTAAAACTCTTCAATGACTCTCTTCTGCATTTAGAATAAAACCTGAACTCATTAACCATGGCTGCAACATCTGGCAAATATGAGAGGTCATCATTACCCTCAGACCTTTGCATGTGCTTGGATCTTCTCCTCTCAGATCTTCACCTGCCTAATTGTTCCTGTCATTCAGGTTTCAGTTCAAATGTTAGTTACCCAGAGAGGCTGCTCCTGAACCTCCATCTCAAACAACATACATATTCTCTTGGCACATTACTATCTTATCAACATGACTTCCTTAACAGCACCTATCAGAGATTGGAATCACCTTGATATCTCTAGCTGCTTACTGTTGGTTTCCCTCTACCATCCCCAAACTGTAAGCCCCATGAAAGCAGGAACCTTGTATGCCTGTTACACCAATGAATCCTCAGGGATTAGAAATGAACTGGGCAAATAATAGGCAGTAAAGAATATTTATGAATTAACATATTTTCATCATTATAAACATCACTGCAATAAACATTCTTCTGTCTATATCTTTTCATGTTAGTAAGATATTACTTTAGTGTAAATTCCTTCAAGTGGGTCTGTTGGGTCATACAGTATTCACAATTTTCATTCTCATATATATTAAGTTGCCTCAAAGAGTACCTATCAACTTATATTTCCACCAACAATACATGAGAGTGACTGTTTCTCTATATTGTCATCAAAAGTTTGTTAATCTTTATCTTTGCCAATCCAAAAGGTGAAAAGTTATCTCATTATATTTTCTTATAGTTCTTAGATTGTTATTAAGGCTCAAAATTTTCTTATATGCTTTTGGGCCAATTTCTTCTCTTGAAATCTGCTTTGCTCCTTTTTCTACTGGACTGTCAGGCTGTTTCTCTTTTTAAAGAAGACTTCAGGGCCACAGGGGCATAAACCAGTGGGGAAGGGACATGGCATGTGTTCTCACATGACAAGTTCACAAGACTAAGCATGCATGGCCCAGTGATCACAGCAGCAGGGAGAGAGCCTCCTCACTGACTTTGGGGAGCTAGAAAACAGAAAAGACCTAATCACTAGCAAGTTAGTTTCTCCAAAACCAGGTAGTCTTCCTGAAGAAAACACTAATACAAACACCATTGGCCCCAAATCTGTAGACACTGTGCTAGATGACAGAGAAGATCTTTTTACAGAAGCTATTATACAAAAGAAATTTCTTTGAAATTCCAGGAGATTTTTCCTCTCTTTCGAATCCTCTCCTGAAACGAATGACCTGCTGTCACCCGTACTACACTCATTGCTCCTAGAGCTGAATTAGAGGAAATGTGCTTCTGTGATCTCTGACAAATCTGGGAGTATATTAAAAAGAAGCAAATAGAAGATATTTTTGATATATAAATTGACGTGTCAGATCCAGAGCTGTTTAACGTAGCATACAGAGTAACAACAAAGACTTCCTTCTTGATAAAAATTTTGAGATGATTTTCTTGCTTTGTACAGCAAATAGCAAGGAAATATTTAAATGTTAGTTATATTTTTCCACCAGTTCTAAAAAAGAGTATTACAGACATGACCAAATTTAACGTATTTTAAAAAGCTTCGTCATCCAGTCAATTTTTAGAAAAATGAAAAACATCTCTGGAAAGTTATTTTCAGTTCACAGATTATCTTCTTTGATTTCCAGCTGTTCCTTGTTTCCTTTAATAGTTCAATTTCTCCTATCTCCTTACGATGAGTATTATTAGTTACTAAGACTTAAGTCTTCAGCCTGCAGTTTTATTTTCCTACACTCTTTACTTGAAAGAATTCATTCATTATCTATGACTTCAACCATCGTGTCCAATCTAGTCTCTGTGCCTATACAACAGTTTTGTATCATTACATGATATCAGTAACTTGATTTTATTTCCTACCATCGCCTCAAACTCAACATGTGCAAAACCTCATTTAATAACATTTACTGCCAATGTAGTCCCCTATTCCAACTTTGACAATGGCATTCCTCAGGATAAGTATCTTAGAGACATCTTTAGCTCATTTTAAAAAAATTGTACATCTCTACACAATAACCAGGTCCTATTAATTTCTTCTTCAAAACAATTTTTTTTTTTTTTGAGACGGAGTCTCGCTCTGTCGCCCAGGCTGGAGTGTAGTGGCAAGATCTTAGCTCACTGCAACCTCCGCCTCCTGGGTTCAAGCAATTCTCCTGCCTCAGCCTTCCAAGTTGCTGGGACTACAGGCGCATGCCGCCATGCCCGGCTAATTTTTTGTATTTTAGTAGAGACAGGGTTTCACCGTGTTACCCAGGCTGGTCTCAAACTCCTGAGCTCAGGCAATCCGCCCACCTCGGGCTCCCAAAGTGCTGGGATTACAGGTGTCAGCCACCGTGCCCGGCCCCAAAACAATTTTTGTACTAGTCCTTTCTCTCTTCCCATACACCATATTAGTCCTGGCTCCCACCCAGCACTCCACATCTGTTACAGATGACTTAAAAAACCAGATAACTAGCCTCCCTAATTCCAGTTTATCCTGAAGAAAGAAATCTTCAATATTCCTTTGATTATTTCACTTCCTTCTCATAAATCTTTAGGAGTTTCTCTCATTTCCTGAATCAACTCTCATTTTTCACTTGGCTTTTGAATTTATGCAAAATTTGGCCACTCTGCTTATTTGACAGTTTCTCATTACTTTATAACATAAGTTTCTTTGTTGTTGCATATATAGTTCTACATTCGAATCTTCTCTCAAATCTTCTCCTGATTACCTGAAACACTTTCCCCTCTTTTCTATTACCTAATTAAATTCTATACCCATTATTCAAGGTTTAATGCAAATCTCGCCTCATCAATGAAATTTTCTTATTTTCCTGGTCCAAATTGAACTCCTCTTTCTCTAAGCTTGTACAGACTGTATTCTGTCCAAATAAATTACCAATAAATTAGGTATTGCTTTATATTACTGATTAATTCATCCATAGATATTATTAGATTTTAATCCTAGTCTCTCCTACGAGATAGTTAAGATTCTTTCACAGCTCCAGTCCATCTCCCATGCAAATTAAATTAACAAATGCATACAGTATATACATCTGTTCACTTGAAATCTTTTGGAGGCCAAGTAGTACAACAAAGGGAAGGCATATTACATAGTTTTGACTATGCACTCCGCAAAACAAATAAAAGCATATTGGTTTAAATGGCCCTACAATTATTTTTTGACTAAGACAACCAAAATGTTACAAGGCACCTAAGAAGTTAGAGCCTTGGATACTAAACAGCATTATTTTCTCAGTTGAAATCTTCAATGAATATATGTATTTTCCACTATGAACAAAAGCTTAGTAACCCCTTTTCTGAGAAACAGTTAAGTACAAGGTAGTATCACTAGTAACAAGGCCAAATTTTTTTTCTTTTACTCTGGGTAATTTTGGCACCTAAATCCAAATAAAACAAGATATAAGGTTATAAAATATCATATTTTTGCCTTCCCATTATTAAATTCTAAAAATAAGAAATTTTCTTGGCTTCTAACTAAAGGGTTTTACTTTGTTGTAGAATGAAACATATAATATTTCATTAAATAAGTAAAAGCAAGACTGGTATTCTTTACTCAGCTACAAATAGATTATATTTCTAGACTATGATAGCAGAGCTAACTAACTGTGCCACAAGACAAAGATCTCTTTTAAGTTTCTACCTAAAAAAGAGGAGAGAAACTGCTTCAAAATAATGCCACTGTTACTGTTGGAACACAATTTTTTACACTACCTGCTCAGTCACGCCGGGATGTCGTGGTATTTCATAGGTTCTGCATTTAAGTTGAAGTACTGGGTCCTCATTCAAAAGCTGTGCAAGCAAGAGCACACCATTCTAGGAGGAAGCACAGAGAAGGGCCCTGCTTGTTTTCTTACCAATATACCTTAGCAGGTATGGCCAGGCAAAGAGTACCATTTCCCCAACAGTTTTCCAGAGATACCAGGTACACTCTTTTCAGAATACAGCTCCTCTTCTCTGTATCTTCTACCAGAACTTGCCACGGCCTATCCCGGCCTCTACCCCCATAAAGAATCAACTACACATTTTCAGGCAGCAGGTAATAAAGTCACAAACAGTATAAAGGTGATGCATAACCAGATATTGCAGTCAACTAGTGTTTTCCAGCTGTTGAAAACTCAACTCACCTCAGTGTAGAAGCGTACATAACCTGAAGTAAAACCCACCACAATGCAGGTCCAGTCAGGACGCCCAGTGGAACTCCTGTTACAAACAAAATTTATTATCTTAACAACTCATAAATCAAAGCAAAGAAAACAGATGACTCTTATTTATCCTTACCTCTTTTGGCTTGCTAGTGGGATACATAGAGCACTGGTTACACATTCCCTAAAAACAAAAACAAAATCATATGCTTACCCACTGAACTTACCAATTACTTTTATTTCTCTATAATTGGATGTTAAAGGATAATAACTGGAAGATGACTTCTGTGAACCAGTTTTATTTGATGCATAAGTAAAAATACAGTAAAACTCCACCACTGGTAAGGTCCATAAAATTCATTCACACAAAATGTAATGCCACATGCATTTGAGGTTAATAAAAAACAGAATTTTTCACTCTGTATTGTCATGAAAAACATGAAAGTACAGAAAGCAAAACTTTACTTACACAACTGACTGTATACACAACTGAGCAAAGCTCAAATGATCCCCACGCAGCCATTTCCTACTATCTCTCTCTCTCTCCTCTGCTTCAGCTAAGAACTTCAGCCTGCCTCTTGTTTGAGATCAGGAGCTGGGCAAATGGTTGAGGAACTGCCAGTCACGTTACATGCAAACTGTATTTCTGCAGGGTACATTATTTTAGGAACTTATGTATTTCAACTTGCTGGGTTTTCTTTTCTATTTTGCAGAAACTGCTCTGATCATCTATTTCTAAGCACATGTTAGGTGTGATGTTATATAAAAAAGATATATTTTTTTTCTGACATGTAGACTTGAAATATTTGTCAGGAGCTCAGAAACTAAGTCTCAAAATCAAAACAACTCCTACCCACTGACTTTTGTTAAATCTGTCAAACCTGAGGATCATCACCAGCTTATCCAAAAAACTATAAACACTTCCATGCCATACATCATACTAGGTAATCAATGAACAAAATTCATCTTCGTGTTTGTTCACTGTTTTTAAAGTATTATGTTTGCTTTGCATTTCTGACAGAGATCAAATGTCTTTAAAACACTTAGACTAAATGGCGTAAGGAGAAATATTACCATTTATTTTGATGATAGAGAATATTTCAAATATCTACAATGTTCCAGGCATGTTCTAGGCACTTCCACTTGGTTGTCTTTTATCTGAATTCAAAGTATGAAGGATTTTCTTACTCATTCTGATCAGACAGTTTTGAGTCATAAAGATTTAATTGAAAACCAGTTTTGGGCTCAAGTTCTAAGCTAGCAGCTCCATCATGTCACCATACTGGATATCATGGTTACAAAAGCTTTACTGGGTCAGCAGGAAACTAATGTACCAACTTGCATTTCTTAAGTGTTTATGAGTTTTAAGAATTAATGTAGTACTGTACCCTTCAAGTATAAGCCCAATATCAGCAAAGCAGAGAAGACAATGATTGCCCTTGACTTTTTCAATGAATAAAATTAGTAATGGAGAACAGAGGGAAAAGACAAAATGTAAAAAGGATTTTACGAGATTCTTTTTGAATTCTTCCTTAAATCTTCCAACAGAATTTTTTAAAAACATAATTACACGATATATAAAATTTGCTGATTGAATCATTCTCTACAACCTATAAAGTTAGGATACATATACATTTACTAAACATTTCAAATAATGAAATTTCTTTCTTATTCTAAAAAATTTTTTTTTTTAAGAGACAGGGTGTCACTCTGTTGCACTGGCTGGAATGCAGGGCATGATCATAGCTCACTGCAGCCTCAAACTCCTGGGTTCAAGCAATCCTCCTGCCTCAGCCTCCCGAGTAGCTGGGACTACAGGTGTGCGCATCACATCCAGCTAATTTTTAAATTTTTTGTAAAGACAGAGTCTTACTATGTTGCCCAGGGTGGTCTCGAACTCCTGGGCTCAAATGATCTTCCTGCCTTGGCTTCCCAAAGTGCTAGGATTACAGATGTGAACCACTGCACCCAATCAAATAATGAAACTTTTTAATAGATTCACCTACAAGTCAAATAATTTCATACATACATGTAACACACAGAGAAACAAAAATTAACTGGCACCTACCCTTCTTCGACATTTAAGGAACCACTCCAGCCAACAGCAAATTGCATTTCTTCCTTTCCTTTATCACTATATTTCCATTTTGCTGTAAGAATTAAGATATCATATAAAATAATTTTAGCTATAATACACTAAAAGAGTAATTTATAAATTTTGCTCTTTCCCCTTAGAATATGATTACAAAATTTAACAGTTGTGTATTAACTGACTTGGGTCTTTTTTATAGGTAAATATAAGATAAACATGTTTATAAGATTCTTATAATACACCTAGTCTCCTGGCCTTCAGCCTCTCCTTCCCCCAATTCAACCTGTATAATGTTGTCATAGTTCTTGTAGAATAAAGTTATTAACTCCTATGCCCACCCTGCCTAGTTTAAGACTACTTTTATCATCAGATGACGGAGAAAATTTTTCTACTAGATCTTTGCTACTTGAGGGTAACTTTGCTTTGTAAGACCATTCTAGACACATTTTACACACAATCTTACTTTGATCAGTAAGGTTTGGAGATCTATAAGATATGAAAAAAACCTCAATTTTAATCTTCAACAAAAAATTATGAGTTAAAATGCTATGCCCCAAACAGAAATCCATAATATTATGAGTTTTCAAATTAGAGTTGAAAATCACCTCATTCACATTGTTACTAAGAAAAGGTCAATGACCTTTTTAGCTCTGACTGTCCCTTGCAAGAATTGAGCAATGCACAGTACTGCCCCTGAGGTACCATATGGAGAGCACTAAGGTAGCTACAGCCAAGAAAGAAAAAAGGGAGAAAACAAACAGAATGGAAGGGGGAGAAAGAGGGAAATGGAGAGGGAGGGAGGGAGGGGGCGGAGGAGGAGTTGGGGGGGGGGGGAGAGAGAGAGAAATAAATAAATAAAAAGCATTATATTCTTTTCACCTAATCCATTTTCTCTTCTATCCAATGTATCAAAATAAAGGTCGCTGAAAATAATAGGATACTCACGCACTAGAAATACAGCTTTTTGCTCTCGAGCTATCACCATAAGATCATTGGTTGGAGATAAGGATAAAACACAATCTTGGAGCCAGGAAGTTTTTTGTGTTTTGCAAGTATTTCCTTCTTCTTCCTGTGGGTAAAACTACAATTACTGCATATGCAAAAATACCAAGAGTATTCAAACTCAGCTTGCCTGTCTCAAGGGGTGAGAGGGAAGAAAAAAAAGAAAAGGAAATATTTCCAATTCTCATACAGTTTCATAATATTCCTTATCAAAACATGCCAAAGATGGCTGACAAACAAAATACCCACTATAAACAAATCTTCAGTTTTGAATATTAATGCAAAAAATTTAAATATAAACAAATATAAACTAGCAAGGCATTAAAAGAATGTCACATAGTGGCCAGGCATGGTGGCTCACACCTGTAATCCCAGCACTTTGGAGAGCCAAGGACAGGAGGTCAGGAGTTTGAGGCCAGCCTGGCCCACATGGTGAAATCCCATCTCTACTAATAATACAAAAATTAGCCAGGTGTGGCGGCGCGTGCCTGTAATCCCAGCTACTCGGGAGGCTGAGGCAGGAGAATCACTTGAACCCAGGAGGTAGAGGTTACAGTGAGCTGAGATCGCACCACTACAATCCAGCTTGGGCGACAGAGTGAGACTCTGTCTCAGGGAAAAAAAAAAAATGTCACATAGGAATCACTCCAGGAATTCAGCATTAGGAAATTTAGTGAATAATCCTATTTACAAAGAGATAGCTAGACAGCAAAGAAAAAAAATGTGATGTTTATTATGGTTATAGGATCTATAAAAGCATCTGATATAACGTTATGCTTCTTTCTTTTTATTTGGCCTACAGGTGTTTTCTCTTTTTCATTAGACGTTTATGTATTGTATAGGTAAATCCCCATGGTTAAAAATTCAACAGCTATAAAAAGGTGTTCTTTGAAAAATCTCTTATACTCCTGTACTCTAGCCATCTAGTTGTTAACTCTAGAGACAATGCAATCAGTTCTTATGTGTATTTCCAGAGATACTTTATGCACATTTACTACCCTTTTCCTCCCTTTTTCTTACAAGAATAGTAGCATTATATATATATATATATATATATATATATACTTCTATACTTTGCTTTTTTCTCTTAACATATTCATTAGACTTCATTCCACTTCCACATGAAGTTTCTTTATTGTTTTTAATGTCTGCATAGTATTCCATTTTATGGATGCACTATAATTTATTTAACCAGTTCCCGATATGCGTGGACATTTGTATTGCTTACCATCTTTTGCTGTTACCAACTATGCTGCAATAAATAGGTTTATAAATTCCTCAGTTTGTGTGGAAGTGTATCAGTAAGCTAAATTCCCAGAAGTAAAATTGCTGGGTCAAAGGGAATGTGTATTAGTAAATTTGCTGAATATTCCCAAACTGTGCCCCACACATGTTGTATTAATTTGTAATTCCATCAGCAATTTTTGAAAGTGCTTGCTTTTTCACAGGCATTTCAAAAAATATTTTAATGGCGGATCTCTGTCAATTTAATAGGTAAAATGTAGTATCTCAATATGCTTTTAAACTACATTTTTCTTATTAATGAGAATTTAGGCATTTTCTCATATACTTAAGAAAATTTCTCATTTTTATATAAAGGAAAGGAACAAATTGCATAATTTTCTATGAATAGTTTGTTCCCTTCCTTTGTAGATTTCCTGTTGGGTTGATGCTCTTTTTCTAATTGCTTTGTATACACTCTTTACATACAAAAAGAAAAACAAAATTGGCCCTTTGAACATAAGTGATGCAAATAGTTTTTCCTATTTGTGATGGCTTAAGTTTTTCCATGTAGAAATTTTTTATTGTCATGTGGCTAAATTATCCATCTATTCTCTTACAGCTTCTGGGTTTGATGTCATGTAGACTCCTACCTTACTCAGCCCTACCTAATGTCTTTTAGATTCAATTATTGAAAAGGGGAGGGAAAGGGAGGGGAAAGCTATGCAGGTTAATTTCCTTTTATAAAAAAATTATAATTTCATGCTTTTTAAAAACTTGTAATAAGCATGCATTACAAGCATTATAAAATTTAAAAGATTTTAGAAACAGAAAATCATCCTAGTCAGAAATGTTACAGTAGTATCATATTTCCAGGAATAAATTATTTCTTGCTGGGATACCATCAAAGAAATGTTTAAAACACAAAAAAAATATGGGTTACAGGGAATCTTTAGAAATACCCCAAAATGAGCCTGAAACCTCTGGGACAGTCATGCAATTATTTTTCTTTTGCAATGGGATATTAGGAAACAAACAGATTTGGAACTTTTTTCTCAAGCAAAATAAGCTAAGGAGGCTGCACCATCTCCCGAAAGATAGGGAGAACATAACATTGGCAAAATCTCATTTTATTAAAGCTCTACTTTTCTTAAGGAATTCTGTATCTAGCTTGTTGTTTTTAATGTTTGTTTTTCTACAGATAAATTAGAAAATTATCCCCCAAAGATAAAAGTTATGAAGGTAAAACTTAGTTGTAATTAAATTTTTCCCTGGTTCCACAACTTCTGCTGTAGGATAGTCTTTGTTTACCCAACACATCACTCCTCATGATGGCTTGCTGTAAGCTGAGGACAACATTACCCGATGGTTTCCTCCAACAACTGAGACTCCAATTATACCAACTGTGAGGCACAGGACCTTCTAAGTGATTAGAGATCCACTTTCAGGTAGGAGCTTAGAAGAGGACAGCTTATATAGGAATATTATTTAGGCATTGCTTTTGATAAGAAATTAGGAGGGTCCAAAACTCTTTGATTGGTCTCTGACTCTTATCCTAAAATCTCCATCTCAATGCAATAAAAAAGAATCAATATAATGCTTCAGGAAAGGAATACAGCCCTTATTTGGGCATGTTCTCAAAAAAATTTGTTTTAATAATTGAGCATCTATACAAATAGATTCCTTCCTCTTATCACACTTCCAAAACTATGTTTAATCAGTAAATCCTAAAAATATTATAAAAGTTGCTTTTCTTTTTTTTTTCAATAAAGAATATTGTTCCTATGTTTCTGTCCCATGTTTTCAAAATAATGCCACTAACAAGGATTAGATCTGATGTTTATGTGCACAGAAAAGACAAAGAGTCAAAGATGGAAGACATTTAGAGGCCAACTGGTCCAAATTCTAATTTTATAATAAAGAAAATGGAGTCTCGGAGAGGTTAAGGGATGTGCTCCAGCCATAGAATTAGTGTCAGAGCCCAAACTAAAATCTAGGCTTCCTAATTCCTAATTCAGGTGGTCTTTCCACTCTATCACCCTGCTCATCTCTGTGGGTAGCTGTACTAGCTCTTTGGAAGCTTGTCTTTACTTGAGATTTGACTCTAATCTCATATTCAGTGAAAACCCTTTTCTCCAAAAGAACTACTGTATTGTCACTTTATTCCGGCCTAATCTTTCTGTAGTTCTTTGAGTCGATTTACAGCTACAAGATGACCACTGTATTTGAATATGTGAGCCAGAGTATTCTTGAGGTATTTCTTCAAGAACTCCTTTAAAAATACTTTCCCTCTCCTTTCTGTTTTTCCATCAGAAGTTCCAGTTCCTCTGGCAAACCCATCCTATCCTGACTCCTAACCTTCTTTCAAACTTACTGCAATTAAAAGTCTTACTACTCCCTGCTACCTGTTTATTCTGTGACTGCATTTCTCCCACACTAGATGAGACGCCCTCTGTTGGCAAAGCCTATGGCTTATATTATTTTTCACCTCCACATGTAGCACAGTCCACTAATAGAATATAGGAGTAAATAACAGCATTCCCTATCTCTTAAATAATATATTATCTATTCTTACACCTGAAACTGTATAACAATGAACAATCAACCTAAAGCTAGTATATTCAGTCCTTAGTAATGTTTTTTCTTAAGTAATACTAAGATTTAATAGTTCAAGATTCTGGCTGACATATTCATGGTAAGTACAAGTTAAAGAGATATAAGAACAGAATACCACTGTATCATAGTCTTCTTAGTTGGGCCTAAAACTCGGTGTCAGATTATGATCAAGCTGCTGCTACCCCAACAAATGGACTATAAGTGATCTCAGAAGCAAACATGAATTTTGTCCCAAAAGGACTACCCATGACAAAAGCATTGGAAATAGATGTCACTTGCTTGGAAGCAAATTCAGAAAAATGATTCCATAATCAATTATGATATCCCTAACCTGCTTAGCCATCTTATACATGTACATTTTTATTTACATGAAACTTGAGAATAAAACTTGATGTGGATTTTTATTCCGGTTTCATCCACTGAAGACGGGGGAATAAAGAAGCAAAAAGCCAAAATCTTCCATCATTCTTTACTGCAGTTTATTTTCTATGTCCTTTCTACTTCTCCAACTTTCTCTGTTACTGTGGTACTAAAAATATATCCTCCCAGTTTGCCATGGTAAAGTTGGATATGTACAACTGAGCATTACATATTATAAAAATAGGTTAGAAAATACGATAATATTATTATATCATCATTAGAGTTTGAAGTGCCATAAAATTCTAGATCTAAACTTTTAGTTGTGCTTCTCAAGAATGATGCTAACTTGTCACATCATTCTGAGCAAACTATCGCAAGGACAGAAAACCAAACACTGCACATTCTCACTCATAGATGGGAATTGAACAATGAGAACACTTGGACACAGGGTGGGGAACATCACACACCAGGGCCTGTCGTGGGGTGTGGAGTCAGGGGAGGGATAGCATTAGGAGATATATCTAATGTAAATGACGAGTTAATGGGTGCAGCACACCAAAATGGCACATGTATACATATGTAACAAACCTGCACGTTGTGCACATGTACCCTAGAACTTAAAGTATAATTTAAAAAAAAAAAAGAACGATGCTAACTTGTCACAAAATGCAATGGTGTTGTGCTCTTAATACAAGCTCCACAAGCTCTTTGGATCCACAACCACACGGGGGAGCAGCTGTATACCTATTCCAACTGCAAGCTCCTGGTCACATGTAATTCTAAAGTAACTTCTTTGTGACTAAGGCACAGTATTCAACATATCAGATTCAATACAAGGACAAAAAGCCTCTAATGACAATAACCCAAACCAAATAATATCCTTAAAATTATAAAGAGGTAAAAATGTATTGTTTTAAGCTTAGCTATAATATTTTGCCCCCAGCCAGAGTAAATTTTACCATATTATGAAGCAAATTCAAAACAGAAAACTGCTGGAGGTGTGGATGGGAGAAATCCTCAGGTAAATCAAATTTCTTTTAATAAATCTACAAATTAAGAAACTGTAGTACTAAGTGCAAGACAATGTAAGCAAAGATCCTAGAACTGCTTGTCTGTACAGATCAACAATCTCCTTCTTACACATGTCATAATCCTCTTGAAGCCAACTGACAGGATGATTCAATCTTAACAGAAACAGAAGGAACTACAGGGATCATTTGAGTGAAATTCCTCCTTTTCCAGAAAAGAAATCAAGCTCTAAAAAGAATAAGTGGATTTTCACTAACCATGCCAATACTATAGATAATACATTTAAAGCAACATACATTCACACAGTCCCTGGACAATTTACAGAGGAACTCTGGTCCTTCACTTCTAAAATCAGGGGTCTGAGGAAGAATGAGGAAATGGCCTGTGGGTCAGAATCCATGAGAAAGACTAGACCCTCGATGTTCTCATATCTCTCTCTCTCTGCTTTAATGTATCCTGTACAACACTGCCACAGTATTGCTCCAGAAGGGCTGCAGAAATACAAACCAAGAATAAAGAGTGTGAGTCCATCTGAAGTGACTCCAGTGCCAGATTTTTCAGGGAAGTCTCAAGTCTAAGCACAAATAACTTGATGAAAATATTGGTATAGTGGAGATTAGGAAATGCCCTCTCTAGGCTGGATCACAATGAGCTAGTATTAGGTTTTACAACAAAATATGATTTCCAGCGCCAGTTCCAGAAAGCTCAGGCAAGAAATAGGGCTGTAAACAACAATGCTCTGGGAAGCCTAATAGAGCATCAGCACACATTCAGTGGCTGACAAGATGCAAGCTCATCATTTTGTTTTGTGTCATAAGGGCATTTGCCTACTAATTAGCGTTTTGGAAAACTTCCCCAATAATGGGGCCCACAGTCTCTAACACTGCCCCTTTGAAGCTAGTGATCCAAAAATAATATCATTTGACAAGGTAATTTCCCAAGCCACGCCTGAAATGTAAAACAAAAAAAGCACCTCACTGCTTAAAGGTGCTCCACCAGGGACCTTGGGTTTTCCACCAAAACTTGCCTCCCCCACCCTGTTACTAAAGTTGACACTGAATTTGCCTGCAGTCTCCCCCATCATCGTCGTTGTGGTGGCTGCGCTAAGCTCCATGGCTCTGAGAGCCAGCCCGTCCCTTCCCTGCCACTGTGAAGTGGGTGTTCAGAGAGTCTCGCTCCTGGAACGCAGGTGAGTGGAGTCCCCGAAGATCCGCACAAAATAGCCCAGCCAGTTCCAGCAATTATGAAAAAGTCCAGGCTCTCAGACCGCTGACCCTGATAAGTAGAAGTCCTTGGTGCCACCTGGTATTCCAGTGGCTCAGTCCATGTGCATCATCACGAGTAGGATCCAGCTTGCTGCTGAAAAGGCCTCTGTCCCGTTTGTGGATAAGACAGTGCAGCCCAACCATGGGACAGCTTTAGGAGGCAAAAGCTGAAGATGGATTTTTTGTACCTGGCTGATATGGTTTGGCTGTGTCCCCACTCAAATTTCATTTTGAATTGTAATTCCCACAATTCCCACGTGTTGTGGGAAGAAGCCGGTGGGAGGTAACTGAATTATGGAGGTGGGTCTCTCCTGCCCTGTTCTGATAGTGAATGAGTCTCACAAGTTCCGATGGTTTTAAAAAGGGGAGTTTCCCTGCACAAGCTCTCTTCTCTTGTCTGTCGCCATGTGAGACATGGCTTTCACCTTCCACCATGATTGTGAGGCCTCCCCAGCCACGTGGAAGTGTAAGTCCAATAAACCTCTTTCTTTTGTAAATTGCCCAGTCTCAGGTATGTCTTTATCAGCAGCATGAAAATGGACTAACACACTGGCCTACGTGGAGAGAGCACCCTGGCTTCTTCTGAGGGCTGCTGCTGGGCTAGGTGCACCATTACCACTTGAGTATCTTGAAAATAGCTGGCAGTTTTCAGTTATTATACCACAACCGCTTCTCACAGACATATTAGTGCATCTGAGACTGGGTTTATTTCTTCATATACTGGAAACTTTTGTTTTCTTAGAATAGAAAATTATCATACAGGGTTTTATTTCGAGTTTTTCTTTTTATGCACTGTCCTCATGGCTATATTCTCCAGGGAACTTGTTCTTTTGGAAATCATATTTAATGAAGATATTTCCATATTGAAGTGAGGTGGGTGTGGTGTTAAAGTAAAAAGGAAGGAGATGAAATATTTATTCTGCATTACGTTTGAAGTGTTAGATGGCTAAGTATTAAAAGCAACCAAATTAAATCCCCCAAATTAAAGCAATCAGAACACCTGCTTCACTAGATTTTGCCAGCTGCCAATCATGTTGGACTGAGCTAATCTGTTCCTCTTTCTGACACTACTATGGTAAATAACAATAAAACTTGCTTTTATAAAGGCAAAAATGAATGAATGAATGAATGCACCTATAAAACATAATCCTAGTTGTTGAGGGGAGGGAATCTATAATTATATTTTAGTATGGCCTAAACTTCAAGAATTTTTTTTGAATTAAGACCAGTAAAAAAGTTTTCTTAATCTACAAAAATACAGAAGCCACTAATGTGCATTATGGAAAGGAATTCTTTCTAAACAACGCAATATGGGATAGAGCATATACTTTAAAAATTTTCTTTCTTTTGATTTTAAGCACACAATGCAGGCAGACAATAAAATTGTAGTAATTAAATCAGTCTTTCAACTATAGCTGGCATTATAGGGACTGGTAATTACTGGGTAAACACAGTGGCCAGTGTTTTTTGGTTTTTCAGCTATTGTAGTACTTACGTAGTCACTGAAGTAGCCAGGAGTGGTTTTTCAAAGCTTTCAACTTTAGTACGATAAGTCCATCATTTGCAATTTATGTTGTTACTGTCATTTTGCTAACTTTCACAGATATTTACACATTTTAGTGGTACCAGTAAGATCCAGTGTAATCTAAGGGCTGTCAGCACATTCTCTGTAATTCTCAGCAGCTTTCTGCCTAAGCCATAGAAATAAAATATTCATCTATACTTTTAAAGCAAGACACATAGTGCTTCAGCAATTTTGAAACACAAAAAGAAAGTAAACATCACTATATTACTAGTTACTAAGGATTTTTTCTTTTTTTTTCTATTCTGCTACTAACTATAAAATGCTCAATATTTTTCAAACTTTCTTTTTTTAGATAGCAGAACTTTGTACTCCCAAACAAAATTTTTTACAAAAATTCAATATATGAAATAGATAAAAGCACAAATGAGGAAGCTACACAGCACCTCTGTAGAACCCTAGAGCTCTCTCACACATAGCATGAAAAGTACTAGTCTAGGCCACATTTCAGATCAGAGACTAAAATTCTCAAATGAAAGATCCTGAGATCTTTTCAACATAAGGAAAGACATGAACTCTTTCTAAATTTGATTTGAAGGGGCCCAAAGGAATTCTCACAAATAAATTAATCACAAAAAAACTATAACTTCAATCTCAATTTTAAAAATTACCTTTCTTTCTAGCATTAGAGGAACTTAACTCTAACTCAGTAACTCTTATTTACTTCAACTGTCAATTCAAGTAGGATTAATTCTGCCATTTATTCTTCAATTGTATATATAATATGATCTCATTTTCATAAAATGTTCTTTGTGCCCATTCATCTGCCCACTCAACCTTCTATTCATATAGTGCCAAAGAAAAACCCCCAAAAACCCCTTTATTTGTGTAGAGCCATGCAGAACCCCTGAAAGTTAATAATGATGATCATTTTTAGATGTTAGGGATGGGTTATTTTATTATTTTTATTTTTCTGTAATACTTGAATTTTCTATAATAAACATGTGTCAAATGTATTTTATTACTCATACAAAATTCATTTCATAAACAATTACAATGGAACTCCAAAACTAAATGTATACTTCTCTATTGCCTGAACAACTGTTTATTTGCTTTGTTTTGTTTTTGTTTTTTTGAGTCAGCGTCTCGCTCTGACGCCCAGGCTGGAGTGCAGTGCAATGGTGCAATCACAGCTCACTGCAGCCTCTACCTCCTGGGCTCAAGCAATCCTCCCACCTCAGCCCCTGAGTAGGTGGGACTATAGGCAGGCACATGTCACTTTGTCTGACCACAACTGTTTAATACTACATACTAAATCTAGGTGTCATGGAGTAAAAGAAAGTGACAAAAAAATTCCTGCTCAGAAACTATCATCTAGTTGGATAAACAATACTAGTAAATAAGAAATAACTCTCACTCAATATAAATCAGAATAGATTTAATAGCTAAAGTAAGTGCAATGAACCTTAAACTGCTATTGGAGTTTAGAAAAAAAATAAGATAATGGTATGCGTTCCCCAAAAGAATTATAAGTGAAAAACATATGAAAGAATGACAAACTTTACCCATTAATTTAAAATATAGATTAAAACACTGAAATGGCATTTTACGTTGATCTGGTTTAGCAAAGACTAAAGTATGATAACATACTAGGAGTCAACAATTTCAAATACCTGAGAACAGCAAGAGAAAAGCGCATTCATCTCTCACAGTCTTGTTTCCCAATACAATATTTGTTAAAAACATGGGTGGAGAGAAATATTTCACTTAAAAAAAAAAAACAATAGCACACAGCCAATGATAATAAGCAACTGGCTCAGAGCTGTTTTTATTTCTGTAAACAACAAGTAAAGAAAGGTACTCTCATACACTGCTATTTGGAATACAAATTGGCTAGCCCTTTAGAAGCACCATGCAACAATTTCTGTCAAAATGTAAAATCCAGCCTGGGCAACATGGTAAGACCCCATCTGTAAAAAAAAAAAAACTGAAAAATTAGAGGCCTGGGAGGTCGAGGCTGAAGTGAGCCATGATCGTGCCACTGCACTCCAACCTGGGTGACAAAGCAAGACCCTATCTCAAAAAAAAAAAAAAAAAAAAAAGAGGAAAATGTATATATCTTTTGAATTTATTCTGATGGAATAAGGCTAGCTAACATTTATTGAGCACTTACTATGCTCCAGGTACTATTCTAAGCATATATCATTTAATCCTCATGGCAATACTATGAGTTTGGTATTGTTATCAATATCACTTTAGAAATGAGGTAACTGAACTTAGAAAAGTTAAATAACTTGCCCAGGGTTTCATAATTAGTAAGTGGCAGAGTTGGGACAGAAATTCAGGCAGTCGGACTCTCAATTATGACACTATGTGCCAACATGAAACCAAAGATGAATGGCAGACATAAAGGTACTTATTGCAGCATTGCTCATTATAGGAAAAAAGAAAAGAAAAAGGGCAAAGGAAAACTAGATGCCCTTCAGCAGAAGCGTGATTAAATAAATCACAGTACAGCTATACAATAAAATAGTATTCCTTGAAAAGAATGAAATAATTTACATATATGGAAAAACCTCCAAATTACATTAAATAGAAAAAGCAAGGAGTAGAATAATGTGTAAAATTAAAGTCTATTTGGTCTCTAGGTAAACAGGGTAAATTAAACACATGAATTTTACTCTCAGTCTCCCTAGCACCAGTAAGAACAACAGTAAAAGAATTCTTTTTAAAGGCAAAACCAGTAAGGACAAAAAAACTTTCCTCCAAAAAACAAATGAACAAAATCAAGGAGAAAAGGCACAAAATGTGAGAGCTAGAAAACAAAGGAACAGGTGGTCACTGAGTTTACAGTTCCTAGAAAGCTAACTCCTAAACTGATGGAGAAGAAAGCTGAGAAGCTGCCCTAGTTGCATTGCAAAATCACCAGCAGCCTTAGGAATTGGCACCAGGTCCCCCTAGAAGTAAAGGTATGGATGGGGCTAAAAGCAGGAGGCTTGGTTGCAAGTGTGTTTAACCAGTAGTCAGGTCCCAGGCTCCCTTTCCCCACACCACCCAGCCAGATCCCTGGTAGAAGACCAGAGGCCCCAATCACCAAACCAAAACTCACTTAACAGAAGCTACTCTGCAGGAATGCCTAAGGAGCGCAGATTTGAACTAAAATTAACAGTTATAAACAAGAGAAAGGAAAAGGTGCAGCTGACTACATGGAGCTTAAGCATTTAGGCATAAATAATGCCACAGAGACCAAGCCTAGACAACTTGTTGCTCTGGCCAAAGATCCAAGAAGAACTTAAATTAACTTTTGTTTCCTGGCAATTACTTAGCTGCACTTTTCACAACAGCAAATCACTTCACCAAACTCTACTAAAATTAAATTAATGATCTTATAGATCAAATGCTCTGAAGGTCAAGAAGTTTTGGAGAACAAAATGGGGAAAAGGCAAAAAAGACAGACTGGGAGGGTTACATTAAGAGCCATGGGCTAAATAAACCAAGGTCTCTCAATATCAGCGCTATTGACATCTGGGGCCAGAAAATCCTTTGTTCTGTGCATTGAAAGATGCTTAGCAGAATTATTGGCCTCTACTCACTAGATGCACCCCCCTCAAGCTGTGAAAGCCAAAAATGTCTCTAGATGATGCCAAATCATTGCTAAATATCCACTGAGGAGGCAAAAATCACCCATGGTTGAGAATCACTAGGCTAGACTAAGCTTGTATTAATGTAGAGAGGAAGATCTTCAGCAAAATGAGTGTTTCTAACAATCCAAAGTCCAAAGTCCTAATAAGAAACAGCCTAATGAGGAGACCCTTGCCCAGCCTCAGAGGATAACCTAGGGCATATCCTTATGGTGTAAGTGTTCTTCTTCCGCCTCTGGTCAGTCTGATGCTCATGTCTCCTGTGTGGCAGGTGGCATGAGAGTCTACTGAAAATAATGAAATAAGGCAAAACATTTTCCAGTATCATCCCAGATTATTAATGTTCTAGGAATCTCCAATCAGGTCGTGCTATATTCCACTTCTCAGCCTGTAAACAAACAATTCTCTGGGGCCTCCATCTGACCAGCACCCTGTTAATCTGCTAAATCATAATTGCCTCTCTAAACTGTTATAACAGTTTCTGTAAAACAGATGGAGCACATTTCAAAGGCTCTTTTGAATGGAAATTTTCCATGCTGCCTACCTTAACTGAAGACCTTGACCCAGAACCTTCCTGTGATTCCTGATCCAGTAACCACTACCCATTTACCACCTATTAACCACTAGCTGTTTACTATTGAGCAAATCCCCAAGTCTATACTTCCTACCATTGGCCTTAATACACCAATGAAGGAAAGTCCATTAAATCAGTCTTGCCATGAAATTAAATTAAGCCTTTCAAGCTTCTTCCCAAACTGCCTCAATTCCCTTTACAGCATAAGGCTGAACAAAATATTCTCCTCTAATTACTTCTTTCTCATAGCAAAAAAATTGTAATACCAACTAAAAGCCTTTATAATACTCTTAAAAAAAAAAAAACCAGCAAAGCTATTTACTATTTGTTATAGGATCATCAGTCAGCAGATGGCATCTACCTTCTTTTCCAATGTCCCCAAGCCAGCCACTATCTTGTCATCATGTCACTTAAAATCAAGTTAGTATAGAGGAAGATCTTTGTTTTACCTTTTCTTCTATCCCAATCCATCTTTCTTCTATCCCAATCCATTTTAAAAGTTTGTTCTGCTTGCCTTTTCAGTCTCTTATTGTATTTACTTATAGGCAAGTTGAAATTCCTTAACCTTACTTTTGTCACTTGCCCAATTCAGTACACTTGCCAATGTACTGACTTGTGTCCCCTTGCCCCCACCCCAATTCATATGTTGATGCCTTAACCCTAAAGTGACTGTACTTGGTTGGACATAGGGCCTTTAAGGAGGTAATTTAGGTTAAATGCAAATGAGCTCATAAGAGTTGGATAGGACTGGTGTCCTCATAAGAGGAAGAGACACCAGAACTCACTCTTTCCCTCCCAGCATGTGTACATAGAAGAAAGGCCAAATGAGGACACAGCAAGAAAGCAGTTGTCTGCAAGCCAGGAAGAAAGGCCTCACCAGAAATCAGCCCCGATGGCACCTTGATCTTAGACTTCTAGTCTCCAGAACTGCGAAAAAATAAGTTTTTGTTGTTTAAGTCACCTAGCGTGTGGTACACTGTTATGGCAGCCTGAGCAGATGAATACAGACATGAAATAGCTATAGCAGAAAGATGTTGGTCTTCTGTCACAGAAACTATTTAAAGCTCCTAAGCCTACCAGTGTCATAGATGTACACTTCCTTGGACATAGTTGGCTACGGCCGATAGTGTATATTAAAATATGCTTTCTTCACTAAGCCATTATTATAGCTAACACCTATAAATCAGAATCAGAATCAACCTAGAGTCAGAAAAAAAGAGGCTTTCTCCTTTCCTAAAAAAGCCTTGTCCAGATCCCAGTACTGTCACTCTGAACATAAAAGTCATTTTCTGCCATAAAAATAAGAAACTACTCTCAAAGAGCTAACACACTCGTGGAGATAAAAAGCACTGTGGAGTTTTTAGTGTTTTTGCCGAACTCAGTAGCAGCCAGTTGGCCTCCATGTCAGCATTCTGTGGCAGTGGCTGCTGCTCCTTTCCTCTTTGCTTCCCCTCCTGTGGCTTATCTACACACTACTGCAGCACTCCTGAAGAGCAAAACACACCATCTCCGTAACACCCGACTAATGCAGAAGAAAAGTTTACCCTCTTCTGGTTATAATAACCTCAAACCAATGGCAACTGGTGGAGAATCCTATAATTGTTTTTTGTTTGTTTGTCTGTTTGTTTGGAGACAGAGTCTTACTCTGTTGCTCAGGCTGGAGTGCAGTGGTGTAATCTCGGCTCACTGCAACATCCGCCTCCCGGGTTCAAGCAGTTCTCCTCCCTTAGTCTCCAAAGTAGCTGGGATTACAGGCATGTGCCAACACACCTGGCCAATTTTTGTATTTTTAGTTAGAGACAGGGTTTTGCCACGTTGGCCAGACTGGTCTCGTACTCCTGACCTCAAGTGATCTGACCGCCTCAGCCTTCCAAAGTGCTGGGATTACAGGCGTGAGCCACCGCGCCTGGCCTCTATAATTGTTTTTATAATTATAACGCCTTGACACACTGTAAGTTGACTTCAAGACATTCCACTTCTTCCAAACCTGGTTCCTTCTTTAATGTGGATAAGACTCAGACTCTCAGAGGAGGTAGGTTTTGAGCTTGGTATCTGTTCCTAATAAGAGAGAGTAAAAGGTTCTCTTTCCACTCCTTTACATTCTAACTAGGCAACTAGAGCATATACTTTTACATTTCACACATCTGCCAAAATTTATTCTAATTCTTGCCTCTGGAGCTGGTTATAGTTCTGGAGTTGTTCATAATCATAGATGGTAGTAGAAATAAGAGTCTCTTACTTCAGCTGAGTAGATTTCTAATAGTCCTGGTATAAAACATTTTGCTCAGCAAAACTTCATAATAGTGCTATATATGGAAAGTTCTGGTTGATGCTGCTGTTCAAGGGAGAGGTCACAGTCCTTACCCTGACCATAGTGCCGTTTTTGTTCCCACCCACCAGTCTCCTTTAGCAAAGATGTCTTTTAAGGAAAGGATCCAAATTCAAAGAGGCTCTCTTGAACAACCAGGATAACTTGAACAACTAGATAACCTCTGAACTTCATTGTACCTGCCTACCTTTACTGTCACCCAAATGCATTCTCCCTCACCATGTACACATGACCCATGACAAGGTACAGGGGTTCAAAAATGGATAATAAGAACAGCTAGAAATAATTGGTACACCCAAAATGGTTGTGAATGAGGTCTATCAACAATTTTCACTTGCTGTGTTTGTCAAGTCACAGTATGAGCAAATCTATCAAGACAAAGAACACCAAGCTACTCTCATCCATTAGGGCCATTTGTAAATATTCCGATTTTATCCAAATGAAGAAATGTTCTACATGTCAGTATTTTTATGTGTTTTTAGAATGAGTAGAAGCATCTTTCAGCTTTTAACTACATTGTTTAAAAGATCCTTACATTTATCCCTGGAGATCCCTCGATTTAGGTTATCCCTAGATTTAGTATATCCTTGCTGAAAAAAGAAGACATGCTTTACAGGTCAGATATAAAGGAAATGTGTTAACACTTATGCATTCTAACTATGCTATCATTGTCCACGTCACTCAGAATCAGCTGCAATAGTGGCACATCAAAATGAAATACTGCAAAATAAAGAGGCACACGACCCTCATGAGTATGAGAAATACAGCTAATTAAGAAGAAAATAAAAGAATAATATAGCTAATTAAGAAAAAAATACAAGGAAAACTAACTGCATCTATTCCACAGAGCAGCCAAGGTGAGCTTGAAAAACCAGAAATCAGATAATGTGGTTTCTGATCATGTTTAGAATAAATTCCAAATTTATAAAGCCTTATATCAGGCCTACTTGCTTCTCTGACCCCATTGCATAGCACATTTTCCTTCTTTTCTACTCATTAGGTTATAATGCCATAAAGCGGCACACCCTTAGGAAGGCACATTTTAGATGAGCCAAAAAGCAAGTCTGTGGCACATTATGACTAAACTAACCCAATTAATACTATCAGGGAAGAATTAGTAGATATCTTTAAGGACAACTTGCCTCACACACAAATGCCTAACTATGTCATTCACAAATATTAACAAAAATCCATTACAGAAAAAGCCAAGTATGTATCAGTGGGCTCATTAAGATGTGGCCATCTGGGTCTGAAATATTATACTATAGCTCAGCACCAGCACTATTCTATATATGTAATAATAACTGTCACACTGGAACCTCTTCTGAAATTATAAATGCATGTGTCCACTTTAGTATGCAATGCCTGTGAGGTTTATTCCAGAAAACCTCAAACTTACTTGGAAGTCTCTTACGTTATTCATAGTGGTAACTTAGCTACATGATTTCAGAAAGCAAATACTAAAAGTCTACCAAATAGCACATGTAAGGTAAGTGCCATTTACACTATCTCTTTCTGGGAAATTCTCCAAGCACATCCCTTTCTGAAAGGTTACTTTCCTAGAATCATGAAGAATCTCCAAGCTTGTTTACACAAACCCCCTCCTTTCCTTCCCTCCCCTCCTCATTCTTGCCATAGCGAATTAAACTGCTGATGAATGCCTGACCAGGAGGCAGCAATAATATAGCTGCTGATGTCCCATGAAGTGGCCTGGTGTAAACAGTATGTCCCCCTCCCCAAATATCCTATATTAGGTTGTAATCCACAGACTCAGTAAAATCTTCACATGAGCTCTGAATGTGAAACAAAGAAGGAGAAATAATCTAAGACAACCACAAACAAGAGACATAGCAAAAGCCATGCAATAGTTTAAATCCGGAGTAAGCAGCAACCAGTCAGTCTTAGGAAAAGCAGAATAGCTGAGGCTCCATTTTGACATAGCATTAGAAAGAGGACCAGGTGTTGTTCGCGGAGGTGCTGCAGTAACCAAATTCCCTGAGCTGCATTTTATCCTATTCAACACATCCTAATTCTCCTAGAGGTCTTCTGAAATGGTTTCCTGTTCTTAATCTCCTCATGGAGTTTTTCCATACATCTCTATTACATGAGCATATCTCTACTTCTTAGCACATGATGCTCTCTGATTTCTCTGCCAAAGCTGTTCTTTTCCTCATCCTCCCCAACTGGGTATGACACAACATCCCTCCAGTTATTCAAGCCAAATATCTGGCAGGGTTTTTTAAAAACTTCTTATTATGGATATTTAAAAATATTAACAAAAGTAAAGAGAATGGCATCTATTACTCACCTTTTGAGAATATCAACCTTTCAACAATCGTGTTTTATCTATTTCACACCACACCCCAGATCAAAGAATTTATTATTGATTTATCACCTTCCTCTCATCCTTCATAACCAGCTCACTGGAAAGTCTTATCATTACCTCTGAAAATTATCCAGAATTCATCCATTTCTCATCTTCACTAATACCACCTTAATCAAAGCCACAATCATCTCTCAACTAAGCTACTGCAACAGCCTTGTAATTGGTCTTCCTGCTTCTACTTTTGCTCCCTACTTCAACCTATTCCATAGAGCAGCCAAGGTGAGCTGTCAAAGTCAGAAATCAGGTAAGTGTGGTTTTCCATTGCATTTAGAATAAACACCAAATTCACAAAGCTTGACATCTGGCCTGCTTTCTTCTCTGCCCCATCTTGGAACAGTCTCAGTCCTGCTACATCACACTGGCCTTCTTTATGTCCCTTCAAACTCTCAAGCCCATTCCTGCCTTGAGACTTTGCATGAGCTGCTGCCCTGGCCTAGAATCCTGTCAGATTCTCATGTTGTTGACTCCCTGTTGCCTTTTAGATCTCAGTTTAACTGTCACAGCCTCTGAAAAAACTTCCTTAACCACCCAATCTATAGCAGTCACTTGCTATCACATTACCATTTGAATTATTTTTCATCCATCTTTCTTTTTTATGTCTCCCTCTCATAGAGTGTAAGCTCCCAGAAATAGGACTGTAAGAAGACCTATCTAATATTCATTCTTCTTTCTTAAAAAAAAAATCCTGATTTTGTTCAGGTATCAACTCCTTCCGTGTGGCCATGGGCCTCAGGAGAAGCTGACCCTCTTATCCTCTAACTCCAGGGAATAATATGATTCAACAATGAATATCTCATATCCCTTGCCAGTGATTAGTTCAGAAATGAGCATGTGGCCCAATCCTGGCCAAGAAGACATAAGGAAAAGTTTGCTAGAGACGTCTAAGAAAGTAGCTCCCTAACTCCTGAAAGAGTCATGAAAAGCCCAAGTCTTTTTCTCCCTCTACCCATTAATGAAGAAACATGTTGTCCACACTACATCTGTGAATGAAACAGGCATTAGGATGAAGCCAACACTGCATATACAAAGTAGACAGAATGAAATAACTTGACATATTTGAATTGCCTGATCAACCAACCCAGGATTCCATTCTATCTTTGGACTTCCTTCTATGTAAGCGAATAAATTTTCTTCATATTTAAGCCAATTAAAGTTAGATTTTTTTATTACTCATATGTGAAAATATACTAACATATATAGGAACTTTGTCTGCCTTGTTCCTTGCTATACTCCCAGCATCTAGAAAAATGCGTAGAATATGGTAGGTACAGCAAATATTTGAGTGAATAGTGAAAGAATATAAAAGAATAATTTATGAAAGATAAAGAATCCTAAAACAATTATTCTCCATTTAGCCCACTGCTATGGTTTGAATGTGCCCCCAAAAAACATGTGTTGAAAGTTTAATCCCCAATGCAACAGTGTTGGGAAATGGGGCCTAATGAGAGGTAATTAGGTCATGAGAGCAGAGTGAATAGATTAAGGACGTTAATGAGGGAGTAGGTTCCTTATTGTGGGAGTGAATTTGTTATAAAAAGAGGAGTATTGGCCCATGTTTTCTTCCCTCCCACCCTCTCCACCAGCCTCTGGTCCTATCACCTTCACCGTATTATGATGCAGCAAGAAGGCTCTTGCCAGATGCTGGCCCCTGATCCTGGACTTCCCAACATCCAGAACTGTGAGCCAATCAATTTCTGTTCATTATGAACTACCCAGTCTCAGGTATTCTGTTATAGCAACACCAAGTGAACGAAGACACCCGCTTTAGCTACAATGTCATTAAGTTCCTTAAGAAGAGGTATCTAGTTAAGTACTAATAAGTAAGCACAAAAATATTCTTGACATCGAATTTAAAATGTCAGCTTGACAGGGAAATATGTCACCATCATTACAAAAGGAAAATGCCACTATCAAAAAACATGCATATATTTGTAAAGACTTACAGGTTCTTGTGGTTCATTTTCTTCCCATGCTCCCCAACCATCATCTTCCCAGTCTGTTGATTTACCTGTTTTTAAAAAGATGAACAATGCTTGCATGAAATATAGGGCTTTAAATATCTTTAAAGCATTTTTTCTAAACATCATAGAACCAACCCCTGTATAATGCTGATATTAAGAAAGAAAATAAGGGTAAACTGTGTTATACCAGGATTTTGCTATATGTAATAACAATCAGAAAATATTTGACCTACTGAATTTCTAAATTTATATATTAGCAAAATTGTGTGCAAGTTATTAGTGAAATTGTGTGTGAGTTATCTGGATCTTAAGATATTGGACATCAAGTTAATTCACATTCAAATCAAGCTGCAAAGGTGACGTTTTAAAAATCTAAAAATGACAAATGTTTATTACTCAAGATACTGGACAAATATACACGGTGATAAAAAAAACACCTAAAATTTCACAGATGTCTTAAAAAAGTAACTTGCTTTTTGATAAGACTAATCATCAATGGAAAATAAAACTGAATTTTGAAACAAGACAAACCTACTATTCTGCACCCTTTTCTGATATTCTGTGATTTCTTATATGTTGGATCGTCCTCTCAGAGGAAAATAAGACGGTCAACAACAATGCAACAAGGAATGTAAAAGCCCAGATAGGTTTGGACAGTATGTTCCCTTACAAGGTCCAGGTGACTGGTTTTTACATAGTCATCTTTTAATTTATCAGAAGAGAAAAAGCTATCATTTTTGAACAACTACTCTGAGACAAGCATGAGATACTTTGTATGCATTAATAAAGTACAAATAAAACTTTAGGCCCCAGAATCACGCTGCCTAAGTTTTATTTGAACTTTATCATCTTTAAAAATTTAATTTGAGGCAATACATATAAAGTGTATGTGTTTTTTTTTTGAGATGGAGTCTCACTCTGCTGTCCAGGCTAGAGTACAATAGCGCAATCTTGGCTCACTGCAACCTCTGCCTCCCGCGTTCAAGCCATTCTCCTGCCTCAGTCTCTGGAGTAGCTGGGACTACAGGCACCTGCCACCACGCCCGGCTGATTTTTGTATTTTTATTAGAGACAGGGTTTCACCATATTGGCCAGGCTGGTCTTGAACTCCTGACCTCAAGTGATCCACCCACCTTGGCCTCCCAAAGTGTTGGGATTACAGGCGTGGATCACCACGCCCGGCCTTGAGGTAATACATATAAAGTATTGAATGCTTGTTCAAATCCTGATCTAGCACTTACTGTCTCTGTGACCTAGTGCAAATTACCCATCTAAACTTTAGTTTTTAATCATAAAGGCATGGAAAACATGACTACCTCTATCTGGTAGGGTTGTTGTAAGGACTTACACCAGATAGCATACTAAAGTCCTCAGTGCCTGACACATACCAAGTTCTCAATGCTGGTCAAGGTTTAGCTAAATAAAATATTATATTTAAGCAATCAGCTTTAAAATTCTGGGGGGAAAACAATTTAAAAGATGGGACTGATCCTGATGGCTTACAGCAGGAAGCAAATAGATTCACTTATATACGAGGTTTTAAAGGTTGCTGAAATCAATTACATACAGATGATTAAAGAATTTGTTATAGTCTAGTACTTGGAGTCATTGTTCAATTAGCTTTGTAGTAACAGTCTAATCTTCTGTACTTAAATGCCAAATAATTACTTCCTAATAGGTATATATTAAGTCCTAAAATAGCACTATCATTTGATTAACATTGCACAATTTATAGAAGAGTTCCATATACAAGTCAATTAGCAATTTAACAAATACTCTATTAAACACCATGTGGCAAATCCTGTAGTAGGAGCTGAGAAAAGTACAAACATACTCCTTGCCCTTGAAGAATTCATGATCTACTGTAGAAGGCAGACAAACATGGAACCATAATATATGGTGAGTGCAGTAATGGACTACTAATGGGAACTTGGATGAGAAAGTAAGAGATGGGGAAAAAAATACAATGAATAGTTAACTTAAACTCAGTCCTTAAAAAGTAGCTAGAAAGGCTAGGGGAAAAAGTCAACATGAATGAAAGAGGCAGAAAGATGCAATGTATATGACGACTAACATGTATTAAACATTTCTGTATGCCTAAATGCTTTATAGACATTATTAGTTCATTTAAACATCACAGGATCCTTTATTGTCCCTATTTTACAATGAGAAAACAGATTTCTTGGAGAGTTTAAGTAGTTCGACCAAAATCACACAGGAGTAAGTGGCAGAGTACAGTGTGAGTTCAGGTCTGAGTTCCAAAACCCATGCTCCTAAGTATTAGACTACATGTACTCCTACTATGCCTCATGAAGGGTAAGATTAGGGAAAAGTGGAGTTTACAGTTAAGGCCAAAAGTAAGAAGGTTCTTATTTAAAAATAGAAACATTCCCTTGATATTGCAATTTAGAGATATTTTTAACTTGGAAAATTAGCTTGTTTTTTGGCGATTTAATTCAATTAAGCAATCTCTTTATTTTGCTAATTTTTCCATTGCACCAGAAACAATTGTCTTATTGTGAGTTTAAGGCAGGCAACAAGGCTATCCCATTTAAAGTTTCAGAATATGTATTATCTCTTACATTAGAAAGCAAAGAATCTAAAAGAGCTTATTACTATAAAGTTCATGATTCAATTTTTAAATTGCTATAAAAATAATGTATATATCAAATTACCACAATCTCGAAAAGACCATGCAGAATTTAGACTCTTCAGGAAGGCTGTAATCATTCATGCATTCAACAAACACATCTTTTATGTTCTGGGAACTGTGCTAAGTGCTGGAAATATAAAAGCAAATAAGCCTTCAAAGAGCTTAGTTTGTGTACATAACCTCTGTTGAATGTGTATAAAATAAACTATAAAAAGTGTGTTATTTCTCCTCCATATTGGTATAAAAAGTACCTGACTCAATTCACAAATGACTCATATAAGCAAATAGAAGACAGCAGTAATTTGGATTTCCTACCCCTGCAGAGACCCAGTATCTCTCTATGCCACAATTCAGAACCTCCAAGAAAAGAAAGACCTTGAGAAATACTTTATACAAGATATTTAGGTTTATGAAGGTTTACCCATTCTCAATGCCCCTGACTGGAAAGCTTCTTTCAACAAAAAGGAAAGAGAATTTAATTGGGCATCTTCTATTATCATAGGAATACATTTTTCCCAACCAAGTCAAGATAAAGGAAGGTGAAACAGCACTATTATTCAGCTAAGTTTAAGATATTTTTTGTAGGTTGCTCTAGAAGACTAAGCCTATTTATAATACTATGAGAGAATGCATTCCAAATTATAGTCACCTTAAAAATGGGAAATGTTTTGCCAGTGGGGCAATACCCTTGTGGCTATTTATTTTTATTTTTTATTTATTTATTTTGACATGGAGTCTTGTTCTGTCACCAGGCTGGAGTGCAGTGGTGCCATCTCGGTTCACTGCAACCTCCAACTCCCTGGTTCAAGCGAGTCTCCTGCCTCAGCTTCCCGAATAGCTGGGATTACAGACATGTGCCACCACACCCAGCTAATTTTTGTATTTGTAGTAGAGACGGGGGTTTCACCATGTTGGCCAGGATGGTCTCAAACTCCTGAACT
This sequence comes from Homo sapiens, assembly GCF_000001405.40. NCBI lineage: Eukaryota > Metazoa > Chordata > Mammalia > Primates > Hominidae > Homo > Homo sapiens. The sequence goes on from NC_000001.11 coordinate 220,236,411, forward strand.
CGTGATCCGCCCACCTCGGCCTCCCAAAGTGCTGGGATTATAGGCATGAGACACTGCGCTCCGCCCCTTGTGGCTATTTCTACTCAGTGCCAGTGATTTAATTTTTGTGGCCTCCTATGTCCTATTGAAAATCATTTGAGAATATTTGCAAGGAGGTAGTGGACAGCAATTTTCAGCTATTAAAAAGTGTTAGAAACCCAGCACTTTACCAAAGTTATTTCTTACGCCTTCAGGTTAGGCAAGCAGGTCAAGCACATTCTTTAGAAAAAAAAAAAAAGGTATATATTGAGAAAATAGCTGATGAATGTCTAATAAAATTGCCATTCATGTAAAGAATTCTGTTCAGGCACGGTACTTCCTTCTGGTAACCTTTCCAAGAAGGATGGTATTCTTTAATCAATATCATTAGTATTTTTTAATTGATCATTGGTCAAGAATGTAGGTAGCCAAAGCAATGTTCAACATAACTTTGAGAACTATGTACTGTTTTAGGTTAATATGGAATATTACTATAAGGCCTTGAGGTTCACAAACTCTACGTCATCATGAAGAAATAAGACTGATTTGCCTAATTTATTATCAATTACTTCCAAAAAAGCTAAAAATGGCTCACCATGATTGTTTCTTAGAAGAATAAATAGATCAATATCTTTTATAAGACAGGGTAATTTGAAAGCCCTAAGCTCTGGTATAACTTAAAAAGGCAAATCAATTTAACAAAAGGTATCATGGAATTAAGGACACCAGGACAGCCAACTTCTTTAGGACAGTCTAGATCCAGTGTAAAGATTCCAAACATTCCACCAATCACCAAATCCCATAGCCAGAGCTATGTGGCTCTCATTTCCGTGAAAGACTAGACTACAAATTATACGGCAATTTAAACAGTTACTTTCCCTATTTATTAAATAAGTAGCAACCACCCAATCTCCAAAAAGCAATTCTGTAAATGACACTGTTATCAACTGCCTATGTCTTTCGTTTTACTGTAGTCCAATCTAACAAAATTGGTCAGAAAATTAAGAAAACAGCATTCACATTAATTGTCTTCATAAAACCAGCGTTATAGTTTCTCCTGCAGATCCCCCCTTGATGGGTAGGCCTTAAAACCTTTACAATGAAGAAATTAAAATAATGAGTTAGGGATGACTGAAGTTTTAGAGATGGCTCTACTCTCAGAGATTCTGTTTCAGGAGGTCTGCAATGGATACAGGAATCTCTATTTAACAACTTTTCCCACCCTAAAAATTTGAGGCAGATGGTGCATGCATGGATCACCTAAAGGATAAACCTAAGTGCTGGTCTAATTTAATCCTAAATATTGTTTTCCTTTGCCTGTCATCACTCTTCTATTCTTTCACTCCAGTTGGACTGTTCATTCACTGGTATGCAATCTTGAAGAGCACTGTCTAATAGAAATATATCATGAGCTACCTATGTAATTTTAAATTAACTAATAGCCATATTAAAAAGTAAAAAAAAAAAAAACAACAGGTGAAATTAACCTTAATAATATAGTTGATCAGAATACAACCAGAATATTGTTTCAATGCATAATCAATGCAAAATTATTGGTGAGATATTTTACATTCATTTTTCATATATACTCTTCAAAATCTGATGAGTGTTTTTTTAGTTTAGTTTAGTTTTGAGAAGGGGTCTCTCTGTCACCCAGATTGGAGTGCAGTGGTGCAATTATAGCTCACTGCAGCCTCGATCTCCTAGGCTCAAGTGATCCTCCCACCTTGGCCTCCCAAGTAGCTGGGACTACAGGTGTGCATCACCAAGCCTGGCTAATTTTTTTTCTCTTTTTTTGTAGAGATGAAGCCTTGCCATTTTGCCCAGGCTGGTGATGTGTGTTTTACATGTAGAGCACATCTCAGTTTTTCCTAGTCACATTCCAAGTGCTCAAAACTACATGTGGCTAGTGGCTACAGTATAAGACAGCTCAAGTCTAGAACATCAACTCAATCTCAGGTTTAACTGAGTTGTCAGGTTGCACTGGATTGGTTGCCCAGTTTTACCTTCTAAAGAGTTATATGATCTTGGGCAATTTATTTAATTTCTTACTGCCTCGGCTTCCTCTTCAGCAAAAATGGAGTTAAAAACTGCACCTATCTCACAGAGTTGTTATAGTTAAAATATGCAAAGCACTTTTACAGTGCCTGGCACATAGACACCCTTAATAGCTGTTATAATTACCACTCTCCAAATACAACATTCTCTCTTACTCTCTGCCTTTGCCTATCCTACACCCATTAACTAAATGCCTCCTAAGTGACTCTACCTCTCCAAATCCAACTTCTCCAAACTAAGGTTAATCCTTTATGAAGTTTTCTTGCATCCACCAATGATCTTTCCCTCTTGTGAAACTACAGCATTTGACTGTGTTTCTTATTCAGAACTTAATTATATACTGTTTTGGGTCATTTGCTGCATTGTTAGTTAACATGTACTTATCTAACATAAATGTACACCCTGTCTACACAACTATTAGGCTCTTACAGGGCAGAGAACGTGTATCCTGTGTATGTGCACACACATACACATACATAAAAGTATCATAAGTACTTAATAAATATTTGCTAAACGAATAGTAATTGAAAATGACATTCTTACTCAAATCCTTCCGCATATACCCCCATAAAAGCAGCTGTATTTAAATTAATATTTTATAATATAATGAACAAATCAGTGGTTGTTTCTAAACCTTTTGCATTTCAAAAGAAATACAACAAATACAAAAGATTATGTTTTATAAACTTTATATATACAGACTTATATTCAGGATCCAAACCATCTTTTTCAAACAACTTTTTTTTTGTGGGGCTCAGGGGAGGGACAAGGTCTAGCTCTATTGCCCAGGGTGGACTGCAATGATGTGATCCTGGCCCACTGCAGGCTCTATCTCCCAGGCGCAAGCAGTTCTCTTACCTCAGCCTCCCAAGTAGCTGGGACTACAGGCATATGCCACCATGTCCGGCAAATTTTTGTATTTTTTGCAGAGTCGGGGTTTCACCATGTTGACCAGGTTGGTCTTGAACTTGTAAGCTCAAGCGAACTGCCCATCTCTGCCTCCCAAAGTGCTGGGATTACAGACATGAGCCACTGCACCCGGCCTTCAAATAACTTTTGTATGTAACATTACAATATTAATAATTTTTTTCTATTCCATCCCATTTTAATTAGTGAGAAAAAATAATTAAAAAGCACAATTTCTTAGCTTTAGTTTTGATTATGAAATAATAGGAATAGTATAGTATTTTGTTTGAATTCAAGTCTAAGAGGCAGAATTTGATTAAACCTGAAGATCTTCTAAAAACCTAGTTCAGAGTAGATGGCTTGATATGCATTAAAGGATTTTTATATTTCACACACACACGTGCACACACAATGTATTTTTCAACATTTCAGAACAAAATTTGTATCATTACTAACAAAACATCCTACATCAATAATGGAAAACCAATTTGCTCAATTACATGGGACTTTCAACAACCTGATTTCATGGTAGGGATAGAAGAAATAATTATAAAAGCCATTGAGTTCCCAAATAAACACCATGCCATTTTGAAGATTAAAAAAAAAAAAAAAAAAGAACACCACATCATTCTTGTGTCTGTAGTCTATTATGCAAATATTCTTTTTGCCAACAGTGACTAAAACAGGTTACACTAAAAACAGTTCAAGAATAGCAAATATTGCTTACTGGAGAAATCTAAAAATAGATGATGAGAATGCTTCTCAGGTCTTGTTACTTTCATGCTACGATTCACATCCATAGGAGACGTTTAGGAGATGTTGTTCCTAAAGTGGCCATGTTACAACTGTATTACATCAGGACAGCGTTCCAGCAATAAGGAAAATATTTCAGATTCATGTTTGTAACTGAGCTTTCTCAGCTCATTTGTTGTACAATTTGATAAAATAGCATTTCTGGGAATATAAGATATTTCTACTTTGTTTTAAATCTTTAATCTTTTTTTTCCTCAATCCCTTCTTAAGGGGTGAACTTCCTTTAAAATTTATTCTGTTTACATTCTTATCCATTTTTTTCCTTAAAATTCACAGAAAATCAAAGATTGCATTAAAGATTTCATTTGGGTCTTTCAAGAAATTTGTCATCTTAAAATATTTTGTTTGTCCACCTCAGTTGCTGAAATTTTCTTTCACTCTGGTTTATACCACATCTTGAATCATACCCTTTCTCTAAATAAGATTAATAAGCTGATCTCCAACCAACTTACATGATATGAAGAGAAATAAAGAGGAGCGAGATAAAGTTACAAATAATAGTAACAAAAAAGCAACTGCATCCTCATTGATTAGTAACCTGACTTTTCAATCTTTAACTTTTTTTTTATACCTATCACTGAACAGGACTATTTGAACTATTAATATCTAGAATAATCGGTAACATAACCATAAACTCCTGTTCTTACCCTCACCAAGTTAAATGTTTTGACTGAATAAATAAAACCAATGACTTCAAAATGTAAAATGTAACCACAATTCCCTTCTGAAGAGAATTTTTTCCTTGAAGAGATTAGATTTTACTAGTATGAAAAACCTGTTATGTCTCTCATTTGATAAATGAAACCTTCAAACCATACAGAAAACATATTTTAATCAATCATCAAAAAAATTATAGATGTCTTGTTTAGGGGTATTTCCATTCAATGAATTATTCTAACAACAGAAGCTTAAATAAGAAATTCAACTTCTGCTTTCCACAGCTCTATTTAATTCCCAAAATACATTATCCTAATTTGCTTCTGAACAGTCTGTCCTCATAAACTGAGTGTATGTTTTTTTTCATTTAACAAGAACCTGAAGCTAGAAAGGAAATTGAATTCTAGAAGTGGGCAATTGATTTGACAGTATTTGCTTTTTCCAATATGAGTATGTCAAGTTCAAATACTAAATGAGAAACTGAAAACATTAAATGTTAGGAAAAGGAAAATTTAATTTAGTTTCTGTGGTCTAATAAAAGATCTTAGTACAGAAGTAAATTCATTTCCGTTCTTCTGAGATGAGAAAAAAACAGAGATAATGTACTTGCTTCTATAAAAAGTAAGAACCTCTACAACCTATGACTTGTAAATAATTTAGGGGATTCAGCAAATTTTACTTGGCTCTACTTGGCCAAGGCAAGAAAAGCATCACCCAGCAGTACAAAGCTAAAAGACAAAAGAAAAGTCTAAAGAATAGAGAAGCTGCCTCTTATATTCCTATACATCGGAATTATTAATTTTTTCCATCTCTAGGGAAATGGAAAATAGGAAAATAAATTTCATATTAGCATGAAATTTCATATTAGCAAGAAATACTAATTTGAAAATAAATTTCATATTAGTCACTTAGTCACTTACCAAAGGGTTATATTACAAACATTAAAAATGTACATGTCTATTATAATTCTGTTTTTTTAACAACTTCATATTTATATATTATTTATTTTTTATATCCAAAACAACAGAAAAAGTTAAGCATGTCTAAAAAGGTGAAGAAGGCTGCAACATTATGAAATGTAGGTAAAGGTATGCAAAAATTGCTAACTAAAGGTAATTTCTGCATGTTCTAGAGAAACCAATTCTATATTTTCCTTCCTTAACCTACTCTACTATTTGAGTACTGTCCCTGAGAAATCTCCTTATATTTAAATTAAATCCTTCCTAAACCAGCCTAATTTTGCTATTACTGTTTTTCTTCAAAGTACACACAGAGAAAGTCTGATAATAATTTTAACAATATCACATGATAACATGGAATATTTTGGTTCCATAGTAAAGAAAAAATTGTAGATAGCATATTTATCATTGTTTTATTTCATAGTTAGCATTCCTAAAACAAGGACAAACATCCAACTCAGACACAATCCAACACACAATAGACATTTGTTCGTTATTAAGTTCCTACTACAAATCATCTGTGTACCAATGCTGGGGATATAAGAAATATATTACTCATTCCCTGGCCTAAAGTGGTGTATAATTTAGTGCACAATATAGAGACATCAACAGACAAATGCAACACAAGGCTGATATTACCAAAAAAAAAACTGGAAACTAGGGAAAAAAGTTAGCCACATACATTGAAATGAAGGTTTCCGTGCAATTAATACAGATACAAGCCATTATTCTTTCACAGCTCCGTATTATACCACTGTGTCAATGTAGCATAACTTAATCAACCTTCTAGTATCAGGTATTGTTTTTAACTTTTTTGCAGTTATAAGCACTTCCTTGTAACATGAAACTGTATACTGATTTTTTGACTTTACAAACTGTTTCCAACCTTGCTAAACAACTTTACGAACCATTATTTTTTAAATGAGTAGAGAAAATGTGACTTCAAATATAAGGTAATCATCTATTTTTCCAAACAGAAGATCCAAAAATACAAAGTTTTTTGGGCAATCTGAATACTATACATTGCAAATGCAGGCACTTAGATGACATAATCAAATGCCTACATGTGACATTTAATTGTCACACATCATATAACATTAATTTAGAGATAAAAATGTTCAAAATCCCAATGACAGAAAATACACTGACTTAGAACTCTTGCTTTTATTCATTTTCGTTTTTCAGGAAACAAAACCCTTCCACATGCACCTTCAACATCAGCCTTTATTTTTTTAAAAAAAAGATATAACAGGCTGGGCACGGCGGCTCACGCCTGTAATCCCAGCACTTTGGGAGGCCGAGGGGGGCGGATCACAAGGTCAGGAGATCGAGACCATCCTGGCTAACATGGTGAAATCCCATCTCTACTAAAAATACAAAAAATTAGCCGGGTGTGGTGGCAGGCGCCTGTAGTCCCAGCTGCTTGGGAGGCTGAGGCAGGAGAATGGTGTGAACCTGGGAGGCAGAGCTTGCAGTAAGCCGAGATCGTGCCACTGCACTCCAGCCTGGGTGACAGAGAGAGACTCCATCTCAAAAAAAAAAAAAAAAACATAATAATAAACACATGTATTTACTACACGCAAAGCATTGCTCTAAGCACAACAGCTTTCCCTCTGAGGTATGTACTACTGTTACTTCCATTTCTAAGATGAAATTTCTGAGGCAAATGGAGATTACATAACTCGCTCAAGGTCACACAACTGATAAGTGGCAGAACTGGGATTCGGACCCACGCAGGCTAGCTCAGATGCCATCTTCCATCTACTTTTTCAGTCAACTGTTTTCCAGAGTACATCATCTTCAGTACCATCTCAGTTATTTGAGATAGTCTTTTGAATCTGGTATGATGCTGTCACTGGTCGTTTTGAGTCCACTCACAGTCTCTATTAGCATAACACGTTAAACAGCAATACAACGAGGTGCTGCTATGGAGATCAAAGCTATAGAGCTATACAGAAAATACCTTTGTCCCCTACAGAAAATAGTTTTTTCTTATGCCCAAAGTCTATTTACAAATATTAATTAGGTTACTACCCAGAAAGCAAACTTTGATACAACATCCCAAAAGCAGAAAACACAGGCACAGAAGGGACTACCTTAAAGTAATAAAAGCCATATATGACAAACCCACAGCCAACATCATATTGAATGGGAAAAGTTGAAAGGATTTCCCCTGAGAACTAGAACAAGGCAACTTTTACCACTTCTATTCAACATAGTACTGGAAGTCCTCACAAGACTAATCAGACAAGAGAAAGAAATAAAGGCCATCCAAATTGGAAAAGAGGAAGTAAAAGTGTTGCTGTTCACTGATGATATGATCGTACAAAAAATCCTAAAGATGCATCCAAAAGGCCCCTGGATCTGATAAGTGAATTCAGTAAAGTCTACAGTTACCAAATCAATGTACACAAATCAGTAGCACTACTATACACCAACAATGACCAAGCTGAGAACCAAATCAGCAACTCAATCACTTTTACAACAGCCGCAAAAAAATAAAACACCTAGGAATATACTTAACCAAGAAGGCAGAAGATCTCTACAAGGAAAACTACAAAACGCTGCTGAAAGAAATCACAGATGACACAAACAAATGGAAACACATCCCATGCTCATGGACGGGAAGAATCGATATTGTGAAAATGATCATACTGCCCAAAGCAATCTACACATTCAATGCAATTTCCATCAAAATACCATCATCATTTTTTCACAGAACTAGAAAAAAAATCCTAAAATTCATATGGAACAAAAAAAGAGCCCGCATAGCCAAAGCAAGACTAAGCAAAAAGAACACATCTGGAGGTATCGCATTACAGGACTTCAAATTATACTACAGGGCTATAGTTACCCAAACAGCATGGTACTGATGTAAAAATAGGCACTTAGACCACTGGAACAGAATAAAGAACCCAGAAGTAAAGCCAAATATTTACTGCCAACTGATCTTTGGCAAAGCAGAATGACAATGGATCCCCATCTCTCATAAAAAATCAACTCAAGATAGATGAAAGACTTAAATCTAAAACCTGAAACCATAAAAATCCTGGAAGATAACATTGGAAAAACTCTTCTGGATATTGGCTTAGGCAAAGTATTCCTAAGACCCCAAAAGCAAGTGCAGCAAAAACAAAAATAAATAAATGGGATCTATTTAAATTAAAAAACTTCTGTACAGCAAAAGAAATAATCATCAGAGTAAACAGAAAACCCACAGAGTGGGAGAAAATATTCAAAAACCATGCATCTGTCAAAGGACTAGCATCCAGAATCTACAAGGAACTCAAACAAATCAGCAAGAAAAAAAAAAACTCATTAAAAAGTGGGCAAAGAGGAGGAGCCAAGATGGCCGAATAGGAACAGCTCCGGTCTACAGCTCCCAGCATGAGTGACACAGAAGACGGGTGATTTCTGCATTTCCATCTGAGGTACCGGGTTCATCTCACTAGGGAGTGCCAGACAGTGGGCGCAGGCCAGTGGGTGCGCGCACCATGCGCGAGCCGAAGCAGGGCGAGGCATTGCCTCACTTGGGAAGCGCAAGGGGTCAGGGAGGTCCCTTTGCGAGTCAAAGAAAGTGGTGACGGAAGCACCTGGAAAATCGGGTCACTCCCACCCGAATATTGCGCTTTTCAGACAGGCTTAAAAAACGGCGCACCACGAGATTATATCCCACACCTGGCTCGGAGGGTCCTACGCCCATGGAATCTCGCTGATTGCTAGCACAGCAGTCTGAGATCAAACTGCAAGGAGGCAGCGAGGCTGGGGGAGGGGCGCCCGCCATTGCCCAGGCTTGCTTAGGTAAACAAAGCAGCCGGGAAGCCCCAACTGGGTGGAGCCCACCACAGCTCAAGGAGGCCTGCCTGCCTCTGTAGGCTCCACCTCTGGGGGCAGGGCACAGACAAACAAAAAGACAGCAGTAACCTCTGCAGACTTAAATGTCCCTGTCTGACAGCTTTGAAGAGAGCAGTGGTTCTCCCAGCAAGCAGCTGGAGATCTGAGAACAGGCAGACTGCCTCTTCAAGTGGGTCCCTGGCCCCTGACCCCCGAGCAGCCTAACTGGGAGGCACCCCCCAGCGGGGGCAGACTGACACCTCACACGGCAGGGTATTCCAACAGACCTGCAGCTGAGGGTCCTGTCTCTTAGAAGGAAAACTAACAAACAGAAAGGACATCCACACCGAAAATTTTCGCAACCTACCCATCTGACAAAGGGCTAATATCCAGAATCTACAGTGAACTCAAACAAATTTACAAGAAAAAAACAAACAACCCCATCAAAAAGTGGGCGAAGGACATGAACAGACACTTCTCAAAAGAAGACATCTATGCAGCCAAAAAACACATGAAAAAATGCTCATCATCACTGGCCGTCAGAGAAATGCAAATCAAAACCACAATGAGATACCATTGCAGTTAGAACGGCAATCATTAAAAAGTCAGGAAACAACAGGTGCTGGAGAGGATGTGGAGAAATAGGACACTTTTACACTGTTGGTGGGACTGTAAACTAGTTCAACCATTGTGGAAGTCAGTGTGGCGATTCCTCAGGGATCTAGAACTAGAAATACCATTTGACCCAGCCATCCCATTACTGGGTATATACCCAAAGGACTATAAATCATGCTGCTATAAAGACACATGCACACGTATGTTTATTGTGGCATTATTCACAATAGCAAAGACTTGGAACCAACCCAAATGTCCAACAATGATAGACTGGATTAAGAAAATGTGGCACATATACACCATGGAATACTATGCAGCCATAAAAAATGATGAGTTCATGTCCTTTGTAGGGACATGGATGAAATTGGAAATCATCATTCTCAGTAAACTATCGCAAGAACAAAAAACCAAACACCGCATATTCTCACTCATAGGTGGGAATTGAACAATGAGATCACATGGACACAGGAAGGGGAATATCACACTCTGAGGACTGTCGTGGGGTGGGGGGAGGGGGGAGGGATAGCATTGGGAGATATACCTAATGCTAGATGACGAGTTAGTGGGTGCAGCGCACCAGCATGGCACATGTATACATATGTAACTAACCTGCACGATGTGCACATGTATAATAAAAAATAAATAAATAAAAAGAAGAAAAAAAAAGTGGGCAAAGCACATGAACAGATATTTCTCTAAAGAAGATATACAAACAGCCAACAAATACATAAAAATTGCTCAACATCACTAATAATGAGGGAAATGCAAATTAAAACCACAAAAAAATACCACCTCACTACTGCAAGAATGATCATGATTAAAAAGTCAAAAAACAATAGATGTTGGCATGGATGTGTTGAAAAAGGGACACTCTTACACTGCTGGTGGGAATGTAAATTAGTACAACCTCTATGGAAAACTGTATGAAGAGTCCTCAAAGAACTAAAAGTAGATCTACCAGGTGATCCAGCAGTCCCACTACTGGGTATCTCCCAAAGGAAAAGAAGTCATTTTATGAAAAAGACACATGCACACACGTTTATAGCAGCACAATTCACAACTACAAAGATATGGAACCAACCTAAGTGCCCATCAACCAACAAGTGTATAAAGAAAATGTGGTATATATACACCACAGAATATCACTCAGCTATATTAAGGAATGAAATAATGTCTTTTGCAGCACCTTGGATGGAGCTGGAGGCCAGTTTTCTAAGTGAAGTAACTCAGGAATGGAAAAGCAAAAACCGTATGTCCTCCCTTGTAAGTGGAAGCTAAGGACAAAAAGACATACAGAGTGATATAATGAACTCTGAGGACTCGATGAGGGGAGGTTGGGAGGGAGATGAAGGATAAAAGACTACATATTGGGTACAGTGTACACTGCTCAGGTGATGGGTGCACTAAAAATCTCAGAATTCACCACTAAAGAACTCATCTGTGTAACAAAAAATTCACCTGTACCCCCAAACTGTTGAAATTTTAAGAAGCAGAAAACATACAGACTATACTCCCCAATAACAATAGAGCAAAACAGCAATCAGCAATAAAAAGATAACTAAATGAAAAAATTTTAAAAAGAACCACTTGGAAATTTTTTTAGTATTACTTTTCTACAGATCTTAGACAAATGAAAAAAATGAATAAAGATGAAAATAGAAATTAATTAGAAACTTTGAAAAATTAGACTTGATAAAGAGAAGTAAATGTAAACAAAAACCAATAAAATAATAAATTTTAAATAAAAATATTATGAGATCCAGGTCACAACCATAAATTTAATAAAGTAACTAGACACTCAGATATATATTGAAGTGTAAGATTTATATGAGAAGCAAAAAACTTTGCTAAAAGATGCAAAAAAAATGAATAAAACTATCTAGATAAATACTGTATGATCTCACTTATAAGTGGAATCTAAAAAAGTCAAACTACTAGAAGCAGAGAGTAGAAATAAGATGTCAGTCAAAGGGTAAAAGTTTTCAGTTACAAGATGAAGTTATGAGGACCTAATGTACAGCATGGTAAATATGGCTGATAATACTGTACTGTGTACTTGAAATTAGCTAAGGGAGTAGATCTTAAGTGTTCTCCCAACCAAAAGAAAAAAAAATTAACTATGTAAGGTGATTGTAACAATCATTTCATAACGTATATCAAATCATCATGTTGCACACCTTAAATATGTACCATTTTTATTTGTTGATTATACTTCAATAAAGCTAGGGGTAGGGGTAGGGGTTGGGGAAATAGACCTAGAGTTTGGGAAAATGTCAATCGTTCCCAAATTAATATATAAACTTAAAACAATTCTCATTAAAATCCCAGTATAAATTTGGTTTGGTTTTTTTTTTTTGGATAATTCTAAAGTTCAATGGGAAGAAAAATGTATAAGAATAACCCTAAGACTTTTTTTGAAAGAAAAGTAGTGATATGGCTTGTGTCCCCACCCAAATCTCATCTTGAATCGTAGTTCCCATAATCCCCATGTGCCATGGGAGAGACCCAGTGGGAGGTAATTGAATCATGGGGGAGGTTCTCATCATAGTGAGTTCTCACGAGATCTGATGGTTTTGTAAAGGGCTTTCCCCCACTTTGCTCTCACTCATTCTCCTTCCTGCCACCATGTGAAGAAGGACATGTTTGCTTCCCCTTCTGCCATGACTGTAATTTCCTGAGGCCTCCCCAGCCAGGCTCAACTGAGTCAGTTAAACTTCTTTCCTTTATAAATTATCCAGTCTCAGGTATGTCCTGATGGCAGCATGAGAACAAACTAATACAGTAAATTGGTACTGGAAGTGGGGTGCTGCCATAAGGATACCTGAAAATGTGGAAGCAACTTTGGAACTGGTTAACAGGCAGAGGTTAGAACAGTTTAGAGGGCTCAGAAGAAGACAGGAAAATGTCGGAAAGTTTGGAACTTTCTAGAGACTTGGGGGCTCAGAAGACAGGAAGAGGTGGGAAAGTTTGGAACTCCCTAAAGACTTGTTGAATGGCTTTTACCAAAATGGTGACAGTGATAAGGACAATGAAGTCCAAGCTGAGGTGTTCTCGGAAGGAGATGACAAACTTCTTGGGAACTGGAGAAAAGGTCACTCTTGTTATACTTTAGCAAAAAGACTGGCAGCATTTTGCCCCTGCCCTAGAGGTTGGTGGAATTTTAAACTTGAGAAAGATAGTTTGGAATGGGAACTTGTGTTTAAAAGGGAAGCAGAGCATAAAAGTTTGAAAAATTTGTAGCCCGACAATACAATAGAAAAGAAAAACCCATTCCTGAGGAGAAATTCAAGCAGGCTGCAGAAATTTGCATAAGTAATGAGGATCCAAATGTTAATCACCAAGACAATGGGGAAAATGTCACCAGTGCATGTCAGAGATCTTCATGGCAGCCTCTCCCATCACAGGCCCGGAGGCCTAGGAGGAAATAATGGTTTTGTGGGCCCAGGGCCTTGCAGCTTTGTGCAGTCTTGGGACTTGATGCTCTGTGTCCCAGCCATGGCTAAAAGGGGTCAACATATAGCTTAGGCCATTGCTTCAGAGGGTGCAAGCCCCAAGCCTTGGTGGCTTACATGTGATGTTGGGCCTGTGGGTGCATAGAAATCAAGAACTGAGGTTGAGGAACCTCTGCCTAGATTTCTGAGGATGTATGGAGATGCCTGGATGTCCAAGCAGAAGTTTGCTGCAGGGGCAGAACCCTAATGGAGAACCTTTGCTAGGGCAGTGTGGAAGGGAAATGTGGGGTACAAGCCCCCACACAGAGTCCCCACTAGGGCACTGTGGAGCTGTGAGAAGAGGGCCATTGTTCTCCTGAACCCAGAATAGTACATCCACCGACAGCTTGCACCATGCACCGGGAAAAGCCACAGACACTCAACATCAGCCATGAAGGAGGCCTGGAGGAAGGCTGTACCCTGCAAAGCCACAGGGGGGGAGCTGCTCAAGGCTCTGGGAGCTCACCTCTTGCATGAGTGTGACATGGACGTGAGACATGGAGTCAAAAGAGATCATTTTGGAACTTTAAGGTTTAATGACTGCCCCCATTGAGTTTTGGACTTACAGGGGGCCTGTAGCCCCTTTGTTTTGGTCAATTTCTCCCATTTGGAAAAGGTGTATTTACCCCATGCCTGTACTCACATTGTATATAGGAAGTAACTAACTTGCTTTTGATTCTACAGGCTCATAGGTGGAAGGGACTTGCCTTGTCTGAGATGATACTTTGGACTTGAACATTTGAGTTAATGCTAAAATAAGTTAAGACTCTGGGGGACTGTTGGAAGGACATGATTGTATTTTGAAATGTGAGGACATGAGATTTGGGAGGAGACAGGTAAAATGATATGGTTTGGCCATGTCCCCACCGAAATCTCATCTTGAATTGTACTTCAGATAATCCCCATGTGTTGTGGGAGGGACCTGGTGGTAGGTAATTGAATCATGGGGGTGGTTCATGATAGTGATAGTGCTGTTCTCATGCTGTTCTCATGATAGTGAGTTCTCACAAGAACTGATGGTTTTATAAGGGGCTCTCCCCCAACTTTGCTCTCACTCATTCTCCTTCTTGCCACTATGTGAAGAAGAATGTGTTTGCTTCCCCTTCCTCCACCACTGTGTTTCCTGAGGCCTCCTCAGGCATGCTGAAGAGTGAGTCAATTAAACCTCTTTTTTTAATAAATTACCAGTCTCAGGTTATTTCCTTACAGCAGTGTGAGAATGGAGTAATACAAGTACTTTGGCAGAAACTGTCTCTACTAAGCATTAAAATGGACAGAAATTGACAAATAAGTCAGTGAAACAGAAGAAAAGCCATAAAAGGAGGCAAGTATTTCTGACTAGTTAACATGGTAAAAACAGCATCTCGAATTAGTAGGAAGTTGATGAATTAGTTAATAAATTGTGTTAAAACAATTGCATATCCATTTGCAATAAAATAAGGATAGGTTTCCACCTTAGATTTCACACTTACACACATGCACACAAATGTGATATTTAGATTAAGATATTTAGATTTAGATTAAAATCTAGTAGAATGTTTTACAAGCTTAAGATTGGAAAGATCTTTCAAAGGAGAATATGAAACAGAAGCTAAAAAGGCAAAGGTTAAGAGATATGATTATATAAATATTTGCAAAATATAAACACAGGATATGATAAACTTTTGTAAAACAATAGAAAAAGTTTAAAGATACAATTAAAAAGTCAGCAAAAATTGTGAATAGTTAATTTACAAAGCAAGCTCTACTTGACTGATACACATTGAAAATGCTCAACTTTTCTCAATTTTAAGAGGTATGAATTAAAGCCATGATATACCATTTTTCATTTATCAGAAGAACAAAAGTCAAAGACACTGATCATATTATGATAATAAGTGTATGTGTAGATAGGCACTGATTATCATAGATAGGACTGAACCTGAAAACCAATTTTTAGAGTAATTTGGCAATTGTGACCCACATGTATAAGGATGCTTAGTGGAGCACTGTTCTTACAGCAAAAATATCAGAAATAACCTTAAAAATGTTCACTGATCAGGCAATTATTAAATAGAGCCTAGTGGAGTCTTCAGTGTAATATTATGTAACCATTAAGAACATGCTATAGACTGGGTGCGGTGGCTCATGCCTGTAATCCCAGCACGGAAAGCCGAGGTGGTGGGATTGCTTGAGCCCACAAATTCGAGACCAGCCTAGGCAACATAGTGAGATCCCCATCTCTACAAAGAAATAGAAAAAGTAGCTGGACATGGTGGCACATGTCTGTAGTCCCAGTTATTTGGGGAGGCTAAGGCAGCAGCAGGATCAATTGAGCCCAGATGGTGGAGGCAGCAGTGAGCCATGATGGCACAGCCTAGGTGATAGGCTGAGACCCTCTCTCAAAAAAAGAAAAAAAAAAAAAAAAAAGAGAAAATGAAGAAAAAAAACAAGCTAGAGCTATATATACCTGAAAACTATAAATGACTTGGAAAGATATAGATATTATATAATATATAATTAAACTACAAAGGTTGCAGATATGCATTTTATAAAAATGAGATCACAATATAAAATTACAAATAAATAAAATTCCCAATTAGCTTGTGTGTATGTGTGTGTTGACTGAGCACAGAAAGTCTGAAAGAAGTCTCAGACCTGAAATGGACGATTAGAAGCAGCTGTGGTCTGTGGAGCTTATGGAGAGAAATGAAAAGGGGCAAGTGAATTCAGAACCTTCAACTGAGATACCCAGGTTCTTGCACTGGGACTGACTGGACAAACAGCTTGACCCAAAGAGAACGAAGAAAAGTACGAGGGAGTGGAGGGGGCGACGGCCCACCTGGAAGGGGCACGGAGCCAAAGAAACCGTCACCTCCCGCCAAGAGAAGCAGTGAGTAATTGTGCTACCCTACCTGGGAAACCACACTTCTCCCATGGATCTTTGCATAGATCTTTCCATGGATCAGGAGATCTCCTCATGAGCCCACACCACCAGGGCCTTGGGTCTGATACACAGAGCTGTGTAGAGTCTCGGCAGAGCAGCCACTCAGGCACACACAGAGAACCATGAGTTTTACATACTACAGCTGGGATCGCTGGCAAGGCAGGAAATCTGTCTGTATATATCCCTAAGAAGGGGGCTGATTCCAGGGAGCCAAGCAGCATTGTTTTGTGGGCCCCACTTCCACGGCACCTCACAAGTTAAGACCCACTGGCTTGGAATCCCAGCCAGCCAATGGTGGCAGATTGGAATCTCCCTGAGATGGGTCCAAGTTCCCAGGGGCGGAGGGGTGGCTACCATCTTTGTGGTTCGGTAGACTCAGGCACTCCAGCCTGCTGGCTGTGGAGAATAGACAGTTTACGAGGAAGGTTCCCCAACAATGAAGAACAGCTGCCTTGTCAGATTGTGACCAGACTGCTTCTTGGGGTGGGACCCTGATACCATTCCTCCTCACTGGGTGGGACCTCCCAACAGGGGTCTCCAGCCACCTCCTACAGGTACATGTGGGCCAGCAACAGGTCAGTACTCCACCAGAATGCAGCTTCCAGAGGAAGGGGCTGGCTGCCATCTTTGCTGTTTTGTGGCCTTCACTGGTGATACCTCCAGGTACAGGAGAAACTGAGGCAACTGGGGTCTGGAGCAGATCCCCAGTAAACTGCAGCAACCCTATGGTAGAGTGGCCAGACTGTTAAAAGAAAACCAGAACCCAGGATGTAGAGCTGGCAGTGCCTGACGGCGCGTCTGACGCGGAGTTGGGTGGGGTAGAGAGTAGGGGGCGGTAGTCGGGGGTGGTGGGAGAAGGAGGAGGCGGCAAATCACTTATAAATGGCGCGGAAGCAGGACCCGAAGCCTAAATTCCAGGAGGGTGAGCGAGTGCTGTGCTTTCATGGGCCTCTTCTTTATGAAGCAAAGTGTGTAAAGGTTGCCATAAAGGACAAACAAGTGAAATACTTCATACATTACAGTGGTTGGAATAAAAATTGGGATGAGTGGGTTCCGGAGAGCAGAGTACTCAAATACGTGGACACCAATTTGCAGAAACAGCGAGAACTTCAAAAAGCCAATCAGGAGCAGTATGCAGAGGGGAAGATGAGAGGGGCTGCCCCAGGAAAGAAGACATCTGGTCTGCAACAGAAAAATGTTGAAGTGAAAACGAAAAAGAACAAACAGAAAACACCTGGAAATGGAGATGGTGGCAGTACCAGTGAGACCCCTCAGCCTCCTTGGAAGAAAAGGGCCCGGGTAGATCCTACTGTTGAAAATGAGGAAACATTCATGAACAGAGTTGAAGTTAAAGTAAAGATTCCTGAATAGCTAAAACCGTGGCTTGTTGATGACTGGGACTTAATTACCAGGCAAAAACAGCTCTTTTATCTTCCTGCCAAGAAGAATGTGGATTCCATTCTTGAGGATTATGCAAATTACAAGAAATCTCGTGGAAACACAGATAATAAGGAGTATGCGGTTAATGAAGTTGTGGCAGGGATAAAAGAATACTTCAACGTAATGTTGGGTACCCAGCTACTCTATAAATTTGAGAGACCACAGTATGCCGAAATTCTTGCAGATCATCCCGATGCACCCATGTCCCAGGTGTATGGAGCGCCACATCTCCTGAGATTATTTGTACGAATTGGAGCAATGTTGGCCTATACACCTCTGGATGAGAAGAGCCTTGCTTTATTACTCAATTATCTTCACGATTTCCTAAAGTACCTGGCAAAGAATTCTGCAACTTTGTTTAGTGCCAGCGATTATGAAGTGGCTCCTCCTGAGTACCATCGGAAAGCTGTGTGAGAGGCACTCTCACTCACTTATGTTTGGATCTCCGTAAACACATTTTTGTTCTTAGTCTATCTCTTGTACAAACAATGTGCTTTGAAGATGTTAGTGTATAACAATTGATGTTTGTTTTCTGTTTGATTTTAAACAGAGAAAATAAAAGGGGTAATAGCTCCTTTTTTCTTTTCTTTTTTTTTTTCATTTCAAAGTTGCTGCCAGTGTTTTCAATGATGGACAACAGAGGGATATGCTGTAGAGTGTTTTATTGCCTAGTTGACAAAGCTGCTTTTGAATGCTGGTGGTTCTATTCCTTTGACACTATGCACTTTTATAATACATGTTAATGCTATATGACAAAATGCTCTGATTCCTAGTGCCAAAGGTTCAATTCAGTGTATATAACTGAACACACTCATCCATTTGTGCTTTTTTTTTTTTTTTTATGGTGCTTAAAGTAAAGAGCCCATCCTTTGCAAGGCATCCATGTTGTTACTTAGGCATTTTATCTTGGCTCAAATTGTTGAAGAATGGTGGCTTGTTTCATGGTTTTTGTATTTGTGTCTAATGCACGTTTTAACATGATAGATGCAATGCACTGTGTAGCTAGTTTTCTGGAAAAGTCAATCTTTTAGGAATTGTTTTTCAGATCTTCAATAAATTTTTTCTTTAAATTTCAAAGAAAAAAAAAAGAAAACCAGAAAACAACAACAACAACATGAACAAAAAAGACCCCACAAAAACCTCATTCAGAGGTCAGCAACCTCAAAGACTGAAGATAGATAGCCCCCAAAGATGAGAAAGAATCAATACAAAAGCACTGAAAACTCAAAAAGTCAGAGTTCCTCTTCTCTAAATGACTGCAACACCCCTCCAGCAAGGGCACAGAACCAGGCTGAGGTGGAGATGGCTGAATTGACAGAAGTCGGCTTCAGAAGGTGGATAACAACAAACTTTGGTGAGCTAAAGGAGCATGTTGTAACCCAATGCAAAGAAGCTAAGAATCATGATCAAACAATACAGGAGCTGATAGCCACAACAGCCAGTTTAGAGAGGAAGGTAACTGACCTGATGGAGCTGAAAAATACAACATGAGAAGATCACAATACAATCACAAGTATCAATAGCAGAACAGACCAAGTGGAGGAAAGAATCTCAGACCTTGAAGACTATCTTTCTGAAATAAGACAGTCAGACAAGAATAGAGGGAAAGAAAATGAAAAGGAATGAACAAAACCTCTGGAAAATATGAGATCACATAAAGAGACCAAATCTATGACTGATTGGGGTACCTGAAAGAGATGGAGAGAACAGAACCAAGTTGGAAAACAGTTCAGGATATCATCCAGGAGAACTTCCCCAATCTAGCAAGACAGGCCAACATTCAAACTCAGGAAATGCAAAGAGCCTCAGGAAGATACTCCTCAAGAAGATCAACCCCAAGACACATAATCATCAGATTCTCCAAGGTCAAAATGAAAGAAAAAATGTTAAGGACAGCCAGAGAGAAAGGCCAGGTCACCTACAAAAGGAAACCCATTAGACTAACAGCAAATCTCTCAACTGGGGGTCAATGTTCAACATTCTTAAAGAAAAGAATTTCCAGGCCAGAATTTCATACCTGGCTAAGCTAAGCTTCATAGATGAAGGAGAAATAAGATCCTTTTCCGATAGGCAAATGCTGAAGAAATTTGTTACCACCAGGCCTGCCTTGCAAGAGCTCCTGACGGAAGCACTAAATATGAAAATAAAAAACCATTACCAACAACTACGAAAACACAGTGAAGTACACAGACCAGTAATACTATGAAGCAACCATATAAACAAGTCTGCAAAATAACCAGCTAGCATCATGATGACAGGATCAAATCCACACATAACAATACTAACCTTAAATGTAAATGGGCTAAATGCCCCAATTAAAAGACATAGAATGTCAAGCTGGATAAAGACGCAAAACCTTCAAGGACCCACCTCACATGCAAAGACACATAGGCTCAAAATAAAAGGATGGAGGAAAATTTACCAAGCAAATGGAAAACAGAATAAAAGCAGGGGTTGCAATCCTAGTTTCTGACAAAACAGACTTACAAAACAGACTTTATGCCAACAAAGATTTAAAAAGACAAAGAAGGGCATTACATAATGGTAAAGGGTTCAATTCAAAAAGAAGAGTTAACTATCTTAAATATATATGCACCCAATACAGGAGCAGTGAGATTCACAAAGCAAGTGCTTAGAGACCTACAAAGAGACTTAGACTCCCACACAATAATAGTGGGAGATTTTAACACCAACTGACAACATTAGATCATGGAGACAGAAAATTAACAAAGATATTCAGGACCTGAACTCAGCTCTAAAACAAGTGGACTTGATAGATATCTACAGAAATCTCCACCCAAATTCAACTGCATATGCATTTTTCTCACCACCACATGACACTTACTCTAAAATTGATCACATAATCAGAAGTAAAACACTCCTCAGCAAATGCAAAAGAACTGAAATAACAGTCTCTCAGACCACAGAACAATCGAATTAGAATTCAAGATTAAGAAATTCACTCAAAAGGCTGGGCGTCGTGGCTCATGCCTGTAATCCCAGCATTTTGGGAGGCTGAGGTGGGCGGATCACGAGGTCAGGAGATCAAGACCATCCTGGCTAACATGGTGAAACCATGTCTCTACTAAAAATACAAAAAATTAGCCGGGCGTGGTGGCACGTGCCTGTAGTCCCAGCTACTTGGGAGGCTGAGGCAGGAGACTCACTTGAACCTGGGAGGCGGAGGTTGCAGTGAGTGAAGATCATGCCACTGCACTTCAGCCTGGGTGACAGAGCAAGACTCCATCTCAAAAAAAAACAAAACAAAAAAAAACAAAAAGAAAGAAAGAAATTCACTCAAAACCACACAACCAGAAGCAAATTGAACAACCTGCTCCTGAATGACTTTTGGGTAAACAATGAAATTAAAGCAGACATCAAAAAGATCTTTGAATCTAATGAGAACAAAGAGACACTGTACCAGAATCTCTGAGATGCAGCTAAAACAGTGTTAAGAGGGAAACTTACAGCACTAAATGCTCACATCAAAAAGCTAGAAGGATCTCGACTTAACAACCTAACATCTCAAGTAAAAAGAACTAGAGAACCAAGAGTAAATAAACCCCAAAGCTTGCAGAAGACAAGAAATAACCAAGATCAGAGCTGAACTGAAGGAGATAGAGGCACAAAAAGCCCTTCAAAAAAAATCAATGCATTCAGGAGCTGGTTTTTTAAAAAAATTAATAAAATAGATAGAACTCTAGCTAGACTAATAAAGAAGAAAAGAAAGAAGAATCAAATAAACACAATATGAAATGATAAGGGGAATATCACCACTGACCCCACAGAAATACAAACAACCCTCAGAGAATACTATAAACACCTCTGTGTTTATAAACACAGAGAAATAAGGTAGAAAATCTATAAAAAATGGATAAATTCCTAGACACATACATCTTCCCAAGACTCAACCAGGAAGAAACTGAATCTCTGAACAGACCAGTAATGAATTCTGAAATTGTAATAAATACCCTACCAACCAAAAAGAAAGCCCAGGACAAGATGGATTCACAGTGGAATTCTTCCAGAGGTACAAAGAAGAGCTGGTACCATTTCTACTGAAACTATTCCAAAAAATTGAAAAGGAGGGACTCCTCCCTCATTCTATGAGACCAGCATCATCTTGATACCAAAACCCGGCAGAGATACAACAAAAGAAAAAAACTTCAGGCCAATATTCCTGATGAACATCAGTGTAAAAATTCTCAATAAAATATTGGCAAATTGAATCCAGCATCACCTCAAAATGCTTATCTACCACAATCAAGGTGGCTTCATCCCCAGGATGCAAGGTTGGTTCAACATATTCAAATCAATAAATGTGATTTATCACATAAACAGAACTAAAGACAAAAAACCACATGAATACCTCAATAGATGCAGAAAAGGCCTTTGATAAAATTCAACATCCCTTCATGTTAAAAACTCTCAATAAACTAGGTATTAAAGGAACATACCTCAAAATAGTAAGAGCCTTGTATGACAAACCCACAGCCAATATCATACTGAATGGGCAAAAGCTGGAAGCATTTCCCTTGAAAACCAGCACAAGACAAGGATGCCCTCTCTCACCACTCTTATTCAACATAGTATTGGAAGTTCTGGCTAGGGCAATCAGGCAAGAGAAAGAAATAGAGGGTTCTCAAACAGGAAGAGAGGAGTCAAATTGTCTCTGTTTGCAGAGGATATGATCCTATATCTAGAAAACCCCATCATCTCAGCCCAAAGACTTCTTAAGCTGATAAGCAACTTCAGCAAAGTCTCAGGATACAAAATCAATGTGCAAAAAATCACAAGCATTCCTATACACTACGACAGAAAGGCAGCCAAATTATGAATGAACTCCCATTCATGACTGCTACAAAAAGAATAAAATATCTAGGAACACAGCTAACAAAGGAAGTGAAGGACCTCTTCAAGGAGAACTACAAACCATTGCTCAAAATCAGAGAGGACACAAATAAATGGAAAAACATTCCATGCTCATGGATAGGAAGAATCAATATTGTGAAAATGGTCATACTGCCCAAAGTAATTTATGGATTCAATGCTATTCCCATTAAACTACCACTGACATTCTTCACAGAATTAGAAAAAAAAATTATTTTAAAATTCATATGGAACCAAATAAGAGCCCAAATAGCCAAGACAATTCTAAGCAAAAAGAACATAGCTGGAGGCATCACACTACCTTATTTCAAACTATACTGCAAGCTATAGTAACCAAAACAGTATGGTACTGGTAGAAGAACAGACACATACACCAATGGAACAGAACAGAGAACTCAGAAATAAGGCCCTTACCTACAATCATGTGATCTTTGACAAATTTGACAAAAACAAGTAATGGGGGAAGGACTCCTTATTTAATAAATTTAATAAATTTAATAAATGGGACTACTGCCTAGCCATATGCAGATCATCGAAACTGGACCCCTTCCTTACAACATATACAAAATTTAACCCAAGATGGATTAAAGACTTAAAGGTAAAACCCAAAACTATAAAAACCCTAGAAGAAAATCTAGCAATACCATTCAGGACATAGGCATGGGCAAAGATTTCATGATGAAAATGCCAAAAGCAATTGCAACAAAAGCAAAAATTGACAAATGTGATCTAATTAAACAAAAGAGCTTCTGCACAGCAAAAGAAACTATTGTCAGAGTGAACTGATAATCTACAGGAGAAAATTTTTGCAATCTATCCATCTGACAAAAGTCTAATTATCCAGAGTCTACAAGGAACTTAAACAAATTTACAAGAAAAAACAAGCAACCACATTATAAACTGGGCAAAGGATATGAACAGACACTTCTCAAAAGAAGACATACATGCAGCCAAAAAACATATTGAAAAAAAGCTCAATATCACTAATCATTACAGAAATGCAAATCAAAACCACAATGAGATACCATCTTATGCCAGTCAGAATGACTATTGTTAAAAGGTCAAAAAACAACAGATTCTGACAAGGTTGCAGAGAAAAAGGAATGCTTTTACACTGTTGGTGGGAGTGTAAATTAGTTCAACCACTGTGGAAGACAGTGTGGTGATTCCTCAAAGACGTAGAGGCAGAAATACCTTTTGGCCCAGCAATCCCATTACTGGGTATATACCCAAAGGAATATAAATAATTCTTTTATAAAGATACATGCCCACATATGTTCACTGCAGCACTATTCACAATACAATAGTAAAGACACAAAATCAACGTAAATGCCCATCAATGATAGACTGGATAAGGAAAAATGTGGTATATATACACCATGGAATACTATGCAGCCATAAAAAGAAACAAGATTACGTCCTTTGCAGGGACATGGATGGAGTTGGAGGCCATTATTCTCAGCAAACTAATGCGGGAACAGAAAAACAGACACCACATGTTCTGACTTATAAGTGGGAGCTGAATGATGAGAACACATGGACACATAGGGGAGGACAAAACACACTGGGGCCTGTTGGGGTGGTGGGGGGAGGGAGAACATCAGGAAGAATAGCTAATGGATGCTGGGCTTAATACCTGGGTGATGGGGTGATCTGTGCAGCAAACCACCATGGCACACATTTACATATATAACAAACCTGCACATCCTACACATGCATCCCTGAACTTAAAAGTTGAAGAAGAAGAAGAAAAAAGTCTTACTAAGGCAATACTTCCAATAGAACTTTCTGTAATCATGGAAGTATTCTGTATCTGTGCTGCTCAATATGGTAGCCACTAGCAACATATGGCTTGAACACTTCAAATGTAGCCACTGTGACTGAGGAACTGAATTTTTTAAAATTTAATTACTATTGATTTAAACTTAAATGTAAATAGCCATATGTAGCTAGTGGCTACCATGTTAGACAGCACAGTACTGAGGTTTTAACGTCTGAAAGGTAGAGTATGAGTAGCCAGGTGGTGGTTTTTATGTCTGATTTTACATACTTTAAAAAAAAGGGGGGGCAATGTGGTAAGTAATGTCTACTCTCTTGACCTGATGAGATTCTCTCTTCTGGGGAACTTAAATGTGAGATTTAGACTCACATTGTACAAAGAAAAGTAATCTATGTTCAAGGGACCATTTCTGGTCTCTTTTTTAAAGGCAAGATATGGTCACAGCAGATACCTAGGAGTTTCAAGAATTCTTCTCTATGAGGAAGGTTCAACAACTTACTCTTCATTCAAGGTCTCAATAGTCCCAAATTGTATTAAGCATAGTACTCATTCAAAAATACTTGTCATACTTCCAGGACTGTCACTGTGTATACTATAAAATAACCTCTTATGAAAACCATGCTAAGGAAAAGATAATCTCCTCTTTTGGAATACTGCAATAGCCTCCTAACTGGTCACTCCACTTCCACTTTACCCATCACTCCCATCCATTCTTCTCTTTGCTGACAAAGAAATGTCTCTAAAATATTTGTCTGGCTATCCTATTTCTCAGCTCAAATTCTAATAGTCTCAAACTCCACTGCCATTGCTATCACCTTAGTTCTGCCTTTATGGGCTCTAACTTGGACTTCTACAACTATCTATCTAATGGTCACCTGCCTCTAGCTTTGAACTGCCCAATCTATTCTCTTTACAGCTACCAAATATATCTGTTTAGAACTCAAATCTTAAAATATTTTTGCTACACTTTTACTTAAAACCATCAATGGCTACCCTCTGCCCATAGCAGAGATTCTTAGTATGCTGTAAATGGGTTGCAGGTGAGCCAAGATATTGATCCTTTTAGCAGTAAAAGCAGTCAGGTAGGGCCTGGAACTACTGGAACTTATGTCACTTTCCATCATAAGCAGCTTTGTCGCGTTTTTAAATAATCTATTTATTATTAATCTAATTGATTGACATTTTGTATTTTGGTTAAAAAAAACACACAGGCCAGGCGCGGTGGCTCACACCTGTAATCCCAGCACTTTGGGAGGCCAAGGCGGGCAGATCACGAGGTCAGGAGATCGAGACCATCCTGGCTAACACAGTGAAACCCCATCTCTACTAAAAATACAAAAAAAAAAAAAAAAAATTAGCCAGGCATGGTGGCAGGCACCTGTAGTCCCAGCTACTCGAGAGGCTGAGGGAGGAGAATGGTGTGAACCCGGGAGGTGGAGCTTGCAGTAAGCCAAGATGGCACCACTGCACTCCAGCCTGGGCGACAGAGCAAGACTCTGTCTCAAGAAAAAACAAACAAACAAACAAACAAACAAAAAAACATAAAATTTATCAACTTAACCATTTCTAAGTGGACAGTTCAGTAGTGTTAAGTGTACTCACACTGTTGTGAAAAAAAAAGATCTCCAGAACTTCATCTTGCAAATCTGAAACTCTGTATCATTAAACAATTCCCGTTCTCCCTTTCCTCAGCCTCTGGTAACCGCCATTCTATTTTTTGTTTCTATAAATGACTACTTTAGCTTCCTCATGTAAGTGGAATCATATAGTAGTTGTCTTTTTGTGACTGGAATATTTCACTTAGCATAATTTAACAAGGTTCATTCATGTTATAGCATGTGACATTTCTTTGATTTTAATGGCTAAACAGTATTCCATTGTGTGTATAATACCACATTTTGTTTATCCATTCATCCATCGATGGGCATTTGGGTTGTTTCCACCTCTTGGCTACTGTGAACTGTCTATGAACATGGGTGTGCAAACATCTCTTCAAGACCCTGCTTTCAATTCTGCTGTATATACACCTTGAAGTGATATTGCTGGATCATATAATTTTTTTAAAATTTTTTGAGGAACTCTTATTTTTTCCTTAATGGCTGTACCATCTTATCATCCCACCAACAATGCACAAAAGTTTATAATTCTCCACATCCTCACCATATCCTGATACTTTTTTTTTTTTATAGTAGCCATTTCTAATAGGTGTAACATTTCATTATGCTTTGGTTTGCATCACTCTGATGATTAGTGATGTTAAGCATCTTTTCATGTTCTTTTTGGTCATCTGTATATCATCCTTGAAGAAATGTCTACTTAAGTCCTTTGCTCATTTTAAATAGGGTTGATTTTTTGTTGTTGTTATTGAGTTGCAGGAATTCTTTATATATTCTGGATATTAATCCCATATCAGATACATGATTTGCAAATATTTTCTCCCATTTTGAAAACTGCCTTTTCACACTGTTGATTGTGTCCTTTGATGCACAAAGTTTTTAAGCTTAGTGTAGCCCCATTTGTCCACTTTTGCTTCTGCTGCCTATGCTTTTGGTGTCATATCCAAAAGCATGCAAGTCCAATGTCATGAAGCTTTTCTCCTATGTTTTATTCTAAAGTTTTACAGTGTTAGGTGCTGCATTTAGGTCTTTAATCTATTTAATTTTTGTATATGGTATAAGATAAGGATTCAATTTCATTCTTTTGCATATGGATAGCCATTTCCTCTAACATCATATATTCAAGAAGCTGTCTTTTCCCCCAAAGAATGCTCTTGGCACACTTGCTGAAGATCATCTTGACCATGTATGTGAGGGTTTACTTATCAGCTATCTATTCCATTCCATTGGTTTGTTTGTCTTTATGCCAGTATCATACAGTTTGGGTTATTACAGCTTTGCAATATGCTTTGAAATCAGAAAGTGTGAATCTTCTAACTTGTTTCTTCTTTTCCAAAATTGTTTTAGCTGTTTGGGGTCCATATCTCATTTTTCTTATGTACGCTATTATGCCAACAAAAAAAAGAAAAGACAAGACTGGGAATCACTGAGTCTTACAGGAGAATGACCTTCAAATTTTTTGTTCATATATGCCCCAAAAGAATTTTTTAGTATGTATCTCTTGCAAAAAATATGTAATTTCTGTTATACTATAAACATGTACATTTAAACATAAAACTATTATTACTTTTTAAAACTTAGTGGATTCTAAACACTATAGGGAAATGATACCCACCGACATCCATTAAAAAAAAATGCTGACCTTCTCAACAGTTTTTACAAGTCCTTTATTCTCCTTGAATACTTATTTCTATTCTACTTCCTCCACAGAATGCTATTCTAATAAACACAGATTTTTATTATTATCAGTACAAAACTCTCTCTGCAAAAAAGGATATGAATTAAGAAAACATTTTCCTGTGATAAGACTCTTAAGTATTAACATTTTTCTTCTTGCTTGAGTTATTACAATTATTTTATGTAAATAAGTGAGGAAAACAACATAAATATATCATAAATCTTGATAATTAAACAAAAAGTAAAATTTGGAAAACTAATAATAAAACGAATGGAGGAATTTACAACACTTTGATTAAAGGGGAGGTTTTTTTTACACCTTGAAGCAACTTACTATAATAAGACTACAAACGTGTCAGAGATAAAGTGGGAGAAGGCAGGGTGAGAAAGTAGGCACTTTCACAGGTACATGTGGAAAATGATTTACTTAAAATCATCTGTTCCCAAGCAACCTTTTATAAATTTCCATGATCCCAAGGTACTCTTACTTCAATCTAAAGACCCTGCTACTGAATAAAATCTAAACTCCTTCACCAACCTCTTCAATTTCACCTCTGAACACATCCCACCCTCCCACCACAATTTACTATTTGCAGCTTTCTGAATCCCATACTGTTTCACATCTGTTGTCTATTTTCTCTCCATCTGATGGACATCTTTAAACTATTAATGTGTAAATATCACCTCCTATATGAAGACTTTCTGGGTTTCCTGCATAGACTAGACCAACACTCCTTCATTCTCTCCCATCATGTGCCATATCATAGCATAACACCTCTAACAATCGTTTCACATACGTGTCTTCTTTTATTAGCTGAAAATTGCTTGAGGGACTTATTTTATTTATCTTTAAACTCATTTTGTGCTTAGAACATAGTAGATGCTCAATAAATACTACCTGAATGAAGAAACTGAAGAACACTCAAATCTCAATTTCCTCACTGGTAAAATTTTATCTGTATGATCCTCTTCCAATTTTAAAGAAACCCAGTAACTCTATATATTTTCTGAAATCTCTATAAATGTTCTATTTTCAGATTATTTTCTCTCCTAGTATGATCTCAAACTAGAGAAAATATTTTACTACATATAAAAAATAGAGTATTTTATATCATTTGTGATAGCCCATTATGCAAAGTGATTCTATGATTTTAGGTTATCCTAAATAAAGCACATTTTTCTCAGAGATTGCTTAAAAACATGAATTGATTATTTCAACATAATTCCCTACATGCTTTATATTCTGGTTGGTAAAAGAGGCAAGAAGGAAAACTATTCCACATTTTTAGTATGTCAATAAGAAATTATTTTACTATTAGGTAAATCAAGAAATCCACAATATTATAATACCCAAATTATCTCCAACTATTCTGGCTCTCCCTCTCTATTCATGTATTTATTTATTTATATATTTATTTATATTTTTGCCCAACCCAACTGTAAATTTCAGAAAGTTCTGGTCTAGGCATTGGAAATTATGTCACTATAGGTTAAATGGGGACCCATAAAGTGGGGACCTATACTCCACCCATCCCTGCAACTTCAAAGTAATAAACCAGGGAGAGTGGCTCATGCCTATAATTCTAGCACTTTGAGAGTCCAGGTGGGAGGATCACTTAAGCCCAGGAGTTCAAGACCTGCTTGGGCAACACAGCAAGACCCTATCTCAACAAAAACCAAAAAAATTATCTGGGCATGGTGCTGCATACTTGTAGTCCTAGCAACACAGGAGACTGAGGTGGGAGGATCCCTTGAATCCAGGAGTTTAAGGCTGCAGTGAGCTATGATCATGCCACTGCACTCTGGCCTGGGTGACAGAGTGAGGCCCTGTCTCTAAAAAACAAAAACAAAACAAACAAAAAAGCCACAAAGCAGTAAGACCAGACTTCATGTCTTAAGTAGATAGTATTTACTTTATAAAAACAAAATTTAACAGTTGTCATTAATGTAAACATTGGGAAAGGGTAGGGTTCAGCATCTTTTAAAGCTACAGAGGACAGTCTTCTTTTGTAATTAAATATACAAAGTAACATAAAGTCATACTTTGATAATTCAAATATAGAAGAGAGTGGTATCACTATATCTCTAGCAGCTGTCCACAGTAAAATAAAAGTACTTTTTTTTCTGTACAAATATCTTTATTTTCCTACTTAAAAAGAATCACGTACTCAGTCCAACAGCTTTACCAGGCTTGGCCAACCCAATAAGTTACACACTCACTCAGGTACTTGGAAGGTTATTGGACAGCTCCTTAACCGATCGAGTCAGCACAAAGTGGTCACTTTCCCCATAGCCAGACTCTGGATTTGCCTCCTGGGAGGACACCATGCCTGGCACAGACTGATGGGGTGGCTGCAGTCGAACCTTGCCTCCAGATTATGAACCAGTATAAGTAGCACAATTCTCGTGGCTACTTTCACTTCAGAGTGTCATGTTTATTGATGTGGAGCTTTCTGAGTAGGGAGGTTAAGGCACACCTGCTCAGTAAAACAAATATTTCTTTTAGTGTTCTAGATTGAGGGCAGCAGTCAATGGTAAAATAAATTTTGGTAGCATGTTCCTGAGAGGTTATACAGCAGCCCTGGCTCAAGGATTTCTCCCCCTGCACGATTCCTAAGAATACTTGCTAGTTGATTCTTTGTTTTGGCAATTTGATGGTTTTGATGAATTTGCTGTGATCCAGGGGTATTCAAGTACTTCTCTGAGCATTGGCCTCTGGCTGGGAACATGCTTCAACAGTCTTGAAATGAGGTCCCTGGCTCCCTCTGTTACAAAGTCAGGGAATGTGAATTCTCAACCCGTGATATTCTTTTGTAGGTCTCTTGGTATGTATTTGCCTCAAAAGGAGGCTTCCCAACTAAAAATTCACAGCAAAGAACTCCAAGGCTCCAGAGATCCACCTTCTCATCATGCATCCGACCTTCAATCATTTCGGGGGGCAGGTAGTCCAGGGTGCCACAGAGAGTGGTCCTCCTGGAAGATGGAGCATGTTCTGACCACCCAAAATTTGCAATTTCAAGCTCTCCAGCTGATCCAAGAAGTAAGTTCTCTGGCTTAATGTCTCTATGAATAACTGTTTTTGAATGACAGTAAGACAGGGCACTTGCCAATTCTGTGATATAAGTAGCAGTTCTCTGCTCATCAAACTTTGAAAGTTTCTGAAGTTCTGTATTGACTGTTTCAAGTGGTGTATATTCCAGAATTAGGTAGACTCTGGTGGCATCATGGAAATAACCATACAGTCTGATTATATTAGGATGTTGGAGGTGGGACTGTATTTCTACTTCTCTTCTGAGTTGATGCTCCACTCCTGCTTTCTCCAGCTGAGCTTTAAATAACACCCTAAGAGCCAGAATAAACTTGCTTTGTTTTTCTCTTGCCAAATAAACATTACCAAACTTTCCTTTACCCGGAGGGCGACCAATTTCAAGGTCTTCCAAAGCCCATTGCCTCTTTTTGATTCTTCATTTTTCTGTTTTGATGCCAGTTCCTCCTCAGGATTATTTTCAGGTGCCGACAGCGGGGACTGCTTGCTGTTTTGGGTGTTATTCAGTGGCCTGGAGGCAGGATGAGGTACACTGGTTGCCTGCAATTGCTTCTGCTTCTGATTCTGAACTGGCTTGTGACTGGAGACAAGCTTTTGTGCTTGCAAAGGAACACGCTGCGAAGAATTTGAAGGACACAAGACCCACTGAGCCTGGCCACTATTTGCAGGTAATGGATTCTGACAAGGAAATTGCTGAGTCACGAGAACATGTTCTGGACCTCCAACTGGAGTTTTAGCCTCAACAGGCCCTGAAATGCAGTTTTCTTCAGATTGGTCCGTGATGCCTATGACCCAAGGACCTGAGTCTTCCAAGAGCTCAGCCCAATAAAAGCACTTTTAAACCAACTGATACACCTCTATAATTCACAAGTAATTGAGGTGTTTTATGTTTTTACATATCCTCTAGAGATGAGCTAGGTTAAGAAATTACAACTATATCAGCTAAAAAAATTTAAGATGATCTCATGATTTCTGCTTCCCAATAAACATTTATAACATTAATAAATAAAGTGAAGAAAAGCAAAGGCAAATACCATCAGCAGTTTAAGTCAGGTCCTATTTACCTGCTCTGCTAATGTCATTTTTTCTCTGTAAAATTTCACTGTACAAAAGTTTACGTTCAAAACTCTTTATATTACGGCTTGGCCTAGACTATCTTAAAAGTGCTCAGAACACTTACATTAGCCTATAGTTGGGCAAAATCTTCTAACACAAAGTCTATTTTATCATGAAGGGTTGAAAATATCTCATGTAATTTCTTGAATACAGTACTTCTTGAATACCGTAGAGTACAGTCTCTCATATTTGCTGCTGCTACCCACCATCACAAAAGAGTATCTTACCCATTGTATCACTAGCTCTGGAAAAGATCAAAGTGCAAAATTTGAAGTATGGTTTCTACAAAGTACACATTGCTTTCACATTACTGTAAAGCTAAAAAATTGGAAGCCAAACCATCATAAGTCTGAGATCATCTGTACAGGTTTTACAAAGGGGCTCACTGGTGAAGAGGTCCATTCTGTTCATTTTCTACATGAACTGATCATAGCCACAATAATATCAACATACATAAACTCAAGAATTTGATTTAGAAGAGAAATACATTAAACCATATTTATAAATCTATAGGTATAGTGCAAATTAATCTAGATGTTTGGGGTGTATTTATATCCCCAACTGCCTATGTAACTTGGACAAGTATTCAATCTGTATGTACCTGAGTTTTAGCACCTATAACTGTGCCATACTATATTATAGGCATTAGCCACTTTGGCTACTTAAATTTAAATTAATTAAAATTAACTTGAATTTTAAAAATTCAGTTCCTCAGTTGCACTGGCCACATTTCACAGGCTCAATAACCACATGTGCCTAGAGGTTACCATACTGGACAGTAGAAATATAATGATGAAAATAAACAGGATGATATGATTGAGAACAACAAGTAGGAACAAGGGGGTTGTATTGACTACTTTAGATCTAGATCAGGTGGTCAGAAAAGGCTGCCCTGAGTTGACATTTGAGCTGAGACTTGAATGACAAGATGCAACTAGCATGCAAAGATCTGCAAAAAGCATCCAAGGCATAGACAACAGTGAGGGCAAAAACCTTAGCCACAAATGTGGTTGGCTGGTTTAACAACAAAAAAGAGCGTCTGAAGCATAAGAAATAAGGGGAGAGGTGTATAAGGTCCAAGAAATGGCAGGAAGCAGAGTCTCAAGGGCCTTATACACCATTTAAGAACTTTGGATTTTACGTTAAGTGCAATCAAAAACCATTGAGTGTTATTAAAAGGGCAATGTTAGGCTGGGTGTGGTGGCTCATGACTGTAATCCCAGCACTTTGGGAGGCCAAGGCAGGTGGATCGCAAGGTCAGGAGTTCAAGACCAGCCTGGCCAACATAGTGAAACCCCATCTCTACTAAAAATACAAACATTAGCCGGGCATGGTGGCGCATGCCTGTAGTCCCAGCTACTCAGGAGGCTGAGGCAGAAGAATTACTTGAACCCAGGAGGTGGAGGTTGTAGTAAGCTGAGATCATGCCACTGCACTCCAGCTTGGGCAACAGAGTGAGACTTCATCTCAAAAAAAAAGGCAATGTTGTGATCTAAATTATGCCTTAAAAGCTCACTGTAACTACTGTTGAGAATTATTACAGGAAACCAAGAGCAAAAGCAGGAAGAATTGCTAGAAGAAGACACATATCATATCATAGCCCAGGTTGAGAAAAGATGGTGGCCTGGACCAGGAGAGTGGTAGAAGGATAAAGAAAATCTGTTCCTTTTTTCTACATTCCCTATCTACAATCCTGCATCTGCTATCCTTCACAGCCAAGCTCCTTGAAATAGTATATTTCACTTTTTAACCCCTTATCCTATAACTATGCTTTCTGCCTCCACTATCCTACTGAAACTGTCCTAAGGTCCAAGTTACCTCCACCTTCTCAAAACCAATAAGCATTTTTCTATCCTTTTCTTACCTGACCCCTGCTGCATTTGCAAAACTGCTGACCATTCCTCACCCTCATCAAGTTCTCGCCTTCCTCAGCTCCGAGGGCCTTACTCTCACATGATTTTCCTCTTTCTTTTACTCCTTCTCAGTCTTCTTCCCAGTAACCTCTACTTGACTTTTAAACACCAGTGCTCCTCTAAGCTTACAGCTTTAGTACTCAGTGCATTTCACAACATACATAATCCTTGAGACTGAACTGACACTTTTTGCTGTTAGCTCCCCAATTAACATCTCTGGCCCAGTACTCCCTACTGTTTAGACTATCTATATCTGGTGTTCAACCAGATGTCCTTACTTGGACATACCATAAACATTTAAAATGCAAAAGGTTGAAAATCTGTATCCTTCATTCTCTTATTACATATAGTTGCCCAAACCACAAGCCAAAGACTTCCTAAACTCCCCCTCACTTACTAGTTACAATGCCCATCACCAGACCTTCACAAGGTCCTGCAGATTCTAACTCCTTAACGTCTTTCTAATCTAGTCCTTCATCTTCATCCTACTAAGGTTCTTAATTCAAGCTCACATAATTTCTTGCTTGGATTACTGGAAGAGCTTCCCAATCCATTTCCCTTCTTCCAATCTCTCCTCCACTTTGCTACCAGAGCACATTACAGGTCTTCAACAAATGTTGTTGATTACATTAAGTACAAATCTGACAATGTCATTTCTCTACTTAAACTTTCAGAGAAACGCCACAATTTTCACAAGGCCTCTCATGGTCTAGCTCCTTATTACTACTACTGCCTCATTGCCCCAACTCTTCCTCTCCCATCCTCCTCTCCAGCCATTCAGCTTTTCTTAGTTCTCTAAATACCATGCCATTTCAGGCCTCCCTTCCTCTGCACATGCTATTACTGCTCCTTTACTCCTCTAACTAGTACTTCAAAGGTAGGCTTAAGTATCACCACTTCAAGAAAATGCCTCATGTATATCTCAGTCACACTGAATGGAAGTTAATGATTTGTCTGTAAACCAGAAGTTCCTACAGCAGGGTCCACCAACCTTATTTGGTTTGTAGCACCAATGACTGGCACAAAGTATGCAATCATTCACAGATGGGTTCGATTTGATATCTTCTAAATTTTCTAAAAAAGGGAGAGGAGCTTAGTGGGCTTTATATCACCATTCCGGTATAGCACAAAGTGAGAGCGCTGTACTACAAAGCCAAATGTGCTTCAGGTTGGAAATGCAAAAATAAAATAAAATAAAATAAAATAAAATAAAACACAAGGCACACCCTTTCAAAATGAAATGTACGAAATTCTGAAAGCCTATATAGTATCTAATAAACCAGCCTTGGAACTTTATACTACTTGGGGAAAGGCTTATTAAACACTTTGATGATAAAAATAGGTGGAAGGCTTCAATAAAGCAAATTAACCTTTCTTGGCTATGTCACTGTAATTTTAGTTCCTAATGTAGATTCTCGTTCACTTCCTGACAGGTTATTTTCCTTCTTTGAGAGAGTCTTACCTCAAGAGTCACTCATTTGTCAGCCATTTGTTCTCAAAATCTGAATGGGGGAAATGCAGATGAAAGAAGGGAGAGTGTGGGGGGATGATCAACACTTTCGGAATGGGAGGTAGCAGAAGGCCACAGTCTCCGGGATGGAAGAGAGTGGGAGCTGGGGCAATACCAGAGTGGAGCGCTGACATGTGGCAAGGAACGGGGAGGATGCGATCACGGAGCAGGCAACATGAAACAGGGAACGACCCCAGGCTGAAGATGGGAGACGGAGAAGATACTCAGAGAGAAAGCTAGGAATGTGTGGGGGTGGGGGGAGGGAGGGAGAAAGCGGTGATAGGCAGAGGCGAGAGGAAACAAGACGCAGTTTTTAGCCAGGGGTCAGAGGGCCTAAGGAGAAAAGCTGGGTCGAGAGGAAGACAACACAAATGGGGCTTCAGGACGAGGTGGGCAGGGTGTCATCCCGGAGCGGAGGGGAGGCACGGGGAGAACTGGGGGTCCAGAGGGCAGAGGCAGGAGGCGCAGAGCGAGTAGGAGACTCGAACCCGTGAGCAGAGGCCGCGGGTGACGAGGGAAGGAAGGGCGAGGCCAGAGAGGCACTTACTGGGGTCCCTCCGCAAGGCGCCGCTGAGGATCTCCTCCCGCAGGTGAGGAAAGAGGAAGTCCCGGGCGGCCTGGAGGTCCTGGAAGTAGCAGAACTGGACAATGGAGCAGGCCATGGCTCCAGGGAACCCCACTACGGCACTCACCTTACCTCACCACGCCCTGCCCCCTCCACCCCACTGCGGCCGCCACCGAGCCCCAATAGCTCTAGCCAAGCAGAAGGCGGAGAAACCAAACCGGAAGCTGTCACTGACACGGGTCCGCTGTCTCCGAGTACTGCGCAGGCGCAGGCTGGCCCAGGCGCCTAGGGCGCGGGGGCCCGGGTCACGTGACTACGGCGCCGCCGCTGCAGGTGGAGCCAAAGTCGACGTGGAGGCTTGGGGCAGATTTTTCAGTCCCAGTTGTGTGTCTACGCCGAGGCATGAACCCTTTCATTCATTCTGGCTTTTAGCCAGAGGTGTTCTAATTGGACTTGTCCGCGCAGCCCTTTGACTTATTCAGTCTTATTGGTCCCCTACTATTGGCACGATCCTGATGTTTCACAGAAACTAATTCGTTTTAAACTAGTGGCAGGCCAGTGGGGGACCGTATCCTGCAAGAGTCGGATTTTGAAAAGATTAATTGCTCTTCCGGAGATTAGCCCCGTCAAGGCTGGCTTTAAATGCTCCTACTATAGATTCCCATAGTACTACGCAAGCCCAATATAGTACGTGTTATAGTGTATTATACACTTTTGTTTTCATTATTCATTTGGTTTTTCATTCATGCATTCATCCATCCATTCAACAAATATTTGTTAGTCTTTTAAATGCCAGCCACGCAGGGTGCTGAGCATTAGAGAACAAAAGAGAAGAAGTACCTTTTCCCAGAAAGCTGGAATTCTAGTGACTGATACAGGCAGTAAGCAATTAATTACAGTATTTCCCTTTAATCCAAGGGGATATGTTTTAAGATCCCCAGTGGATGACTCAAACCATGGATAGTACTGAAACCTATGTATGTGTATTATGTTTTTACCTATACATATATATGATAAAGTTAAATTTATAAATTAGGCACAGTGAAAGATTAACAATAACTAATAATTAAATTGAATAATTATGTGGAAAATGAACCCATGGATAAAGGGGGGACTACTGTACTTAACTATTTAACTGAAATTGTGATCATGCTAGTAAGTGCTTCATAAATATTTGCTGAAGAAATAAATGGAATGCATACATAAAGTAAATAGAATAACTTGTTTCTTTGACAAAGCACTATTTTTGAAAGTACTTTACATTGTTCATTTGGATAGTCACAAATGCCATCTAAAAATAGTGTGTCTTATCCCATTTTTAAAATAAAGAAATTGAGCTGTCTCTGAGCAGACTTTAAGTTATTTTTCCAAAAAATAAAAACAAAAAAAATTATTTTAATGTGAGCACAAAGGCCTGTAGGCACTTACACATTTCCTAAAGGAAACCTAAAGAGGCCATCCACTTTGTATGAAAAAAGGGCACAGGAACAAATGAAAGGCAAGTGGATGGGGTCCAGAGCATTCATTTCTGTCAGGCCCGTGGACATACACACTTAGTCCTAATAATATAACAACTATAATTTAGTGCCCAGGTTCCTACTCCATT
This sequence comes from Homo sapiens, assembly GCF_000001405.40. Taxonomy (NCBI): domain Eukaryota; kingdom Metazoa; phylum Chordata; class Mammalia; order Primates; family Hominidae; genus Homo; species Homo sapiens. Next base: position 220,273,847 of record NC_000001.11, read on the forward strand.
ATTTCCTACTTCTAGAGTAGGATGATTTTCACAAAATAGGATAGGCAATTTCTATGTTATCAGGTTAACAGGAATCAGTTCTTCACCTATAAAAGGCAGTTGAATCAGATGTGCTGTAAGGTCCCTTTAAGCATCAGGGACCTATACTTCTGTAATCAAAGCTTTCAGAAAAAGCAAGCTGCCAGTGCTCCCTTCTTCCATCTGAAGAAATGCAGTGTTTCCTCAGATCATCACTAACTAGAATAATCCAGCCCTGATAAGATTATTCCCTAAAATCCAGCACCAATCCCAAACTAAACCAAAATTTAAATTTAGATTCTTAGTGTTACTGGACGAATAACAAACACATGACACTTTCTGGAAGGAGACTGTCATTCCTTGAAAACCATTCAAGTTCCTATTCAGGTAAATGCATTTTGTGGAAGTAACTGCTGTTGGCTGATTTTGCTGGCCTTTGTTCTTCCCTGAGGCATTCATATGTCTCCTGTGGTGGTCATTGAATTTCATTACTGTGTTGGCTCAGTTTTAATGGTGAAGTCCCTGACTTCCTTCCAAGTACTGTTGAAAAGGATCATTCATGGATGTTTTTAAGGACTTTAGATACCCTTCACAGAAATTACAACACATTCATGAACTGAACTCTTCCCCCAGGAAGTTGTAATGCAACAGGGGGGGATGCCTCTGGAGTTCTGCTACCATGGTTTCTGCGGCATGTGGGAGGATTGCATCAGACAGTGAATATCACTTATTCCACAGTCATAAGAAAGCACATTGCAAAAATGTGCAGGCCTTACATATCCCAGCATTGACAGTGTCTCTCCGAGGTCTGGGTTCAGGAGGTAGGAAAAGCACTGTGACCAAAATAACAACAGGATGAGTCCAGGTACCAATGTGAACTTCCTCCAGTATCCATTAGTGTGAGTCAGAGCACAGATGACTGTTGTTAAGAGAGAGATGTGTTACTGAGGAAGATAAGCAGCAGCCCCTTGCCAATCCTTAGCAGCAGCTTGAAGCGAAGGGGTTGAGTTGCAGGATGGGCACTAAACGCAGATGTGAGAGAAAGAGCAATGGACTTGGAATCATGACTTTGGGGAATTCATGTCACTTTTTTGGGACTTAGTTTCTTGGTTTATAAAATGAAGAGGCTGGGCTCTAAAGTTCATCCCAGGGATATGTAGGTTTTGGTAAGAGACTGGGAATGGCAAGTTCTGGGAGCTGGAATTGCTTAGAAGGAGTGGTCTGTGTAAGCACCCTAGTAAGAAGCTTGGGTCAGCAGGAGAAAATGTGAGGGTACTGGACATCTCTAAGGGAAAGTAAGGGGAGCATAGCAAGGGCGTGGAGAGTCCTTGAAGCCTTACCTCATAGCTGTGCTAAGGGTCATCCTTGAATTGAAGATTGAGCAGAAGCAAGGGCTATTTACAGTTATTATTCAACAAACATTTATGGAGTGCTTTTTACATTAAAGATACTGTAGTAAGCACAGTAAGGCAATAAGGACAAGTGATCCAGAGATTCACTACTTAAAAGCAGACAAACACAAATGCTCTAAGAGCAGAGTGTGATGAGTACCATGGATGGCTTTTGGATAAAGGGCAGTGGGAGAAATAAGGGAGAGATTAATTTAGATCCCTAGGGGTGTCCCTTGGAAAAGAAGTAGTGTGGAAGAGGTAGGAAAGGCATTAAACAAATTGGTTCTTGATTATAGAGAACCTCAAAATCCAAATAGTGAAACCGCCTTTGCAAAATTATGACTGAGATAGTGAAAGAGATGTAACTTAACCGACTCCATCTTGCTTCTAACCTCCAAGCTGTCCTTGTTCATTCTTGGGCGTAAGTTGAACTAACTTTGAGAGAAACTTAGTTTACAGTTTAAACAAAGACGGTAACAGCCTTTTCCCAAAGCAGACCTCCTTCTTACCCGGGGACTAGATTGCCTTCGTAGGACTAACATTAGCCACAAGATTAAAAATTATGGTTTAGGAGTCATGCAGCTGGAGAGTGTGACCCTCCCTAAACTGCTCCTAAGATCAATGCTTGAACTATTTTGTAGACCCTGCACTTGATGGATCAGCTGGCACCACCCAAATCAATAAACTGGCTCATCTGACCTTGTAGCCCCCACCCAGGAACTGACCCAGCACAAGAAGGCAGCTTCGACTCCCTATGATTTCATCCCTGACCAATCAGCACTCCTGGCTCATTGGCTTTCCCCCACCCACCAAGTTATCCTTAAAAATTCTGCTCCCCGAATGCTCAGGGAGACTGATTTAAGTAATAATAAAACTCCGGTCTCCCTCACAACCAGCTCTGCGTGAATTACTCTTTCTCTGGCAATTCCCCTGACTTGATGAATTGGCTCTGTCTAGGTAGCGGGCAAGGTGAACCCCTTGGGCAGTTACCATAGTATGGTCTGGTCTTTTTCTGTGTGCAAGGTATAACCAATTGAAGATATTTTGAAGAAGATGTAGAAGTATGTGGGATGACTGAAGGCAGATAGACCCCTCTAGATGTCACAGCAATATTCTAAACAAGAAGTAATAACATTGGAAAGGCAGTGCCTCTCTGGTGGCTGAATCAATAGAATTTTGGTATACAGTTAGATATAGGTGTGGGAAGGGAAAATATGACCCAAGGTGATGTTCAAGTCTTCAGTCCAAAGAATTGGAAAGGTGGCAATGTCATGTCAGCAACCAAGATAGAGAATGTAAAAGGAGGAATGGCTTTGGGACAAACAAGAATAGGATGAGGCTGGGCACAGTGGTTCATGCCTGTAATCCCTGTGCTTTGGAAGGAAGAGGTGGGAGGAATGCATGAGGCCAAGAGTTCGAGATCAGTCTGGGCAACATAGAGAGACCCCATTTCCACACAAAATTAAAATTAAAATTAAATTGTCTGGGCCTGGTGGTGCATGCCCATAATCCTAGCTACTTGAGAGGCTGAGTCAGGAAGCCTGCTTGAGCCCAGGTTTGAGGTTACAGAGAGCTATGTTTGTGCCACAGCTCTCCAGTCTGGGTGACAGAGCAAGTGAGACTCTGTCTCCAAAAAAAAAAAAAAAAGATAAATGGATAAATTCAGTGTTGGATTTGTTAAATTTGAACTGCCCGTGGAAGAGCTAGGTTTTTTTTTTTTTAAGTTATTTTTATAAACTGAAGTTCCAAATTGGGATTGGAGAGGCCAGAGCTAGAACCTACCTATGGAAGTCTTCCACACAGAAATTATATTGAAGGGAGGGGATGAAAGTGCCAGTGGATTCTAGATGGGGTGAGAGCAGTGAGAGCAGGATTGGATGAGGAAAACAAGGTGGGAGGACTATCTTTTTTTTTTTTTTTTTTTTTTGGTACAGAGTCTTGCTCTGTCACCTGGGCTGGGGTGCAGTGGCATAATCTTGGCTCACTGCAACCTTTGCCTTCCAGGCTCAAGCGATCCTCCCGCCTCAGCCTCCTGAATAGCTGGGACTATAGGCACATGCCACCATGCCTGGTTAATTTTTGTGTTTTTTGAAGAGACAGCATCTCACTATATTGCCCAGGCTGGTCTTGAACTGCTAAGCTCAAGGAATCTACCCTCTTTGGCCTCCCAAAGTGTTGGCATTACAGGCATGAGCCACCATGCCTGACCAACTGTCTATTTTTTTAGAGGTGGATGGAAAAAGAAGCTCTAGTAAAGGAGATAAAAAAGACATAGTCAAAGAAGAAAACTGTACATGGTAGGACCATGCTACAAAAGCCCAGTGAGGAAGAAGACATTTTCACAAAGGGGTAAACCTATTGTATTGAATTCAATAAAGAATTTAAGAAAGGAAAAGCCAAGAAGAGATGATTCCATTTGGTGAATAGGTAGTAACAAGTGATTGTCCAGTGTATAGAGCAGCCAAACTCTGTTTCTTTTGCAGAAAATTTGTAACCTTTCTTCAGAAGTTGATTATTTTTCTGATAGCCAGAGAAGCAATGGTAATCTTTTTCTTTACAACTAAAATAGAGATGGAAAGAAGTCTTTTCTTTTTGCTGGCATTGACCAGTTAGGAAAAGAAGAACTAGCTTCACTAAGCATTGTGTTTTATTGCTTTTTTGAATCCAAGAAAAAATATTTATATTTTCAGCATTTCCCAATATTTATAACTTTATTGGGCCAAAACCTACTTTATTTATGTATTTATGTATTTATTTATTTATTTTTGAGACAGAGTCTCGCTCTGTTGCCCAGGCTGGAGTGCAGTGGCATTATCTCAGCTCACTGCAAGCTCCGCCTCCCGGGTTCACGCCATTCTCCTGTCTCAGCCTCCAAGGAAAGAAGATATTAACACAGTTAGCTAACAAATATAAGTGCCATAGTGCTTTTAAGTCTCCATCTTCTTAATTTTAATGTGTTTAGGACTTGTCAGGTTAAGTGAGCCACCAAATGTCAATGAGATTTGATATTTGTGGAAGAGATTACTAGTTGCTCATTATCCATTTCCCCTTTTGCTTTAGCAGGAGAACCCATATATTATTGGGACACTTATGTGCCCAGATTTGAAGACAAACCACATTTTCCAACCCCTCTTGACTCAACGTATCCATACACTATGTTCAGGCCAATGAAATAGAGCACGAATTGTTGGAATCATTGGGAGGGGTTTCCAGAAGTTTACTTACAAGAGAGACAGCTAAGAAAAAGTCTTTTGGCTTCTCCTTCCCCTTTCCTGTTTCCTACCTAAAATTTACCATGGTTGTAGCCCCAGCATCCTTTTTAGACAATGAATTGACCTAAACTGTGGTGGAGCATGAAGACAGGAGCCTGAGTCTCCTCTGCTTTGTGGAGCTGCCACGCCAAGCTTGGACTGCCACATCTGGACTTCTTTCAGGTGACAAAAGAAATCTGTGTGTGTTCTAGTCACTGCTATTTTGAGTTTTCTGTTATTGTAGGTGAACCTAATCCTGATATAATATGACCTTAGTAACAAGAGAAACTTTTGATCAAGGAAATTTGCTCTATTCTATGTATCTTGTTTAAATAAAAGCATTTTTATTTCTCTGATTGTCTTTTTCTCTAGCATAATTCAGATGAGATTAGACCAATTACCTGGATATTTTAAATTGTTTAAATATTTTTGACTTCATTTGGACATAAAAATATGCCCCAGGTGACCAAGTATTTCTTGTTTTCTTATTTTTAGCACAACTGAAATAGACTCTTAAAAGATTCTTTGAAATAAAAGAATGCCCCCCTTGTTGTTTAGCAGCCGAGTGATAAGTTCCAATCAACAATTTCATAATGGAAAATCGAGGGAAGGTTAGGTGAAGGGGAAACTGCTGGTTGGAGTTGTATATAAACTAAGACCACAAATATGAGAAGCCATTGCCTTGTGGTTTGTGAATAAAATAGCTCCGTCCAGCACCTTCCCTGTGGTTTCCTTACTCTGGACTACACTTTCTTCACAGTTTTCCCAAACCTTAGCTTCAGTGAAGCTGCAACCTCCTGATCCCTTTCTTCCTCTTTGATCTTTTTATTTTCTGAATATGTTACTATCTCCTTGTTATCTTTCTCTATTCCTTCAGTCCCTTCCTCAAAGTACCTTGTTACAGACTCTTTTCTTTCTGTTAATGGTTATCACATTTGGTGGATAAGCTATGAACAGAAAGGATAAATATTCTTTTCCTCTGCTTGTTCACTAGTCAGCCACCAAGTTCTATTGATTTAACTTCCAAAATATCTCTTGGATTGATCCTCTCCTGATATCCTCATTTCCACCTCCTCATTGAGCTGTTTCGATAGCTTCTTCGGTCTTCCTGCCTTTGCGTCTGGGCTTCCCACCTCAACCATCCTACACATTGCTGCCAGATTTGTCTTCCTGAAGCATAATTCTAATCATATTACCTAGTAAATCTCCCCATAACACTTTTGTTTCTTCTTTAATTTATTCACTCATTTAAGAACTATTCTCTGGGTACCCATTAGGTGCTATGAATGGCTGGAGGCCCTAAGAACATCAATATAAGTAAGACCCAGTACTGGTGAAGGTAGGGGTTACCAATACACAAGCAGGAATAATTACCAGAGAACAGAGCAGGAACAAAAACCATGGCCTTGGGATTCAGAAAAGACTTTTAAGAGGTAATATCTGAGCTGAGTCTTGAAAGCCGAATAGATTTTAGCTGGCTGACAAGGGCGTAAGGGAGAAACGAAAAAAATACCCTAGCAGAAGAAACATCATGACAAAAGGCTTGGGGGGCAGCAGTAACTTGTGTGTACAAAGAAACAGAAGCAGCGGTTTCTAAAATGTGAAGTGTGACACTACGGTTGGGGCTGAGTCTAGAGAGGTGGCCTGAGTGATTTTAAATTTTCTCAAATTTCATTTCCTGTAGAATGTAAGGACTAAGCAACATTTCTTAGTTTGCTTAAATATGAGAAATGTTTCCTTGGGTTCATTTTCTTCACTGATACCACTTTTCACGTCTTGCTTGCAGTCTAAGGAGCTGCAGGGTAGGGACAAGGGTTTGTAGGTCCGGAGTCAAGATGTGTTCCCAGCCCAGCTCCCCCTGATGCACTTGATCATTTACACTGGACTCTAGATTTGTGTTGAAGGTTGACTTTCTGTTCCCCCTTGGTGAAACCTTCACAGACTACTAGATGCCATAGCAGGGGAAGTTTCCCTTGAGTGCTTTGCTCAGGGTCTCCCTCTCTTAAGCTCTCCAATTTCCCCTCCTTACATTGCCTGGCATTAGGTGACTGGGTGTTTTATTCTTCTTGATGCCATTTCTTTCCAGCAGATGCGGTCAGTGTTAATTGTCCTGCTAGTAGCCACTAATTTGACTTATATATAATCCTTGCATTTTAAAATCTTTTTTTTCAAATTCAATCCTTTCCACTGTTCTAGTTACTTGGATCCCTCATTTGTGGTCATATTCTATTCTTTTCTATCTTTCTTGCACTGAAAGGCACTTGGAAGATTTGAACCACTCAAGACTATAGACCTACACAAAGGCATGCTGGAACATTCTAACGTGGCTAATTACGGAGGATCTGCTGTCCTCTTTTCCACCGAGCAAACTTTGAAATCCTTCTAAACGCTGTTCGAATATCACCTCCTTTGTGAAAAGCCTGACTCTACCAGGCAAAATTAGCCACTTTGGACCCCCATAGCTTTTTCTTTTTTCCTTATAGAGACAAGGTCTCGCTCTGTTGCCCAGGCTGGAGTGCAGTGGCATGATAGTGGCTCACTGCATTATTGTAGCCTTGAACTCCTGGACTCAAGTCATCCTCCTACCTCAGCCTCCTGAGTAGCTAGGACTACAGGCGAACGTCCCACCCCCCAACCCATAGCTTTTTAATGTATGTGTCTATTCTGAAACTTAACACCTTGACTTCTTGTATTATGGTTTATCTGCATTACTGTCTCCCCCACTAGATGGTGATATCCTCAAGGGGAGGAATTGTGATGTTTACCCTTGTGACATTCATTCATTCAACACATTTTGAAAATATATACTGTGTACCAGGAGCTAAACATACACATGACTCATACTCAGTACAAAAGAGACACATATGTGTACTAATAGATAATACACTCCAATGACAGACAGATAAACAGGCACTTATACTTCATTTTTGAAAATGCGATGCTGGGAACAGTACAGAGGAACAGATAAGAAGGTCAGCTCACTTTGGAGATCAGTGAGGGCTTCCTGTAGGAAGTACCATGTGAGGTAAGAGTAGACCAAAGCCAGAAATAAATGGGATAGAGCGTAGAATGGAAGCAAGGAGGCCAAGCATTCTTAGATACAGAGGAAATAGCTCAAAACTCCAGAAGTGAGAAGACACAGTGTATTTAAGAATTAAATACTGTTAAGCCTGTCTGGAGCTAAAAAAAGACTGTTAACATGAGACTCGAGAATTAAGGAGGGACAAAAATCATCAAATGACTCAAGGGCACAGACTATGGTTTATTTAAATTTCTTCCTCTCTCCTGTGTTTGTACTTATCAAACAGGTGATTGGTTAATAAATGTTCATGGAAGGGAGCAAAGAAAAAAACAAATGGCCCAGCACTCCAGTGGGTAGTATATATTAGAAATAATATGAAATGCAGATTTTGCCTGCCTTCAGTGTCACTGGATAGACAAGACGTTATCTGTCAACATTGGTAAATACTAGGCCCCATTTGATTTAATATCCAAAAAGAGTGGTACACGTAAGTGTGGTTAAGTCTGGAGAGATTGCTGTGACCAGGGATTGCCAAGGGAGCCTGCATCAATGAGATGGAACCTGAACTGCATCTGTAGGGTGAGTATGGTCTAAGAAGAAAAGAATAAAAAGGCATTCTGTGATCTTTTCAGAAGTATTCGAAGCGAATTAGTTAGTTTGTTGGATTAGCATCTAAAGCTATACTTTATTCGGACTTGCCAGTCAGTTTGTATAAAATCACAAGTGGAGTTTATGCTAATAACTTATTTTTTAATAGTCATGGCCTCTCTCTTCTCCCTAGGCGTTTCTGAATTTAAAAGTTTAGGGAAAATAAAAAACATTTCCAAAATTGTGAGAGTCAAGGTAAATTATTTATTGATAACAATACTATCTTAGTCCAGTTTCTGTTACTAGAACAGAATAGCACACACCAGGTAATTTATACAGAAAAGAAGTTTATATCTTACAGTTCTGGAGGCTGGGCAATCAAAGGGCATGGCTTTAGCATCTGGTTAGGGTCTTTGGGATGCATCATCCCATTGTGGAAAGATGGAAGAGCAAGTGATCATGCGCAAAAGAGAAAGCATGAGGGGCTGGGCTCACTTATTAACAACCTACTCTCAAGATAACTAACACTCCCACAATAATGGCATTAATCCATTCATGAGTATAGAGCCTTCATGACCTAATTACTTCTTACAGGCCCCCACCTTTTAATACGGTTAGACTGGCAATTACACTTCAACATGAGTTTCAGAGGACAAACATGTAAACCATAGCAAACAGTAACACAGAACTAAATATTTGGTTCTCTCTCGCCAGTTAGATAATTTATATCTTATTGGAATTACAGCCATTTTAGTAATACATCTACCTGCTATTTAAAGGACAAAATTTAATTGTGACACTTGTGACCAATACTCAGGAATTATGTAAACCATGAATTAACTATGTTCAAAACACAATTGGTCTGCAGATAATTTATGGTAGCTCATGGCCTTAGTCATACTAACAAAGTCTTAAGCAATTGAACAATAATGTACATGGTAAAAAATCTAGGAGGCAATAAATGCTGCTTTTTAAAAGGTGAAAAATCTAAGCAAATTGAATAACCCAATTCACTGTAGAAATAATTTATCCTGAATAAACTTTGTGTTTGAACAGACAATAACATGGACAATCATTTGTAAGCAGCAAAATAAGACATAATTTGTTGTTGCAGAATTTAAAAAGCAAATGCCATAACCTTTAGATTGTCCAGTAATTTCTTTTGAGACCAGTAATTTTAATAATGTATCTCTCAAACAGCTTTGCTACTATGACCAAATGCTTAATGAATGATCATTTACATAGAAGAGGAATAAAAACAAGAAACTTTTATTATTTAGTTTATGCTTTGAGTAACTCTAGGGCTCTCACACACCAGATGTCTCTTAACCTTTGGGATAAGGAAATGATTTGCTATTTAGTCAGATAAAAGACCCTAATTTTGTGGTATACATAACAACTGTCAGTTTTAAAAATTATTATCATTAATGATTATGTGAAATCAGTATAAATTTTATGTATGGAAATAAGCCACCCATATTTTATTTTATTTTTTAAAAAGTGTAACCTTATCTCACATTTTATTAGCTAATTTAGCTGTGTAGTATTAATCCTTTGGCATCCATTTGCATTCTATTTTCATTTATCTATTCTGTTCCTCCTTCCTCCCTCCCCACCATCACATTATCCTCAAACACTCATTGTATACTCTGTGTGTATGACACTGCATTACGATATGCAGGCTTGCTGGATCTCAGCCATTCTAGCTAAATCACACTCCCTAAAAAAACTTACCCTTTGGAGAACAATATTTCTTGTGAGGTATGACATTAAACTCTGTACAGTAGCAAAACCCATTTGAGCTTTTTTTTCCAAAGAAATTAAATTCCAAAAGTGCTGAGATGTTAAGCAATGGATAAAACAAGGGAGTAAATTATTCATAAATGTATTAATAAATATTTCAGTGCTAAATGGAGTCCTGGTTAACGTACATTAATATCTTAGTAAGTGAAATTCTTTGAACGTTTTATATGTTACAATTTAAAGTATTTAGTATTACTGACCATGAATCTATAGATAAAATATTTAACAAAAGTCACTAATAAATATGAAAAGGGCACTTTGGGAAGTTTTAATAAATGAACTCATTCATAGTGCAAGACATTTACAGGCAAACATACTTATTTATCATACCCTAAATCTGATTTTATTGTATGATTAGGATTCTTTCCATTTGAAATAGGTTGTCAAGATGAATTCTGAACACAAATATGAAGAGTATCATTGCTGTTTCATTAAGTGCACAGCCTCTCACCATATTGTGCATATGTCCCTGAAATGTTTTTGAATGCGCTTTATAAACTCAAATTGTAATTTTATTATTTCAACTTTTAGCAAACAGTGCATTTTCAAAAATTTGACATTTTTGCATAGGTGGGATGAAGAATGTATTGGTCCTGTCAACCGCAAAACTGTTACTTTGGTCACTCACTGCACACTAGTGATAACACATAGCTGCTCACATTTAACGGGAACATTAAATAATCTCACTAATTTTTATGTATGCAGCACAGTAGAATAGCCTTTCAGAAAATGTTCTACAGCATGGCACTTTTGACATTTTGGGCCCGATAATTCTTGGTTGTGGGACTGTCCTATCCTGTGCAGCGTACGATGTTCAGGAGTATCCCTGGCCTTTACACACTAGATGCCAGGAGCAGCTTCAACTAGTTGTGACAACCAAAAATATCCCTAAACATTGCCAAATGTCCTCTGGAGGACAAAATCATCCCCTATAAAGAAGTTCTATTTTACCATAACATGTTTTATAGGAGGAATTTAAGCTTAGGAGTCCTAACATAAGGAAGTCTTGAAAATCCTTTATCTTAAATGACAGATATGATCAGCAGTCTGCAGTGATCACTCTTCTATAATCAACTTTACTGAAGTATAATTTATATACAATAACATGCAGATGTTAAGTGCACAGTTTGATGAATTTTAATAGATGTACCCATGTAACTTTAACCCCAACTAAGATATAGAACATTTCCATCACCTTAAAAAGTTCCATTCTGCTACTTTGCGGTCAATCTGGCTTACGCTAATCCAGACCCTGCCCCAGAAATGCGCTGATTTCCATCCCAATAGAGTAGTTTTGGCTGCTGTGGAACTTCATATAAATGGAATAAGAAAGTACAGGTATATACCCTTTTACGTCTGACTTCTTTCACTCAATCTAATCTCTGTGAAATTCATCCATATTGTTGTGTATATCAGAAATTTGTTCATTTTTATTTCTTAGAAATATCCATTTGTTTGATTACGTGACAATTTGTTTATTCATTCACCTGTTGAAGGACTTTGGGTTGTTTCCAGTTTTGGGCTATTACAAAACAGCCATTTTGAACTTTCTCTCACAAGCATTTTTATAAACATGTGTTTTTATATCTCTTGGGTAAATACCTAGAGCTGGAATTACTGTATCATAAGATAGATTTTGTTTATCTTCATAGGTAAATGGATGTACCATTTTACACTCTCACTAATAATGTGCAAGAGTTCCAGTTGTTCCACATTTTCACCCACACACTTGGTATTGTTATGATCTCTAGGGGTATCTCATGGTGATTTTAATTTACTTTTCCCTAATGATGTTGAATATATTTTCATGTGCTAAGTAGCCATTCATGCACCTTCTTTTGTGACGTGTCTGCTTAAGGCTTTTGCCCATTTTTAAGTTGGGTTATTTTCTTGTTGAGTTGTAAGAGCTCATTATATATTCTGGATACAAGTCCCATACTTTTGTGTGTGTGTGTGTGTGTGTGTGTGTGTGTGTGTGTGTGTACATATGTACGGTGAATATTTCATCCCAGTTTATTAATTATCTTTTGGGAACAAAAAAAACAAAACCACTGTCAAGATTGCATTTAGAGGACCTCATTGTTGAAGTAAATCCTTATGAGGTTATTTTTATAAAGCAACCATCTAACCATGAGTTTATTCTATTTTCATGTAATCGGTTTGCTTATAGGAAAGCTTCATAGTTATAAATTGTAGTACCTATACATAGAAAGTACTCATTCTCCAGTACAGTTACCAACAACTCTGCAATCATTGTAATCAATTTTTTTTAAAAAACAACATTTACTTTATCAAAGGTTCTGAAGTGTTTTCCCCTAAGGAGGTGTGCATGTGTATGGCTCAATGTAAACTAACTAAATAAACTGATATTAACGCAGTGTAGAAGACTGATGTTGTTAAATATAATGCAATGCTCTGTTACATTTCTCACACAACATATAAAATTTGAATGAAATTCCTTTGGCTAGATAAAACAGTCATTTAACAAAAGATAATTAAGTAATTATGCACTTTATTAAAATCATAGAAATTAAGAGCTGAAAATATAGAGACCATCATAGTCCAATATTCTCCTCTCACTGTTGTATCAATGGAGACAGAATACCGGGGCTGTTTTAGAGCTAGAGCCACATGGAGGAATTGGTCTTTGTTAAATAAGGCCTGCATGGTGAGTATACAGCAAATGTGATGGAGATAGGATGATTAGGACGAAGAGGAACATTCATACTATTCTTTAGTAGCTCTTTCCCCAGGGACTCCTGTATTTTAACATACCACATCTCCTGGCAAAGAAGGTGCTGCGGTGTATAAATGAATAGGCTATCCGGGTGGGGGTTCCAGGTTAGCCCACTTCCAACTGTGGTATTTCCTAATTAGTCTGTAAAATTTTCAGGAAATTTTTACTGCTTTAGTCCAAAGAAAAAAGGGAATAAGTTGCAGTTAGATCCCTTGGAGGGCCTACAAGGAATGAGAAGTTTGGAGTTAATGTAGACAGTTCTCAGATTTGGGTGGTTCTACCCCCACTGTTTTACATTTCTGGCATTCCATCACTTTCCCAGATATTACCACTTTGTGCCTTGAAATAAAACAAGCAGATACAAATGAACTTATATCATCCTTCCTTCCTTATCTAATGGTGTCACTACCTTGTTTCTGAATGTCCCTCAGTACACAGACAGTGAAGCTCAAACTCCCTTATATTGGATGTGTGTCCCTTCCAAATCTCATGTTGAAATGTAATTCCCAATGCTGGAGGTAGGGCCTAGTGGGAGGTATTGGATCATGGGGCAGATCCCCCATGAATGGCTTGCTTCTGTCCCCGTAATAGTGAGTGAATTCCTGCAGGATCCAGTTAAGATTGCGGCACCTACTTCCTCCCACTCACTGTGCGCTCCCGCTCTGGCCACGTGATGCATGTGCTCCTCCTTCACCTTCCGCCATGATTGGAAGCTTCTTGAGGCCCTCACCAGAAGCAGATGAGAGCACTATGCTTACCCTACAGCTTGCAGAACCGTCAGCCAATGAACCCTCTTTTCTTTATGCATTGCCCAGTGTCAAGTATTCCTTTATGGCAATGCAAGAATAAACTAACACGCTCCTTAAAGGAGAGAATCTATGAAAAGCTTCTAGCAGTGTGTCAGGCTCAATAAATTGTAGTCCCCAACCTATCATGGCACAAAAGGGCCCTTCCAAATTGACTTCTCATTTATAGGACTCTCCCATCCTCCTTCACTTTTCACTGCCTTCTCCAAAATGTTCCAGTGTTCTAGAACACTGGGGTCTTCTCCGTTCTGTGCACTATCCAACTGCTCTATCTTTGTCCATGTCATTACCGCGGTCTAGAATTCACATCCACACACTCTGTCAGCCTGCAGAATCCCCACTGTTCCTTTAGAATCAAATCAAGTGTCAACTCTCTGAAGCCCCCGATTCTCATTTTCCCCACTACCTCTTCCTCAGAAGGAATTGCTGCCTAATTTTGATTTTGTACATAGCTCTTTCATAATACTGGCCACAATATGGCAGTTATTTGTTTATGTATTTGCTTCTTCTGATAACTAACGAGGTCTTGAAAGTAGAGACTGTGTCTTACATAACCAACTTGTAGTTCAGCACCCAAAATATGGTGAGGGTTTGGTGAATGCTTGCTGATTTGAACAGAATTGATATGTGGGCCACATTTGTTTAAAACCACAGCCCTAGGGTCATTGGTCATTTGCCTCAAGTAAGAGAGCTAGAAGAGATGGTGTATAGTGAAGCTGAGCAGAGCAAGGAAAAGTAGGAAAACTTCCTTAAGTAGTAGACCCAGAGATAATTTTTCCCTACAGGTTTCATTTCTCTTAAGTACTTTTAAAAAGAGGAGCTATATAAATCAAGCAATCCACCAGCTTTGGAAAAATTGTGTTGCCTCCAAGGGGTTTATTCTGAGGAGAATATGCATGTTTGCACAAAAGTTATTTTATTTGTCAGAAAATTATTTTCATAATCTTATCCTGCTTAAATATTTGACCATCCCTAAAATGCCTGAGAGAAAAAAAAAACATGATTCTGGTCAGGGCTGCAATTCACTGTAAAAGCAAAATCTGGGACTTAAGATGGGTAGAAAGAGAAGTGATTTGTGTATTTGGATTTAATTCATTATTTAAAAATCAGAAAAAATTATTTAACACTTCAAACATATAGAAATAGTATGGCAGAAACCATTGTTTTTCAGATCCCTCACCTTCCATCTGCATTAAATTTTCTTTTCTTTTTTATCTTGAAACAGAATCTCACTCTGTCACCCAGGCTGGAGTGGAGCAGTGCCATCTCGGCTTACGGCAACCTCTCAGGTTCGAGCAATTCACCTGCCTCAGCCTCCCGAGTATCTGAGGCTATAGGCATGTGCCACCACACCTAGCTAATTTTTTGTATTTTTAGTAGAGACAGGGTTTCACCAAGTTGGCTGGTCTCGAACTCCTGACCTCAATGATCTGCCTGCCTCAGCCTCCCAAAGTACTGGTATTACAGGCATGTGCCACCATGCCCGGCCAATTTTCTGTTTTTCTTCTTTTCTTTTCTTTTTTTTGAATCAGAGTCTCCCTCTGTCACCCAGGCTGGAGTGCAGTGTCACGATCTCGGCTCAGTGCAACCTCCGCCCTCCGGATTCAAGCGATTATCCTCTCTCAGCCTCCCAAGTAGCTGGGAGTACAGGTGCACGCCACTGCATCCGGCTAATTTTTGTATTTTTAGTAGAGATGGGGTTTCGCCATGTTGGCCAGGCTAGTCTCAAACTCCTGACCTCAGGTGATCCGCCTGCCTCGACTTCCCAAAGTGCTCAGATTACAGGTGTGAAAAGTGCATTCCTAGATAGTATTTTTCCTTGGGGATTCATGAATGTAGGTCGTTCAGTGTTTTCTGACAATGTGTAAGTATCATTCTCCTCTTAAAGAGTATATAAAGTTGTTATAGTTTCTTAGGTTAAGAGTTACTTTACTTTATTATTAAAAGGTATTACATTTTCTTCTGTCTCCTGTATTTGATGTTGAGTAGTCTGCCGGAAATATTTCTTCCTTTGAAGATGTTTTTATCTTTTCTCTGTGGTTGCTTTTAGTTTACCTATTTGTTTTTGGTGTTCTGAAAATATTTTTTATGATGTTTCTATGCATAAACTTATTTATATTATACATTTCAAAATTCTCTTGGCTTCTTGAGACTGGGTATTCATGTCTTCTCATTCATCTTAGAAAATTCCTAGTCATTAATTCTTCATTGCTTTTCAAAATTGCCTCTATCTCCTTTTGGAACTTCTATTTAACATATGCTGTGTTTTCACTTTTCATTCTCCTGTCCTTTTTTTTTTTTTAATCTCTTTCTTTAGTTTGAGCTGTAGTTTGGGCAATTTTCTAAGACTTACCTTTTAGTTCACAAATTATCTCTCTAGCTATATTTAACTTACTATTCATCCTATTTATTGTAATTTAAAATTTTGATTACAATGTTTTTAATTTTTAGAAATTCATTTGGTTCTTTCAAAAAATCTTCCGTTTTTAAACAGTATAATTTTATTTTTTACGTTTCAATTTCTTATTTTATATCTTTAATACATTTAAATATACTTATTTTATGATTTCTATTAGATTGTTTCAATATCAAATATTCTTGGGGATCTTATTCTAACTCTTATTCAGGGTGGATTGTTTCTTCATCTGTTTTGTAATTTTGGACTGTTATCTAATTTTTAGGAAAATTTATGTGTGGGAACCCTGTGCAGCCTGGGTTGAGGGTGTGCTCTTCTGGAGTAGGTTTTGGTTTGCCCTGGCCAGATGTAATAAGAGTATCAGAAGCTTGAACCAATTTATATGTTAATTGTTTGGCTTGCTTGCCGGGGTGGTGAGGAGTTAGATTCCCATAGTTAAATTTTCAGGGAGACTTTTTCCCACACAGAGCCAGGACTACTCAGACGAGCTCTTTTATTAACTCCCATTAACTCCCGGGGCTGGAAGGTGAATTGTTTCCTAAACTATTCTTTCACTAATGGAGCAGCCCTTTTAGGATAATGGTTTTATGAAGGAGGTTCTCAGTTCCAAACTCTGTTTTGGGCAAGCTTAAGACATAAGTGCCATTTTCCAAATGGGCATTAAAGCTGCCTGCATTACAAAGGCTGAGACAGCCTGTTGCTCTGACATAGTCTCTGTCAGCCCATAAACTTGCTTCTCTGTTTTTCAGTTTTCCTTTTTCATTTCTATCACCTGTGATGTTCCCTTTGGTTTGGTGCCCTTAGCTATGATTTAAAAGAGTATGTGTTATATTTTATCCAGCATTTCTACGTGCTTGTAGCTGAAAGTTTGTCAGATATTTGTAGTTTTCCTTGTAGCTAGAACCAGAACTCTCTCAAATTTCTTTTTAAGAGCTTTACATTTTGCTTTTATTTAAAATAAACTTTGAGGTTTTTTTTTTCTTTGGAAAAAAATATAATGAAAGAGCAAAGCACAAAAATCTGAATGAAAATTAAATCAGTACATATGTTTAAAAGACATAGCATCCTTGCCTGCTTTTTGTATTAATCAGCTTGTTCTTCTAAGTGCTAAGGAGACACATAATGTGATTGAAGGAAATAGATTTTGCCTTCTGGTTTTAGTATTCACCCTCTCTGTTATTCTCTAACTCTGGATATGTAATTTATCCTCCGGCATCCATAGTTTTCACCTGTAAATAGGAAAAATGATACCTGTTTAATTACTTCTTAGGGTTATTAAGAAGTTCAAATGAAATAACATATAGTCGGTGACAGCTTTCTGTAGACTGTAAAACATGAGGCAAATGATAGTTACTGCTAAGTACTTTCAGGTAGTAATGGGATTGGTAAGTTGCACTTGCTTTTATTCCCTACAGTTGCATGTTTCTGAGAATTGTGGGTCTGGCCCACTCATACGCTTATATTTGAATTCCCGAACTTTTTTTTCTATAAAAGAGAAAGGTGAATTAACCCTTCATAGAACACTAAAACTATAATTAATTAAGTGGAAAAATCTTATTCCCTATATCCATAAAAGATAAATTCCATTGAATTAAAGAAAAAAATGCCCCTTTTTCTCATTCAAGAGCAAAGACTTCTATGATTTCAGCTGTGTGCCACAGTTTTTATCATTTGTCTCTGTACTAAGTGGTTTCACATTCTGTGCAAGATATGTGCCAAGGGAGTTGAAAATCTTGCCCACTGCTGTGTACACCAGGAAAATAGTACTAAGTAGTACTAGTATTTTTTAAAATTATAATAAAATACTCATAACATAAAATATACCATCTTAACAATTTTTAAATGTACAGTTCAGTAGTGTTAAGTACATTCACATTATTGTGCAACCAATATCCAGATCTCTTTTCATCTTGCAAAACTGAAACTGCTTTCCATTGCAGCTGAACCATTAACCATTTTACAACTCTCCATTTCTCTTTACCTACAGCCTCTGGCAGCCAACCACCATTCTACTTTGTGTCTCCATGAATTTCACTATTCTAAGCACCTAATGTAAGTGGAATCATACAGTATTCATTTTTTTGTGACTGGCTTATTTCTCTTAGCATAATGTCCTTGAGGTTCATCCATGTTGTTGCATGTGTCAGAACTTCTTTCCTTTTTAAGGCTGAATAATATTTCATTATATAGGGACATTTGTATTACTTCTACCTTTTGGCTATTGTGAATAATGCTGCTATGAGCATTAGTGTGCAAATATCTGTTCAAGTACCTGCTTTCAATTCTTTTGGGTATATGCCCAGAAGTAGAATTGCTGAATCTTGGGTAATTCTATTTTTTTTTTTTTAAAGATGGAGTCTTGCTCTGTTGCCCAGGCTGGAGTGCAGTGGCACAATCTCCGCTCACTGCAAGCTCTGACTCCCGGGTTCACGCCATTCTCCTGTCTCAGCCTCCCGAGTAGCTGGGACTACAGGCACCTGCCACCAGGCCTGGCTAATTTTTTGTATTTTTAATAGAGACAGGGTTTCACCGTGTTAGCCAGGATGGTCTCGATCTCCTGACCTCGCGATCCGCCCGCCTCGGCCTCCCAAAGTGCTGGGATTATAGGCATGAGCCACTGTACCCGGCTGGGTAATTCTATTTTTAATTCTTTGAGAAACCACCATATTGTTTTCCATAGTGGCTGCATCATTTCACATTCCCACCAACAGTCTACAGGGTCCCACTTTTCCCACATCCTTGCCAACCCTTGCTATTTTCTGTTTTTTTTTTTTTGTTTGTTTGTTTAATAGTAGCTATCCTAATGGGTATGAATTTTGATTTGCATTTCCCTAATAATTAGTGATGCTCAGCATCTTTTCATGTACTTTTCTGTCAATTTGTATATCTTCTCTGGAAAAATGACTACTCAAGTCCATTGCCCATTTTTTAATTAGGCTGTTGATTTTTTTGTGGTTGTTGAGTTGTAGGAGCCCTTTATAGATTCTGAATATTAACCTCTTGTTGGATATATGATTTGCAAATATGTTTTCTCATTCTGCAGGTTCTCTTTTCACTGTTGATTGTGTCCTTTGATGCACAAAGTTTTTAAGTTTAGGAGAATATTATTTGTCTATTTTTGCTTACGTTGCCTATGATTTTGGTGTCATACCTAGGAAACCATTGCCAAAAGTAATATTTTTTGTATAGTTTCACAACGGAATCCCACATGAGGAACAGAACAATCAGTATTGTCTAGAATTATAATTATTTAAGGGTCTATCTAGAATTCAAATAGGCTTGGTGGCAAAAAAGAAAAGGAGTTGTTCATTCTTTTAGGCAACTCGGTACTTCCACCCCCTCTATGTTTGGGCATTTTCATATCTTATGAATATTGTGGCATGTGGAGTCTGTTCCCCACTCTAAATGCTGATTAGGCCAGACACTTCATTTCTCAAACTGCCTTTCCCTGGGCTGTAGGCATATGACCTTTGCCCTGCCAATCACATACACCTATACCGGAGATCCTTGCAGTGCCAAGCATTATAGAAAACCTGAGTTCTTGGGCACCAGCAGGGACAGCTGAGGTAATGGTAGTGCTTTGTGTCTATGCTTGCTATGTGTGGCAGAGGTTGCTGCTTGTCTATTCTTTCCTTCATCCACAGTAATGAAACCTCTTCTTAACTGGGCACATGCCATTCAGGATAAAGACTATATTATCCCGTGTCCTTGGGGGCCAGGTTTGGCTAATTCTGGCTAATGAGCTGTAACTAGAAGTGTTGCTTGACCTCTTCTGAGATCTTCCTTAAAGGACAGCTGGAGTTTCATCCGTTCCTCTTTTCTTTTGGCTTGAATGTGTATCAGGATGGCTGAAGCTGGATTAGTACCATAAACAATGAGAAAACTACAGTAGTGGAGGCCCAGCATAGGGGAGCAAGAAAATAGAAGGTGCCTGCATCTCTGGGGCCTTCAAGCAACAGAATTTACCGATCAGTCCTGGACCTCTAGACTTTCATATGAGAAGGAGAAGTATACATCTGTCTTATTTAAGGTCGGTAATTTGGGGTCTCTGTTACTTGCTGCTGAAGTTAATCTTAATCAATGCATTGTCAGTGGTGCAAGCTGCAGCGTGAAGGTGTGCAGGCTGCAGGGGGCCGGTTCTAGGGTGTGATTTGAGGCTTCACTCCTGATTCATTGCCCTGGTCTGGTTTTTCAACCTTAACTTGTGATTCTATGACACACATATCATTTTAATGAATTCCATTCTCTTTAAATCAGTTGGAGTTGTTTTTGATTATTTATAACAAAAAGTCCTTACTGATATGAGGTGAAAATTTCTTAAGTCTTTTTTAGATAATAAACTGAAGTTTGTTTTTCACCACAAATTTCAGCCTTAAAGCTCAGCCACATTTTCAGAAACTCAGGGTGAAAGTTCACACAGAGCATCAGTTAGAAGAAGTTAATTGTGAAAAAGGGATCATCAATGGCCATCCTTTAAATGATGAGACCTCCCGTATGTTTTGAATGATTTAATTTCCAACATATTCTCTTCTGAGTCTTTGATATACGTGCTGACTCCATGAAATAAAGTCTAAGTGTGAAGGGAAGAGGAATTTTAATGTTTATTCTATCTCAGCACCTTGCTAAGTGGTCCTCAGCCCAGGCATTGCTGAGCTGGGGCTGGATTTCTTCATCTTTACAATAACAGAAGAACGCACTTACCAGTGTCTGAGTTATTGCTTACAGACAGGAAGGTTTCAAGCCTCAGATGCTGAGCAGTGAGAATGGCCAACAAAAAGCATGAAGTTAGTTTTGCCTCAAATAAAAGACTTCTTTTGATTCTTAAAATCCTTTCAGAATCTCATTTGGATCTCTGAGGGACAATTATACTTTCTCATCATCTAGTTGTTCAACACCAGTTTGAGCTATTAGTGTACTCATTCATTCAACCATGCCTTTGGCAAACGCTTTTTAATACCTACTCTGTGCCAGGCATTACTTGGCCATCGCTTTCTCCCTGCCCCTTGTCTCAATATCCATTCCACATTCTGAATGAATTCAGTGGATGAGGCTGAAGAGTCTGAGGGAAGCAATGTGATTAATTTATGCATCATGTATCAAGTATGACATGCAGATGCTGGGACGCGGCACTTGAGAACACAGGCTGCCTCCCTTCCTCAGCTGTTGCAGGCGTGCACTCTGTCAAAATGCATGTCCAGAAAGGTCTAAGTCCCTGAAGTGTGGTGTTTATTAAGAAAAGGTTCACCTTTTATATCCTCCAACATTTCTAGTAAAATCATAACCATCCTCAATTTGCAACCACAGACTTCTGGGAATACAGCTATTATTGGCTCCAAACCCTCTCCTCTGTGATTCATAGATTGCTATCTGTGAGGGCAAGAACTTTGCATTTTATTCATCTTTGCATCCCCAGAGCATAGCATGTAATAATCATTTATTATTTATTTATTTTTTTTTTTATTTTTTTTTGAGACGGAGTCTCACTCTGTTGCCTAGGCTGGAGTGCAGTGGCACTATCTCGGCTCACTGCAACCTCCGCCTCCTGGGTTTAAGCAGTTCTCCCTGCCTCAGCCTCCTGAGCATCTGGGACTACAGGCACCCGCCACCAAACCTAACTAATTTTTGTATTTTTAGTAGAGTCAGGGTGTCACCATGTTGGCCTGGCTGATCTCGAACTCCTGACCTCAAGTGATCTGCCCACCTCGGCCTCCCAAAGTGGGGGGATTACAGGTGTGAGCCACTGCGCCAAGCCTAAATAATGTTTTCAAAAAATTTAAATTATTTCTCACAAACAATGTGCATACAGTTTGTTGTCTTTACTGTCTACCCCACACAACTGACCTGGTACCCCCTAGTACTCACATAATTCAGCTTAGAGATCAGTTCCTCAGGGATACCTTCTCTGATACCGGAGCTAAGGTCTGGGCCCCCTATTATGAGTTCAGAGAACACCTTAGGTTTAGGTTTCCACTTTATAGCACTTACTATACTTTTATTTATGTAATGTTTGTGTTCTGTACTGGAATAAGACCCCCAGGAAGTCTGTAACATCCTCTTATTCTCAGTGCTATTATTTATAATCAATGCCTAGGACACAATAGATGCTCAGTAAACATTTCCAGAATAAATGAGTTTTGATCAATAGCATTTTTGAGGCTAGTCTCCCTCTTTTTCTCATCCTCTACTGTACACAGTGATTTACATCCTTTCCAAACTGGTGTTTTTTTGTTTTGTTTTGTTGTTGTTTTTTTTTTTTCCCTACTGTCACTTTCCAATTCCTACCACCTACTGGTTGAACCCATGATGTCTTGGGGACTAGATGTCAGGGTGGCTACACATTTCCATTTTGGAGAGCAGTTTCCTATTTTTAGCACTTCTCCAGGGCTTGGACTGATAAGGCAGTGGAGTCCTTCTGCCCTCAGAACTTTGCCTTTTAACTTCGTTCCTTGGGAATGTGCCTGTCAGGCTCTGTGGAGAAGTTATTCCTCCTTTTGATGAGAAATTGAGACTACCTGAGCTCCTTCCCTGCTTTAAATGAACCACTAGAGGGGGCAGTGACCTGCTCTGCTGCTGCGCCTGAATTGCACCTGTAGGATATTAGGGTTAGATGGATCTTAATGACTTCCTGGGCCACCTTCTCCCATTTTCTAAACAAGTCCCTAAGGCTACAGACTTGGTCAGTGACAAAACTAGGCCTAGACCCCAGATCTTGTGCTTTCTCCTCCAGCATACTGCCTGCCTCCTGCCCTGCAGTCCTTGGAGGACTCTTGCAGGGTCTGGTCTACGGATATGGATCAAATTTTTTTTTTTTTTGAGACTGAGTCTTGCTCTATTGCCCAGGCTGGAGTGCAGTGGCATGATCTCAGCTCACTGCAGCCTCTGCTTCCCAGGTTCAGGTGATTCTCATGCCTCAGCCTCACAAGTAACTGTGATTACAAGGATCTGCCACCATGCCCGGCTAATTTTTGTATTTTTAGTAAAGACAGGGTTTCACCATGTTGGCCAGGCTGGTCTCCAACTCCTGACCTCAAGTGATCCGCCAGCCTCGACCTCCTAAAGTGCTGGGATTACAGGCATGAGCCACCACACCCAGCCAGCTATGGATCAATTTTGACAAGTCTGATTAACTCACCAAGAATTCCTTGGACCACCAATGCAATTATCCACATTGATTTATGAATGGTCCATAGCCACACATATGTGTGTGGGCTAAAGGGAGGAATAGCAAGAGGTAATGGAAATTATGCTCAATTCCACCACTTGTGGAAAACAAGATGTAATGGACGTTGCTAGCTATTGTCTTTTTGTCATCCAAGCAAGCTTTCTCATCACCCTTTATTCTGGTAACTGCCTTCCCTCCTCCTCACTCCCTTTGCAGAGGCAGGGGCCAGTTTCAGGTCTGGCTAATCACAGCTCTCCATTCCTTCCCACTTAGTAATGGTTCAGGGGAAGGTAAAAACTCAAGCTGACTTTATTAAAGTCCTTCCCTGAGATTTCTGAGTTTAAAAACAAGAGAAGCAGTGGTGTTTTCTCGGGGTCATGGTACCATAAGGATATGAAGTTAGAAGACTGTGACTATCTTTGTAACCAAACAAAGAAGACCTGCTATAGGAGCAGATCAGAGAGTTAAGCAGAGACTCAGAGAGAAAAGCTGGATGTAGAATTGAATCATGATCCCAATTCTTCAGCCCTGGAGCCAACATCTTTTTTCAGGTTCTTCAAGTTACCCTACTTTATTATGCCTGGCTACATGGGCCTATCAATTCCTTTCTTTTGTTTAAAGATAGTTGGAATTAGATTTTTATCATTCACAATGAAGAATTTTGATGAGAAATTCTAGAGGCCAAACATACCAAAAAATACCCCCTGTTTTAGGTTAACAGTTTGTCTGTAGTCACTGTGGGTGTAGGGTAATATCGCCTTTCCTCTGACCCTAAACTAAGGATGGATAAGCCTGAAGTCAGTCTTTCAGTATAAACCTCATGGGTGACTAGTGATCAGCTTTTTGTATTTCCTCACTATTGTCTGTCTTGGTCAGCTCAACCAGGAAGGACAAGTTGCTACTGAGGCCAAGAGCACAGGTCAGGTGGCTTAGTTAGTTCTTTGCTGTCTACAACACAAGACTTATTCCTCAAATATCCAGCTGTTTTGCAACCTGTACCTTTGAGTGATGTGAGCTAGTGTGGCATGTCTACACTGACTCTGGAAGGCAGCATGGGGTGACAGAAAGAGCACCAGACTGAGCCTCGGGAGAGAGGGGTCCAGTCCCAACCCCATTCTTCTCTTATTGGAAGACCCCCAGCTGAGACATTTGACTTCTCTGGGCCTTAGTTTATCAGGTTACAAAAAAAGTGATACTTGGACAACATGATCCTAAGATACCTTCTGGCTCTAAAATTACATTATTATCAAAGAACAGCTCAAATGCATCCCCTATGAATGGCATTGACCTCTCTGTTCTTATATCAAAAATATATCACAATTTAACTCACTGTTTTTTCATTAGTCCTTAGGGCAAGCCATGTGCAGTATCATTAAGTATCTTTCAAATACAAATCTCTGCTTCTGGCACAAAGGAACCCCTGCCCTCCTTAGCAAATTATTTGTTACCCTTAGGCCTATTTCAGCTATGCCAGGGAAAGCGAATCTCTTCTTCTGAAATATTCATTACTGTGAAGCAGCGATTCTGTACTTCAGGGCCTAGAAGGGGAGAGATTTCTTTGCATTCTCACCTCTGCCGCCCAGACTCCCTTTGACACATCCACCTCCCAGACTGCAGAGCGGAGGGTTGCTAGGAGACCAGGGTGGCAGACAGGCAGGATCCAGAGGGGCTCAGCTAGTTGGGAAAGCTGCAAGGGTGAACACAACAGTTGAGTGAAAAAGGAAACAAATACTTCCTGGACTCTTGATCTAGTTTTAAAAGACTAAGGTAAATACACATGGGGGTGGGCTGGGGATGGAAAGGGAGGAAGTTTCGGGGAAGAGCATATAGATGAGAGGTGGGGATGCAACATGAAGTGCTACAGGAGGTGAGCACTGCAGGAGGCTGTGTAGATGGCAGACACCAAAGGCTTATTGCTCAGAGGAGATAAAAACAAAAGTCATTTTGATTGACGACAGTCCCGGTGAACCTGAATGAGATTAATAGTCATCTGCTTTCCTCAGGGCTACCACGATGGCTGGGTGCCTGCAGGACTGCTAAGATCCACTGACTGTCTGATGCCCTCTCTCCTGGGCCTGAGCTTGTCTCCAGGAAGCACTGATGCAAGTGCAGATGCATTTGAGTTGCTCCGAATAGCAAGGGGGTGATCCAGTAGAGCTCAGTGTTACTGCGTGGGGAGCAATGGTCAACTGGACCCTGATGGGACACCCCTAGGACACAAGGTTAAGACCACTCTAAAGCAAAGGGCACTCTACTTAGTCATGCTGTTAGCAAGGCCACGAGGTTGCTTGACGCAGTGTCTGGGCACATGGTAAGAGCTCAAGAAATGGTTGTTTTTTAAATTGTTGTTTTTATAAGGGTCCTTACCGATGGGTATTGAATATTCCTCTACTCCCTTCACCGCTAAGATTTTGCTTGTATAATTATTTTGAAGTGATATGAATTACAAATATCTTTTTCTTTTTTTTTTTTGACAGGGTCTTGTGCTGTCACTCAAGCTGGAATGCAGTGGTGCAATCAAGGCTCACTGCCGCCTCAATCTCCCAGCCTCAAGCAATCCTCCCACCTCAGCCTCCCGAGTAGCTGGGACTACAGGCACACGCCACCATGTCCAGCTAATTTTTAAATTTTTAGTAGAGATGAGGTCTTGCTATGTTGCCCAGGATCGTCTTGAACTCCTGGCCTCAAGCGATCCTCCTGCCTTGGCTTCCCAAAGTGCTGGGCTTATAGGTGTGAGCCACCATGCTCAGCCATAAATGCCTTGTCTTTTTTTTTTTTTTTTTTTTTTTTCCTGACAGTCTTGCTCTGTCGCCCAGGTGGAGTGCAGTGGCACAATTTCAGCTCACTGCCACCTCTGCCTCTCAGGTTCAAGAGATTCTCATGCCTCAGCTTTCTGAGTAGCTGGGATTACCTGTGTGCACCACCACACCCAGCTAATTTTTTTGTATTTTTAGTGGAGACAGGGTTTCACCATGTTGGCCAGGCTGGTCTTGAACTCCTGGCCTCAAGTAATCTGCCCACCTCAGCCTCCCAAAGTGCTGGGATTACAGGCGTGAGCCACTGTGCCCAGCCTGCCTTGTCTTCTTTTAATGGCCCTCTATGGGTTTCATGTCCCATTCATATACCTATGAGAATTACACACTCAGGGTCAGTTTCCTTCAGCCAATCAGCAGGCACCATTCACAGGTACATTTGCCCACATAATGCGAACCTGACATGCCCAAATATCTAACTCAATAAAATTTGAACTACGTGTTACCATGTCTTGCCAGGAAAAAAAATCATCATCTTTATTTTATTTCTGATTTTTAATTATGAAATGTTTTATTCATGTTTAATGTGGCACGTGGCCTGCCCCAGAAGTCATTGCATTTTTTGGGGTACAGCATGATCCTCAGGTGAGTCTATTGCTGTTCTGTACAAAGCAGCCTCTGCTTGAGGTTATGGCTTACTGCTCATAGCAGCAGCAACAACAGCAGCAACAGCAGCAGCACAATAACAGCAAGCTCTGTGTTAAAAGGAATCACATCTTAGAATGATGTAATGTTTCCGGGCGTGCGATGGTTGGGTCACATGAGGTCTGACATCATCTGGAGCAAGGAGCTTCCAGGAATGCTGCCACTAGCAACTTTACCGGGCAGACACTGGAGCACAGCTCTTTCAGGAGACAGAAAAGAAAACAAAGCAGAGGAAAACCAAAGCTACGTGCCAGCTTCAAAAATCTGAGCAGTCAAATCACAAGGGGAGAGAAAGAGAACTGTAATACTTACTCCAGAGACTCTAAACCTTCACTTTTCAGCACTCAGACAAATTTGTAATTGAAAGGAACTTGGGAGGCTTTATCTGGTTCAAACTTCTGCCTCTAAGGAAGAGTCTATCTAAAACTTCAAAGCATATAAAAACCTCTAGGAGAATGATGATGCATAACCTCCTTTGGTAAGTGGCTTCAATGTCACTATCTTTAGGGCAGTGGACTGGCTCTAAAGACTCAGCCGGCCTAGCCCCATGTCTGGAAGGGGTGGCCACAGGGGAGGGTTTGGCCTCCAGCAGAAATTCAAATGCATTCTTGTGAGACGAGAGATGGAATCTTGGGGAGAAAAATGTAAAGGTCAGTAAATAAAGCTTCTATAGCCTCTTGGATGGACTAAATATGTTTTTTAAATTCAAAGATTTTCCTTTATTAATTATGATGATATTTTTAATTGTAAAATTTCAAATTTGTCAAAAAACTGCAAGAAAATGAAAGGAAATACTAATATATATCCTTCACCTAGACTCACCAATTAACATTTTTCCATATTTGCTTTATTTTTCTCTCGTTAGTGTGCATGCATGCATGCATACACACACATACACATACATACATAAATGTCTTTAGGTAATATTGCCTAAACAGACACACACACACACCTTTAGGTAATATTACATATACATTACATAAAAGGAAAAATAAAGCAACCTGCCTATCAATCAATTTTCTGAAACATTGTGATAAAATGTACACATTTTTTACAATCAAGGTCACTTCCTCCTCTCCTTTTCAATCCTCTCACCCGTGTTGAGAATCTCTTCTTTAGAATCAAGAAGTTTGTTCTTGTATTTGGCTTTCTCACACTTAAAGATAAGCTATATAATTTTACCCTCTCAGTATAAAAAAGAAGACAGCTGTCACTACCATAAACATACTGTCTGCCTCTTGATTTTCACCAAAGAAGAAAGGCAGGTGCTGAGCATGTAAAATGGCTTCTCTGGAGTCCTGGCCAAACAGGACAATGGCCAGGATTCAAATACTTTCAGTTTCCATCCATTTTTACCAACCACAGATGAGTAGAGGTTGTTCTGTGACACTGAGTGTTTTTGTTCTGTCTCATATTCAGCAAAGGTTCCTTAAGGAACTTCATGGGCAGAGTACTCAGCTGTTCAACTCTGAATCCTTCAGTCACTACTCTGCCATCTGACTCCTTCGACGTGTGAAGCTTTTCATATAAAAAGATAAGCTGTAAAAAGACCTTTCTGCTGAACCCTTTCTTAAACCCTCACCTTGCCTTCCCATTTCTGCATACTGTGTCTTCAAACACTCAACATACTCCAAATATATATGCATGTGTGCATCACCACTAAAGTTAACAACTCAAACCAACAGTGGCCTATTGAGCATCTACTATGTTTCAGGGTTAGGTCCTGGAGATCTCTGGCATGACTCCTGCTCCCCTGGAGTTTAAAATCTAGCAGAGAAAACAGATATTAAATATTTGCACTTGCGATGCCTGCTATATTGAGAGAAGCAGGCCAGGCATGGTGGCTCTCACCTGTAATCCTAGCACTTTGGGAGGCTGAAGTGGGCAGATCACTTGAGCCCAGGAGTTTGATACCAGCCTGGGCAACACAGCGAGAGCCCATCTCTACACAAAATTTAAAAATTAGCTGGGCATGGTGGTGAGTGCCTGTAGTCCCAGCTATTCAGGAGGCTGAGGTGGGAGGATCACTTGAGCCCGGGGGGTTGAGGCTGCAGTGATTTGCGATTGACCAACTACAGCACAGGTTCTTACGGGACTCAACTGCTGAGAGACTTAAACCTAGTCTATCTAGATCAAAGAAGGTTTCCCTGGAAAAGAGATGTTTGGGTTGAGATCTGAAGACAGAATGGGAGTAAACCAAGAAGGATGAGTTGGGGATGGGAGTTGGAGTGAGGATTTGAGAGGGAAGAATATTTCTGTCAGAGGAAACAGCTTCTATATAACCCTGGGGGCAAGAGAGAGCAAGGCACTGCCAGGACAAGAGCAATCTGGTAGGTGAAGTTGTCTATGGTCAATTGCCTACGTGGAACATAGTGGTTTACTACTCAGTTCAGGCATGAGGCAGGTGCATGTGCAGGAGATCAGTGCCTAGCTCCCTCTTCTAAGAGAAGGAGGTTTTTAGCAGACCCCTGTCACTGGTGCAAGCACTGCCTCTAGATAGTGATGGATCTTTAGTGCCAACAGCTTGGCAGGGCAGAAGCAAATATCTGAAAGAGTGGTGCTTTCTACCATGTGACTGGTGAGGAACCAACGCTTAGACAGGGTAACTTGCTAATGGACACACCACTTATAGGAAGCACCTGGGACCTGAATACTAGTTAGTTTAGGCCCAGCATTCCCGTGCTGAGAGACTATCAAGTGCTAGATTCTCAACACCTGAGAAAGGCAAGACTTGAATCCGTAAGAGTGTGAGGAGTATACTAACAACCTTCAGAACCACAGAAGTGCAGACTCAGGCTCTGCAGCTATTAGAAAAGAAGCCCAGCTGCTGTTTCTGTCCACAGCATGTATTAGAGTATAAATAAATAAACTTTTCTTTGGAACATTGGTTTTCATTGTCTGTTGGTGCTTTCTGGGTCCAGCAAATTGTTTCACTAAGCTAAGTGTCAGAATTACAATAGAAAATACCACTATGTATATATTCTGGCACAATCTTCTCTCCGTTCCTAAGTTGGGAACCACTTTATTTGAAGCTAATGTTAAAAGCCTCTGGGTAGCCAGTGAAGGAAGGAATTTAAGCCTGCCTTGGATTATTCCAATGACAAGTATACTTTTTGACCCATGCCTCACTTTATAGTGAGAACTCAATATGCTGTAAGTGTTTATATCACCTACCCTCAGTTAAAACCTCTCACTTTTTCCTATCCTGATCACTAAATACTGGGGGTGAGGAGTTTTAGAATTGATAACACTACAAAAATTGTCCCTTTAAAAGTGTTGAATTAAATTTTATTATATATGCATTGAAAATATAAAGTCAAAAGTGAAAAATTCAGTTAATCAGACTTTTAGTTCCAATTATAATGAAGTAACTGGTATGGATTTACTTTCCTACAGCTAGTGACTATAAAACTGCACAAAATATATGAAGCGATTTTTCTGTTACTAAACATCAAACACTGCGACATTAAGCTTCTTGAGAAAAGGGGAAAATGCACAGTAACCTCCACATTCACCCTGGATGTCTGCTTGGGAATCATTTCCAAAATATGCCATAAGGAAAGGGAGCCAGAGAGTGATGAAAACAGAAATTGGAATTCAGGGATGAAATAGCTGAAATATGTATGACAAGGTACTGGGAGGGAGAAAGCTGCACGGAGAGGGAGACCTAGAATTCTGCAAGGGAGTCCTCTTCAATCTTTGGTCAAATACTAAGCTGCACATGTAGATAGGAAGACTCCATGAAATCGACTGGAGATCCTGGAGGATACACAGTGCTGGGGAAGCATTTAAATTCTAACCAATCAGAGTGAAGAGACCATTCTATATACTCTGAATATTTAGATGAGATCACAGAAAGGTTACACTTTAAGGGAAGGGCTAAATTAGTCCTCGAGTAAAGGTAACTCTTCACCTGGCCTAATACATAGTGAAACTAAGCTTCAGCAGGATTAAACTAAATCACCAGTTAACTATCTGCAAGAGCAATACTTAACAGTCTTAAAAGAAGACAGTAAAATCCGTTGTGTTATCTATAATGTCCAACTTGCAATAAAAGAAATTATTAATATGTAAAGAGATTAGAAAACAGGAACCATAATAGGGAGAAATGACATTCAGTAGAAGCAAACCCAGATATGGCACAGGTGTTGGAGTTAGCAAAGACTGTAAAATAACTTACAAATATGTTCAAGGGTATAACAGAAAATAAATAAAAAATGAATGATCAGATGGGAAATGTAAATACAGAAATGGAAACTATTTAAAAGAAGCAAGTGGAAGTTCTAAAAAAAAACATGAAATAAAAAATTTATTGACTGAGGTTAACATTAATTTGACCACTGCAGAAGGGAAAAAAATCAATAAACTTTAAAACACATCAATAGGAGCTAGCAAAACAGAAGCACAGAGAAAAAAAAATGACTGCAGAAAAAAAAGAACCAACTTCAGTGACCTTTGGGAAAATATTGAGTGGTCTAACATATTTGTAATTAGAGTCCAAGGCAAAGGAGAGACAGAAAAATGTGTTTGAAGACATTTTGACTAAAAAAAATTGAAATTTGATGGAAAATGTCAACCTAGAGATCCAACAGGCTCAACTTACCTCAATCAGGATAAACACAAAGAAAACCATACCATGCCCATCATAATAAAATTGCTAAATCAAAGATAATCTTGAAAGCAATTGGAGAGGAAGAAAAGATGTATTAAATACAGGACAACAATAATAAATATGGCTGCTGAACTTCTCATCAGAACTAATGCAAGACAGAAGACAACTGAATGACATCAATTGTACTGATGGGAGAAAAGTACTGAGAGAAAAAATAAACTATTAGCCTAGAAAGAAAATATGCTTTAGAAATGAAGGTAATAAAGATATTTTAAGGCTGAGAGTGGTGGCTCAGACCTGTAATCCCAGCACTTTGGGAGGCTGAGGCAGGAGGATTGCTTCAGCCCAGTAGTTCTAGACCAGCCTGGGTAACAAAGAAAGACCTGTCTCAAAAAAAAAAAAAAAAAAAAAAAAAAAAAAAAAAACAAAGAAAAAGAAAAAGAAAAGAAATAAGAAAAAGAAGATATTTAAAAAAAAAAAAAAGCTGACAGAATATGATACCACCAAACTTGTACTACAAGAAATGTTACAGTAAGTTCTTCAGGATGAAGGAAAATGACATAAACTCAAACCTAAATGAAGAACACTGTAAATAGTAAATATGTGAGTAATTATTAAAAAATACTTTTTTCTTGTTCCTTGAGGCCAGGAGCTGTGGCTCATGCCTGTAATCCCAGCACTTTGGGAGGCCGAGGTGGGCGGAACATTTGAGGTCAGGAGTTTGAGACCAGCCAACATGGTGAAACCCTATCTCTATTAACAAAAATATAAAATTAGCCAGGCATGGTGGTACACACCTGTAGTCCCAGCTACTCTAACATTGAGGGGGAAAATTGTTTGAACCCAGGAGGCAGAGGTTGCAGTGAGCTGAGATTGCACCACTGCACTCCAGCCTGGGCAACAGAGAGAGATTCTGTCTCAAAATAATAATAATAATAATAATAATAATAATAATAATACTTTTTCTTGTTCCTTGATATTCTAAAAGACAATAGACTGTTCAAAGTGAATATAATAATAATGTATTGTGAGTTTTATAACATATGTAGAACTAAAATTTTTGACAAAATCAACACAAGGAACACGGAAGTAGGGTTAAGTGACAGCCTTGTGTTGTTAGCTTTTTACATTACATGTGAACTGTAAAATGTTAATTCAAGGTAGAACAAAAAACAAACAAGAAGTATAACTAAAAAGGCAATAGATACAATTAAATATTTTATTAAATATATTGTATTAATATAGTGTATTAAAATGCTGTATGCTTTAATATTGTATTAAAGTATTAACTAATTCAAAAGATATCAGGAAAGGAGGTGTAAAAAGATCAAAGAACACATAGGATGAATAAGAAACAAACAGCAAGACTTAAATCCAACCATATCAATAATTACAATAAATGTAAATGAACTAAACCCATCAAGAGGCAAAGATTGTCAGATTGGATAAAAAGCAAGATCACATTGTATTTGTTTGCAAGAGATGTACATGAAATCAAAAGAAACATGTAGGTTAAAAGTGAAATGATAGAAAAGATATATCATGCAAACACTAATCATGAGAAAGTAGAATAAATAAGAAGAGAGACGGTTAATTAGAGAAAACAAAAACAATAAACTAAAAGGAGCATCCAACAGGTGCAATATTTAATTGTCATTCTAGATAAAGAGAACAGAGGAAATGAAAGTATATGATCAAAGAAGTAATAAGAGAACTTTTCCTAGATTTGAAGGACATAAATCTCCAGATTACAAAGGCCCACAAGTGCCTAATAAATAAGGAATCAAGCCAACTTTTACAACACCAGTGATAGAACACACTGTAAATCTTCAGAGAGAAAAATAGAATATATACATAACTTCTGGAATAACAATGGGACCAGACTTCTCAATCACTGGAATCGTAGGAAAGCAATGCCTTCAAAAGCCAAAGAAAAATTCTTTTCTTTTCTTTTCTTTCTTTTTCTTTTTTTTTTTTTGAGACGGAGTCTCGCTCTGTTGCCCAAGCTGGGGTGCAGTAGCGCGATCTCGGCTCACTGTAACCTCTGCCTCCTGGGTTCAAGTGATTCTCTTGCCTCAGCCTCCCAAGTAGCTGGGATTACAGGCACCCACCACTGCGCCTGGCTAATTTTTGTATTTTTAGTAGAGACAGGGTTTTGCCATGTTGGCCAGGCTGGTCTCAAACTCCTGACCTCAGGGGATCCGCCCACCTCAGCCTCCCAAAGTGCTGGGATTACAGGCATGAGCCACTGCACCTGGCCAGAAACATTATTTTCAATCTAAAATTCTACTCAGCCAAGCTATCAGTCGAGTCTGATACTAGATAGAAGACATTTTCAGACATGCAATGTCTCAAAAATTTACTTCCCCTTTCAAAAAGCTACTGAAGGATGGGCACCACCAAACAAGGGAGTAAACCAAAAACTAAGCAGCAAAGAAACAGAGGATATAACACCCGAATAAGGAGGAGAATTTGTAAGATGGTGGAAATATAAGTGTCCCAAGTTTCTGACTAAGCATCAAGCCTACAGTGTATCCAGCTCAGATTGGAGTAGGATGACAGAGCATACTAGGAGAGATGTCTCTAGGGATGAAAATGGATTTGATAGAGTATCCGATGAACTTGCAGAGAAAAAATGTTTCATGATGATGATTTCCAGGCTCCTTTTGCACTTATGAATCAGCAAGAAACATAATTCTGTCCGGTGAGATGCAAGCTGCATTCTATTGGGTGAAAATACTAGGAAAACTATTATTTTTCATTGAAAAAATCAAAGACTGGCTGGCACACTCGCTCTGTTGTCCTCACTCCTTCCTCCTGCTTGGAATGAGGATGTGGTATCTGAAGGACATAGAGAAACCATCTTGAGACCAGGAGAACAAAAACCACATACCAAAGATTTTGTAGGACAAGGATCAAGAATTCTGCAATATGGATGATATTATAACTAACAGAAGCAGTATTTCCCAAAGCACGGTGGGGAATGAGACCATTTTTTTATGGAACCGTACCCAGACATAGCATTAAATAGCCTTGTATTTTTAGTAGAGATGGGGTTCACACTAAAATTCAGCCAATCATTATCACTGTTTTTTTCCCCTGCTGAAATGACTGGATTGCTTAATACACAAACAGCCCAAGCTTATTATTGCCACCATCTTTGAACTTCCTTTCAGAGGAAGGGTGTATTGTAAATTTTTAAAGCTTCATATATTTCTGGTATCTCAACATGTCCACAAACAGGCTGTGAGCATTTTGCATAAGAAACCAAGTGCACCAGTTTGATGAAGCTGGTCCCTACTACAAGTTCACCTTTTTACCATAACTTGACTGTGACCTAGAGACATTCAAATGCACCGATGAAACCCCCTCATGTTTTTTGCTTGTGTACTTCACCTGGACTCCTAGTAAATCCACTTGCCCAGGGGTCTTTTCTCTTGGCTCCACTCCTGCTTGGTTGAGCCCACTTCTTTGGTACTCTTACCATGAGGCCCCTTCCATGGTGTGGTCCATGTCCCATTCTAGGGCCTGTGAGTATAATAAATCCTTTAATTTCATATGTTTCTCTGAGTGCAAAGGGTATTCAAATCGGAAGAGAGGAAGTCAAATTATCTCTGTTAGCAGATGACATGATTGTATATTTAGAAAACCCCATCGTCTCAGCCCAAAATCTCCTTAAGCTGATAAGCAACTTCAGCAAAGTCTCAGGGTACAAAATCAATGTGCAAAAATCATAAGCATTCCTATACACCAATAATAGACTAACAGAGAGCCAAATTATGAGTGAACTCCCATTCACAATTGCTACAAAGAGAATAAAATACCTAGGAATACAACTTACAAGGGATGTGAAAGACCTCTTCTTTCTTCAAGGAGAACTGCAAACCACTGCTCAAAGAAATAAAAGAGGACACAAACAAATGTAAAACATTCCTTGCTTATGGATAGGAAGAATCAATATCGTGAAAATGGCCACACCGCCCAAGGTAATTTATAGATTCAATGCTATCCCCATCAAGTTACTATTGACTTTCTTCACAGAATTAGAAAAAACTATTTTAGATTTCATATGGAACCAAAAAAGAGCGCATGTAGCCAAGACAATCCTAAACAAAAAGAACAGAGCTGGAGGCATCACGCTATCTGACCTCAAACTATACTACAAGGCTACAGTAACCAAAACATCATGGTACTTGTACCAAAACACATATATAGACCAATGGAACAGAACAGAGGCCTCAGAAATAATGTCACACATCTACAACCATCTGATCTTTGACAAACCTGACAAAAACAAGAAATGAGGAAAGTATTCTCTATTTAATAAATGGTGCTGGGAAAACTGGCTAGCCGTATGCAAACAGAAACTAGACCCCCTTCCTTGCACCTTATGCAAAAATTAACTCAAGATGGATTAAAGTCTTAAATGTAAAACCCCAAACCATAAAATCCCTAGAAGAAAACCTAGGCAATACCATTCAGGACATAGGCATGGGCAAAGATTTTACAACTAAAACACCAAAAGCAATGGCAACAAAAGCCAAAATTGATAAATGGGATCTAATTAAACTAAAGAGCTTCCACAAAGCAAAAGAAACTATCATCAGAGTGAACAAGCAACCTACAGAATGGGAGAAAATTTTTGCAATCTATCCATCTGACAAAGGGCTAATATCCAGAATCTACAAGGAACTTAATCAAATTTACAAGAAAAAAACAAACAGCCCCATCAAAAAGCGGGTGAAGGATATGAACAGACAGTTCTTAAAAGAAAGACATTTATGAGGCCAACAAACTTATGAAAAAAAGCTCATCATCACTGGTCATTAGAAAAATGCAAATCAAAACCACAATGAGATACCATCTCATGCCAGTTAGAATGGCGATCATTAAAAACTTAGGAGACAACAGATGCTGGAGAGGATGTGGAGAAATAGGAACGCTTTTACACTGTTGGTGGGACTGTAAACTAGTTCAACCATTGTGGAAGACAGTGTGGTGATTCCTCAAGGATCTAGAACTAGAACTACCATTTGACCCAGCCATCCCATTACTAGGTATATGCCCAAATGATTATAAATCTTTCTATTATAAAGACACATGCACACGTATGTTTATTGCAGCACTGTTCACAATAGCAAAGACTTGGAACCAACCCAAATGCCCATCAATGATAGACTGGATAAAGAAAATGTGGCACATATACACTACGGAATACAATGCAGCCATAAAAAAGGATGAGTTCCTGTTCTTTGCAGGGACGTGGATAAAGCTGGAAACCATCATGCTCAGCAAACTAACACAGGAACAGAAAACCAAACACTGCATGTTCTGACTCATAAGTGAGAATTGAACAATGAGAACACATGGACACAGGGAGGGGAACATAATACACTGGGGCCTGTCGGAGTTTGGGGGGGCTAGGGGAGGGATAGTATTAGAAGAAATACCTAATGTAGATGAAGGGTTGATGGGTGCAGCAAACCACCATGGCACATGTGTATCTATGTAACAAACCTGCATGTTCTGCACATGTATCTCAGAACTTAAAGTATAATAATAAAAAAATAAATTTTCATATGACCTTATTAAATTCATTATAATATCCTCATACTGTAAGGAAAGAACACAAAAGAAATGTCACTCCATTTCACTCCATTTCTAACTACAGTTCTAAGATAACTATTTTATCAAAGGTAATCTTCCTTCCTACTATTACATCATGAAAGTGATATCTTTTTGCCTCATAAAACTTGTCATTCTTTACAAGTTCCTTCCATTCTCCTTTTCTCCTGCCTAGAGAAGCTATTGAAAATAAATGAGCTGAAACATTTTACTCATCTCTCTGATCTCTATGTGTCTTTTGTATCCAATGTTAACTCTAGTCGCTGGGAAGTTGGATGTCCCTCCTTAATCAGATTTGATATAACAGCAAGAGATTTCCAAGAAAATACCAAAAAATCTAATTTCAGCAAAAAGAAAAAATTTGGCCTCCAGTTTTCCAGATGTAGGTAGATTCTGTCCAAAACAGATATCATTTAAAATTTAATTTTAAATCCTTTGAGTTCTTCAAAAGAAGATATTTAACAAAATGTGGGAGCTGATGACAATTTTAATTATTTACAAAGTAATTTTCTCAGTAAAATGAGCCATGCTTCAAAAGGGAAAATACCAACAATTTGCCAGGCATTGTACCTTCTTTAATTTTCTTCTTTCTTTCTTTCTTTCTTTCTTTCTTTCTTTCTTTCTTTCTTTCTTTCTTTCTTTCTTTCTTTCTTTCTTTTCTTTCTTTCTTTCTTTCTTTCTTTCTTGAGACGTTGTCTCGCTCTGTCACCCAGACTAGAGTGCAGTGGCACCATCTTTGCTCACTGCAAGCTCCGCCTCCTGGGTTCACGCCATTCTCCTGCCACAGCCTCCTGTGAAGCTGGGACTACAGGTGCCTGCCACCACGCCCAGCTAATTTTTTGTATTTTTGGTAGACACGGGGTTTCACCGTGTTAGCCAGGATGGTCTCGATCTCCTGACCTCGTGATCTGCCTGCCTTGGCCTCCCAAAGTGCTGGGATTATAGGTGTGAGCCACTGTGCCCGGCCGCCGCCTTTAATTTTTATAACCACTGTGAGGAGTGGTATTATTATTTGTGCTCAAACGGGCTCACAGAAGTAGGTAACTTGGTTAAAATCACTTAGCCATTAAGTGGTGAAGTTGGAATTGGAACTCAGATGTGTGTGACCCTAATTTTATTGCTATTCCTTTACACTTGGAATTTTGGTATTTTCATTGCTGTAGAAGAATGAAGTTAGCCACCACTCATTTTGTTGACAGATTGACCATATGGCCTTCCTAGAAGTGAT
This sequence comes from Homo sapiens, assembly GCF_000001405.40. Lineage (NCBI taxonomy): Eukaryota > Metazoa > Chordata > Mammalia > Primates > Hominidae > Homo > Homo sapiens. Next base: position 220,311,964 of record NC_000001.11, read on the forward strand.
CATTGAACTGATGGTATTAGCTATTTCTCCTCAGACTTACTGATTGATTGCCTTTGTGTGCAAAAAGCTCTGTGTTATGACAGAAACACCAAAGAATAGCAAAGATCTTTACTTTCCAGGATATTCAAATCTAACTGGAGGAAGAGAACATGTAAATAAAAACTATATATCACCAGGTAGTAATTAATTAGTCAGAGACAACCTAATGTCTCTTCTTTTTTTTATTCTAAAGATAATAACTACATATTGCAGGAAAATCTCCTCTAATCTCACCATTATTTCCTCAACTCTTTTTTTCAATGCACACATATATTTAGATATTTAATTGGATGATATTTATAAACACTTTTATATCCTATTTTTTATTGAATATTGTATTATGAGCACTCTTTCATGACATATTATTCCAATGTATAATTTTTAATGGCAGAATAATATTCATAGTATTTTAATTTATAATATCTTCTGGACATTTAGATTGTTTCTAATATTTTTAATTTTTTATAAATTATATTGCATTGAACATCCTAGACCACAAATCTTTTCTCATGTCTCTACTTATTGACTTAGGATAAATTTATTCAGGAGAAATCGAGAATAAATTTCTGGAGATTCCTGATATATGTTGAGAAGACATAAGAGAGAATGGAGATCCCTAAACAGATTTCGGGTGCACCACTTCAGTCACCACCATTGTGGGCACCAGGCCCTAGAGGCTAAAGTACCACATTATATCTCCAATTCGTTTGCCAGGTGGTCTGTATTCTTTGCTTCTTTGATTTCTCTGAATAGAGCTTTCCATTCATTTGAAGGGGCACTTTCTGGTGGTGCCTGATGGCATTTTGCATTACATTTTATTTACTGCAAAATAAATTTTATTTAATGCAAAATGCCACCAGGGTGCCATCAGAAAGTGCCCCTTCAAATGAGTAGAAAGTCTCCTTTTATGATTGCAGTATAGTTTGACAGAGTTAGAATTCTTTGCTGTTTTCATATTAGCTACTTAGGATCTATATAAATCTCATTGCAACGGAAATACCAGAGTGTCTTGAGGCTGGCTGACTGGGGCCTTATTTCTAGCATTCTAAGAAGGTGCAAGAGAAAGAAACTAGCACTAGATGAGACTCATGAGCATAAACCCCTTCAAATTGGGAGAGATGTCTGCATTTGCAGCCAAACTTCTATCATCAGCCTTGATTCCTGACATAATGAGTTGTGAGTTGTTATAATCATGGAAGAAAAATGACTTGAGAGGATAACATGGATGATGTGATTTGAAGATGAGTTCAGTATAAACTTTGGTGAAAAATCATTCTGATAAACTGATCTTAAGACATCATGCCATGTTTGATGGCTCATGCCTGTAATCCCAGAACTTTGCAGCAGTTTGGGAGGCTGAGGCAGGCAGGTTGCTTGAGCCCAGGAGTTTGACACCAGCCTGGGCAACATGGCGAAACCCTATCTCTTAAAAAAAAAATACAAAAAGTAGCCAGTCATGGTGGCTCATGCCTGGAGACCCAGCTACCTGGGAGGCTGACAGGGGAGGTTCACCTGAACCGGGGGAAGATCTGAGCCATGATTGTGCCACTACACTCCAGCCTAGGACTCTCTCTGTCTCTTAAAAAACAAAAAAAACAAAAAAAAAAAAACAAAAAAAAACAAAGGCATCACATTGTTTACTCCCTTGTGATGCCGGCTGGAGTGACACTTGGCATCAGGAGGGCAGTATAGTCTCTCTTTTTTCTTACAGTACAAAGTTAGGGCTCCTCATTCAGGCAGTAGAGTAAAGAACAGCAAAGTGGGAGGGCTACACCATTGCCATGGCAACAGAAAGCCTCCTGAAGATAAAGTCCCTCTGCTTCTGTCAGGCAGACTCTTCCTAGATCAGGAGACACCTGTTTTCACTGGCTGAGAACAAGGCCAGGTAGCCTGGTTACAGTGTGGAAGGGCAGCTGGACACATGGCCTCTGGTCAGTTCTGGAAGTGATTGGTGAAGGCTTCCAGTGGCTCCTGCTTCTTCAGCCTGCTCTTCAGCCCATACCCCAGCAGGTCTCTTTCAGCATGGGCACGGCAAACTTGCCCAGCATGCTGTTGCTTATGTGGGTCTTCAGCTCCTCTTCTGAATACTCCACCTTGGGCCTTTTGCTTCTGAAACCTTCATTATTGTGTTTTATGTTGCTAACTTTCCCTTCAGGATTGTAATCTGGTGGGTAGAGAAGTTCCTTAAACTTATCCACCAGTGGGGAGCCCAGTCTTTTATTCATTGCTTCAACCTCAGGCAATGTCAGGTCCACTGCTTGTTCAGGCTCCATCAAATCCAAGGCCAAGGCCTCCAGGTTCCTGGAACACTGCTGCAGCACAGAGTTCTCAAAGCTGTCACTTCTGTATTTGAATCGGAGCTTCTGAACAATAGCCTTCACCTTGTCCCCCTGCTCTGGGGTTGCCATGACTTTTTTAGCAAAGGGCACCTTCCCTTTATTATCAGCATAACATAAAAAGACCAGCTGGAAGCCTGCAGGAGGCACCTGAATTTTCTGATCATCCAACTCCTCTTCCTGTGGCACCAAAGCCACAAAATAAGGGGGGATGTTCCTGCAGGGTGTGTATCTGCACAATGCTGTGACCTCCTTCTCCAGACACTTGATGAGTAGAGCACTGAACAGGGTTGAGCTCTAATTCATCAGTGACTCTTCAGAGTACACAAACAAGGAGGGCCTCAGGTAACGGTGCTTCTTCAGCTTTACCAAGGGCTTAAACCCATGAGAATCAAACCTGGTTCATCAAACTATTTTAGCTCTTCTGTTTCCTCTTTCTCCAGTATAATCTGACGCCTTCCATAGATCTGAGACCTCTTGGTATCTCTAGACAGAAGCCAACTGCCTGTATTTACATTAAATATCCAGGTCTTGGTTTTCACTGATTCATCTATTTCTCGATAGGGCTTTATTGGAGGAGGCTTGAGAGCCTTCTGGATCGGATTATAAATGCCCACAGAGAGCACTATATCTTTATTGAGCTTCAGCTTTAACCTGCTGAGTGTTCACTAACTGATCTCCTTGGCTCAAACCTGCCTCAACAGGTCTTCTAGCTTTCTGGATTCCTCAGTGAGCCCTGGGGTCCTCATCCTCTGCTATGCTGGTGATATCTCTGTAGAAGAAAGGTATATCAAAGCCCTCAGTTTTCTTCAGGTGCATCAAGTCAAGGAAGATGCCTGTATCTCAGTGATTATTGGCTTTGGTCCTGGCCCAGCTGGCTTTGGCATGTCATTGCCATGGGGGTTATCCTCATTGGTGAACAACATGACTCCTCTTGTACAGTACATTGCTAAAGAGGTTGTTGGCACAGACTCACAGCACTTCACTGAGTGAGTAGTCAGATCCATGCCCATCAGGTCTTGGAAACGTTTTTGTCCCTGCTGCTCCTTAAACCGGTCAAGCTCTAGAATTCGTTTTGCCCCTGGATTATCCAACTCCTGGATGCTCATGTCAAAAGGAGTCAACTCATCTTCACTCTGAGATTCAAACATAGCTCTGGAGGCATCAACCAAAAAAATCAAACTATTTCTTCCTGAATATTTATAGACTCCACTTGCTTCACATGATTCTCATGGGTTTCAAGCCCTTGGTAATGCTGAAGTGCTGTGGATCTGTGCCAACCTCTTTAGCGATGTCCAGTTCAAAATGTTCTTCTTCTGCTTCTTCATCACCCCTGGTTTTGTAATAAGACTTTCACCCTGACATGTTGCTTACTGCTCACTTTGGTGCAGGCCAGAGCAGTATGATTTCTTAAAATTCTCTCTGCCAGTCTGGCCTCTGTCCCACTACATTATTTCAGAGACCCAAGAGTGTTCCAAAGGAATGTTCTGATATTGATAACAATACATATCATCAAATTGCTCTCTAGAAATGTATAAATGTACAACTCCATCGTAAGAGTATGTGATAGTGCTCCTTACAGTGTATCCTCACCAACATGGAATATTATCTTTTAAATATCTTTGATGTATTATTAATTGTTTTTGTGGAGTGCTGTGACTCAGGCTTTTAGAAGAAGCCTAGGATAACACAAACATAATTCTGGTTAAAATCGATCAGCACAGATGAGTGGTGCTGGCAATGACTCGTCTTGGCTGACACTGGAGAAAATAAAAGGTTTAGCCAATGGGAAGAGAAAATGATAAGTTTGGTTTGAGATAAGATAAATTTGGATTATCTGTGGGACATCCAAGAGGTGATATGCAGTAGGTCATTGAGTATCTCTGTGTGGGGGTGTGAGATGTAAATAGAAAATGAAAGTATTAATATATGGTAAGTAGGTAAAATCATAAATGTAGGTACTATGGTTCAAGGAGAATTCAGAATGGGAAAGGAGTTGAATATGAAATCTTGGGGAATATCAACATTTAAAGGGTCGCAAAAGACACATAAGCTAAAGGTACTGAATTTTTTTTTTTTTTTTTTTTTTTAGAGATGAGGTCTTGCCCTATTGCACAGGCTGGAGTGCAGCGGTGCAATCATAGCTCACTGAAGCCTTGAATTCCTGGGCTGAAGCAATTCTCCCACATCAGCCTCTGGAGTAGCTAAGACTACAGGCACAAGCCAGCATGCCCAGAGGAAGGCACTTTTTTTTTTCTTTTTAAAGAAGTCTTTATTTCCTTGTTCTGCAAATAAAGCTGGCTGAGTTGGTTGCTTTTTGGTGATTAGTCAGGGACCAAATCCCATATCCTTGTCCAATTCCTCCGACTCTTCCTTGGCTTCAACCTTAGTTGGGGTAGCAGCAGCAGCAGGAGCAGTCATGGCAGCAGTGTCCACAGGGGCAGCAGCCACAAAGGCAGATGGATTAACCAAGAAGGCCTTGACCTTTTCAGCAAGTGGGAAGGTGTAATCAATCTCCACAGACAAAGCCAGGACTCGTTTGTACCCATTGATGATAGAATGGGGTACTGATGCAACAGTTGGGTAGCCAATCTGCAAACAGACCCTGGAAACATCGCAGACACTCTCCAGAAAGTGAGAATGCAGTTTCCTCTGTGATGTCAAGCCCTTCAGGGTTGTAGATGCTGCCATTGTCGAACACCTGCTGAATGACCAGCCCAAAGAAGGGAGAGATGTTCAGCAGTGTGGCTTCGCTGGCTCCCACTTTGTCTCCAGTCTTGATCAGCTGCACATCACTCAGGATTTCAGTGGCGCCCCTGGAGATTTTAGTGGTGATGCCTAAAACCTGGAGAAACGAGGTCTTCTTGGGCCCTAGACCAGTGTTCTGGACTGGCACAGTGACTTCACAGGGGCAATGGAACCAGCATGAGCCACAGCTGGCACCTTGTTGGCCAGCAGCAGGTCCCTGATCTCAGTGAGGTCCTCCTTGATGAACACAAAGCCCACATTCCCCTGAATATGAGGCAACAGTTTCTCTAGAGCTGGGTTGTTTTCCAGGTGCCTTCAGATGGCCTTGACCATCGTGGTGTTCTTGCCTAGCAGCACCATGGCCTTCCTGCAGAGGGATATGCGGATCTGCTGCATCTGCTTAGAGCCCATATTGTCTGCTCCCATGATGAAACATTTCGGATAATCATCCAAAAGTTGGATGATCTTAAGGAAGTAGTTGGGCTTCCAGGTCACCCTGTCTTCCCTGGGCATCACAGCGGTGTGTCAGGGATTTAAAGACACAAGGGTTTAAAGATGATGTCACTTAAACGACGACACCTGGTGAGAGGAGGCACTTTTTATGAAGAGCCACAGAGGTAGAAAGAAAACTCAGAGAGTATTGTCATTGAAAATAAAGACTTTCAGAAAGGAGAGAATAGCATGTCACAGAGAAAGAAAATTGAGTAAATATTAGTGATTGTAAAATGGTGATTTAGTCTGTTTTGTGCTGCTATTACAAAATACCTGAGACTGGATAATTTATAAAGAAAAGAAATTTATTTTCTCACAGTTCTGAGTGCTAGAAAGTCTAAGATTAAGGTGACAGCAGGTTGCATTTTCTGGTGAGTTCTGCATCATCCAGAGGGAAGGAACGCTGTGTCCTCACATGGTGGAAGGCTAAAGAGCAAGCCAGCTGAGTGAGGCAAGAAGATTCTTTAATAAAGGCCTTAATTCCATTCATGAGGGGACCAGCTCTCATGACCTTATCATCTCTAGAAAACTCCACCTCTTCATACTATCACATTGCACTAAGTTTCAACATCTGAATTTTGGAGCGGACACATTCAGACTATAGCAGATGAAGTTTTAATAGAAATAATTAATGTTTAGCAACCAAGAAGTACCCTCATACTTCCCTGCTTGTTAATTTCTACCTTTCAGGTTCCCCAAGGGGTGGTACACAGAGGAATATCAAATAATAACCAAATTGCAATTTTATTAAGGCCCAAGTCAATGTCATTAACACTCAATGCAGCTTTGGCAGGGATAGGTGGACCTCTGGTTTAGGCTCAAGGCATAAATGAGATTTTCTACCCTGTGTTTCCATCCCCGTTCCCCACTATGGGTCAAATCTAAAGCTTAGGATGTTACCTACCTGTGGTTTGCTGCATGATGAAAGGATGTCAACGTAAGATCTGACAGAGCCTCCTGGGGAAGGCCTGAATCCACTTATTTATCACGCCACATGGAGTAGGAAACAGAGCTCAGAGAAAGACTGTGTGCCTGTGTGACCCCAAGAATCCTATCTTTTGGCCATGGAAGCAACTCTGTCTCCTGAGCAGGTGGGGAGGTTCTTGAAAAACTAGGAACAAAGGCTGTCTGCTTCATCTTGTCCCTTTAGTAGGAGAAAGCAGATCCCTTCTGCACTCTAGGAACTTCACATACATACAGCTCGGACAATAGCACTTGAAAAATTACCATCTTCTAAGAATAGACCCCTTCACTCATGAGGATGTCTTCTAGAGCAGTGCCATTCAATAGAATTTTCTGTGATGATGAAGATGCTATTTAAATCTGTCCTGTCCAGTACTGTAGTTACTATGTGAGGTCACTGAAGTTATTATTAGCATTTAAATTTAAATAGCCCCCTGTGGATAGTGGTGATCCTATTATACAGTGAAGCTCTAGGGATTTCAGGGAATTGTGAAATCTGCTGATACTTTCATGATAGTCTTGTTTTCTCTTTTCAGCCTCTCCATCTTTATTTGATTGATTATTCCTGGTTATTCTAGGTCTGCTCTTAAGGTATGGATTAATATTCATGTATAGCTGATACAACTTATGGAGCCTCAGGTTCTCGATCTATGAAATGGGAATGCTAATAACAAGTGTTCCGTTGTGGAGATTAAATGACATAATTAAACCATAAGTTCCAAATATGCAAATGGCTTTCTTACTTAATTGCAAATTGTCAGGGTTTACCCAATGCCTGTACCACCATTGTATCTTAGAGGTAAATAACTTGTTTTTCATCTTACAGGCTCATAGCTGAAAGGAACTTACCTTGAGTCTCTAATGAGACTTTGGACTTTAGACTTTTGAGATGATGCTGGAATGAGTTAAGACTTTTGGGACTATTGGGAAAGGATGATTGTATTTTGCAATGTGAGAAGAACATGAGTTTGCTAGGGGGGGCAGGAGTGGAATGCTATGGTTTGGATATAATTTGTTTGTCCCCACCAAATCACATGTTGAAATTTAATCCCCAGTGTAGCGATGTTGGGTGGTGGGGCCTAGTGGGAAGTATTTGGGTCACAGGAGTGGATCGTTCATGAATATATCAACGCCCTTCCACTCTGGAGTGGTGAGTTCTCACTATGTTAGTTCCCATGTGAGCTGGTTGTTAAAACAATCCTCGCTTCTCCCTGCCCTGCCCTCCTCTCTTAGCGTGCAGCCTCTGCACACACCAGCTCCTCTTCGCCATCCACCACGAGTGGAAGCAGCCTGAAGGTTTTATCAGATGCAGATGCCCAATCTTGAACTTTCCAGCCATCCAGAATCATAAAACAAATAAACCTTCTTTTTCTTTATAAATTACCCAACCTCCAGTATTCCTTTATAGCAAAACAAAACAGACTAAGACAGTCAGTTTTCTGCATTGATTTTTGTGATTCAGGGTTCCAGCCCTCTGGTGCCATCAATAAATCACTATTCCCAAGTTAAAGCAAATCCCCATGAGCACTGGGGATGTGCAGATAGTGAGTGGTGGTGATGGTGAGGTGCAACCACGATCTTTTTTTTTTTTTTTGAGATGAGTTTTACTCCATCACCAAGGCTGGGGCTCAGTGGCATGATCTCAACTCACTGCAACCTCGGCCTCCTGGGTTCAAGCAATTCTTGTGCCTCAGCCTCTTAAATAGCTGGGACTAGGGGTGTGCCACCATGCCTGGCTAATTTTTGCACTTTTATTAGAGATGAGGCTTTGCCATGTTGGTCAGACTGGTCTCTAACTCCTGACCTCAAGTGATCCACCTGCCTGGGCCTCCCAAAGTGCTGGGATTACAGGCATGAGCCACCGCACCCGGCACCATGTTCGATTGAAGGGAGAGATGGGGAGGGAACCTCATTACTGTATTCACATGATAAAGCTCCCATAGAAACTCAGCATCAACTAAGTCAATTCTAGTTTTCATTCTACCAACAGGCCTCCGGGCTCTGGCTTCCTGAAGGGTAGGAGTGATATATACAAAGACGTCAAGTGGGTGAAAAAAAACTCCACCTGTCCCCTCAGAACGTGGAGAACCTCTTTAAAGTTATGGGGCTGAAGACTGATGGCATCCACTTATCAGAGCTCCCCCAGGTATGAAAGGAGTAGAAGATTTTTCAGGGTGGGGCATTAATGAATTTTCAGAAATAAAGAAATAATTGATTAGTAATGGTTCTACTCAACAGGCACTGTTTACTAACACCACAATCCTACATATTCCTAAAGCTGAGGATGAACAAAAGTTCATTACTTTGAGACTCTAATTTAGACAAAACTTGAAGCAAATCAGTGATGAAAGAAATCCTGCTAGCTCAGCAATCTTCCTGTGGTACTTGTGTGTGTGTGTGTTTGTGTGTGTATGCGTGTGTATATTTGTGTGTGTGTGTGTGTGTGTGTGTTTTCACTGTCCCCACGGTGGGACTACCTTGACCTCTGAGAGCTAAATCCTTTTAGCATGGCTAAATGATAGGTCCCTGGATGAGTCCAGTGGCCTTGTTCAAAGCTGGTTTCTTTGCTTCATTGGCCTATAGTGAAGTTCCTGGAGAACACAATGAAGTCTCTGAAGTATTCTTTTGCCTTGAGAAATACACTTATTCACATATTCCAGCTCCATTTAGACCTGGAACAGACTTTAGAAATGATCCAAATCATTTTCTCTCCTATGGAGCTGATGGTTATAGGGATTATTAGTGAAACGTTCAGGGCCAGACCCCAGGGTTCTTGCCACGCAGTAGTCAGTCTTTGGTGACTTGGGGATTGAGTTTCCCCTTCCTGTTTTCTTTTCCCCTTTGCTTTTTCCTGTTTATTCAAACATGAAGTCTTCATTATAGAAAAATTGGAATGTATAGAGAAGCATTAAGAAAAAAAGATAAGTAGGAGGAAGGGGAGGAAAATGGAAAAAAACGAGGAGAGGGAGGAGAAGGAAAGGAGGAGGAAGAGAAGGAGAGAGACATAAGGAAGGAGGAGGAAGAGGAGGGAAAGAGAAAGATGAAGGAGGAGGAGGATGAGAGAGAGGTGGTGGTGGTGATGGAGGAGGAAGAGGAGGAAGGCAAACAGAGTTGGAAATTCCCTGGTGTTTCTTAGCAGATGTGTTACAAAGAAAAAATATTTCCCTTGTGAACCCAAAGGAGGTGGGGGCGATGGTTTCTCTTGATTCTCCTTGCTGGAATGAGATGATTTCCACTTGGCACACTTGTAGGGGTGTCCCACATGGAGGGACTATGCATAAATCTGTGTAGTGCTGGGGTAGAACGTACCATCCCAGGGTGCATGGGTTAAAAGCCTTAGGACAGGCCAGCAGGAGGACCCTACTCTGTCCTGGTGCTGTCATGGGCAGGACCTTTGGTGCTAGGATTGGAGGCAGGTTGCATCGCTGCCTGTGGCCAGCTTGGGACACCCTTATGTTCTCATGCCTCCAAGTGGTCAGGGCAAAATAAGCAGGTCTTGACGCGCAGATTTGTTCACTCAAGTAAGTCACCATGTGGAAACGTCCCTGGAAGCAGAGGAGTTACCTGCGGAGTAGGCTTGTGTTCTGTTCTTAGGTGTGCTGGTGCCTGGAATACTTGGGACAACACGTTTGGTTGGTGTCTAACGTCTAATGCTCTCTTCTCTGCTTGTGATGATCATCTACTAGTGGGAATAGATTTGCACAAAATCACCCACAGTTTCAAATAGCCTCTCTCTTGCCCAGGTTTTTGCAAGCTGGCCATGACATAGAGGAAGACTAGCCAGCTCCAACACTCAGTCTGTCTTTGATCTTGGACCCAATGTCTCAGGGTTCTAGTTAGCTGAATAAAGCATTCACACACTTAACGACAAGTGTGGGTTCACACACCTCACTTTTCTGCTACCCCTCTCTATTATTTATTATGGATGGTTATTCCCTTAGTTGTGAAAAGTAGGATTTATCTCCGCCATTCCCCAAGGTAAACAACTCGGAGATTCATTCCTAGGGGCACTCTCAGTTCCCCCACCATCCTCATTTGCTTACCAGACTCAAGATGCACTGATCTTCTTTCATATCCTCAACACCAGACTCCTTTCTGCCTCTGAGCATTTGCACGTGCTGTTCCCTCTTCCTGGAAGGACTGCTCTCTGTATCCCTCTTCTGTGCATTCTAATCTCTTGCTGCAGTGTAAGTATTAATTACTTTCAGGAAAGTCTTCGCCCACATTCTCAGACTTGGCCAAGTCTTCATTTGCATGCCTCTGTTGATTAGCTTTGTATCACTTCTCACTGAGAAGGAAATAAATGAATATTGTTAATTTTTTGTTTGTCTCAGATATTTTCAACAGTGGTGCCTTTGCAGCACAGATCTGCCTGTCTTCCTCTCTCTTATGCCCAGTGCTTAGCCCTGGGTCTAGCAGGTACTCACAGTCACTGGGATGGAGGTACCTATGGTAGGGGGGCAGGAGGTAGCCACAGCTCTCTGATCTTCCTCTATGACACATCAGTAGGTCTGCTCTACCTTGACAGAAACCATATAACGATGCCACGTGCAAAATTAGCACTCCTTCAGTTACTCTGGAGAAACTAGGTGTAGCTCTAGAGAGGAATTTTTCAAAACCTCTTTTTTTTTTTTTTTTTTTTTTTTGAGATGGAGTCTTGGTCTGTCACCCAGGCTGGAGTGCAGTGGCGTGATCTCGGCTCACTGCAACCTCTGCCTCCTGGGTTCAAGCAATTCTCCTGCCTCAGCCTCTCGAGTAGCTGGCATTACAGGCACACGCCACCACACCCGGCTAATTTTTGTATTTTTAGTAGAGATGGGGTTTCACCATGTTGGTCAACATGGTCTCAAATTCCTGACCTTGTGATCCACCTGCCTCAGCCTCCCAAAGTGCTGGGATTACAGGTGTGAGCCACCGTGCCCTGCCTTAAAACCTCTTAATGCCTAGATGATGTAGCTGAAGAAAACTGTACTTGACACAAGACAGGGATGTCCAGCCTTGTGTTCATTAAGCCTCTTTTTCCTTATAATAATTCTAATGCCTTACTTTGCGTAACAGACTTGATCTGGTTTCTAAAACTATTTCATGAACATTAGTTTATTTTATTTACATAAATATAAGTCTTTCACAAGTGTCGTCTGAATCCCAGAAAGCAATGCTGCTTTTATTGACCAGAAAAGTCTTACAGGGAGAAGGCAGGGGTAGAAAGACTGGAGAGTTGGCAAGGGGCTTAGGCTGTGGTAGCTTCCACCAGAACCTCGGGATGTCCCTTTGGTTCTCTCAACCGTATCTGAACTGACACTGGACTCTGGCGAATTTGTGCCAACAATATGTTCATTCTTAGTTGAATATGCAGGGAATGTGCCTTTGCCAAGGTGTTCCCTGTTACAGAGGTCAGACTGTACATTCTCAATGTTATTCGTGGCAATAGCAACAATAGATACTGTTCCTGGGCACTTCACAGTGATTATTTCACTTAATCTTCACTACAGCTCTGACAGGGGAGTGGTATTATCCCAATTTTCCATATGAGGAAACTGAAACAAAACAAAGCTAAATAATTTGCCCAAAGATCCATGGTTAGTAAGCAGCAGAGGCAGGATCCTAACCCAGGTCTTAAATCCTCTAAACTTACAAACTCCTCCCTGGCCTCACAGCTTCCCACTGGATCTTCTCTTTTTTGCTATTTTCGTCCCATTCCTCAGGAGCTTCCTCCTGGACTATTCCTGGAAAGTCCAAATTCTTCTTTCTTACTTTTCTTTTTTCTTTTTTTTAAATGTGTATACATCTTGTTTCTTTACTAAGCAAAGCTGAGCAGACCCTGCAAGAATCTCAGGAAAACAAGAGGACTCTCCTGTCATAGATCCCTCTGCTTTAGAAAGCAATTGTGGTAGTTTATAGTGTGGTTGTTATTTTTCTCCTTTACACACACATTATCTCAATATTCAGTATAACCCTATGAGAAAAGTATTATTATTGTTCCCTTTTGCAGGTGAGAAAATAGTCACAAAAGAATAATTTAGGCCAGCATGGTGGCTCACACCCGTAATCCCAGCACTTTGGGAGGCCGAGGCAGGCAGACCACTTGAGGTCAGGAGTTCGAGACCAGCCTGGCCAACATGTTCAAACCCTGTCTCTACTAAAAAATCCAGAAATTAGCTGGGCGTAGTGTGGTGCATGCCTGTAATCCCAGGAGGCAGGAGAATTACTTGAACCTGGGAGGTAGAGCTTGCAGTGAGCCAAGATTGCACCACTGCACTCCAGCCTGGTTGACAGAGCAAGACTCTGTCTCCAAAAATAATAATAATAATTGTCCAAGACTGCAGTTTTTAGGTAGCGGAGATGTAATTTCTAAACACATCTATTTGACTCCAAAACAACTGTTCTTCTTTGCTATCCTCTTATGCATAATCTTGAAATGGCCCAGAAATTCTAATATTTATATTTCTAAATCCTGTTCCCCTCAATGGACACCTGCCCTTGGGAGCTATACAAAAATCCTTTTTCAGACCACATGTCTTGAGTTTTGGTTAGAGAAACAAGGTCAAAGACAAGAAGCTTTGTGTCCAGACTCTCCCAGGAATGAGCTGATATTCCTCCCTGTTCTTCTTTAGCGGTGAATTTCTCCATTTGGCAGGTGCCCCAGCAGGAATGATGGCTGGTGGTCTGGAGTGGCCTTCAGCCCCTTGGTGAGCCAGGCTAATTGCAGCTTCAAGGGAGTGCAGCCCTTTCTGAGTGAGCAGATATAAAAGCCACAGAGGCAAACAGGCAGCTGCTACTCTTTATTTTATTTTTATTTTATAGCAGTCTGGAGGCTTTAGTGGAGAGGGCAGGACTCAGGAAAGAGAACACATGATGGGCACTAATGGGACCACTAAGGTGCCTCCAGACTTTGTATTTCCTCTCTTGTGGTTTAGCTTCTGCTGTTGGGTTCTCACAGCCCAGAAGCCACGACTCAGCAGGGGTTACTCTCTCAGCACAGCCCTTTCTTGGTGAGGGTGAGTTCAGCTATGGGGAGACGCTCCTTACATTTTGTGATACTTGTGGACGCTGCCTGACAGATGTTCAATCAGCATTTCCAGCAGGCTGAGTAAGGAGCTTGTGCTGAGAAATGGCTTCAACACACCAAGCACCCAGTCCAGCCCCACACAGCAGGCCATCCTTCCCTGGCCTCTTCTTCCCTCACCTTTTTTCAGATCCAGGGGAGCTGGAGAGCCAGTCAGCCAGGGAAACAGTCATCTGAGTCATGTAATTCCTCTATTTGGCAATTATAGGGATGATATTCCCAGAAAGGCTTGCAGAGACACCAGTCATACATTTACCTTAAACTGCATGGCCATGTGCAAACAGCAGAAAATCCACTGGAAATCATAATTTTATCATGGTTTTGGTTTCTATTTTTAAATGAAGAATAGTTCAATTATTCGAAGGATTTAAATGAAGAATAGTTCAACAGTCATCGTCTCCCTTGCTCTCCTATAACAATACAGGCAGCTTCAATATGTGTCAAAAATGTAACCCAAGTCCCTGGTATGCTTTCTACGCCAGATTATTTACACTGTGGGTGATAGAAAACATCCACTTAAGAGTTAATGCCTGAAAGACAGGTCCATCCAGTGGGTCTTTCTTAGAGTTGAGGGCATTAAGGAGCAAGAGCCCTACTTAGACTAAAACGTGGAGCGTGCAGTAACCTCTCGAAGGTGACATCTTGAAAAAGACATGGCGGCCTTGGAAAGTTATCACAAAGTGATAACTGCCCTCTGGTTTTGATCCCTGCAGTCTAATCATGGATTGGAAATATCTGTGGATGTCAATGCTTGCAGACCAATGGCCTGTGAGAAGAATCAGGCACAGTGGTCACATATTCTGGATTCCCAGAATAGTCCCATTGTGGTAAACTGTTCAGTAAAAGTTGTTCACAAAATATGGAAGTAAGGTTCAATTTGTCCTCATGAGAACTTTCAAACGAGAAAAAATACACCAAAAATATAATGTTCTTAGACCACTGGGTTGTATTTTCAGTTTCAGTAGGTCCAAGTCTGACAGGTGAGGGAACAGCTGTTGCCTGGGCTCTGGATGGAGAGGGGCGATGTGGGTTGCCTGGGAGCCATCCCAGAAATCTTTTTGAATGAAGCAGGTTTAAGATTCATTAGAATGACATTGCGGCAAGCAAGGTGGAGGTCAGGCCCAGCCCAGGGAAAGTATGAGCCACATCCCTGAACTGACTTCCAGCTGGCCCTGCTGATCCTGCTACTTAGAGTTGCTGCTGAAAGCTAACTCTCTCTGTGTGCAGTCAATGAGTCATTCCTTAAAAATATATGTCATTTGCCATTTACTAAAATATATGCATGAGGGAGGGAGGAAGGGAGTGAAGACCAGTCAGACTACTCTCACATCAGCTTTAGGATCTGTTTTATTTTTTATTTTTTATTATTTTTATTTTTCTATTTTTTTGAGATGGAGTCTCGCTCTGTCGCCCAGGCTGGAGTACAAGTGGCATGATCTTGGCTCACTGCAACCTCTGCCTCCTGGGTTCAAGCAATTCTCCTACCTCAGCCTCCAGAGTAGCTGGAATTACAGGCATGTGCCACCACTCCCGGCTAATTTTCGTATTTTTAGTAGAGACAGGGTTTCACCATGTTGGCCAGGCTGGTCTTGAACTCCTGTCCTCAGGTGATCTGCCCGCCCTGGTCTCCTAAAGTGCTGGAATTACAGGTGTGAGCCACCACGCCCGGCCTAGGATCTGTTTTATACATAAGTACAACCCAATATTCTCCTGATCATTCAGCCTTTCCAGGAACATCCAAGGGAGGGAGCCCCTTACATCACAAGTGAACAAACTTCAAAGATTTGATGACAGTATTTGAAGAGGAGTTCAAGCAGACATTCGGAGATGAGGAGGAGTAATAGGAAGCATGGTTAATAAACCTCTGAAAAGAGATTCAAAATATGTATTTTGTAAAGCAGGGTCGTCGCAGTAAACAAGGTAAAATACACATCTGAAAAGAGATTGAGATATATTTGAAAAAAAGAGAGTCACAATATTTGAGCTGAAGGGCACAGGGGATGGAGAGAGTATTTACCAGGTTTGTTCATTGATTGTGGGGGAATGGGGTGCTGCTGTCTCTCATCAGTCCCACCTCTTGGGATGTACAAATCCACACATGTATACCTGCTTATTTATTAAGGTATAGTGACACCTTTCCAAGGATTGTGATTGTTACTTTTGTGATAAGTGACTCTAGAGGGTATGAAAATGGTGACAGGCAGTGAAGGAGGGCTTTGGGTGGGCTGCTGAAGACAAGAACTGTGATGAGGCTCACATTTAGGACCTGAGCTCCCCCCACCCTTTTCTGAAAAGTGGGCTTTTTTTTTTTTTTTTTAAGAGCAGTTTTAGGTTTGCACAAAATTAAGCAGAAAGCACAGGAAGTTCCGGTACACCTTCGGTCCCCCACAAACGCACAGGCTTGTTCATTGTCACAGTGATGCACTGGTTACAGTCCATAAACCTGCATTGACACGTCATTATTACCCAGACTCCATAGTTTTCATTAGAGCTCATTCTAACCTCCTTATTTTTCATAAGGGGTATAAGGGGCAAGCTCAATACCAGGGTCTGCACCAGGTCCCTTTCCTCTTGCATCTTTCCAGTTTCCCTTTTCTAAAGCCCTTATGCTCCCAACAGTTCACTCAGTGCCTATGCCCCATGGTGTCTGAGATCCCCATCTTATGGCCTGCACTGTCAGGGCACGTCAGGGTTTGCTGTTGTTGTTTTCAGCTTCCTCCCCACATCAGAGCTTTTTATTACATCTTCTTTTCCTGGGAAGAAGTTCAGTGCTTTTCAAGGTCACATCTAGTTATTTATACTCAAATATGAGCTAAGGTGATAATGAGGAGTATTGGAGGCAAGAGAAAGGCATGGGAGACAAAGCTCATCCAAAGGAAGCATCCTCAAATTCTGTGAATTTCAAAAAGCAGGCTTGAGCAAGCCAGAGGGGTAGATATGTCTGGGCCGGCTGGCTTCGGAGTACCTTTCAAGTCGTACCAGATAGGAGACCACCTGTTCTACGTGTGCAGAGTGAGCCCTGCATTTTCCATCACTATCATTTTCTTCACTATTTTAGACTTAAAATGCAAGAAGTAGGATTGTCTGGAAGTAATCTCTCTCCCTCCCTCTCTCTTTTCTTCCTTCTTTCCTTCATTTCACAGGTGGGAAGATTAACAAAAAGCTCAATTCAGGTGTCCTGGGTTGTAGCTCTTCAGGCAGTGGTGTTGTGGTGATGTTTAACAACCGGTTTGCTGAAAAAAAAAGTAAGTTTACAAGTTTGTTATGGATTTTACTGATTTAAAGGGTGTGTGGCATACAAGTTATTACTAACAAAATACATAACATAATTCATTATAAATTCCAAGTAGCCGATTGACTCACAAAATGCTTTTGTTACTTTTTGCTGCTTTCATATATCCACAGCCAACCTATGGCTACAATCCCATTGTGATATGACAAATAAAGATGTACTCTTCAATCTTCTAAATCTTTTCCCAATAAAGTCATTGTCATTACATCTGTAATGTAGTCTACAGTTTATTTACTATTTATCACTCTGTTACAAATTACAATCATTAAACTGAGACATCTCTCAGTCCTACTAATATTTATAATGTATTTTCCTAAATAATAATTTGGTTAAGAACTGGCTTGCAAAATTCCTGACAATTTAACAACTGGCTATTGTGAGCAAAGCCAGCTCCAGCACACCTCTGCCTTTGGGGCTGGCAGCCACCTGGCTTGGTTCTCTTCACATCTTCTGCAGAACAGAGCTCGAATGTAGGACTTAGTAGCCAGAAGCAGGAATGATGTTTGCTCTCTGTGGTGCCAGGCCATGGGAAGTCTGCCGACATCTCCATAGCCTTACATTCTGAGACTCCTGGAAAGCACCTAACAGAACACACGGGGGCCTCTGGTTAAGAACTTGAGCCTCTTTATGAAGTGACACCACCTCTCACCTGCCATGTCCTTTATTTCCCAGCTCAGGCAGAGATGCTAAACCCTCTCCTTGAGGAGAAAGCATGGCTGGGAAGGGGAGAAGGTAGGAATTTAAAGCAAGTGCTTTTCGGAGTATTTTCTTCAAGCCTCATGTCTTTCTACACACCTGCTTGGCACAGCGTTAGTCATACGGACAGGGTGACTCTTCATGGATTGGCAGGACAATCACCACCCAGCCCCAGCCCATTTTCTGCCCTTCAGTCATTATTCTTCACCATCTAAATCTGGTTTGCCATGAAAACCAGTTCTGGGAGGTAAGAGTTTTTTTAAAAACCAGCAAGGCCTGTAAATAACATCAACACACACTGGGAAGAGGGAAGGAGAAGGGACCCAGATAGCAGTTTTAACTCTTTGTTTATTAATTTCTCATCTAGGAACTTGTAATTCTATATCTGCTTCAAGCGGAAGAAGCATAGTCTTCCCTGAGACTTCACTAAAGAGCACATGATTTCCACTTTCAGATTTTCTATTGATTTGGCAGAGTCAATTGTCCTAATGCCGAGTTTTGTGTTTTTGCCAGTCGGGTGGCAGTGAGTTGCATTTAATTTCTAGTATTGTTAATACTCTCATTATTATACTACAGCTTGAATAAGAATGAGTAGGAGACAGAGCAGGAATGTGTGTGCCAAGGAAAGCCATTTAAAAAAAATCCAGTTTTTTTTTTAATCGGGATTATTTTTTAAGGTAAAATTCACATATCATATAAGTCACCATTTTAACCATTTTAAATTGTATAAATAAGTGGCATTTAGTACATTTACAATGTTGTGCAAACATCATCACTATCTAGTTCCAGAAACCCTGTACCCATTAAGCAGCAGTCACTCCCCAGCCCCCTCTCTCCCTCCAGGCCCTGGCAACCACTAATCTGCTTTCTGTTTCTACGGATTTGCCTATTGTGGACATTTCATATAAATGGAATTACACAATATGTGGCCTTTTGTGTCTGGGTTCTTTCACTTTCGTAATGCCTCCAAACTTCATCCATGTTATAGCATGTATTGTAAGTTACTTTTTAATTAAAAAAAATTAAAAAAAAATTAAAGAAGGGGAAAATGTCACAGGCCAGCTTCACGTGGCTGAATATCATCCCCTTCTACCCAATTTTACTTGACAGGCTGTGAAATAATTGCCATTGCAAACCTCTGACTGGGTGCCTTATCCAGATCCCAAGGAAATGGGCAAAGGGGACTAAAAAAAATAAAGTCCATCTGTTCCAGGTGAACTATTTCTTAAGTTTTAGTTACATTTTGATTTGTAGCTGCTTGTGGACTTATGTTAGCATTGTGTTAACAAGATCTTGGTTTAGTAATAACTGACCTAGTATAGTGTCTCTTTAATTGCTTTTGTTTTCCCATAGTTTCAGGAAAGTAAAATACAGTCTTGGTAATGCAGAAATAAAGGTTACAAACGAAAACCTATGACCTGATCAGAGATGAAAAAAAATAATGAAGGTTTCTCTTAATTCGAGGGTAGAATTTCAGTGACTTTACCACCTTAGTAAAACAAGCTCTCCATTCTTGACAGTTCTGTCAAGGGAATAATATAATGAGAATGTTTGTCTAAACCTTTTCTGGGTTCTCTGTGCCTCATCACTAAAGTCTACAACAGGAAAAACAAAGTCGTTTATGAGGTTCCTGCCTATCCTTCTATTGTCACTTTTTCTTTAAGCTTCTTACTGGACCGCAAACTCTTTGGGGGAAGGATGTATGTCTGATTCATGTAACCCAAATCTTTGACCATTCAAAGGCCCTCATCTGTGTAATGATAGGACTTCAGATAGAATCTTTTTATGTTGCCGTATTAGAGAAATTAATGTTAGTTGCAGTAACAAACAACCTCAAAATCTCAGTGGTTTAACACAATAAATGTTTATTCTTTGCTCCCATCACAACTCAAAACAGTTCTGGCAGCTCCCCTCTAAGTGATGACTCAGGGATTCAGGCTTCTTCTATCAATGGAGCTTGCTGTCTTCTACAGCCTTTTTGGAGTCCTCTGCATATCATCTGAATTGAGCTGACCAGCAAACAAAGAGAGATTAAGCAGAGGATGCATGCAGATTTTAGGGTCCAGACATTAAAGTGTCTACACCCCTATATTGAAGGGTCTACATCCCTTCCAGTCATGTTCCCTTGGCCAATGCAAGGGAATGGAAGATGTAGTCATCTGTGTGCTCAGCGGAGGAAAAGGATATTGTTGAGCATCTAGCCAATCTCTTCTATAATTTTTCCTTTCCCTCAGGCATGCTCAGCAAGATGTGGGTGGGGGAAAGTTGTCTCATGATGGTTCCCAAGTCAGTCGTGCCACATCTATGACTCTGCTTTGCCTGATTCCAGACTGGCAAACTCCACTCTACCATGGACCATCATTCACTTCTCTGCAGGTCACTTGATGCAGTTCCAGAACATTCTACCTCCCTTCAATCGGTGCTGCCACCATAAAGCTGACCTCAGGATGAGGAAACCTGCGCCCCCTTTACCATTCCATATAACACCTTCTTTTACTTGAAGCTAAGCCAAGATCAGATTGTAATAAAACTTTACTGAAAGCTTCAATTCTGCAAGAGGAAATTACAATCTAGAGAAATGTAAAACTGATATTAGATCTGACTGTTCTCAGGGTAGACTACTGAGGCCTGCATAGTTTCTGGCCTGCCTCACAGTTGTAGAGGTCAGCTTTCTTCTTCCTACCATAGGAGGAAGACCTTCAGTATGTCCCCCCTTCTGCTGAGCCCCAGGCCTCATGTCCCCATATCCCCCAAAAGGTAAAAAGTTCCCTGCCTTCTGTGTCTTTTCTTTCTGATCTGGATCTGTCCATTCAATATGATAGGTTCTGGAAATTTCTATTTCCTTTAGGAAAAAGTGCAACCTTCAACCCATGGAAAGTCCTCTATACTCAAAAGCACAGTCCCTTTAGCGCGTAATAACAGGACATCGGTTGTTTTCTCAACTGAGTTAGAATAACACCACATAAGAGGCATAATCCATCCAGTCTAGGGCAAGCGTTGCTAAACTCAGTCCAGTTTATTTTCAGTTTTATTATCTGTTTGAAGTAACACCCATGCCTGCATATCCTTGCCACCATCTTGAAGTCTCAGCAGCCAACCTCCTTGAGCAATTGCATTTCCAAGAACAAGCAATAATTTGTAGGATGATGTGTGTAAGTTCATCTTTAGCCACCCTCTCCACAATGAAATAGAAGTTTCGGACCATGCAAACCAACTGAACCTTTTGCAGCTGGAGAGTTACAAACCGTACATCCCACAAGAGGGCCTCTGTTCATTTTTTTTTTTTAAGTCTAAGGCTCTTTTGATGACAAATAAGAAGACTCTGCTAAATAACTTAAGCAGAAGAGCAGATGTATGGAGGATTTATTAGAGGGCAACAGGACCCAAGAGCAGGAGCTGAGGCTGTTTCACAGGGACTTAAGCCATTAGCAGCCAGTTTCATTCATGTTCTTTCTCACTGTGCATCAGCTTCCTCTCTCACAAATTGCCCTCTGCTTGTCCGTGCACAAGGTGGAAAGAAGACTGCACAGTATCCAAGTTTATATTGCTTCAATTCAGGCAGCCATCATTAATTTGCAAATGTCTCTTAGCCCCATTTTTAATTCTATAGAGAAATTGGTTCATCTTACATGGCTACTCTTTATCTTATTTACTATAGCCAGGGAGAAAGTATCATGTGGCATAAATATCTGTGCCAGTGTGTACCTTGTAAATTGAGGTGTTATTTCTATGAAAATTGAGGATTCCAGGGCAAATGAATCCTTGTCCAAAGGTAATTTTATAATCTACTGCTGATAATACAGAATATGCTCAAAAGTTTCATCTAGGCTGAGGTGGGAGTATTGCTTGAGGCCGAAAGTTTGAGACCAGCATGGGCAACATAGATCCCTTCTCTACAAAAAATTAAAACATTAGCCAAGCATAGTGACATGCTCCGTAGTCCTAGCTACTTGGGAGGGTAAGGTGGGAGGATTGCTTGAACTCAGGAGTTCGAGACTGCAGTAAGCTATGATTGTGCCATGCTGCACTCCAGCCTGGGTGACCGAGGTAGACCCTGTCTTTTTAAAGAAAAACAACTTTGATTTGAGATTTTTCTGGATTTGATTATCTTCATTAAAGTGTCAGGGATCATCAGGTTCAAGTTTGGTTTGAAGCCCAAATTCCTTGTTTTTCCCCCTCCCTGTGGAATCCCTGTAGAAAGGAAACATCTTCCAAGTGTAGAGCCTCGGAGTTAAAGCTAGTCCTGAGATGACAGCTGGGAAAGGTCTATGTTCCACTCTCACATCTAGCTTCAGGTGTCTTGGTCCTTTTTTGTAATACTTGCATCAACCCCAGGCCTTGGGCAGTTCTTAGCACAAAGTAGGCCCTAAATTAATACTTATAGAATGAATGGATCATTGGTTGATTTGAACCATTCCATTTGCTGGCTTCCAGAAAAACTTCCAGTTAACTGGTGATTTGCTCAATGTCCCAAGCCTTTCTTTTTTTTCCATACTGTAAATCAATAGACTTTTAGTTGAAATTTTTTGTCTTTAGCTTTCTGGAACTTTCTTAACTCTCTTGACAAGCAAAATTGTTACTTCCTCTATGCTATGATACTAACTGGCTTACATCACATCATCAATAAATCTTTCATCATACTGAATTTCAGTTACTCACACTCAGATCTGCTTACCCAACTAGATTATTAACTGCTTAAGGGTAGGCATTCTAGTTCTATATGTCTAGTGCATGTTGAATGCTCAAAATATGTTTTGTGAAAGTATGAATCAATCAATCAATAAGCTATGTTTCCTGGGATATACCAGCCTTCAGGTAAAAACTGAGTCATTGTAACAATAATCAAACAGTTCTTCTCTGGATATGCCTTTTTCTTATTACACATCCCTCAAATTCTAACCAGATATTTTTTATACTGTACTGGAGTGAGTATTGTATATTTTCTCATATATTCATTATTTCACACACACACACACACACACACACACTTTTCTTTTGAGGCAGAGTTTCACTCTTGTTACCCAGGGTGGAGTGCAATGGCATGGTCTCGGCTCACTGCAACCTCCACCTCCTGTGTTCAAGTGATTCTCCTGCCTCAGCCTCCTGAGTAGTTGGGCTTACAGGTGCACACCACCACGTCTGGCTAATTTTTGTATTTTTAGTAGAGATGGGGTTTTGTTTGGCCAGGCTGGTCTCGAACTCTTTACCTCAAGTATTCCACCTGCCTCGGCCTCCCAAAGTGCTGGGATTACAGGTGTGAGCCACTGCGCCTGGACTATTTATTTTTTTGAGATGGAATTTCGCTGAGTGCAGTGGCACAATCTTGGCTTGCCACAACCTCCACCTCCCAACCTCACCCTCAAGTGATTCTCCTGCCTCAGCATCCCGAGTAGCTGGGATTACAGGCACCTGTCACCATGCCTGGCTAATTTTTTGTATTTTTTAAAATAGAGACAGGGTTTTACCATGTTGGCCAGGCTGGTCTCAAACTCTAGGCCTCAGGTGATCGACCTGCCTTGGCCTCCCAAAGTGCTGGGATTAAAAGCATGAGCCACCACGCCTGGCTACATATATATTTAGATGTCTGCTAAAGCCAAATAATATACCGGGGCCTGGGAATGCAGTAATGAGGATTGATGATGTTGATGATGATTATGATGATAACGATGATTCCTTTAGTATTTGAGAGTCTTAATAAAACAGCACTTCTCATTCCTGAGTTATGAATCAATCTAGAAATAAGCCAAAAGAACAGCATATAGAGTCAAAGTTGTAACATTTAAAAAATTACTGATAAAGCTTATATGGGAAAATGAGCCTTATATCTATGGCCAAGGGGTCTTCTGAATACTAACCCCCCAGAACTATTTAGGCTCACCCACTCAATCAAGGCAGTGATTCCTTACATGGTCTGTCCCCATGAGATCAGCCACAGACAAACAGAAAGTGTACTATCTGGGGGAAGGCTAGCCCCCAAGAGAGAGGGCAGGGAAGAATTAATTGATGGAACAAGATCCTCCTGGTTACCCCATGGCTATTGCAGTTTTCCTGCCAGCCTTGGTTTTCATCAGCCATCATTCTTATAACCAATACTGAAAGCCACGTTCCTGTTGCCAATATGCCTGGAAGATGAAGCCGCTGCTGGTGTTGGCCAAAGGCACTTCCACTGCTGTGATTGCCCAGCAACACCTGTGCCAAGGCTACTGATGCCTGGTCAAGGCGATAATGTCTGAGCTGACTCCTGTGGTTGCCAAAGTCAACAAAGTTGCTGAAGAAGTTGTTGGCACCAGAAGGTTTGCATGCTCAGCATCTCTCAGAGCTTAAGAGCTCTTGTGGTTTCTACTTGCTATTTTCCTGCAGCCCCTAGGCATAGATTTCAGGCTGGGTCAGTGAAGGCTGAGCAGGAGGATACTCCGAGGGACAGACACAGGCCAATGACAGAGATGACTCCAAATGAGGTTATTCATCCCATCTCAGAGAGATGCCACCTGAAGTGAAAGAAGACAGCACTCACCACACAGCCCTTTTCTTGTGTCCCTATATTGGACCACATCACTATACTAAATTATCAATTACTAATACTTCTAAATCCATTCATGATCTTGTGAATAATACCATTATTTGCAATGTGTTTTGTGTTAATGTTAAAGACATTAATATGTTAAATGTAAATTTGCGAAATGCCTCTTTATATAACCCAGTTTTGGTATTTCTTAATGTAATATTTCAGGAGTCTCAAAAACAAAAGGAGTTTGGTGCTTCTTCAACCTCCAAGGGGGCTCCCATCTCACTTCTTTTGCCCTTTTACCCCTCCTACTCTGGACCACTGTCCTTGTATCAAACTTGTTTGCCTTAGAAGCTCTCTTTCCTAAGAAAGGTTCTTCTCCGGGAGGTTCTTCTACCTTTCTCATAAGTAAGTCTCTGTTGCTGACCCATGAGTTTTTGCAACAAGCCTTGACATGCCTGAGTCCTAGAGTGAACCCAGCTTAGGCTCATGCTGGGTTCCCTATATGTATAAGGAATGAATCAGGAAGGGCTTACCTGCATTAATCCAGGAGCTTAATTAAACTAACAAGAGCAACCATCACAGGGTGGATATAAAGAGGAGCTTGTTTCTTGGATTTGTTTCCATTCTTCCTCCAACGTTAGCAACTGTTCAATATTTAGCCCTAACTAAATCAGCACATTTCAGTAGTCACACCTAGAAATCTTATGAGTACATGCGGAATTTAAGGAATGTTTAGAAACAAATGTTGTTGGGGACTTGAATTAACAAAGCTTGCTGGGGAGTTCTGGATCTTCCTGCATTTTGTTTCCCTCACAGAAGGTGTTCTTCTGTTTATGTTTAGGACTCAAATGTATTCTTGATTTGTGTTCCTCTGAATTCCCTAACGAAGGTGTTTATTCAAATGCCTGGCTGGGCCCGGTGGCTCACGCCTGTAATCCCAACACTTTGGGAGGCTGAGGTGGGTGGATCATGAGGTCAGGAGATCGAGACCATCCTGGCCAACATGGTGAAACTCCATCTCTACTAAATATACAAAAATTAGCCAGGCGTGATGGCGGGCGCCTGTAGTCCCAGCTACTCTGGAAGCTGAGGCAGGAAAATCGCTTGAACCAGGGAGTTGGAGATTGCAGTGAGCTGAGATCATGCCACTGCACTCCAGCCTGGGCGACAGAG
Organism: Homo sapiens; assembly: GCF_000001405.40. Lineage (NCBI taxonomy): Eukaryota > Metazoa > Chordata > Mammalia > Primates > Hominidae > Homo > Homo sapiens. The sequence goes on from NC_000001.11 coordinate 220,337,277, forward strand.
CCTGACAGGCTTGTGGCAGTAAAGAGGAAGTAGATAAAACTTGCGTCCTTGGTTGAAAAACAAACACAAACATGTATCTCTTTATGAATGTGTTGACATAGCACACTTTTGCCTGCTGTCCTGCTGCTGACCAATTAATCTAACCAGCTTCTCTTCCACATGCAGCATCATCCCCCATCTCTGAGTGAAGTCCACAATTAATGAGATTCTTTGGGTGGTTGTTGCCATTGCTGACTCACTGGCTGTTTTAGCTACAATGCCTCACCAGTGTATACCTGCCTCAGGCACAGACGGAATGCTGGGTGGCCTGATGCTATCTTAGGTAACTAGAGCATTGCTTCTGGAAGTGAGAAGCTGCCTTTAAATTATTCAGTGAGCCTTCTTCCAGTTCACAGGCCTTTCACAACAGTAGGGAAAGCAGCAGCAAAGTGCCATGATGGCCTGGAAACAGCAGGATTTACAGGGAAGGCAAAAATAGGGGAGGAGGATTCCACAGCTGGAATACGCCAAGCAGAGACTAGAGTGTTGCAGAGCCTGCACCTGCTCACCTCTTTTCCAGGTGGGAATGTTGGAAGAGAAGTGGAAAGGGCGTAGTGACTCTCAAGCAGGGTTACTGCCACCTTGGCGACATTTGTTAGTTTGCGTGTTAATGTGTGTATTTTTTAATTTTTATTTTTTAGCACTCTCTGATAAGGAGATAATGTGTGTTTTGTTCATTTGTCTGATTCTTGTTAGACTATTTTCTACTTGAGAGTCCTATCTTATTGATGTCATTACAATGTTATACACTCAACTCTGGCACTTAGTTACTCTTAATAAACTTATATGGAATGAAATGTGCTCTGTTTGAACTTCTCCTTTTAGCTCTATTTGTATGCTGAAAAAAAAAATCACAAAATAACTCTAGTTTTTTCACTTTATTACTTAGTTCTCAGTCCTGCATATACTCGAAGTCAGCTTTCTTTTCTCTGGGTTGAACAACCACATCAGATGCCTGGTAGTCTCAAAGGGATTGATTACTTGAGGATAAATCCTTAAATATTCTTGAAACAACAGAGATTAAAGCACACACACGCATATATATGTGTGTGTATATCCATATATATAGATATATATAGATTTTCTTTTTTTTTTTTTTTTTTAGACAGAGTCTCACTCTGTTGCCCAGGCTGGAGTGCAGTGGCACAATCTTGGCTCACTGCAACCTCCTCCTCCCAGGTTCAAGCGATTCTCCTATCTCAGCCTCCCGATTAGCTGGGATTACAGGCACATGCCACCAAGACTGGCTAATTTTTTTATTTTTAGTAGAGACGGGATTTCTCCATGTTGGTCTGGCTGGTCTCGAACTCCTCACCTCAGGCAATCCACCCGCCTCAGCCACCCAAAGTGCTGGGATACAGGCATGAGACACCGTGCCCAGCCAGCACTCCCAAATTGTATTGGCCACCATGTTAAGTGCTTCTGGGCACTACAGATCTACAGATCTGCTACAGACATTCTTTTGTCGGGAAGGGAAAACTTTTCCTCTAGCCTCTTTAGTGACAGAGTAATGAGTGAAAAAAACAGTTTTAGTTACACACATATGCATGGTTCTGGGTAAAGTAAAATGTGGCTCAAGGAGGCAGCCAGAACTTAGTGTTTACATGCCTTCTTAGGCTAGACAAAGAAAAAGAGGTTTGGGGCTTGCTGAGGGGGTAAGTTATGCAAGGTGACCAAGGGCTGTGTGGAAACAAGAGTTGTTTATCAAGGTTTGTTATGCAGATTTCAGGTGGTGCCTTCTCCATTGATAGGAGTTGCAGCAGCCATCCTCCTCCTTCCTGGTTTGGGAGAGGGAGACACTTTTGCAAATGTAAATTTCTTTTATAAAATGTAAGCTTCCTTTAAGAAAGGGAAATTTATGCTCTGCTTCAGAGCTTTTTCTGGGTATGATGTTCCTCAATTGCCTTCAGCTCAGAATAATCCTTATGCCAAAAAGGCCTATTTTGGGGTGGCATATTCTGGTCTCCTTCACTATTATAGTTCATTCTACATCAGGATAGATTTTGAAAAGTAGTTGTGCTTCCCTATACACAATCAGCACACTTTGGAAGCAATAATACTCATTTCTATAGGTCTCTGGGGTTGCTAGGGTGCTTCACTGGGCAGAGTCCAATAACCTCAATTATGGAAGCCTTACTCTATGTCTTAGAGTAAAATCATTTTCACCCTTTCATGATGGGCAAGCAATAGGCTCAGGCTCCATTGCATGTATCTCAGTATGCGGGATAGCACAAACAGGAAAGAGAACACGGCAAGTTAGAGGAATAGAGTTCAATATAACTGGAGTATTGAGTGCAATCTGAGCCCAGGGAGAGCTAAGGGTCAAAACCAGATGTAATGGGTATTTTTTGTGTGCATCCCTGGCATCCAATCCTTCCTTTCCTGTCAATAGCCCCCTTTTTCATTTTGAGATTCATCCCTTATGCATTTCATTCCTTGTGGTCTAGATGGAGCTCTAGGTCTGGGGGTGGAAATTGGATTGAGGCCTGAGTCAACTGGCATACCATGTTTTCTTGGCACAAGAGTGGGATCTAGACTGGTCTTATCTGTGTGAATTTCTGGACATTTCTTTTTCTTTTCTTTTTATTTATATATATATTTTTGAGACGGAGTCTCACTCTGCTACCCAAGCTGGAGTGCAGTGGCACAATCTTGGCTCACTGCAACCTCTGCCTCCCAGGTTCAAGCAATTCTCCTGCCCCAGCATCCCAAGCAGCTGGGATTACAAGCATGCACCACCACGCCTGGCTAATTTTTTGTATTTTTAGCAGAGATGGGGTTTCACCATGTTGGTCAGGCTGGTCTCAAACTCCTGACCTCAGGTGATCCACCTGCCTCTGCCTCCCAAAGTGCTGGGATTACAGGCGTGAGCCACCATGACTGGCCTGGACAGTTCTTAAGAATTCTGAATCAAAGACACCCACTGTTTTCTACCAGATTTAAACCTAGAAATAAGTTGTTTCCAGAGCAGGTGGCAGCCATTCTGAGGCCACAGGGAAAGAGCCCATCTGAGAATGGAATCAATACAGCAGTTGAGTCATGGGACAGAGAGAAAATGGGTCCTGGAAATATCATTTGAACTCCTGCATCATGATGTGCCTGAACTTCTGAAATTTCCAATCACATGAGCCAACACATTACCTTTTTGGTTTAGGCCAGTTTGGGTTGAATACTCTCTTATTTGTAACTGCGAAAGTCCCAGTGTGTATACTGGGTTAGCCAAATGCCTTCATCAAGTCCAAAGAGTGAGCACAGGGTGAAGATTGAGAGAAAAAGCCAAACCAATTGTAAGAGGACACTGGAAAGGTCCATGGAGTATGAGTAATAGCTGCCATGAAGTGAGAAGATCTGTGATGATGGCCATGAGTAGGGACATGCCAGGGGCTGGGTCACCAACTGCTATCCTACTTATCTTCCAATTCTTTTTTTTTTTTTTTTTTTTTTTGAGGTAAAGTCTCACTCTGTCACCCAGGCTGGAATGCAGTGGCGCGATCTCGGCTCACTGCAACATCCGCCTCCTGGGCTCAAGCAATTCGTGTACCTCAGCCTCCTGAGTAGCTGGGAGCAGGCACCCACCACCATGCCTGGCTAATTTTTGTATTTTTAGTAGAGACAGGGTTTCACCATGTTGGTAATCTTGAACTCCTGGCCTCAAGTGATCTGGCCACCTTGGCCTCCCAAAGTGTTGGGATTACAGGAGTGAGCCACCATGCCTGGCCCAATTCATTTTTTAAGTTTAATTTTTTTGATAAGTCCCAAACATTCTTATTTAAAACATAGCTTTAGTCCTCTAAATATGGCATATAAACCTTCCCAAGGCCTACTGACCTTCTGAGAAGTATTTGAACTATATAAACCAAAAATAAACTAAGTCCCTTTTCTAAAAGTTTCAACCATCTGAAAATCAAAAAGAGACATAGAATCCTACATTTCAATTTACTGCAAGTCTTAGTTACCAATAGCAACAGATAGTTATTTTGAACACAGTCTCTAACATTGCTCTCTTTCTTTTTATTCTTGTTGGCAAATGTGTAGAAAATCTATAGTAACCTCCCACAGAATGAATATGGGATGATTTCAGATAGTCACGGACACATGATATATTACCTTTCAACCTCTAACAAATACTCAGCATCTATAACTTCAATTCCATTATTACTTTTCATGCTTGCTGATTAGAACACAGGGTTCTCTCATGGTGAGAGGTTTCATTTAACTTATACATAAATATGGTGCTGATGCTCGAGTGAATAGTTCATGAAGAAAAGAGAGTATACAATGGATTTCCAAAAACCACTGCTGTGAAGGAAGAGATGATTTGGGGCTGGCTGAGAAATTTAACTGTCACATTCAAATGCCTGCAGAGTCTAAACCTTTCTATTGCTGAAGAGTAGTGGTTTATTCTCACAAATCCTTTTCATTCATATCTAGGAAATTTTATGTATCATTTCCAAGCCATAGAATGCATCTGTGACCCATCTTCAATCTAATTATTTGTACCTAAGGACAGGTCAGCTGGTGATAGGTGAATTAATATGCATACTTTTGTGTGGAGGTCATTTTAATGTTGAAAACACTGAAGCTTTCTGTTCTTTGAACATATAGTCCAAGTAACTGAGTAGTTCATTATCCCTCTGAAGGTTTCATGTATATTATTTTTGTCTCTTTATCTAGGTCCCATAAGACAGGAAGAAAAGTCCTTCCTCCGGGTTGGAGAACAGTTTTCCCCATACTTCTAGCCCTGCTGAGCTCCCAGGAATGGGTGACCACCATGTGGTCTCTGCTCACCTACCTGAAAATGTGTACTGCCCTCTTAAACCTGTTAGCTTGTTCCCCTTCACTTGAGTTCCTCTAACTTTAAACATCATGTGTTGAACTCTTCAGCTGCCTCTGCAGCTGAGGCAGGTATCTCCAGCCCTCGCCCCTCTTAATTTTAGCTTCTTGTTCTCAGTATATTCTTCTTCACTGACTCAGGCTGCTGAGCCTTAGGTGTACCCTTAACTAGAATTCACCAAGTTATGACAGACCAGATTAAGAAAATGCAATATTTATTGGAATTACTGTCTACTATGTGACTATATAGTAATTTATGAATATTCCCATTACAAAGTTGAAACTTTGCTGTCCTACATCAAAATATGAGTAAAAAAATAAATAAAATGCAATAGTGTATCTGTTATCTGTTGCTACCTAACAAATCACCCCAACACTGTGGTTTAAAATAACATTTATTGCTGGGCGCAGTGGCTCATGCCTGTAATCACAGCACTTTGGGAGGCCAAGGTGGGCAGATCACCTGAGGTTGGGAGTTCAAGACCAGCCTGACCAATATGGAGAAACCCCTTCTCTACTAAAATTACAAAATTAGCCGGGCGTGGTGGTGCATGCCTGTAATCCCAGCTACTCGGGAGGCTGAGGCACAAGAATTGCTTGAACCCAGGAGGCGGAGGTTGCAGTGAGCTGAGATCACACCATTGCACTTCAGACTGGGCAAGAACAGCAAAACTCTGTCTCAAATAAATAAATAAAATTAAAAATGAATAAGTACATAAAATAACATTTATTCTCATAAATCTATAATTTGGGCAGAGCTTGGCAGGAACAGCTCATCTCTGTTCCTCCTGGCGTCAGCCTAGAGTCACCCAAAGATTGGCGTCATCTGGAGGCTCTCACTCACTCACTCACGTGCCTGCTGGTTGGTGTTGGGCTGACTCAAACAGCTGGGGCTCCTTGAGCATCTTGTTCTATTTCCATGCAGCTTCTCCATGTGTTCTCTCTAGCATGGCAGCTTCTGAATAGGCAGATTTCTTATGTGTCAGCTCAGGGCCCCCAAGGCGTGTGTCACAAGAGAGAGCCTGGTGGACAATGTATTGCTTTTTCTAACCTACCCTCAGAAGTCATGTGGCGTCACTTTTACTGCATTATATTCACTGAAAGCAAGTGACTAAGACCAAGATAATTAAACTCTACCATGTTATGTAAGGTATATCAAAAAGTGTGCAGACTTTTTTTTTTTTTTGAGATGGGGTCTTGCTCTGTCACCTAGGCTGGAAGGCAGTGGTGTGATCTCGGCTCACTGCAACCTCCGCCTCCTGGATTCAAGTGATTCTCCTGCCTCGGCCTCCTGAGTAGCTGGGATTACAGACATGTGCCACCACACCCAGCTAATTTTTTTTTTTTTTTTTTGAGATGGAATCTCGCTCTGTTTCCCAGGCTGGAATGCAGTGGCGCAGTCTCAGCTCACTGCAACCTCTGCCTCCCAGGTTCATGCCATTCTCCTGCCTCAGCCTCCCCAGTAGCTGGGACTACAGGTGCCCACCACCACGCCCAGCTAATTTTTTGTATTTTTAGTAGAGATGGGGTTTCACTGTGTTAGCTAGGATGGTCTCGATCTCCTGACCTCGTGATCCACCCGCCTCGGCCTCCCAAAGTGCTGGGATTACAGGTGTGAGCCACTGTGCCCAGCCAAAAAAATGTGCAGACTTGTTTGAAAACCAAGAGATGTATGACTCATCTCCACTCTGTGGAGTGCGAACCACTCACTCATGTCTGGGTGTCTCTTTCCATGTGGTTTCTCATCTTTAAGATGAAGCAACCCTGGGCTTGTTCACATGGCATCACATTCCAGAGGGGAAAGAGTGGAAGCTGTGAAGCCTAGGCTCAAACTAGCAAAATAACATTTCTGCCACATTCTATTGGCCAAAGCAGGTCACAAGGCCAGTCCAGCTTTAAGGAGTAGGAAATACGCTCTACCTTTTGATGCGAGAAGTTGAAAGAATTCATAGCTAGTTTTGATCTTTCACATGTGGTCATCCAAACTTCTTTCCTTGAACAATAGGAGTTAAAGAACAGAGTCCTATGATTCAAGAAGGGTTAGCTACACGATCTCAAACTTCTCTGATTTGTAGTAAAGTGGCACAGGAAGCTGTGTTGAAAAGAGTTTCTCAGAGTGTTTTCTTTCTAGGTTGCAGAGACTGCCTTTTCCTTTTTCCATAGGGAAAGATTGCCTATGAATCCTTCCTTTGTGCATGACTATGCAGAGAGAGTCATGAATCAACTAACTCTCTACCTGAGAGACAGTAAGGCCTGGAGAAGTGTAAGGAAGGGGAATGCAGTCTTCAGGAGATGACTGAGGGAGTGCTCAATGCTGCCTTTTGCGTCCTCCCTAAAACTCACACGTTGAAATGTGAATGGAGGATGGAAGAAATCAAGTGTCCCATAAAAGCATTATGGAGGGCAGGATGAGGAAATGAGTTTATTTTGGGAACTTGCTTCCTTATGGGGTACAAGGCTGAATGAGGCAGGATGGGCTGAGGGCAGTGCTAGGCCTCACTGAGCTGTCTATCTTTCTCTAACTCCATCTCCCCAGTCTTCCACATGCTCTTCTGACATGAGGAATACTCCAAGTCCCTCTTTCTTCCTGGGGGCACACTGCATCTCTTCACAGGTTAGAAGATCCAAACCCTGTTCCCTCTTGTGTCTTGCGCACTCAGCCATCTCAGGCTTCAGCTGGACATTAGTGGAATCTTCCCCAGGGGCTTCTGCTGGCTCCCAAGAGAGGGGTGGCTGAACTTAGCCTTTGTCTTGGCCCACGTGGATGTGGTGTAGGGTGGGGGAAACTCTGAGTGAGTCAATACTACCCCATCAGCAAAAACCATGGCTAATTTCTCTTCAATTACCTAAAAGCAGTCATACCATGGAAAGCCCCAATTTTGCTCTTTCACTGACCTTCTTTAACATGATCCTGACCCTCCTTCTTATGAAATAATAGCCCTAGCTTTATTACGGCATCTCTCTGTTAACCAGAAGAATGATTCAGAACTAATCAAAATGCCTTACTCTGACAGGTTGTAATACATGTATTCCATTTTTTAAAAATAAGTTAGTTATCATAGTAAGAAGAAAGGATCATTTTCTCTTCAAAATTATTTCATAATGAATTAATTACGAGTGACACTGACCTTAAATGATAGCTTGATAATTTCATGAAGAAGCACATTTTGTTCAGTAAAGAAAATGAGAGGGCTAGTTTCTTTGTGTTTGTAGAAATTCACTAATTTATAAATGTTACAATTAAGGGCACTAATGGTGCTTATTGCTGCAGTTCAAGAGAGAGGCCAGAATAAATGGCAGAATCTTGCCCAAATACCTATTACCTCTTGATCTCATCTTATACATTTTTCTCTGCCTTCTCTGACCATAGTTTTGACCCATTTGATGATTTGAACGTGAAAATGAATCCTACTTTCTGCTTTGAGAAAGATGTAGGGGATCTAGATTTAGTTCATTGATGAAGTGTGTTCAAAGATGTAGACAGAGTCCAAGAAGCAATGGCATGAATCCAATGTGGCTTGATAAGACATCAAGGGGCTTTGGGTCAGAAGCTCTTTTATCTGAAATCTGCCTGATAGTGTGAAATATAAATTGGAATTGAGATCCATGGCACAACATTGCAGTTATTCTTGCAATGGTAACATGGCAAAACATGGGCCAAAACATTCCTTCCTGATCCTGCCCCTCCTGAGTGGTATCACAATTCAACACTGGCCACCCATGGTTTGTGGCAGCCGTCTCACTTGTCTAGCAGCACTTGCTGAGCAGGCATTTCATCTTGCCAGGATTTGCATCTGCGCAAAGCTAAGGAATGGGTAAGGTGTCAGGCTTCCAGGGTTAAGGGAAAGGAAGAAAATGGGTGGCTTAGACTATGTTTTGCCTTTGAGTTCTCAGGAAGATGCTAATGTGGAGTTGGAAATATAAATTAAATCTCCACATCAACAAACCAGAGTTCTCTAAATGTGGAATTCAATTCAGCATGGGGAAAAGCCAAATATTTTGTTTAAAAAATCGGCCCTTAACAACACACATTTTTGTGATTATTTCATATAGAAGACCAAAGGCAAACAATAGAAAAGTGTGCTTTCCTTTCCTCACATAAAATGATCTTCTTGGGCCGGGCGCAGTGGCTCACGCCTGTAATCCCAGCACTTTGGGAGGCTGAGGCGGGTGGATCACAAGGTCAGGAGTTCGAGACCAGCCTGATCAATAATATGGTGGAACCCCATCTCTACTAAAAATACAAAACTTAGTCAGGTGTGGTGGCGAGCTCCTGTAGTCCCAGCTACTTGGGATGCTGAGGCAGGAGAATCACTTGAACCTGGAAGGCAGAGGTTGCAGTGAACCGAGATCACGCCACTGCACTCCAGCCTGGGCAATAGAGTGAGACTCCATCTCAAAAAAAAAAAGATCTTCTTAAGGATGCTGAGGAAGGGTACCTGAGGTCTTCAGGTAATTAGAAAACACCTGTTAGCAAAGCTGCCCCAGAAGCAGAAAGTGTTGCAGCTAGAAAATTGTCAGAGAAGCAGAAGGGTTGGATGGAGGGTCTCATCAAGAGGGAGACTCACCACGTGTTTACCCCCATCTGACAGTCCTTTCTGCTGGCCCTTGGCTCTCTGGCTGTGCTGTACTCTAGCCCAGAGCCTCAAGCATTGTCTTTCCCTTCCATTTCCTAACTCTGACCATTGCTCTGAAACTGATTCTGCAATAGGAGCCTAACCTCTCTTTGTGTCACTGACCTTGCTGCCTGTTTATGGCTCTCTGCATTCTCCCAGCTCTTCTTCTACCTGGCAACCTGATCCTTAGATATCCTTCATGGTCTGGTTTGGATGTTCCTGACCTTGAACAATATTCAGATTTTAATTAGTCATAGCCCTTCTAGCAGAGTTTTAGCTTTTTCCTTTGGCACAAATTTCAGCTTATTCAAAGTTGGGTAAGTTAGGTGAAGAGTCTCTATATCTGTCTGTGGTTCTTTTTCCATTTTTTTTTTTTTTGACTCAACACAGCTCAAGGATTTGCCCAATCCCATGAGAAATAGTATCTCCCGAAAATAGTGACTGCACAGAAGTGGATAGAAGAGAAGATCAAGCAAGCCTTCCTCAGGGTGTATCAAATTTTCCCAGGGTGGGAGGAAATCTTACAGTAAAAAAGATCCATCAGGGCATGATGGCTCATGCCTGTAATCCCAGAATTTTGGGAGGCTGAGGCAGAAGGATTGCTTTAGCCCAGGAGCATTGGAGTTACATTGAGTTATGACCGTGTCACTATACGCCAGCCTGGGTGACAGAGCAAGACCCTGTCTCAAAAATAAAAAAGTTTCCCTCTTTTGCCAGATGCATCTGATGTACCTCCAGAGGGGTAAGCCTTTTTTCCATACCTGTTTGTTCTTTAGAAATCACTGCTAACTAAAGGCCAGAGGAAAGACGCCTTGCAATGGGACTGGCCAGCATTCTGGATTTCTGCAATGGGAGCCAGAAATGAGAGAACCCAAGGTGTTACCAGTGGCAAATATCCGAGTTTCACCACACCAAAATGTTGGCGGTGGCAGGTATCAGAGTTACCCCGGCGGTGTATCCATGTGGGCCTGCAGCAACTTCATTTCTTGTCTCCTCAGAAGAAAGAATTTGATTGAGGGCCATAAAGCAGAAAAAGACCAAGGCAGGTTTCAGAGCAGGAGTGAAAGTTTATTAAAAAGCTTTAGAACAGTAAGGAAAGAAAGGAGGGAAAGGAGAGAAAAGAAGGAAAGTACAACTTGGAAGAGGGCCAAGCGGGTGACTTGAGAAACCAAGTGCACAGCTTGACATCTTGACTTGTGGTTTTATTTGTTGGCATACTTCCGGGATTTTATTGGGAAGCTGCTGATCAGTTTCGGTGTTTTCTATCTATTAGGAGACTACCTTCTAGCGCTGGCTGTGACCACTTATTACTTTAGAGAAACAGCAGCTGCCTGACCATCACTTGATGGTTGCCCAACACTCCTGGTGTGTGGGGGGAAGCCCTCTTCTGCCCTGCTCATACCTGACTAGCTACCTACTGTAACAAACAGCCTATGATTTGGAGCCGAACCAAGTCTCCCTCCCGTCAGCACAGGACATTCAGAGTGTGTGTGTCTGGGTCCCAGGTTTGTTTTTTTTTTCTTTTTTCTTTCTCTCCCCAGAATATATAGAAGCCAGTGAGAGCAAGAGTGAGCATTCACTCCTCTTAAATGCCACTTCGATTTTCGTGAATGAATTTTCCCTGCATCCTCTGAGCCAAGTGAACAATCTGGAAAGAAAATACCATGCGAGAGAGTCTGGCTGTGATGGCAGCACAGCGAATTGGGAGAGGGGCAGGGGAGGGAAGCGAGAGCTTTAGAGAGCGTTCTTCTTGCTATCCATGTCCCTGAGTTGTCCTGTCTCTGGGCAATTCTCTTATTATTTCTGACTTTTCTACTCTAAGATACATTTGTATCACATGGTCAACAGCATAATGAGATCCTTGAACAGTAAGTGGTAGTAGCACTGTTTCCTAATAGCACAACTTCCTAATACTTCACGTGCATAAACATGTTTCTGACTGCTACGGATATTTTATTAAGGTTGCCATCAGCCCTAGCGGTTGGTGGGAAAAGTTATTATTATGCATTGATAGTCCTACTTTTCAAGAGAGAGTAGGTATCCCATAGCAGTGCCATTTCTCAGAGTCAAACCAGTCTTGTGGTATAATACACACTTCCCTACAATAGAAAGAAAGACAGTCAAGCTTTTCATTTATTTATTTTTTATTTATATTATACTTTAAGTTTTAGGGTACATGTGCACAATGTGCAGGTTTGTTAAATATGTATGCATGTGCCACGTTGGTGTGCTGCACCCATTAACTCGTCATTTAGCATTAGGTAGATCTCCTAATACTATCCCTCCCCACTCCCCCCACCCCACAACAGGCCCTGGTGTGTGATGTTCCCCTTCCTGTATCCATGTGTTCTCATTGTTCAATTCCCACCTATGAGTGAAAACATGCAGTGTTTGGTTTTATGTCCTTGCGATAGTTTGCTGAGAATGATGGTTTCCAGCTTCATCCATGTCCCTACAAATTAATGCTCTTTTCATCAGGACATAAATGCATGTAGAAGGAAACCCATGATGCTGCCTTTAGCATTTCATTTTAGCAAAACACAGTCAAGCTCAGTTTTGGTTTCTAAAGCTAATATATAGCCATAGTATTTGGAGAAAGTCATGCCACCAATATATGGCAGGATAACTATGGCATATCAGCCAAGAGTAAGCCTGGCAAAGATGGTCTATTGCAAGGCATGCTATTATCTGGTCTGTTAATTCTAGGAACCAAAATCTTGTCTGCAGTTGTCACAAAAGTCTATTTGCTATAGGTATATGTATTAATATATGTATTTAAAGAGATTTTTTTAAAAACACTAGACTATAAATACAGCACAAAGCACTAATTCAGAATGACTAAATTTACATATAGACATATAGCTTGCTTTATAATGAACTCAAGCATAATAATCTGCAACAAACTATAGATACTCTCTTATGGCTCATATAACTAACCTCAAATTCCTCCACAGTAGGGATTATTGAAATATTTTCATATGTGTCTAGGAGAATTGTCTTTGTTTTGATATCTTTTGATCATTTTGGTCTGGTTCTGCAGATGCTCTTATTTTTGACTCACACTGTTTTTCTATCAAGGTCCTTATTCTGTTGACAGAGAATTTTCAGTCTCTGTTATCTGCAACGGCGCAAAGTTTGGATTCTAAACCACGCAAATTTATCAACTGCAGGTTAGCAAAGTTTCTAGCTTCTAATCTTATTTGAAAAAAATATCTATTACTAGGTACATGTTACTCCCAAGGGGTTTCTCTCTATATTTTAGTCATTTTCCAGTTTTTTTCTCTAAATGCTTTCTAACTGCTGCCTACAAGTTTTGCCACAGGCTGTCAAGCAGGAGGAGGGAAGACAGGGCAGTGGGAGTTGGGGAGACCTGCTTTCTATCCCCTGCATTTTCAGTGGGAAGAAATGTGTGTATCTCCAATCTGAACTGAAAAGGCCTCTGTTACTAGGAAAGAGTCAAAGATGCCGGGAGCAACACTAGTTCAAAAAGAGCTCTGGCAGCCATGACCTGGGATTTTACCTTTTAACCATTTCACACTCAATTTTGGACAGGCTACAGAATTGTCTTTCAAAACAAGCAGAAAGCAGTCTGGAGTTCTGGCTCTTAAAAGAGCCAGCAAACAGAATTTGAAGAGGTAGTTTAAAAACTTAAGTTTTTAAAGAAGTTTTTAAGAATTAGAGTTTAAACAAGAAAGTATTATTCAATCTTGCCAAATTTCAGGATGACCAAATTCTTTTATCTGCTCATTAACTTTTTGCAATGAAGCTTATCTATACAGCTCTTGGGTCAGACAGCTTGGCTTTACACACAGAGCTATTCTCCCTGTAAACCTGTCCACTCTCACCCCCATCTCCTTGCTTCCGCCAAACCTCTCAAAACTATAATTCAGCTGCCTAACCAGGTCTTGTATAAGACACATTTCCCAAATGAAGTCTGCAGAACCCCTTTTCCCAAGCCTTTAACAAGTGTGCTGTGAAGACACTATGCTAGGCTGAAAAACATATGGGAAATGCTGAATTAAATTAAGGAAAAAGGTTCATTTGTTTCAGGACTGCTCAGGATCTTTAATATGTTAATGGACATTGTAACTCAGAAAGAGAGTTTGTGTGATCATGATGGACTATTTCGTGGTATGTGTATGTTAACTGTAAGAGTTTTTTGTGTATCCAAAAGATGGTTTGGGAAATGCTGTCCTAAGAACATTATCCAAACAGTATTCTGAAATATATCCTTATGTTATTCAACCCAGGTATTATAAGATATAAGTAAGGAATATAAAACCAGTTCTATTTTCTGCCTTCATATTATAGCCGAGGGCCTGCACCCAACCTGACATCTCTGAGTCAGTTTTGACACCAGCTCTTTCACCTTCAGATCCAAATCCAGCATTCAGAATTCCCCACACTATGGCTCCAAATTACCTTCTGAGTTTTTCTACCTGACATTTGGGGAGGGACTGTACATAAACAAGGCAATAGTTGCATCTCTCACTATCATCCACATATACATATGGAAGTATTCATCCCTTGAATCAGTCCCTAGAATCTCCCACCTCTGCACTTTTCTCATTCCACCTCTTATCCTTTAAATGTCCCTTCTTCCCATCTCCACTTGTCAAAATCCAACCTGTCCTGTTAGGGCAATCTCAAACTCTTTCAGACGGCCTTTCTCCGTCAACCCTTTCCAGAACAAAAAGTTGTTCCTTCTCTCTTCTTTGAACTGTCATAGTCCTTTGACTGTTTTTGATGGTACTTAACATTCTGCCAGAAATGATTATTTACCATGGGGTTTCTTCTTATCTTCTTTAATAGTACTAACTTCTGTCTGTTGAGCACCTACTGCATATCAGGTACTTTTGTTAGGGGCTTTATGTACCTTTTTCTTACTACCTGAAAAGTTAGCATTCTTACAGCCTTTTACAAATTAGGAAAAAGTTGAGTCACTCAAGCATCCTAGCTGGTAAATTATGGCTGGAATTGTCCTTAGACCTAGACTCTAGTCTGCCTCCCTCTAAAGCCCTTTAGCTGAAAGAAGTGGTCTTTACCTCATTAAGGAAAGAATTCTGTAAAGGGTTCTACTACCCAATTGCACAAACCACAAGCACCAGAAACTTCATTACGATAATGAAGTAGAACCCTAAAGAGGTTTATAAATAAGAGACTTCCCAAAGACTTCAGCAGGATTACTGAGAAGGACTAAACCATTCTCTGTAGTAAAAATCACACCAATTGGTTGTATAACAGATTCTGATTCCCCTCACTAATGCCTTTTCACCATCAAGCAGTGAAATCTTAGGATATTCCCTCCTTGCCAAAATAGGCTCAGTTTTCCTCTGGATTCTCTTTTGGTGCCTATTTTATTTTAGTAATATTATGCCTCCTCAGGAGAATAATAATAGTAACTTCTGTACCAAAATAAAAATAATGATAATTATAATGATAATAAATATATAATAAAACCTATTTATTCAGGGCCTACCACTGTATTAGGTTATGTATTAGTTGCTTTATATATATTACCTTATTTAATTGTCACTATAACTTTATATGTCCCATTATTCTCGTTTTACCCACGAGAATACCCACGAGAAAACTGAGATTCAGGGAGACTAAACAGCTTGCCTAAGGTCACGCAGCTACTAGCAACGACAGCTCTGGGATTCTGGTCTACATACATATCACTTATTTAAAAACCAAACTCTTCTATTCAGTGGTCCTCTAACTGGAGTACACACCCCAAAGGGTGTGTATATCTTCATACATTTTTTGAAGGTATATAGTGTGCACTTCTAAGAAAATCAGTTTCTGGATCTTCAACCCTCCTACTTGAGATATTCTTTCCTAGAGAACAGACCTGTGTTCACAATAGCTCTTCATTTCCCTCACCTATTTTAAATCTTACTATGGGCACATTGCCCTAGGATGTAAAAACCTCAAAGAGCCAGGCAAAGGGAGGGTTTCCTTTGATGGGTAATGAAGGGACCATGAACCCTAGGCTTCCTGCCTTTCCTGGCATTATTCTTCTATCTATTAAAGGTGGAGAGTAGCATTCCCTATGCTGGGAAGTTGTGATTTAGATACATGGTAGAGTGGGGTGGCGGGAGAAGTGATACTTTTTTTTAATAGCCTGGCCTCTTTCATTTCCTGACTATTGAGGGAGAGTCTTATAAAAGAAAGCAGAAACTGTCCATAAGGAATATAGAATGCTAAAAATAGATTCAGTAAGACATTTACATGCAACCTTTTCCCAGTTATTTTCAAAGGAGTATTGCTTACTCCTTTATAGCTATAAAGCAAGTCGTGTCTGAACAACATATATGGGGTGGGGATGATACGGGAGGAGGGCAGAGGAGTGCAGAGAAGTGCTGGGAGAAGGAAGACAGGGTCCCTGGTGAGGGCCCCACCTCCGGGCCTGTGGGCACGGACCTAGGCGAGGACAGGCATTTCTGTTTTTGTGCCCAAATGTTGCATTTTCCAAGACCACCCCCTGTCCTGCCCCGCCCCCGTCCTGTGCCCATGAAAGCCCCGAGACCCTAGTGGGCAGAGACAGAAGTGGGTGGACATGGAGAGGAACACACTGGCCGAAGAGCACACCGACAGGCACCAGCAGACGCTGCCAGGCCATTGACCGACGAAACGACGTGGAGTTTGGTCGGGATGGTGGGAGGAGACCGCAGCCGCTGCCCGCCCCGACTACAGGGGAAAACCACCTTCCCACTGCATGCTCCATACCGCTTGTGGCTCCCCATCCATCTGCTGAGAGCTACTTCCACCACCCAATAAAACCTTGCACTCATTCTCCAAGCCCACGTGTGATCTGATTTTTCTGGTACACTAAGGCAAGAACCCAAAGTCCACTGTCCTTGAGATAGGGCAGAGGGTCTAATTGAGCTGATTCACACAAGCTGCCTACAGACGGCAAAAACTAAAAGAGCACATGGTAACACATGCCCGCCGAGGCTTCAGGAGCTGTAGACATTCACCCCCAGAAGCTGCCTTGGGGTCAGAGCCCACGCTCCCTACAACCTGCCTGTCTGCCTGCTCCCTCTAGGGGGTTTTGAGCAGCGGGGCACTGAAGAAAGGAGCCACACCCTCATCGCACGCCCTGTGAGGGGCACAAGGGAACTTTTCCTGTTTCAGTGACACTAATTCTTTTCATTGTAACAAGAAGCTTTTTCAAGATACATTAGCAAAAACACAGATGAAATTTTATGTGATCTCTTTTTCAGATCTGATAGTTAAAACCTATATTATAAAGTCATATGAAATATTTATTACAGTTACAACCAATCCTTATTTATCCTATAAAATTTTTAAATTATTTAAAACTCATTAACAAACAATAAAGATATGTGCTAGTGACAAATCTATATACAAGAAAAGATCAAAATTGATCATGATTCATATTTATAGGAAACGTATTCCCTATATGATTTTATATATTATTATAATCAATATTTATAAAAATATTTATTTGGTTGTGATCATCATAGTTTCAATGCAATTCAATATTTTAAAAAACATTGAACACTTTAGGTCACTGGAAATAAATCGAACATTTTAATTTCTAAATTTTAATTAATATACTTTTTAAAAATTGTAGCTATCATGAGGTGATCAAAGAAGTTAAACAAAAGACTTTTGACCGTAAAACATATCAGGATAGATTTTTTTTTGTGGGGAAGCAGAAGAGAAACATGAATTTAAATAGGATAAAGAAATATGTTAAATTTCCAAATGTTAAAAAATAAGCTTTCTTATGTTTTTAAAGTGAATGATGGTGGGTATCAAATGGTTGTGATATTACATTTTATTGGATAATGTAACAGTTTTATGTTGAAATGTCATATTTAAATATACCAGCAAATGTATATATGATTTTTATATGTCAACGTTAAAATCTGTGAGAGGGTACGTAGTTTTCAAAATTCTTGGGCATGCAAGCAAGAAATGCAGAAGACCCCTATTCTATATTACACATCTTCATTTTTATAATAAGACTTTGGTTATTAGTTACAGAATGATTTTGCTTAATATTGCTCAAGATATAGTCTTTGCTTACGAAGTTTTTTTTATTTTTTGACCCAAGGTCTCCCTCTGTTGCTCAGGCTGAAGTGCCATGGTGCCATCAAGGCTCACTGGAGCCTTGACTCTTTGGGCTCAAGTAATCCTCCCACCTCAGCCTCCTGAGTAGCTGGGACTACAGGCATATGCTACCACACCCGGCTAATTTTATTTTTATTTTTTATAGAGACAAGGTCTTACTAGGTTACCTAGGCTTATCTCAAACTCCTGAGTTCAAGTGATCCTCCTGCCTTGGCCTCCCAAAGTGCTAGGACCACAGGCATGAGCCACCATGCCTGGTCGATTAAGTTTCAGTTTCCTAAAATGTGCAGCAGGACTCAGTAAGATTTTTAACTTTGTAGGCATGGAAGGAGATATCCTTAGATGTGTGCCTACAGGACAGCTATCACTGGTGCTGGCCATTGAAAATATGTGCTTGATAAGATCAGAAGTATGGGTCAAAGTGAACTTGATTATTCAGTTTATCACTACATAAAGAAGGAAAGAATTTACTAAAGGCCATGGGCAGTCCAGAGAAGGATCATTAGAAAAGGAAACAGTAAAATAGCCTACTATATCTTGGTAGAGAAAGAAACACGTCACTGTTAATTTTTGTTAAATATTGGTAATATCAGTTCAATTAGTCCAATTGTAGTTATGTTCTGTTACGTTAAAAAAAAAGCCTTATATTTATGTATCTTAAGAACACACAATAATATAGCTTATAGTACTTAAGAAGTGGCCAAGTGTGGTGGTTTCTGGCTGTAATCCAAGCATTTTAGAGGGCTGAATTCTTGAGGCCAGGAATTTAAGACCAGCCTGGGCAACATAGTCAGACCCCATCTCTATAAAAAATAATTTTGAAAAATTAGCTGGGTGTGGTGGCACATTCCTGTAGTCCTAGCTACTCAGGAGGCTGAGACAGGGGGACTGCTTGAGGCCAGGAGTTCAAGATTACAGTGAGCTACGATTGTGGCACTGCACTCCAGCCTGGATGACAGAGCAAGTATCTTTCTCTAAAAACAAAACAAAACAAAACAAAAACTGAAGAGTTAAAATACATTGCTGTATTACAGTAGCCCCCAACCTTTTTGGCACCAGGGACCAGTTTTGTGGGAGACAAATTTTCCAGGGACAAATTTGAGAGGAGCAGGGGAGAGGTCAGATGATTTGGGGATGAAACTGATTCTCATAAGGGGCATGTAGCCTAGATCCCTTACATGCACAGTTCACAACATATATGCTCCTATGAAAATCTAACACCCCCGCTGATCTCACCAGAGGCGGAGCTCAGGCAGTAAAGCTCACTGGAAGCTGCTCACCTCCTGCTGTGTGGCCCAGCTCCCAGCGGGCCACAGACCAGTAGTGGTCTGTGGCCGCTACTGTGGGGACCCCTGCTGTATTAGACTAAACACTATAAAAATATTTTTATATTTTTCTCACACATATTTTTTGTTTACTTAGTCCTACTATTAATTGCTGCTAATTCACCCTAGCTAGTTCTGTTATTATTTTGTGTAAGTAATAGCATTTACATGACAGACAAGTGAAAAATGTAGAATAACACATAATTTCATATAAATGCCCATTTTCATAGTTTTATGTTAACTTAGGAATAATTTGTTATATATGTTATATTAAGATTTTTTGGATGTAGTATGCCTGGGTCCTTATTTGTCTCTCTAAAAAACTGATTACCTAGGAGAGACAAGGACTCAAAACATAGCCGGGCCAAAAAAAATGAATGTAACTTACATGGTTGACAAGATTTTTATACTTTTCATACTTCACGTCCCTTGTGGAAAAACACCTCTAGCTTTCTGAGATTAGCAGAGGGAACCTTATTTATTTATTTATTTTTTGAGATGGAGTCTTTTTTTTTGAGATGGAGTCTCGCTGTGTCACCCAGGCTGGAGTGCAGTGGCATGATCTCAGCTCACTGCAACCTCTGCCTCCCGGGTTCAAGTGATTCTCCTGCCTCAGCCTCTCCAGCAGCTGGGATTACAAGTGCCCGTCACCATGCCTGGCTAATTTTTGTATTTTTAGTAGAGACGGGGTTTCGCCGTGTTGGCCAGGCTGGTCTCGAACTCCTGACCTCAGGTGATCCGCCTGCCTCCGTCTCCCAAAGTGCTGGGATTACAGGTGTGAACCACGGCGCCTGGCCTGGGAACCTTATCTTTTAAACAGATATTGATATTTGGATTCTGATATTTTCTTGGCTATGACTAAAAATATATATTTTTAAATTGTTACCCTAAACAAATCTCACTAGTGAGTTAAATGGAAATGTACATGTGGGTATAGCATGCTGTGTTTGTAGGTGGTGAGAAGCTAGGAACCCAATCACTGAGACACACACACACACACACACACACACACACACTTGTCCTGAATCTTGGTCCTTTTCGTACTCTCTAGGACTCTCGGCTCTGACATTTTATTTCAGGTTAATTTTCTAAGGCCTGAATAAAGATAACATCTTGGTTTTAATCACACACACATAGACATTCTAAAATTAGCACTTATGCATGTACTCTGTCAAGAATGGTGACCAGCATATGTGTTTTCTCATTTCTCTTACTCTGTTATAATAAGGTGAGATGTGGGTGCTATTATTATACCTATTTTCCAGATAAAGAAACAGAGGTTTGGTGAGATTATAAAATATGCCCAAGATAACCTAGCTACTAAAGAGTAGAGATAAAATTTGAACCTAGATATTTATAACTCCAAAGACTGTGACTTCATCTTCATGAAGGCCTGGAGTGTGTCTATTTTTGTTCCCCGTTGAATCCTCAGGTTCTAAGCAGTTCCTGGCACATGGTAGACATCCAGCAACTATTTGGTAAATGAAAAGCCATACTGCTGTGTGGTCAGTTGAATCACATGCATAGGGAGCCTAGAGCCCTGTGGCAACCCTTGCTAGGGCACTATCATATCACCCCCTGCATTGGGCTCAAGTGGCATTCATCGACTCCCTAATTAGATGTGTGAATTCCTTGAGTGCAGGATCTTGCTTTATTGCCTCTAGTAAAGCCCCATAACTAGCATAGAGAAATAATGCCTGAATCATGGTAGGTCCTCAGTAAGTATGAATGAATAAAAGCCTGAAAGATATATCAGAATCTTGAAAATGGTGGCAAGATTTCTAGATTCTCTTTTGACTATTGCTTTAACAGTCAGACACCTACATGTGTCAAACCTCGTGGTCTTTACTTAGGTGGCAAAAAGGCAAGAACAGTGTTGCTAAGTCAGGGTATATTTTTGGCACCATTTTGGTGGATTTGTCAGGATAAGCAAAGTCTAAGTCATTGTGAAGAGGGCCAATGACCTTGCCACTCCAATTCCAGAAACCACACCCTTACTCTGTGAATCCAGTGAGACTGAGCCCCTTATTCTCTGACACACACTATCCTGTGCGTTCTTAAGAAGGTACCTAAATGATTGTCATGAATCTTCTATGATTTGGTGTGAAGAGGGACAGCAGAAAACTTGTGAATGATGAACTGGGTAAACCTACAGTGCTCCTCCCGGGATCACATCAGTCAGTGGATGAATGTAGGATTTAAATTCCGTCTGGGAAGTTAATCCTTTCTGGGTCACAGAAACTGGAGGTGGTGTTTTTAGTTAAAGCAGAATGAAAGTGAGCCATATCTCAGCCTTGATCTCCCTCACTTTCTGTGTAATCATGATTGCCACTTTAGGTTGCTCCATTTACTGGGAGGTATCTGCAAGGAAGACACCAGCAATCTCTTTTTTTTTTTTTTTGAGACGGAGTCTTGCTCTGTCACCCAGGCTGGAGTGCAGTGGCGCGATCTCGGCTCACTGCAAGCTCTGCCTCCCAGGTTCATGCCATTCTCCTACCTCAGCCTCCCAAGTAGCTGGGACTACAGTTGCCCGCCACCTCGCCCGGCTAATTTTTTGTATTTTTAGTAGAGATGGGGTTTCACCGTGTTAGCCAGGATGGTCTCGATCTCCTGACCTCGTGATCCGCCCGCCTCGGCCTCCCAAAGTGCTGGGATTACAGGCGTGAGCCATCCCGCCCAGCCGACACCAGCAATCTCTTTCTAGCAGTGCCATGGCAGTTATCCTGCTGCTTGACAAACCCCAGACTCAAATGCTTCTCACCAGTACTTTTTGGTCAGTAATTCTTAGAGGTGAGGGTTGAGGATGTGAAGCCAGAGGTATGTTTGCCCAGCAGTCACACATTTATGTTGATTGATACAATACTACTTTATATAGCACTTATAATTTTATGCAAAGCTCATCACGTTTCTTCAGAAAAATAATTAATATGCACTTCATGTGTTCTTTCCTTTAGTCCTACTACTTTGATATGGTTTGGCTGTGTTCCCACCCAAATGTCATTTTGAATTGTAGTTCCCATAATTCCTACATGTTGTGGGAGGGACCCAGTGAGAGATAATTGAATCATGGGAGTGGTTTCCCCCATACTGTTCTCATGGTAGTAAATAAGTCTCATGAGATCTGATGGCTTTATACGGGGAAACCCCTATCGCTTCATTCTCATTCTCTCTCTTGCCTGCCACCATGTAAGGCATGTCTTTCATCTTCCATCATGCTTGTGAGGCCTCCCCAGCCACGTGGAACTGTGAGTCCATTAAACCTCTTTTTCTTTATAAATTACCCAGTCTCAGGTATGTCTTTATCAGCATCGTGAAAACAGACTAATACACACTCCCTTACTTAGGATTTATATTTGTCTATATCTGTGTTTCCTCTGTAAATGCTGTGGGTCACTTCCATAGTATAGTTCTTCCTGGATAGTTTGAAAGCACAGACGCTTGATATCTATGCTGGTGTATGCAGCAGAAAGAGAAGTAGTAGTGATACTGAGATTTATAAGCAGTTACTATGTGTCAAGGAGTGGTCTAGGCACTTTTTATATATTATTTAATGTAATTTTAACAAATGGAGCTCATCTAGAAGGTTGAAGAGATCATACAAGTTCTCCTGAATAATCCAGCATTTGATGGAGCTGTGACTCAGGTCCAGATCAGCCTGATTTCACTGGTCTTCCAGTATTTCTTATCTCCGTGAATGGCACCAGCATGCCCTGGTGTGGGAAGCCAGGACCTGGGGGACAAGGTTCACCTCTCTCACCTCTTCTAATTCCCGAGCATTGCTGGGTCCTGTCGCTCTTTCATCCTCATAGCCCTCAACACTCTATTTCTGTCCATCTTCTGTGCTCTGCTCCATTGTTCCCATCATTTCTTCCCCGGCCTACTGTACTGCTTCCTACCTAGACTTCTCAGTTGGGCTTTGGTTCCCTCCAATCACTTACCCACATTGCAGCCAGAGCAATCTTTAAAAACAGTGTAAGTCAAACCATGCCACTCCCCTATTCTCATTGTTTTTATAATAACGTAGCTATACCGGTCTTGAGTATCTTTGGATTTTGGAGGCAACACGTACCACTTATGTGTGTGCTGCTCAGCCCTTTGCCAAGCAGCCTAATGGGCTGACAGTTTAGCATGCGGCCACAGTGAGAGATGGCTCTGCAATAGGCCCAGGTTGTGGTGTGAGCCACCTTTCCACTTAGGCCTCATGATCAAAAGATTCAATGGAATTCAGAATGTTAGCGGAAAATAAGAATTCTCTCTTTCTCTCTACAGACTTCTCTTGATAAAGCCTCTGGCCAGTCTAGGATTTGGAAGCAGAGCCATGTGCTCGTTTGTTGATTCTCCTTTTGAAAAGCATCTTCTGCATTGCTTCTGGACCCCAGGAGACACTGAACACATTACCATGGCATAGCAAGTGACCATGCGGCCTAAGCTGTCCATCCTAAAGTGGGCACTGTTTGATTCACCAGACCATAATGTGTGCAGCACAATTAATTGTCAAGTGGAAGTGGGATATATAAGATTGGGTTTGAGCATGTCTGGAAAGCACTAGCAAGTTCCATGAGCCAGTGGCCCAGACACTCACAACATCTGCTGCTATAGATAGGGCTGCTCAGTATGCTGGTCCACCCAGAGTGGACTGTTGCAGCATACAGGCCCAGCAGGGGTGGCCGTGAATTACAGCAGTGAAGATCTTCCCACTAGGTAGGAGTTTTGGCAGTACAGCTGGTTGGGCTCATCGGCATGGAATTCTCTGCTCCAAGGTTGATTTGACTACCTATTACTGCTTAGTGCCCAACTGCCCATATTAGTGGCCAATGGGCATGGACATGGCCTCATTCTTTGGAGAGTGGGATGGGGAAAGTAACCAGCCACCTGAAGGCAAATTAATTACGCTGAAGCCTGTTATGGACTAAGTTGTATCCTCCCTAAATTCATATGTTGAAGTCCTAACCCCAAGTACAAAATAATGTGATTGTATTTGGAAATAGGTTCTACAAAGAGGTAATTAAGTTAAAATGAAGTCATTAAAGTGTGTCCTAATCCAACATGACTGGTGTCTTTATAAGAAGAGGCAATTTGGACACAGACTTATAAAGAGGGAAGACTATGGGAAGACACAGGGAAAAGACGGCCATCTACAAACCAAGAAGAGAGGCCTTAGAAGAATCTGCCACTGCTGACACCTCGATCTGGGACTTCTAGCTTCTGGAACTCTGAGAAAATAAAATTCCTATTGTTTAAGCCACCTGATTTGTGAGACTTTGTTATGGCAGGCCCAGGAAACTAATACAGAGCCTTTCCATTGCGGAGGGCAAAGCAGTTGGTCCTCAGTGGAGTAGACACTCATTCTGGGCATGGGCTTTCCTTCTTTGTCCATAGTGATTCAGCCAGCATCAGGTAAGGAACTCTCTGCCCGGTGTAGGTACCGGCTGATCTTGGGGTCATGGCTGAATGATGGTTTCCTTCTTTCACCACACATTTCATGATATCCTCACCCTCCACAGGAGCTGCATCAGGACCTGATGGAGAAGACTTCATGTCACCTGGAGACTTGAGATGAATACAAAGACTGCTGAGAGTTTCTTCTCTCTTGTAGGGAAGAGGAAGAAGCATCTTGTTTGTATAATGGTTAGTGCCTCACATTAGGAGGAAGCAGGAATTACCATAGGAGCTGGCCTACTACATAGATCCACAAAGGTTTGAGCTTCCACCAGGTGAGTCCAGACCCTGGGCTGCAGAAACACTATCCCTTTTTTTGTGCCCCCCAGACTAAGGCTGAGAATGGCTTCCTGCTGTTGCTAATTTCTAGGTTCCCTCATCATCCTCTTTCTTTTCAGCTCTTTCTTCACCTGTAAAACCAATGCCTTACCTTGTTTTTTCTCTGTTTTAAATGTTCATAGTGGTTTCTATCATTCTGCTTAAACTGCCACTAACATGGTGGCCTAAAGACCATGATCATTTGGTCTCTGCCAACCTGTCTGTCATTCCAGACCACTCTTGCTAATTGCTTTTTGGGTGTCTTCCATATTATTTCCCCCCATTTCCTTGAATGTTTTAGCCTCCTTCTGCCAGAGAATCTTTGCACACGCTGTTCCTCTTAGAAAGAGCAGGAGAGTTCTTCCCTTCCCTGCCAGTTAACTCCTCTCAATCAAAAGATCATGTTGCAAATGTCAACTTCTCAGGGAAGACTTTTCTGACTGCAAATCTACATCAGATACTTCATTATATTTTCTCTTAGAACCACAGTCTTTCCTCCAGAACACTTAGTATATTTTAAATGACATATTCACTATGTGGCTAATTAATCTTCCCTCATTAGATGGAAAATTCCATGAGATCCAAGATCGTGATGTTTTTCAGTCACCATTTTATCTCTAGCATCTAGTGTGGTGCCTGGCATATACTGAAAGTTCAATAAATACTTGTTGAATGAATGAGTGAACAAATGAATATACTCTTTCTGGAGTAGCAGTTCTAAACTTCAGCTGCACGTTGGAATCACCTGGGGAACTTAAAAAAGTACTGATACACGAGTCCCACCCCTAGAGCTTTTAACTTAATTGGTCTGCAGTGCAGACCTAAGCGTCAGGATTTTTGAAAGCTCCCCAGATACTTCTAGTGAGCGTCAAGGTTGTCATAGATGGAGAGTTACAAGAGTCTTAGCATGTGTGTGTATGTGTGTGAAGTGTGTGAACATGTGTGTATGTGTGAACATTTTCACATAGACACATTTTTACTTGTGGAGGGTTTGGAATGTATTCAATAGGTCTTTTTTTTAAATCAGTATTTATACAGAATAGCACTTCATCCTCTTTCACTCAAGTTCAGTTTCTTTGGGGGCTATTGTAGGTGACCTCTTGATTGGTTAGACCAAATCACTTCTGAGGTCACTTTCAACCTTGAGAGCTTAGCTTTAAAAAAAACTTTATATCGCCGCCAAGTAAAGACAGTTGGAATATTAAATGTTTATTTTTTAGGTGGAAGAACTATTTTCAACTCTGGAATCAATGCACTGATTTGCAGCTAACAAGCTTTGACATTCTACAATCCTTGTAGAAAATCTCAATGAATTAAAATTCCAATCACATAGATTCCAGTGTTGTCTCCCCATCAAGATACCGCCTAATGGGAGATTGCAACCAACCCCCTCCGTTTCCTAAATGTTTTCAGCTAATGCATTGCCTGACATCTGTGATGACTCACTAAGCTGCTGTTTGAAGCAAATCTGCTATTTGCTCAGTAATCCTTTCAGGTGGAGATCAGACATCTGTTAGTGAAATAATTTTTATGAGGCAGAGGTAAATCTTTCCAGCACCCAGCTGGTTAATGCAAGCAGATTTTCCTGTGGGCTCAATTGCTTGGAGGTCAGATTTCCTTTTTTTCCCCTCCAAATGCTGAGGCTTATGTGCCGTGGGCAGACGGAGGGCCCTGCAGCATCCTCTGCCTTGCTCTGTCTCTAGTGACCTCACCAAGGATAGGTGCAAACTCAAGCAGCGGTTCTCAATGACTTTTTAAGAGTCATGTCCAAGCAAAGTCTTCTCACTCACTGTGTTGTCTGCTAATGCATATCAATACAGAGATTTCTTTGGAGCTTTGCTCTCAGCAATTTGTATTAGTAAACCAGGAGCACATTGAACATGCTTTTGAAAACCAGATGTTATCTCCCCTCTTGAGATTTTAATACTATCTCCTCCTGTGAAAGCATCATTTGCTTGCTGCAGTGTGTGTGTGTGTGTGTGTGTGTGTGTGTGTGTGTGTGTGTGTGTGTGAGATGAGTGACAGCTGAGACTATCCCAGTGATTCTAAACCACCATGGGGCCGATTAGAACCACGTGACCCATATGTCCCTCCAGACTTAAGCACAACATCTCAGGCCCTGAATAGGACAGACCTCCATCTAGTGCTCTCTGGCTCTGAGAGCCTCCTGGGTGGAACAGTGATGGGAAAGCTTCCAGTTCCCATTAAGTACAGTTGTTGGCTCTGTGACTTTTTTATCTGCTCAATCTCTATTGTAACATTCACTTTGGTTTAGAAAACTCCCTTACGATGACCTTTTAATGGAAGGTCAGATTGACCATTCCATTTGCTTCATTATACTTCCTTAAAGGTGTAGTGAAATGCAGTGTGTGTGTGTGTGTGTGTGTGTGTGTGTGTCCCAGAGTAATCCACCTACACAAACCCTTTTTAGCGGAGTGTGGTTTCAAATGGGGTCAAAACAAAACAGAAAAACAAGAAAAAACAAGCTGGCCAGGTACAGTGGCTCATGTTTGTAATCCCGCCAACGTGGGCGAATCACGAGGTCAAGAGTTCGACACCAGCCTGACCAACATGGTGAAACCCTGTCTCCACTAAAAATACAAAAATTAGCCAGGCGTGGTGGCGCACGCCTGTAATCCCGCCTACTCGGGAGGCTGAAGCAGAAGAATTGCTTGAATCTGGGAGGTGGAGCTTGCAGTGAGCCAAGATCGCACCACTGCACTCCAGACTGGGCAACAGAGCGAGACTCCATCTCAAAAAAAACCAACAACAACAACAACAAAAACCAAGCTAACTTGTAGCAAATAGAAGTCTTTCCTGCTTTCGATACAGTTTAAAGTGCTGTAACTTACAGTTTTTGGAGTTAACTTCCTTACCTCTACCTTTGTTTCTCATATTCATTTTTAACCAGATCATTTCCCCATGATCAGCTTGCTCCAGGGTCATCAGCTACGTCCACTGGAGGCACGCCTCATTTTCCACACAGGATGTTGAGATGAGCATTTGATTTTGTCCCTTTGATGTTCTATCAATTTGTCTTGTTTCCTGGAGCGGTGTGGATGCTCTATGGGGGTGCATTTCCAGGTCCCATTAGTGGAGGACAAAGGAAATAAGAGGAGGCACTGGAAACAAGCCCCAGGAGCAGAGCTGGGCCAGGAAACAGGTGTGAGCCATAATGGAGGAGGGAAGTCAGAGCTTAGAGCCATTGGGGCAAGTTCAAGGTCATAGCCTGACAGCAAGTTTTGGTGGTCTGTGTTAGAAGGAGATTGGGAGCAAGTCTGGTAGAAGAAGTTTACAATTCTCCTGAGCAATGAGGGTGATGTCTTCTAATTTCATAAATTTTGGAGTTCATCATCAGGGAAGAATCCCAGCTGAGCACTGGAGGCAATTCCCTAATGGGCACATTGACCCCAGAAGCCTGTGAGTCATGTCTGGGTAAGAGAGTATTGGTGAGGGTCATAAGCTATAAGCTATTGTCATAAAGTCAGGAGCACCTCTGGAGTCATCTCCCTCTGAAGGGGAAGGCTGCCCTCCACCCCCCGTTCCTCCCTATTTACCTTATAATTTTCTGCCCTCTCACTTGTAGAGGATCTTCCACTGCTCTTTTATTTGGACATAAAAAACATTTATTGAGCACCTACTATGTGTCAGGCACTGTTTATGCACTGATAATACAATGGGGAACGAGACAGACAGCTCTGATTTGTTCAGTTGTGACAATGAGACAGTGATGTGATTTATGGTTATTGATATGATGATACCAAAAGCTACCAGCAAAGAATCTGTTTTCTCTCTTTCACATAAAGGTTGCAACTGACCCCACACAGAAGGACAGCTCTGCAGAGATAGAATATGGTGGGACTCCAGTCAAGGTGGCAGTTTTCCTGGGTTTCTGGTCCTGGGGGGCCTCAGCAGCTGATGATTCTCATATGAATGAATCAGACTGGAAGGTGCTAGGAGTTGGTCCTCCAGGACCCTCCCAACGGTGCTGGAGGCTGGAACTGATGTATGCTTGTCCACCAAGAGCAATGACAGGGAGCCACCTTGGGTGTTTTGGTGCACTTGCTGCAGTACTGGGTGGAGTGAAGTCCAGTTTCTCAAAGCCTGTTTCCTGGGCATCTCATCTCTCCAGCAGACGTACGCTTTAGGGCTGCCTGAAGTAAACAAGGAAACAAATGGATGTATAATTTAAGGTCAGGTGATGAAAAACGCTACTGAAACATAAAGTAGGATAAGGGGATCGTGAGTGAAGATTTGGTGGTTATTTTGGGGTAATGAGAGGAATCCTTTGAGGAGGTGACATTTAAGCAGAGGCTTAAAGGAAGTGAGAATAAGACAAGTGCAAAGGGTTGGGGAAGAGAATTCCAGGCAGCAGGAATGGCAAATGCAAAGGCCTGGAAATAGGAACTGGCTTGATGGGTTCAAAGACAGCAAGAAGTTGGGGGTGGTTGGAGGATTGTGAATGATGGGAGAGGAGGAGTGGGAGGTGAGGTCACAGGGGTGGGAAGGGATCAGATCACAAGAGGCCTCAGAGCTCAGGTAAGGAGTTGTTCTTTCTCCCTTTCCCAATAGCTGGCATGCACGGGAGTGAGGAGAATATGCCGGATCTGAGAGCCAGCTTTGTTGTTTTTAGGGGAGCTGAGGCTAGGTGGGTGAGTGCAGGCAGGAGCACATCCTCTGACAGGGAAAGTCAGTGGAGTCACCCTTGCTGGGCCAGTTGCTGACAAGAGGATGAGCCTCAATTCCACGACTGCCTAGGATGTTTATGGAAGAGTGGTACCTAGTAATATAAAAATTATATTGTTGTCCTACTGAGGCATCTGTCTTTTCTTTCTAATCAGTTTAGCTATGTTTCAGAGAAGAAAGTGCTCTTTCTTAGCCCATCCCTTAACCAGAACCTGACCTTGTGTAACTACACCCTTGTCCTTTGCTTGAAAAGGGTGGGGTCTTTTTCATTCAACCCAGGTGTATCAGATTTTATACTGGGTCCCCCCACCTTTTTTTATTTTTTTGCTAGTTATGCCACTGTACATTATGCTTACAGTAGACGTACAGCTCTTAAGATTATTTTAAAGTTTATATCCCAATTCCCCTTTCTAAAAGTTTAAGATGGTGGTCTTTGTCAGTTTGGGCTGCTATAACTAATTACCATAGACTAGCTGGCTTAAATAACAAGTTTCTTACAGTGCTGGAGGCTAGAAATCCAAGATTGGGATGCCAGTATGGTTGGTTCATCCAGGTTGCAGACTGCTGACTTCTTGTTGTATACTCACATGGTGAAGGGAGAGTTCCATAGCCTTCTGACCTCTTCTTAAAAGGGCACTAATCCTATCCAGGAGGGCTTCACCCTCATGCTCTCATTATCTCCCAAAGCCCCCTCCTCCAGATATCATTACAGTGGGGGTTAGATTTCAAAATATGATTTTTTTGGGGGGGACACAAACTTTCAGTCCATAGCAGATGGAGTTAAGTCATTTTAAAGGTTAGTCATGGATATATCTTAGATAAAAGCAACTCTGCAAGATTTGAAGAATCAGAAGCAGAAAAACACTCCCAGAAATCAACTTGAGATGAACATGAAGGACTCCCGGAAGGTTCTGTAAGTTTGGTAAGGCATTTTGTTGGGGGCAGCACTAGCCCTATAAAACATTACAAACCCACATATACCAAAAACACACTCTTGCTAGGCCTATACAATCTCAGGAGGTGTTACTAGCTGAATATTCTCACATGTGACCGCTATATCATTTTAGGGATCTGTTAAGGTTGAAATTAACTCAGCCTCCTTTGGAAATGTTTGTTTGTGGCACAAATGTCATTAAAGTAGGCAATGGAATCAAGAGTCATCTAATGCAAACTTCTTCTCTATGAAGCAATTTCTTCTACAATCTTTTCTCAGATAGAGTTTGAAGGACACCCGCTCAAATTGGGACAGGTCTCTCACTTTCTTCACAAAGTGACCCATTTCCTTATAGGATGGATGACTTTAGTCTAACATTCTCAAGGGTATTTCACAGAGGACTTGCTTCAGGAGACATTAAGAGATGAGTCATGAAAACTAAATTAATAAATAAAAGAAGAGTTTGATTCTGTGGTCAGTTAAGTTTGGGACAGCTTCTTGGAGAAATTTAAAGCATACTAACACATTAAAGGATTTGACGAATCCAGCAATGAAGAAACCTGCTTACTTTGACTAACTCTAAGATCCCCAGACTTACCCATGGCTATTAGCATTCAGCTGGAGAGTAGCCCGTGGGGAAATAATCTAGGGGAAAGCTGTCTTAATTGTTGGAAATATCCTCATTTATTGCATAAAATTAGTCTCCCTGTAACTGTCACCCACTGGTTCTACTTCCCTCAGGAGTTACTATGAATAAGTCAAATCCTTGCTCCAAAGGTCAGCCCCTTGGCTAGAAGAAGCTAACATGTTCCTCAAAGGTTCTCTGGACCAGAAAACAAAAACAAAACCCAGCTTCAGTCACTACAACTGCACCTTGTCTAAGATCACGCTATCCTCTGTAGTTTGCCCCAGCCCCCTTAATGTGGGCTGTCCAGACCTAGGCACAATTCCCCAGATGTGGTTTTACAAATGCAAAATACGTATTCTTTCCCCTTGATCTGGACACCACACTGGGGCTGGTGCAGATTGTATTTACTTTCGTAGCAGCCCTGTTAGCTGTTGTTTCTTTTTAAGTTAGTGGTCAACCAAAAGCCTCCCAGCCTTTTTCCCTTGACTGATTGCCAAACCAGTTCTCCCTCATTCTCTATTCATAGGGTGGGTGTGAGGACATACTGCTTCCTGCCTTGTCCTTTCTCAAGCTTCACAAACAAACAAGGCCACTTAATTCCTATTGGCTGGCTCAGCCCCTCTCTGTATTCTAAAACCATTTCAGACCCTGCGTGGAGAGACATCTGCAGACCCAAAATCCATCACTTGTCAGCGTTCCTCAGCCTTGTTGCTGACCTCACTCTGATTTGTCCTCTAGGGACCAAGCCTTTGGCTCTTGCTTTTTTGAGACCACATATCAAGTCCCAGAGTCACTGCCTGATTTCTTTCCTGAATACTGTCTTTCCTAGTTACTCTTGGATACCTGACTGGTGACTGCTGAAGAGCAAGCTGGGAGAGCCAGCAGCGTGCATACTTTGCCAATGCCACGTGCAGCCACCTTCTAGGCAGGCACCTTTCATCCTGTTTAGACCTCTCTGTTGCTGGCTACATATCTATCTCAACCTTTGCCTGTTTTCTTGTAGGAATCCTGCTCCCTCTCTCTGACACCTGTGGACTTCTGTTATGAATGGCAAATACATAGCACATCTGCCATCCTTCCCCTCTCCTTCATCCATCACAGATTTTGGTAATCAGCCTCAGCACTCTTTCCAATTCAGCCTGGACACTGTCTCAGATACTTCCGTAACACTGTGCTCCAGGTAGCCTTGCCCCGTCAACTGGAATTGTTATGCATGTTGAAACCTATTTGCTATCCTG
Source organism: Homo sapiens (assembly GCF_000001405.40). Taxonomy (NCBI): domain Eukaryota; kingdom Metazoa; phylum Chordata; class Mammalia; order Primates; family Hominidae; genus Homo; species Homo sapiens. The sequence continues at coordinate 220,369,439 of NC_000001.11, forward strand.
GGCTATACCATTTGCCTCCAAAAAGTAGGCCTATCCTTACTGTGTTAGTATTGTTTTGGATATAACTTGTTTAGTATTTTCATAACTTCTAGCTTAATCTAGAAGGCTTTATGCATCCTGGTATTGTTCTGTCAGGACTATGCCTCTCTTTCATGTAGGTAATGGTTAAGAGCACGGGCTCTGGAGTCAGACGGTCTAGCTTCAAATCCAGATTTGGGAAATCTACCAATTGTATGACCTTGGCCAATTAACCTTGTGAACCTCAGTATTCTCATTTGTAAAATGGGTGTAATAAGAGTACCTACTAAATATAGTTGCCTTAAGGATTGAATGTGGAAATGTTTATACAGAGTTTAGCACGGTATCAGGTATACATTAAGAATTTAATGCAGCAAATATCAACTAAACACACACACACACAAATTACTTGTCCCAGCCCCACTTAAATCATCATTGAGATTGTTTGGGATTACATTATTAGAATCATATTTAAATTACTCTGAAAACTTTCACCTTCTATTAACCATGATCCCCTTTAGAACTTCCGGGCTTAGTATTTTCCTTATGTTGTCTCTGAGAGCCTGACTTCCGTTCTCCCTGCTAGGCTATCCCCAGGCGTTTCCTTCCTTGATTCATGAACTCTAAGATGACTAGATCACCAGGTCGGCCCCAAGTATTATCTGCTGTATCAGCAATTTGGCCATGTTTGAGTCCAAATAGTGATTCCTCTCTTCACTCTTTCTGCCTTCTCATTGAAGCCACCCTAAAAATAGAGAGCAGTTCCCTCAGGGCAGATAGATTTGTGCAATGTATGTGTAATGCAAACCAAATGTTAGGATCAGGCCCAGCCACTCTGGAGCCCATTTGTCAAAAACAAGCAAGACTTGAGGCACTTTCTCTAAAGCACAGTAGCCAAATCTTCCACATGGAGTCAGTTTAAGCTGAGCCAGTGGCAAGTGCTAGGAAACTGCATTATCCCAGGCTGGCTAGCTCTGTCTCTCCCTAGGTTATTTTCAGAGGTCCTGGCACTTCCAATTAAGGGGTCATTGCGAGTGCACTCACTGAGTGCATGTGAAAGGGATCATATTCCCAAGATGAGGCTGGGAGAAGGTATTAGTCAGCAGCTGTGAAAGCGGCTAGCAGGCTCACAGGGCCGGGAGCACACATTACTGTAGGATTGATCATGCCACCTACACTCTCACCTCACACCCTCTCAACACACCCACACCAGGCTCTCTTTTTTTGTCTCTGATTCTAAGAAAGGCTCAGGATTAAAGGAACACAAGCTGATTAACCAGAATCCTGGTCATTCCAGGTCCTGGGAGAGGGAGTGACAAGGTTTACTCAGAATGGCATGACATGGGCAAAGATACAGGGAAGACCAGGTCCCAGATATCAGAAACAGGACCCAGAGTGGGCACTGGTCTTTGGAAGTGAGGCAGAATTTTAGGTCCCGAGGTTGGACAAGTGGCGAGTGTGAGTGTGATTGGTTCTGACTCTTGATTAGGCAGAGATACTTTAAATCTCTCCTACTCCAGCATAGGCTCTGCAGATGGAGATAAGCCTGGGCCAGGTAAGAATCAAAAGTCCCCTGCTATGGGAATAAGAGGGGACCCCAGACTAGGAACTGGGCTGGACCTCAACTATGGCACCCTGGCCTATACCAATTCATTTTGCTATGTCTTGTTTGTGTCAGCCCCAGTGACTCTTCGAGGGCAAGGGACATTCTTAATGTTGGCTGACAGGCACCTGTCACTCTATCCCTCTCCACCTCTCCAGGTTACACTGCTGTGATTAAAAGTAGTGTGAGGCCAGGGAGTCTGAGGATTCAGGTGAATTTAACAAAGTCAGGCAGGTAGTTACCTGAGGTGACAGACAAATATGCTGAGAATCCAGGACTCGAAAAACTGAAAAGATAAGACAGATGGGGTAGGTAGAATGTGGCAAGTCCAAGGAGAATAGCAAGGCTCAGTGGTCTTAGCTATGTCTGTAAGGTTACAGTGGCCCGGAGGCTCAGGGTTCCACAGGTAGAGGGGTCTGAGGCAGTGGTCCCAGAGAGCAGGAATACAAGCAAGCCCTGATCGCAGGCAGGATGCAGTGCTCTTCTTTCATGCTCCCTTACGATTAACCACAAGGTGGTGTAGGTGGCCCTGAGTGTAGGTGGGTGTAGGTTGCCCTGGGTCCTTGGGTAAGAAATTGCCAGAAACCTGTGGGTGCACCCTGCTTCTGAAGGAATAAAGACAGAGGTTCCAGTATAGCTGGAAGGTCTCCTACAGTCAGTGTGTGACTGTTGTTGGACTAGATACAGAAGTCCTCTTGGCCATGGAACATTTTGTTTGCCCAGGCGCCAAACTAGTATATGACAGTGGATCAGTCACCTGGGGGCCCAGGGGCTTTGTTCATATTTGTAAGAGGTTGATGGAGAGGCCCTGAAGTGGTAACACAGGCTGGAGACTCTATGGACTTTGGGATTTCATCAGAAGGATCATGGGATATGGAAAGCACTAAGGAGTATCTGTGCAAAGCTTTGAACTCTCCTTTCACTGTCTTTATGTCAAGCATCACTGTTATTTAGGAGCTTTGAGATCCCCATATAAGAGTCTTTTGTCAAGTTAAAAGTTAGAAGAATAGTAATAAACACTGCTTTTGGGGAAAGTTGTGGCAATTTGAAGAGCTGCTGATAAAATAGTTGTCATCTTTCCGTTCTCTGAGCCCTATGTATTAACTGGCTACTTCAGGAAAATTTGCACCAAGTATGGAAGACAGCAATCTGAACATCAACTTCTACAATTTAAAACTTTCTGGAACTTTCTTTTCCTATCCATTTGTTGTTTAGCTAACATTGTTGGTTAGTTCCTTATACATATTTACCAGAAATAAAAGGGATCCAGAAACTTCTGAGAGGGATTATAAAGCAGGTCTGCTATCTCTCCTCTCTCCTGTAAGTTGAGAATCAGCTGAGATTTCCCAGAGGAAAATTAATTCCATTTTTGATGCTTCTGAGCAGCCATAATGCTGGAAGTGTGAGTGTGTTCATCTGAGACGAGGTCAAGCCTTGCCCCTTCTCATTTGCCCTCCTTTAATTCTTCAGCGGAGCCCAGGATTTCAGGTTCTGGCTGACAACAAGTACCCCTACTCTCCCATGCCTTGCCTCTGCTTTGAGCAAATAAACCTAAGCCGAGCTCTGCCCCGACCAAGCTTCCCCATCGGTGGCCACTTTTTCTCACCAATTTCATTTGTATAACCCCTGGCTCTCCGGAGCATGGTATTGTGCATGGGGCTAGTGATGCTTGTAGACCAAGGCTGAGCTGCTTTTGTTATTTACATTCAACTGAACAACCACTTAACAATAATTCATCTCTGGGTTTAGTGAAACGATTAAAATGGGGTCATTGTCCTCATGGAGCTCATGACCTGACCCCTGTTGATAGCATCTGTGGCTCTGGCCACAGGAAGGTGCATAATGGTGCTATCCCTGGGCTGCCACTGGATGTGTTCTGTGACCTCCTTTGCTGGCACTCCTGGAGTCAGAGGTACCATGTGTAACTTTCTGTCAACACAGCCTCACCCATGAGAACACTAACACCACCTGACCTTGCGGTTACTTTGTTCCAGGCTTTCTCCTCCTTCTTCTAGGGTTCGAGCTTTCTCAATCTTTATCCAGGGCCTCAGCTCTTGAATAGCCCCTGTGGGAAGCTCCTTTCTGTGTTAGCAGGCAGCTCACTTTCTCTTGGAATATGTTGGCAGAAGAAGGGTTTAGCAAGTAGGAGGGAACCCTCGTCATGTTACTACATTTCTGTGTCCATGATGTGACTTGAAATATTAATCCAATTTGTTGTGCAGGAACCCTGGATAGCAACTCCTAATCTTGCCTGAATTTCAGTAAAATGTGGGGGAACCCAGTGATCCCATATAGATTGATGGCAAAGAGCTTATCAGGTAATTTCCTAATATCCAGGCACTGGCCCATTGTCACTTAGCATCTAATCTGTTCCTTGCTCCCAGGATTCAAGGAAATATTCCTGATGATATCTCTATTTTCTCTTCCTCCAGATGGGCAGTCCTCTTCAAAAAGCTCATAAGCAGTTCTGGCTCACAGGTGTCTTAAAATTGTAGCATTGCCGAGTTAGCAAAGAGTTAGAAACATTTATATGCCTATCTATAGGAACATCCTTGTCTTAGTCCATTTTGTACTGCTATTACAGAATGCCACAGACAGGGTAATTTATTATGAACAGAAATATATTGGCTTATGGTTCTGGAGGCTGGAAAGTTCAAGATCAAGGGGCCAGTATCTGGAGAGGGCTTCTCTTGCTACATCATCCCATGGTGAAAGGGCAAGAGAGGGCAAGAGAAAGATTGAGAAGAGGGCCAAATTTATTTTTTATAAGGAAACTACTCCAGCAATAGCAACATTAAATTCATTCATAAGAGCAAAGCCCTCATGAACTAATCATGTTTTAAAGGTTCCACCCCTTTATACTTTTACAATGGTGATTGAGTTTTCAACACAAGCTTTTTGGGGTACAGATTCAAACCATTGCAATGGTTAAATTCAAAACAACCTATAAAATGATATGCAGCGATTTCAAAGAGTGAAGTAGATCTATAGACACTGATGTGGAAAGACATTATGGTTATGTTGTTAAAAGTAAACAAAGTTTTATAACAGTTTATAGTATGATCCCATTTTGAGAAAGTTCTGTATATCAAACTGTAATTCAAATATACATCAAACTCTATAATGCAGTGATTATTTCTGTAAGAGAGATGAGTTTACTGGAGACAAGCATTCTGCTTGGCGTATATTGCTGTATTGATTGAGTTTTATAAGCATGTGTTAGCTTTATGATAAAAAACTCAACACATCTGAAATTATGTCAAAATATGGTGTGTTCTCATTTCATTAAATGAATAAATGAATAAGCTATGGTTCATACATAGAAATATTCCTTCCATATACAGAGAAGAGGTCTCTGAAAAACCAGTGAAAACTGGGCATGTTGAGTTGTTGTATCAGTTAGGGTTTTTGGGTGAAAGTAACAAAGACCCACCTTAAATGAGAAACAGGAATGTATTGGGAGAAAACTGAAGGAAGGGTTGAGCAACCTGGCCTCAGGGAGAACTGGACTGAGGTCAGTTGCTGGGATCTCAGTATAGGAGCCCACAGACCATCACTATGTGTCTAGGGTAGTAGGAACCATGGGACACAACCACTGCATGACTCAGCAGCAACAGCATAGAAGTTCTGTGTCTCTGATTAGGATCCAAATTCCCAGGAAAGAGAATCTGCTTGGCCAAGATTGGATATTTCCACCCTGTTAACCCAGGTGGGTGAAGAGGACTGTGATGTGTGGCCCGCCATGGGACTTCACGCATCAGAAAGGGAGTTCCACTGAGGAAAGGGCTGCTGTTTCCTTAAGGTGAGATGAGATGTAGAGCAGATAAAAATCAACAGATTTCTACTGTAATTACTATTTTGAGCAATGGCATAAAGTTGTACTGAATCAGCCATATTCTCTTGCCTGTTGTGACCCATAGCAAGTATTTTTGACAGAAAAATGAATAGAGAATAGTAATAATATCATCCATGACAAAATGATATAACTGATGTCAATTAGCTCATGAGACTTAGAGCCACGACATTGGCATCATTAATGTTGTGCTTGAACTGATCTAGTTAATCATCCATGGATAATATGCCCCACTCACATGCTCCCTGGTGGTCCCTGCTCCCCACAGGTCTAGCGGAACAGGGCAGTGCTCTAACACTGGTGTCAAGCTGGTGAGAGGCTACCTCCCAGGGTTTCCTTCTGACCATTTAATGTCAGGCAGTGCTCAGGAGTATGAAAGAAATCAGGCAATTTTCACAGCTATAAAGTAATGGGGTCAGACCACACGATCTGCAAATTCTTACCCAGCTCTGACGATCATGTTTAATTCCTCAAAAAGTTGTCAGGCTCATGAATCAGAGCTGTATTAAAAGTAAAATGCCATTCAGCATATCAGCCTCAGATTTGTTTTGGAGTTTGATGCAATTTTATATTCACATTTTGCTGACTTTTTAGATCAATTTTCTGAACATTGGTTAGATAGCGTATGTTGAGATAACATATTGCCTAGAGTAGATTTCAATGATGGCTTCCTGAGATGAACCGTCTGAGAAATCTGCATCATTATTTATTGTGTTCTTGTCTTAAAGATGTATTCGTTAAGGTTCTCTGGAGAAGCAGAACCAATAGGAGATATATATGGTGAGAGAAGGTGAGAGAAAGTGAGAGAGAGAAAAGAAGGAACTGACATATGTGATTATGGAGGCAGGCAAGTCCAAATCTGCAGTGTGGGCTGGAAGCCTGGAGACCCAAGAGAGCCAGTGGTGCAAACGAAGTCTGAAGGCAGTCTTCTGAAGAATTCCCTCTTGCTTGGGAGGAGGGGCACTTATTTCATTCTAGTCAGGCCTTCAACTGATTGGATGTGGCCCACCCACTTCATGGAGGGCAAGCTGCTTTACCCAAAGTTCACAGATTTAAATGTTAATCTTACACAAAACACTCTCCAAATTGACACATAAAATTAACTATCAAAAAAGGGCTGGGCGTGGTGGCTCACACCTGTAATCCCAGCAATTTGGGAGGCTGACGAACTGAGGCAGATGAACTGAGGTCAGAAATTCAAGAGCAATCTGGCCAGTGAAACCCTGTCTCTACTAAAAATACGAAAATTAGCTGGGCAAATGGCAGTGCACGCCTATGGTTCCAGCTACTCAGGAGGCTGAGGTAGGAAAATCACTTGAACCTGGGAGGCGGAGGTTACAGTGAGCTGAGATTGCACCACTGCACTCCAGCCTGGGTGACAGAGCGAGACTCCACATAAAACAAAACAAAACACAGAACTAAGTATTGTATTCATCTCAACAGACTGATTCTTCTATGTGTGTGTGTGTGTGTGTGTGTGTGTGTGTGTGTGTGTGTGTGTGTGTTTTGAGACAGGATCTCACTCTGTTGCCCAGGCTGGAGTGCAGTGGCGTAACCATGGCTCACTGCAGCCTTCACCTCTTGGGCTCAATCGATCCTTCCATCTCAGCCATCTGAGTAGCTGGGACTACAGCCATGCACCACCACGCCTGGCTAACTTTTGTATTATTATTGATTTTTTTTTTTTTTTTTTTTGGTAGAGACAGGGTTTCACCATGTTGCCCAGGCTGGTCTTGAAATCCTGGCCTCAAGCAGTGCACCCACCTCAGCCTCTCAAAGTGCTAGAATTACAGGCGTGAGCCACTGGCCCTGGCCTTGATTTTAAAAATTTTGTGTATAGGACTAGCTATGGGCTACCTCATAAATATTTGTTAAGTATTTACCAAGTGCATTCATCTTTTTATATCTCTCCAGATACCACCTTAATCCAGGCTGCTGGCATGTCTCCCTTGGATAGCTGTGACAGCCTCCCAGCTGGCATTCCTGACTCCAGGCTTTTGTCCTTTCCATTTATTATTTAATATTGCAGCAAGAAAAATCCCTCTAAAAGCAAAAATAGGTGGCATTTATCCTGTGAGTAAAATCCTTCATTGGCTTCCTATTGCACTAAGAAAAAAGTTCAAATACTTTAAGGTGGCTTCCCTGTCCTGCTCTTAAACTTTAGCTATAGAAATTTCTTGAACCCACAAAACTGTCTCCCAATTTTCTATTTCTTATGCCTGCAACTCAGCTGCTTCTCTTCTTTGCCTATGTCCTTTCCCTCCTTTACATTCTATCTTTTTTTTTCTTTTTGAGACGGAGTCTCGCTCTGTTGCCTGGGCTGGAGTGCAGTGGCGTGATCTCGTGGCTCACTGCAACCTCCATCTCCCAGGTTCAAGCGCTTCTCCTGCTTCAGCCTCCTGAGTAGCTGGGATTACAGGTGAGCACCACCAGACCTGGCTAATTTTTGTATTTTTAGTAGAGACAGGGTTTCACCTTGTTGGCCAGGCTGGTCTCGAACTCCTGATCTCAGGTGATCTGCCTGCCTAGGTCTCCCAAAGTGCTGGGATTACAGGCATGAGCCACCACGCCCGGCTCATATCCTACCTTAAATGTCACTTCCTGCTGGAAGATTTCCCAGATATGCAGTGCCCAGCTCCTCAGTTAGATGGGCGCTCCTTTTATTTATTTATTTATTCATTCATTCATTCAAAAGATGTTTATTGAGTCCTATTGTGTACCAGATACTGATCTAGGTGGTGGAGATACATCAGTGAGATAAGAAAAGACATAAATCCCTGTCATGCTATGTCTTCCTATACTGTACTTCTCTATGTTTTCGTATGTTATTACTATGGCTTATTAATTGTCTTCTCATGAGATAGGGTGACTTTTTCACACTTGGGAAACTCAGACAATTACTGGGCATAACAGATATTTAATAAGTATTTGATGAGTAAACACATAAACGAGCAAAGTTGTATAGTATTTTCTTGCTGAATTTACCCCAGCATCCTGGGCCAGCATCCTGGTCCTGACCTTCCCTCCCTTTTTGATGATCCACATTTCAGATATCTAGAGCTCTCAGGTCCTCTTCCTTGCTTCCCAAACTACCACTTGCTCCATACTTACTCATACTCCTTATTAATTCTTGGATTCCTCAATGGCAAGAGCCAGTGCTCATCTGTCTTCATATTCCCAAAGCTTTGCTCATTACCTGGCATATAGTAGGTGCTCAATATTGAGATGGGTTGTGAAGCAGCAACTCACACCAAGAGCTTGAAGTCTTTGAAGGTAGCTGACTGGGGAAGGATTTCACCATACATAGGCTACTATCTACTTTGCTTATGGACAAACTTGGACCCTCTAACCAATATATGTTTCGTGAAAACCATTCTGGATCACCCAGAAATTCTTGGGAGATCTAGGTCTCTGGTGGGATTTAGTTATTTGCTACTTAAATAACTTAAATATTCCAGGTCAAAAGCATGTGAAATGAACAGTGGTCCTCAGTAAACATGCTATATTTATTAGCTCGAGAATAAAAAGTTCTGGTAATTAATTTCCTTAGAATCATACTGTTACCAAAAGCAGAGTAGCTGCTGCCTATACATATTGTGTTTAGAGTTAATTTAGTCACTGTAGTTTGATAAGGCGAGATTATTTTATTGGATGAAAAACCAGCCTTGATCTGAGGCCTCTGTGTAGACACACTGCTAAGTATTGCAATAGTTTACCTGTTTTCCTGGCTCTGGGTCTGCACACTCTTTTTGCAGTAGATGGTGTTACCAAAGCAACTCTCTATATAGATTTTGCACTGATTCAAGATCCCTGGGCCAGGCAGTCTGCACTAAGCCAGTCTCGTTGTTAATCCCGCTCTGATTTTGACTTGTGTTCCTCATGACTCATGCTGGACTTCTAGTTTTTTTCCTCTCTATTCCTACATCTAAATGCTGCCCTGATTCCTTGTAACATAATTCCTCTGAGATGGGGTCCTTTCTTGCCTTTCACTCCCCATATAGCTCATTACCTTTAGGAACTGAGATCCTCCCATTTTCCCTAGTTCCCACTGAAACGGGAAAACTTCCCTTGTCCCCTTCACAGGGTGTGTGATGGGGGTGTGGCTAGCTTCTTCAGTGCCCTGCTGCTCAAACCTCTAGCGGGAGCATGCAGACGGGCAGGTTGTGGGACTTCGACCCCACAGCAGTGTCTAAGGGTGAATGTTTACAGCTGAAGCCCCAGTGGGTGTGTGTTACAGGGTGTTCTTTTAGTCTAGCCATCCGTAGGTGGCTTGCGTTAGCTCAATTAGACCCCTGTCTTATCGCAAGGACAGAGGACTTTCTGTATCCCGGGGTTCTTACCTTGGTGTACAGGAAGAATCTGATCATACGTGGGTTTGGAGAATGAGTACAAGGTTTTATTAAGTAGAAGCAGCTCTCAGCAGGTGGGAGAGCCAGAGGGAGATGGTTTTCCCCTGGAGTTGGGCGGCAAACTCCTCAGGGAGTCGGAGGAGACTCCGACTGCCCTGGCCAAACTCCTCTTTGTTCCACCAGTCGATGGCCTGCCAGCATCTGTCGTGTGCTCTTGCACTAGTGTGCTCCCCTCCACGTCCTCTCCACATCCAGCCGCTTGTGTCTTCTTCCGCCGATGTGTTCCTCTCGACGTCCAGCCGCTTATGTGTCTGCCTGGTAGGGTCTCAGGATTTTTTTTTTTTTTTTTTTTTTTTTTTTTTTTTTTGAGATGGAGTCTCGCTCTGTCGCCCAGGCTGGAGTGCACTGGCGCGATCTCAGCTCACTGCAAGCTCCGCCTCCTGGGTTCACGCCACTCTCCCGCCTCAGCCTCCCGAGTAGCTGGGACTACAGGTGCCTGCCACCGTGCCCGACTAATTTTTCTTTGTATTTTTAGTAGAGACGGGATTTCACCATTCACAGGATGGTCTCGATCTCCTGACCTTGTGATCCGACCGTCTCGGCCTCCCAAAGTGCTGGGATTACAGGCATGAGCCACCGCGCCCGGCCGGGTCTCAGGATTTTTATAGGCACAGGATGGGGGCGTGGCAGGCCAGGGTGGTCTTGGAAAACGCAACATTTGGGCGCCAACACAGGAGTGCCTGTCCTGACCTGTCTGTGGGCACAGCCTGGGGGTGGAGCCCTCGCCAGGGATCCGTCCTTCTCCTCCCTGCACTTCCCTGCCACCCTCCTGTATCACTATGGCTCAGTCTTTGCTACTTACTGCTGAACTTCTTGTTGACAACTTACCTACCTATACATCTGCCTTTTAGGTGATGCCTGAATTCTTGCTATCCCTGGTGATATGGTTTGGCTATGTCCCCACTCAACTCTCATCTTGAATTGTAGCTCCCATAATCCCCATGCATCCTGAGAGGGGCCTGGTGGGAGGTAATTGAATCATGGGGGCAGATTTTTCCCATGCTCTTCTCTTGATAGTGAATAAGTCTTAAGAGATCTGATGGTTTTGTAAAGGGCAGTTCCCCTGCACTTGCTCTCTTGCCTGCCACCATGTAAGATGTGCCTTTGCTTCTCCTTTGCTTTCTGCCATGATTGTGAGGCTTCCCCAGCCATGTGGAACTGTGAGTCCATTAAGCCTCTTTTTCTTTATAAATTACCCAGTCTTGAGTATTTCTTCATAGCAGTATGAAAATGGACTAATATACCTGGGGTCTCTAGGATTTGGCTCTCCCCTATGTGGGATATTTTACTGCCAACCTAATCCAGGTAGGAGCATCTCCTTCTCCCTGCTAGTCACCTCTTTGCTAGGCTTGGAGAGAGACTAAGAAAAAGAGAAAGAGAAAGAAATGGGGGAGGGAAAAGGGGAAAAGAGATAAAGAAATTGGTTTGTAAATGGAATCATTTTTACTCCACCTTCTCAGGTGGCTAACAGGAAATAAGCAGAGGAAAGACAAGTATAAAAACAGATGTGGTATCATCATGAACTCTCAAACACTGGCCCTTTTCTTGCAGGAGGTCATCTGGGTCCCTACTGCAGGATAAGATCTATTTCCTGAGATTTGCTGTTCTAGGACGTCTCATCATCTTCTATCCAAGCAAAAGAGCTACATAGCTCAACCCTCAGGCTACTAAAGAAACTTGCGTTTAACATTATCTGAAGGTTGAAACTGCAACTGTCCTCTTCAGAGATACATGTGTCAATTTCTGCCGTCTGAGTCTTATCTTCCAGGCCACCCTTTCATATGAAAGCAAGTTTGTATTTCAGTTGCTGTTTTCTTTTAAAAGGTCTGTGCTGACCAAACTGCTCACTATCTTTCAATCTTTGTGATCACTGGAAACATTAGTGAAGTTACCATTCTGCAACCCCAGCCACCCAGTCAGAGAAAGCTGATTGAATTCACTTACAGGTATTTCTTTCTCCATATTCAGCTTCAAATGGACTAGCTCAGAACTTTGGGTGTTTTAGAAATACAATGGACTGTCATCAACTATAACATAAGTTGCTACTATTGAGCACTTACTGTGAGATAGGCACAGTGGTGTGCTAATAAACTGCTTCAGTGAAACTAAAAACAAAGTCCTGATTTGTATTGTTGCCCAATTTCCATGATGTAAATACTCCCACTGTGGCCAATTTCAAGCTACCAAAGTTGGGAAGAGTTGAGAATTAGAATCTGAAAGAGGCATTCCGAAGAGATATGCTCTCTCAAGCCAGTAACAGCTGTTTGAGCACATTGTAGGCATTTTACAAGTGCCATCTTTTTCAGTTCCCATTACGTTCTCATGAAGTGGCTACTATTGTAGCAGGACAAGCTGCAGACAGAACCACTTAGACACCGAGTTAAAGAAGGAAGGGCTGTATTCGGCCGGGAGCTTCGGCAAGACTCACGTCTCCAACAACCGAGCTCCCTGGGTGAGAAATTCCTGTCCCTTTTAAGGGCTCACAACTCTAAGGCGCTCCAGGTGAGAGGGTCGTGATCGATTGAGCAAGCAGGGGGTACATGACTGGGGGCTGCATACACCGTAATTAAAACAGAACAGAACAGAACAGAACAGGACAGGGATCTTCATAGTGCTTTTTTATGCAAATAACCGATTAGATCAGGGGTTGATCTTTAACTACCAGGCCCAGGGTGTGGCGCCAGGCTGTCTGCTTGTGAATTTCATTTCTGCCTTTTAGTTTTTACTTCTTCTTTCTTTGGAGGCAGAAATTGGGCATAAGACAATATGAGGGGTGGTCTCCTCCCTTACTATTATTATCTCCATTTCACAGATTAGGAAACTGGGATTCAGAGAGATTAAGCAACTTTTTTCCTAAAGCACACACTGAGAAAGGGGAATAGCAGATATTTGTATCTAAATCTGTGTACCCCAAATCTGTGTCCATCAATGGATGTAAAATATCCAAGAATCTATTCACGTCATTCCTTTATTTGCATGGAGCAAAGGAGAATCCTGAATCTACAACATCTATTTTCCTTAACTTTAAACCATTCACAAAAAGATGTTCTACCTTCTTACAGCCAGAGGAAAGCGAAGAGTACTTTCCTTTGTTATGCTTCTCCATGTCTCAGAGAAATGCACTTTATAGACCTTTTCCTATGGAAGGACACAGAGATGATGGAAGGGGTTGAGTGAACACCTCTGTTTGGCTTAGCTGATATTTTGTGATCCAGTCCCTTCCTGAGCTTAAAAAGTATTGTCGAGTTCATTGTATGGCCTACCAATTCAAAGTTAAATTTTCTGGTACCATAAATCCAATGTCTCCATTTACTGTAGAGAGGCTTCTTCTCTCTGGATGAAATGTGTGTTTCATCTTGCACAGAAATACTTATTTGCAGGGGGTGGGGACAGACTTTTACTCACCAATCAGGTATGTTTGTATTGTTTGTTACATACAGAAGAAAGGGCTTATGAGTCTCATTTAGAGACATACAAACACACACACATACACACACACATATATACACACACACACATTTATCCACTAATTAGAGCTTTGTAAAGAGTGAGTATGTTAAAATAAGCTAAACCATTTTCTTGACCATTATAGTGATCAAACCAATCATGTGTGCAGAGAATGTTTCTGTCATTAGATCAAAGTTTAATGTTTTTTCTTTGGGGTAAGTGTGGAGAGGGACCAAAATTTGACTTTTATAAAAATCCGATGGCCTTAGATTTTGTAAAAGTCAAATTTGTTGTGCATGAACAGCCCGGAACAGGATACATAAGTATGGAAAATAAATTCACAAAAGGACAAAAAAGACAAGTGGATTCACTCCTGCTAATGCCTCCAGATGGTGCTGAGCACAGAGCACAGCCCTGTCCTTGACATATCTTGCATATGTATGTCTCATGTTTCAGAGCGCTTATGAATAGCCCTCCTGTGTTCTTGAAAACTTCTGTGTAGTAAAGTAATTCCTAAGACCTTTACATCAAAAAGGGAGTTGGAGCCATTTCCTCTAAGCTGGGCCTCTCTTCGCTATTTGCAGTTACTTTTACTTGTTCTCTTCACCAATGCCAAAGAGAACACTTACGTGCTGAAGATCAGTGACAGGTTGAGAGAGTATCTCTACAATCCCTGGGGATATGTTGTACCTCAAAGAGACTCCTTTTCCAGCTGCTCTTCCAAATTGGTAACCAGATCTGAGCACCACCACTGCTCATCCATTTCCACCCTGTTGCCCGGGTCTTCAACACTAGCTTCTGATGAACAGTTTCCACAGCAACTCGAGTAACACCTCCAGTCTGCCACCTCCTAACTGCAGAAATGAAAAGGGTAAAGGAAACAAAAGATAAGCGAAATCAGTCTTCAACACAAGAGTTTAAAAGGAATGGCAGCTTAATCATCAATAATTATTTAATACCAACATCCAAACTGAATGGTCAAATTTTACTTCAGCTTTGATGGTTAGAATTATTTTATCTTTTGGCATCTATGGCAGATGATCTATCTTCTTTCCTTTGTTAATTGATTCCAATTTCTAGATAATAATAGCCTAAAATAGTGTTTTTCAAGTGGTCATAAGTCCTTCTGATACAGAGAAAGAACAGAGAATAGAAAACTGCAAATTCTCAAACAGAAACAACTAGCAGTCACCAGAATTTCCTTACTCCACTTTCTTCAGCTTTGCTTTTTTCTTTCTTGACTTCTTCACAAGTCAAAATAACATTGAATGGTGGTTGACAGGAGAAAGATGAGCAAGGTAAAAGCTACTGTATAAGAAAGGATCATGGGGAAAAAGGTAGTTTTACACTACCATTTACTACTGCCTTTCAAACTTTACCTAATCACTGAAAGCTTGTCAGTTATCTCTTTGAGAAATCCTGAGCTGTAGACCACATGACCTCTTTAGTGTGTGAGTTTTATTCATTCATTTAGCCAATATTTATTCTAACTTTGTATGCCAGATATACAGAGAGGAATATGACAGACAAGTTCTCCTAGAGATTGTAAAGATATCTTAGCTTTTTCTTCTCCAGCCATTTGCTTACTTAGGGAGTTAAAATAATCTTGGTCAAACCAAGATAAGGGCGATAGCAAAGTGAACAACTTTGCTAAAAGTAACTAAGATTAGGAGTCTAGCTGTTAAGTAGGGTCTCACAGGATAAATTCAGAAGAGTATATTGTCCAGACTAGAGAAGTCTGCTGGGAAAAGTAAAGCAGGTATTCAGTAGAGTTAGAGAGAACATCATGGGTAGACAACAAAGTATGTAAGCTCTGATCCTGGAGAAGAGGTTCTCTGCTTCTTATTGTTTTTACTGTTTGCTACCTCTTGGTCTCACAGGCCATGACTTTGGCAAAAAGGATATCCTAGATCTGCACTGGAACCATGATCCTCCTTGGGGATGGGAATGAGAGGCATTGGGATCATCTTCTTCAGTGTTATAGTTATTATTTTATGCAGACAGTTCTCTTAAAATAAAGAGTAAAAATTTATTTATACTGTGTTTCATATTTTCCTACATAATTACTCCTACTGGTACTCTTAATTTTTTTCATGTGGATTTGAGTTACCATCTTGTGCCATTTCTATTCAGTCTTTACCATTTCTTGTAAGGCAGGTCTGCTGTCCATTAATTCTCTCAATTTTTACTTACCTGGGGAACATTTTTGTTTTTTTGAAATAGGGTCTCATGCTGTCATCTGGGCTGGAGTGCAGTGATGTGATCTTGGCTCACAGCAATTGCTGCCTCCTGGGCTCAAGCAATCTTCCCCCTTTAGTTCTAAGCAGCTGGGACTACAAGTGCACACCACCAAATCCGGCTAATTTTTGTATTTTTTGTAGAGACCAGGTTTTGCCATGTTGCCCAGGCTGGTTGCAAACTCCTAAGCTCAAACAATCCATCGACCTTGACCTCCCAAAGTACTGGGATTACAGATGTGAATCACCATGCCTGGCAGGAAATGTGTTTATCTTGCCTTCATTTTGGAAGTATAGCTCTGCTGGATATAGAATATTTGCTTGACAGTTTTTTGTTCTTTTAGCCCTTTGAATATGTTATCCCACTGCCTTCTGGCCTCCATTGTTTTTGATAAGAAGTCAGTTATTAATCTTATTGAGGATTCCTTGTATGTGATGAGTTATTTTTCTCTCTCTATTTTCAACATTTTCTCTTTGTCTTTTCACAATTTAACCATGATGTTTCTAGGTGTGGATCTCTTTGGTTTTATCCTACTTGGGATTTGTTGAGATTTTTGAATTTGTAGATTAATGTTTTGTTAATCAAATTTGGGACACTTTCAACCATTATTTCCTTGAATATTTTTCTTCTCTCTCTCTCTCCCTCTCTCTGTTCCTCCCTGTATTCCCACCATGTGGATATTGGTTTGATTAATGCTATCTCACAGGTCTCTGAGATTCTGTTCATTTTTCTTCACTTTTTTTTTCTGTTCTTCAGGTTGGACAAACTCTATCTCCAGGCTTGTTAATTTTTTTTTTCTTGCCAGTTTAAACCTGCTTTTGAACACCTCTAATGAAATTTTCATTTTAGTTATTTTACTTTGCAACTCCAGAATTTTCATTTGGCTCTTTTTATAATTTCTATTTTCCTATTTATATTCTCCAATTGGTGAGGCATTGTTGTTATACTTTTATGTAACTATTCAAACATGGAGTCTTTTAGTTCTTTGAACATATTTATAATAGTGATTTGAAGTCTTTGTCTACTAAGTCCTACATCTAGGCTGTCTTGTAGATGGTTTCTGTTGACTGCTTATTTTCCTGTATATGGGCTACATTTTCCTGCTCTTTTATATTTCTGGTAATTAAAAAAACTAGACATTTTAGATCATATTGTGGCCCCTCTGGAATTTGATCTTCCCAAGAAATTTATTTTTACTTTTATTTTTTTTTTTATTTTGAGACTGAGTTTCAATCTTGTTGCCCAGGCTGGAATGCAATGGCACAATCTCGGCTCAATGCAACCTCCACTTCCTGGGTTCAAGCGATTCTCCTCTCTCAGCCTCTCAAGTAGCTGGGATTACAGACATGTGCCACCACGCCTGGCTAATTTTGTATTTTTAATAGAGATGGGGTTTCTCCATGTTGGTCAGGCTGGTCTCAAACTCCCGACCTAAGATGATCCGCCTCCCTCAGCCTCCCAAAGTGCTGGGATTACAGGCATGAGCTACTGCGCCTGGCCAGAATCTTTATTTTTGGTCTTTTCTTTGTTTACCTGTTTAGTGACTTGCCTGAACTGGTAGAAACTCTTCAATGTGTGGCCACTGAAGTCTCTGATTAGGTTTTTAGATTTTTTAAATTATTGTTTTTATTTTTGAGTAGGCTTCCTAATAGTCACACCTGAGTCAGCATAGTTGAACAGTCATCCAATGATTGCTCAGAAGTTTACCTAAAACACCCTGAGTTAACAAGGTTTCCACTCTATGCCATGGGATCTATGTTTGGGATGGTGCATACATTCAAAGTTTAGACAGTTCACAATTCTACTTTGACTTTCACTTTCTGCTTGCACAGAGTCTCATGGTCAGCCAAAGGCCCTGGGGCCCTCTTTAGTCTTTCCTGAGTGTAAATGCAATCCTGTGCATGTGTACAATCTTCCAGATCCCCAGGAATATATCAGAGCTTTTCAAAATCCTCATGGCTGTCTCATTTTCCCCCTTATGCCTCTTAAATTCTGATCGGTCTTTCACTTATCCCTACCAGCACTGCAGGCTTAGGCAGTTGGCTTTCCCAATGTTGGGTTTCCCAATTGTTTGTCACTACTTGCTATCAGATTTGACCATGTCCCAGGCATGGGGCTTTTCTGGGGAGTTTCAAATCAGTTCAACCCCCTCCACGACAGTGAGGCTGCTAGCCTTCATTGACTACTGTATCATTGACCAAGGGGGAAGGATGAGAACAGCTCCAAACTGAAATGTCACAGATCCCATTGTTCCTACCAAGATTCAGTAGTTTTTCTTAAATAAATGTATTTCAATTTATCTATGTGTTTGGTTATTTTCAGAGTTCTGAAATGACTGCTTTTGATAATTTTGCTAGTTTTATCAGTGCTTTCTAAGGTAGGATTTGCCAATGTCCTCACTCCACCATTCAGAAAGTGACTAGCCCTCTTACCACCTTTGTTTGGCACTTGGTGCTATAATTAATTATAAGAAAACTCCAGCCACAAAAACCAGGTGAATGACTGCTTGGTATGGCAGCAAAATAATTGCAATTAAAAGTCTATTTGCATGACCTAAAAACTAATTAATTCAGTGTGAAACATATGTAAGCAAGAAGTTTTCCAGATTTTTCACCAAAAAGTGTTCAATAACTACCCTCCTTTTGGAATTTCTATGCTATTCTTTGCATATCTCAGTCAGTGCAGTCACTAAATTATTTTCTAATAATCTATTTAGGGGTCTGTATTCTCCACTAAGCTATGCACTCCTTGAAATATGAATTGTATTTTAATTATCTAAAGGGTCTTGCAATGTGTGGCCAGTGATTCTAGTAGGTAATCAATACATTTTTGCTCAGTATTGTTCCACATTGTAGATAGAAGTGACCCAAGGCTGAGGACAATGCTAATAGTGTCTAAACTGCAGAACAATCTGGACTTTATTTTCAAAAAGTCAACCTTTGGCATATCAATTTTAGCAATTAATTAGAGTTGTTCTTTTATACACATTCTGCTAGTAATTATCTTTAACCTAATTTAATATCGACTTTTGAGACATCTTCCTTTCAAGTAGCATATTCCCTAAAGAAAAGTGCTAAAAACATTTTGGGCATTCTGTTATGTTTAATGGCACCTCTGTGAGTTGTGTTAACTTCTGATGTATGTTTGTAATCGCTTGAATAAATTACAGTTATCAAACATGTCAAGAATACCTGACATATAAAGTGCCGCACACTTGTTAATTAGAAAGTAATTAATTACAAAGGATTTAATATCACATTCTTTTTAGTACCAAATGGCCAATGTGTATTCTGGCTGACTCCTTCAGCTCCCCAAATCCCCCATGAGATCACCTCTATGCTGAGTTACCATCATTGTGATAATCCTTCTGAATATAGCGACAAGGGTATTGGTCTCCCTCTCTTCTCTTCATCTGAAGTATAAGATTGACTTTCCACCTAATTTTATATGATACAGCAGGCTGCTACAAATAATGAGAGTTTATTAAAATTTGGGTATAATAAAAAGGAAATAACTACATTGCACAAGGCCAGAGTGTGTGGGGTTCCCACCTCACACCTGCTCTCTGTCTCACATGCAACTAGCATTCATGTGTCCAGGGGAGCTCTCCTTCCACCTCTGGAATTGCTATAGGCATCTCCATGTCTCCAAGCCTGAGTCCCACTCATTCCTGGCTCTAAAACACAAAAGGATTTTTCCCTTCATGCCAAACTAAGACCTTCCTTCTGAGTCTTCATTCCCTGACCCTGGATTGTTCTCTTTTCCCACCATTAAGCAACCTGGATATTTATCTCTTTCGAAGGATCGTTCATCTCCACCCACCAGAGTGTGGTCTAATCCTGTGATCTGTAACAGGACCATCCCATAAATATGTAGCATCGTACTATTTTTTCAAAGCCAGGTTCAGTTCTTAAACAAAAGCAGTTATTTTATACAATTGTTTTAGTTCCTTCTCATTAAATATTCATAAAACCTGGAGATCCAGTCCTACATACTATCAGTTTATCACATGCTAAGTGATCCAGGCAAGATGATTTTCTAGGTACCATGATAGTCACAAAGATGGTCTAGTTAAAATCCTTCAAAATATATGATTGCATGTGAAAAATATTTGTTGATAGCTAACAGTTGATAATTGTTAGGCCAAATTTGATGATCACATACATACACAGATATGGCCATAGAGGAAAGAGAGGTCCATTACAATAGAGGATAGAGGTGGAGGATGTAGATCAGGGAAGACTTCATGGATAAGCTGGTATGTGAATTAAATTTTGAGGTATAGGTAGAATTTCAACAGATGGAATTTGAGAGGAAGCACTTCTGATGGAGGGAGGAAGTTGCAAACACAAAGACTTTGGAGTGAGAAAGAAGTGAGCATGCTTGGGGAGAGCTGAGCTACCCTTGTCATAGCTACAGCCCTTGTCATTAGGCAGAGTGGCTGGAAGTGTAAGGAGGCTGGAATGACCATCACAGAGGGCCTTGAATGTCTGCTAAAGGATATGGATAACTTTTCCACAAAGAGGAGAGAGAAGAAAATGATGAGCAAATCTCTTAGATTACCAAAAGAGGATTGTGTGACCCTGTGGCGTTTTCATTTGTTTCATCTGTTAGATTCATGTTCTCCACATCAATGACAAGTTCAATAGTAAAATGTTGTGTTGGTTAAGGTTACAGCACCTGGCAAATGGATTTCCTGGGGTGAGTGAGCAGAAACATCTGCCAAGCTCCTAGAAAGTGTCATTTAATGAAGTGGATGGTGCCAAGTATTGCATTTAAGGGAAGGGGATGGGAGGAGTGAGTTTAAGTAAGAATTTTCTCTGGGAGTTTTCGCAAGAGTCCCGTTCAAGTACTTTGGAGCGTAGGGAGTCGTGAAAAGGTCATTCCAGATTACTCACGTAAGTTATATTTTTTATTGAATGTGCCAATATAGGCAATGCTGAAACTCTGAAGATGTTATTCTTGTTTTAACATTTGCTTTTCTTTATCCCACCCTACCACTCCCATCAATGACCCAACATAGTGCATATTACAATGGTCTCTGCCCAGCAAGCTGATAGCTTCCTATGAGCAAAGGGAAAGGGGAGAGTTTCCAGGAGAGGAAATTCACTCTTCCCTTCTCTCTGTCCATAGCCTGGCCTCCAAGTAGAGGTATGTGGTGTCTTAGTCAGGTTGTGCTGCTGTCAGAAAATATCACACAACAGAAATTTATTTTTACAATTCTGGAGGTCAGAAAATCCAAGATCAAGGTGCTGGCATTTGGTGTCTGGTGAGCGCCTTCTTGCTGCATTCTTACATGGCAGAAAGGGCAAATATTGTGTCCTCACACAGCCGAAGAGGAGAAGAAAATAAGCCCATTCCCTCAAGCCCTGTAGTAAGAACCCAAATCCCATTCATGAGGGTTCCACCGTCATGATTTAATCACCCCCTAAATGCCCCACCTCTTAATAATATCACATTGATCATTAAGTTTCAACATATGAATTTTGGATGACAAATTCAGACCATAGCATATACAGTTGGTGGGTTGTGGTCTGCTATGGACTGAATGTTTGTATCCCCTTCCCCCTAATTTTATATATTGAAGTGCTAATCCCCATTGTGATGGTCCACTTCTTTGGAAGTGGGGTCTTTGAAAAGCAATTAGGTTTAGATGAGGCCTGGAAGGTGGACGCTCCGTGATGGGATTAGTGCTCTTATAAAAAGAGGAAAAGACACACAATCTCTCTCTCTTTCTCTCTCTCTCTCACTCACTCTCCATATGTACACCAAAAGAAGGCCATGTGAGGATTTAACCAGAAGAAGGCTGTCACCAGTAACTCAACCATGTGCACCTATGCTGGAACTCTGACCTTGGACTTCCAGCCTCCAGAACTGTGAGAAATAAGTGTTTGTTGTTTAAGCCACCAAGCCTATGGTAATTTGTTATCACAGCCCAAATGGAATAAGACATGATCCATTTCTAGATGCAGGCAATAGTCTCAAAGATGTAGTTTGGTTTATAAAAAGTTAGAATTTCCTGCAATTTTGGTTGTTTATGGGGCCACAGTAAAGAGTACTGGAAATTAGGACTGACCTAGAAAGTCTGAGTGGTGCCAAGGATGGAGAAGAGTGGACTGGGCAGACTGGGGAGCAAACTCAGCAACTCAGCAGACACTGGCCGGGAATGCAGACACTAGCTGGCAATACTGGTCCAGAATACTGGCAAAGGCTGGGCCAGAATTCTTTATTTTCTAACTCCTCCTCACAACTCTGTCTTCTATACTTCTTCACTGTGTCAAAGACCACAATAGGGAGTCCAGCAGGGAATGGAGCACCAGCCTCTAACAGCTGCTTGTTTTTTCATGGAATAAAGCTCTCTGTTTGGCCTGGAAGATTTCCTTTTCTTTCTCATGTGTCCTAACATATATCAGTCCCTCATATTGACACTGGACCCAGCTTCTCCTCTCTCCTCCCATTGCAGTGGTGTATGATTTCATTAGAGAGAAAATATTTTCTTTAGCACACCTCTGTCACCCAGCTGCTAGGCTCAGTCCTTTAAGGTGTTTCCCTTCCCCCACGCAGAAAGCTTTTGTTATTTTTAGGTGAGTCCTACCTTAAAGAAAGAGCAAGATGCCAGGTTGTGAGAAATGCTGGAGGCAATTCCTTGAGTCCTCTTTGAAAACATGTTTCTGGGAGGGTGCCAACCCCATTTTGCAGGGATGGCAGGGCTGCAGATGGAACTTGGAAATAAATGATTGCCCTGGGCCAACTCCACAGACAAATGATGAGCTAATTTCTGCTCAGTAAGAGTGTTCTGTATTTGCTGGTCAGAATCTGCCAACAAGTTCGAGTTCATATGCTTAGCACTGTATCCCCCCACTTATGTCTCTTTGGCTCCATTGAATGTTTAAATAGCCCATTTCATTGAGCCTTAGGCAGAACAGTGTGGTGTCATTTATTCATAGCTGAGGTGGTAATCAAGCTAATGAAGGAAGACACAGGAAGGAGACAGAGTCAGCTGAATTTAAGGGTAAAACGTGGTGTGGTTTGGTGTGTTGTGCATATGTGTGTTCAACTCTCCATTATTCACATATTGCTCTTCCTCTTTGTGGATTACTTGAAACACATTTTATCCCTAGTTGACTTTCCATTTAGAAAATGTCTTGCCCATCTCTTCTTGTATGTCTTTTATTTTAACTTAAGGATGATACATTTATATTGTCACCTAGGCAAAACATAATTAGAAAGGGGTATCGGCAACCTCAGAATTACTGTAATGTCTTTTCTTTCTTCCTTCCCTTCCTTCCTTCCTTCCTTCCTTCCTTCTTTCTTTCTTTCTGTCTTTCTTTCTTTCTTTTTCTTTCTTTCTTTCTTTCTTTCCTTTCTTTCTTTCTTTCTTTCTTTCTTTCTTTCTTTCTTTCTTTCTTTCTTTCTCTCTCTCTCTCTTTCTCTTTCTTTCTTTCTTTCTTTCTTTCTTTTTCTTTCTTTCTTTCCTTCTTTCCTTTCTTTCACAAAGTTTCCCTCTATTGCCCAGGCTGGACTGCAGTGGTGTGATTTCAGCTCACTACAACCTCTGCCTCCCAGGTTCAAGTGATTCTGCTGCCTCAGCTGCCAAAGTAGCTGGGATTATAGGCGCGGGCCACCATACCCAGCTAATTTTTGTCATTTTTAATAGAGCTGGGGTTTCACCATGTTGGACAGGCCGATCTCGAACTTCTGACCTCAAGTGATTTGCCTGCCTCAGCCTCCCAAAGTGCTGGGATTACAGGTGTGAGCGACGGCACCTGGCCACTGTAATGTTTTCTAGAACCAAATATGAATGTTTCTGAATTGTTGCCTAACATTTTGAAATGTTCTGTTTCTGTCCATTTCCACGCCAAAGGTAACCAGGGATCTAAAGTACAAATCAGCCTACCATTAGAATAAGAGAGACCAAATTGTATTTCCCAACTTGCATGCTGTTACAATTTCTGTTTTAATTTAATTTCTGAGATATAATTTACATAACATGCAATTCACCTATTTAAAGTATACAATTTAGTGGTTTTTAGTAAGTTCACAGACATGGGCAACCATCACCATAGTCAATTTTAGAACATTTTCTTCACCTCAAAAGGAACCTCTGTATCTTGTAACTATCATTCCTCCGAGTTCCCTAATTCCCAGTCACCTAGCTCTAAACAACTACTATGCTACTCTCTGTCTTTATAGATTTAATGTCCTTGTTCTGGACTTTTCCTATAAATGGAATCATGATATTTGGTCTTTGTGATTAGTTTCTTTCACTTACCATGTTTTCAAGGTTTGTCTATGTTGTTATATTATGTACCAGCACTTTATTCCTTTCTGTAGCTGAATAATATTCCATTGAATAGATATAGCACAATTTGTTTATGTATTTATCAGTTGATACACATTTGGGTTGTTTCCACCTTTTGGCTATTATGAATAATATTGCTGGGAACATTTGCATATAAGGTTTTGGGTGGACATATGCTTGCTGTTACCATTTCTATTGTCAACTGTAACTATTGTCATTCATCCAACCACTCTTTCATTCATTGTCTGCATCAGAAATAATGGACACTGTTGGTGTCTTGCCCAGTGCATACTGATATAAATAAATGATTGAATAAATAAATATGTGTGGGGAGTAGATAAATCAATACGGAAGATTTCCAAATAATATTTATAAATATTCCACATATGTCTACATAGAACCATAACTTCCCAATCCTTAAATGTGGGCTGCACATGGTGACTTCCTTCCAAAGCATACAGTATGGAAAGGAGGAATAAAAGAACTTTACAGTGTAGAAATCTGATAAACACTACCTCAGCCAGGGGATCAAGGTTAACATCAACAGTGATAAATTGTATTGATTGTATGTACCCCGATAGGATGTGATGAAATGATATTTGACATATGTGCTCTTCCTCCTAAAGACATATAACCCCATTCTAATCATGAGAAAAACATCAGAGAAGTTCCAGTTGAGGAACATTCTACAAAATACCTAATGAGTACTTCTCAAAACTGTCAAAGTCATCAAAAACAAGGGTGGTGTGAGAAAATGTCATAGCCAAGAGGAGTCTAAGGAGACGTAACGACTGAATATAATGTGATGTCCTAGGTGGGGTCCTGAAATAGAAAAAGGACATTAGGGAAAAACAAAGAAAAACCCAACAAAATATGAACTTTAGTCAATAATAATGTATCAGTATTGGTTTATCAATTATGACAAATGTACCACTAATCTAAGACACTAATACTGGCAAAACTGGGTGTGGGGTATATGAATCTCTGTATTTTTTTGTAAACTGAAAACTATTCTCAAACAAAAATATTTAAACAATAGATGGAGCCATTATTTTTAAAAAACACAGATTCATTGGTTTCCTAATTTTTATTGTCTTTTGTAGATATTACTTTCTCTTCAGCCAGAGCATTAGTGAATACTGCCTGTGACAGCTTC
Source organism: Homo sapiens (assembly GCF_000001405.40). NCBI lineage: Eukaryota > Metazoa > Chordata > Mammalia > Primates > Hominidae > Homo > Homo sapiens. The sequence continues at coordinate 220,394,465 of NC_000001.11, forward strand.
TCCAAGGTAGAGAAATCAACTTGATGATCCCAAAAGAGAGACAGAAAGTGGCAGTGCTCTGGGATTTAGAAAATCTTACTGTGGTCTCTCATTTCCGATGTGATCAGCAGCTGCTACTTCATCTCTCTAGGTCTCAGTGTTCTCACACAACTGTGAATGTATGGGTTGAAATGGATGAATGACAAGACCTCACCTTGCCTAAAGTTCTAAGCTTCCACTTGCTCTGGCTAAAACTCTTGGAGCTGGAATGCTTAACAGCTCTTTCTGTCACATACCCCACATTTTGCCCATCAGTATATCCTGTGGTCTCAACATCACTGCTACTGCTGGGTCCAAGCAACCATCCTCCCCCCTGGGATTACTCTAATAGTCTCCAGACTCTTTTCCTTGCTTCTCTCCTTACCTGCTCCCAATCACTGATACAGGAACCAGAATGTCTTTTTAAAACAAAAGTCAAGGCAAGGCTGGGCATGGTGGCTCATGCCTGTAATCCCAGCACTTTGGGAGGCCAAGGTTGGCAAATCACTTGAGGTCAGGAGTTTGAGACCAGCCTGGGCAACATGGTGAAACTCTGTCTCTACTAAACATACACAAAAATTAGCTGGGCATGGTGGCACGTGCCTGTAATCCCAGCTACTTGGGAGGCTGAGGCAGGAGAATCACTTGAACCTGGGAGGTGGAGGTTGCATTGAGCTGAGATCACGCCACTGCCCTCCAGAGCCTGGGTGACAGAGGGAGGAGATTCTGTCTCAAATAAAATAAATAAAATAAAATAAAATAAAATAAAATAAAATAAAATAAAATAAAATAAGGTCAAATCGTGACCCTTCTCTGCACAAAACACTCTAATGACTTCCCATCTCATTCATTGGAAGGGCTAGCCATTTTTCAGTGGCATCTGAAGTCCTACATAATCTGGACGTCTATGTCCTACTCTGTCCTCTTCAGTTACTCTTTCCACACTGGCCCCCATGAATAACATGAAGTATACTCCTGCCTCAGGGCCTCTGAATTGCTATTCCCCTTGTATGAGATGCTCTTTCCCTGGTAAGCCATGTAGTTTGCTCTCTTACCTCTTCCAGTCACTCAGCTAGAGAGGCTGTTCCTGGACCATTCTCTATAAGACAGCAACCTCCTCCCCATTGCACCTCCAGCAATACCTCTCCCCTCCCCCTCCCCTGCTTTATTTTTATCTACAGCATTTATCATCATCTGATGACTCATATATATTTGTTTGCTTATTTTCAGTCTTTTTTACTTGAGAATACAAGCACCCTGAGGTACAGGGACTTTATTATGTTCACTGCTGTATCTCCAGTGCCTAAAACTGTACCTGGCTCATAGTAGTGACTTAATAAACAAGAGTTGAGTAAAACAGTAAGTGACTGAATGCTGAGTGGATAAGCGAAAAAAATGCTTCCAGCAATCAGCTACTTGTCTTCAATTATATTGCCAATGCTTTAGTACAGGTGGAGCTGGGAAGGCTCCTTCCTTTCTGTTTTCTGCTGTGCCACATCCTTTCTCTGTGACCGTGGGTATGGATTGGCTTCCTTGCCTTAGCAAGGATAAGGCAAAGGAGAGAAATAACAGTGTTTAAAAATGAATCAGTTCCAATTTGGAAATGTTAATATTGCCACCTGCCTCACATACTACATTTAGCTTATGTGTTTTCAGGTTTTCTCCCTTGATAGACTACAAGCAACTCACAGAAAAGGGCTGTGTTATTGGACTCTGTATCCCCAGTCCCTCAAATAGTGCCTTGCACGTAGTAGCTTCTTCAGTCACTATATGTTGGGTCTATTTTAATCAATAAAAGAGAAGTACCAAGGACTTCCACTGGCAGGTTGCTGAAAGTTCTTTTCTCTTTCTTTTTGGTTTTAAATAGAGAGCAAAGAAGTTTGTCTGTGAGGACATGCCAACGGTGCAAATATGACTGCAGGGAGCCGGCGAACACCAACAGCCCCTTTGTAGAATGGAGACATGAAGACAACTCCACCAGGGTTTAAGTTCCAGCTCTCTCACTAGTTGTGGAATCTTGGGAAATATGCGTAAATTTCCTTATCTCCTAATAATCTTATTGGTAAATATTATAGGATCCTCAAATCTTACAGTAGGAAATGGTTCAGCTGAGATTCAAATTGAGGCAGGTGATGCTGCCTCCAGAGTCCACACTCTTAAAGATACTGTGCCCTACCGAAAAATAAGTTCTAAAGGTTGAGTGTTAATTTTTAAAAATGAGGTATCAAAAAATGAGGTATCACTTGAGTCTAAACTCACATACTCAGGGCAAGAAAATTTCAGAAGACAAAATATCAGAAGCATAGGATGTTATTTAGAAACTGCCGTGGAATTGTGATGAGGCTTATATAAATCAGCACACCTAGAGCTCATACAACAGGGACCATGGCACAGGAAGCACTTTCCAAACTGTGGCCAGCATCATCACTGTTTTTTATTTAGTTTAATTAATTTATTTATTTGTTTTCATAGATTTAGGGGCCATAAATGCAGTCTTGTTATATTGGTATATTGCACAGTGATGAAATCTGGGCTTTTAATATAAGTGTCACACAAATAGTGTACCTTGTACCTGTTGGGTGATTTCTCATCCCTCACCCCTCTCCCACCCTCCCACTTTTCTGAGTCTCTAATGTCTATTATTCCACTTTCTCTGTCCATGTGTACTTATTATTTAGCTCCCACATATGAGTGACAGCATGCTGTATTCGATTTTTTGTTTCTGAGTTATCGCACTTAAGATAATGGCCTCCAGTTCCATCCATGTTGCTGCAAAAGACATGATTTCTTTCCTTTTTATGATTCATTCTTTTTTATGGCAGAGTAGTATTTCATGGTGTGTGTGTGTATCATATCTTCTTTTTTTCTGTTTCAACCATTTTAAAATGTATTTATTAAATAGAACATGAAAGAAATACAGACAAAAATTTAATGAAATATGAAACAAAACAAAAAAAAAGTATATTAAAAATAAAATAGTTGGTCTGATAATGAGAGTAAAATGTAAAACCATGTTTTTCAGATCAGACCCAAAACAGAAATTCATTATGTCTGAGAAATAAATTTCGAGCAGAAGCCATGAAAGGCTTTAGAATTATTTGATAATACTAATAACAAAGAGGAGTGTGTCATCTGAACACGTTGCAAAAACCTTGAAAATCTTGCTGATTTTAGATAAAATACTAGCATTAAGTTAACATGAAACACACACTACACCACTAGAAATGGGACATTTTTGACAAACTGGTTAATGAAACTCATGAGTAAATGAAAACTTTTTTTAAATCTTGAAATTCCTTATAATCTTATAATTTATGCATTTTATAACAAATAACGGATATTTTTCATAAAATAGTTTATATTTCTCTTTTTTTTTTTGAGATGGAGTCTCACTCTGTTGCCCAGGCTGGAGTGCAGTGGCACAATCTTGGCTCACTGCAACCTCCACTTCTCAGGTTCAAGCGATTCTCCTGCCTTAGCCTCCTAAGTAGCTGGGACTACAGGCACGTGCCACCACGCCTGGCTAATTTTTTTTTTTTTTTTTGTATTTTTAATAGAGACCGGGTTTCATCGTGTTAGCCAGGATGGTATATTTCTTTTTTATAATTTCAACTTTTATTTTAGATTCAGGGGGTACATGTGCAGGTTTGTTACATGGGTATATTGCATGTTGCTAAGGTTTGGGGTGTGAATAATCCCGTCACCCAGGTACTGAGCATAGTATCCAATAGGTAGTTTTTCAGCCCTTTTCTCCCCTCCCTTTCCCGCTCTAATAGTCCCTAATGTCTATTGTTGACATCTTTAGGTCCATGAGCACCCAATGTTTCACTCCCACTTATAAGTGAGAACATGTGATATTTGGTTTTCCGTTCTTCTCTTAATTCACTTAAGATAATGGCCTCCAGCTGCATCCATGTTGTTGCAAAGGATGTGATTTCATTCTTTTTTATGGCCATATAGTATTCCATGGAGTATATGTACCACATTTTTTTTATCCAGTCCACCATTAATGGGCACTTAGGGTGATTCTATGCCTTTACTACTGTGAATAGTGTTGTGATGAACACACAAGTGCAGGTATCTTTTTGTTAGAAAAATGTATTTTCTTTTGAATAGATAGCCAATATTGGGATTGGTGGGTCAAATGGTAGTTCTGAATCTCCAAATTGCTTTCTACAGTGGTTGAGATAATTTACATTTCCAGTGTATGAGGACTTCCTCTTCTCTGCAGCCTCACCAGCATTTGTTTTTTGTTTTTGTTTTTGTTTTGACTTTTTATTAATAGCCATTCTGCCTAGTATCAGATGGTATCTCATTGTGGTTTTGATTTGCATTTCTCTGATAATTAGTGATGTTGAGCATTTTTTAATATATTTATTGATCATTTGTCTGTCTTCTTGTGAGAAATCTTTTGCCCACTTTTTAATGGATTTATTTGCTTTTTGCTTGTTGAATTAAGTTCCTTATAGATTTTGGATATTAGACCTTTGTTGGATGTATAGTTTGCAAATATTTTCTCCCATTCTATATGTTGTCTGTTTACTCTGTAGATAGTTTCTTTTGGTGTGCAGAACCTCTTTAATTAAGTACTACTTGGTAATTTTTATTTTTGTTGCAATTGCTTTTGAGGACTTAGTCATAAATTATTTCCCAAGGCTGATGTCCACAGTGGTATTTCCTAGATTTTAATTCCAGGATTCTTATAGTTTGAGGGCTTACCTTTAAATCTTTAATCCATCTTGAATAAATGTTTATATATGGGGAAAGGTAGGGGTCCAGTTTCATTCTTCTGCCTTTGGCTAACCAGCTATACCCACACTATTTATTGAATAGGGATTCTTTTCCCCATTGCTTATTTTTGTCAACCTTGTCAAAGATCAAATGGCTGTAGGTGTGCAGCTTTATTCCTGGGTTCTCTGTTCTGTTCCACTGGTCTATGTATCTTTTTTTGTACCAGCAGCATGCTGTTTGATTACTGTAGCCTTATAGTATAGTTTGAAGTTAGGTAATGCAGTCCCTCTGGCTTTGTTCCTTTTGCAAGGATTGTATTGGCTATTTGGGCTCTTTTTTTGGTTCCAAGTGAATTTTAGAATGATTTTTCTAATTCTGTGAAAAATGACATTGGTATCTTGATAGGAATAGCATTAAATCTGTAGAATGCTTTGGGCAGTATGGCCATTTTAATGATGTTGATCCTTCCAATCCACGATCATAGAATGTTTTTCCATTTGTTTGTGTTGTCTATGATTTCTTTCTTCTTTCTTTCTTTTTCTTTTTTATTTTTTTAGATGGAGTTTCATCCTTGTCACCCAAGCTGGAGTGCAGTGGTACAATCTTGGCTCACTGCAACCTCCACTTCCTGGGTTCAAACGATTCTCCTGCGTCAGCCTCCCAAGTAGCTGGGATCACAGGTGCCTGCACCACACCTGGCTAATTTTTGTATTTTTAGTAGAGACGGTGTTTCACCACATTGGCCAGGCTGGCCTCAAATTCCTGACCTCAGGTGATCTGCCCGCCTCGGCCTCCCAAAGTGCTGGGATTACAGGTGTGAGCCACTGCACCAGGCCCTGTGTTGCCTATGCTTTCTTTCAGCAGCGTTTTGCAGCTCTTCTTATGAAGATCTTTCACCTCCTTGGTTAGATGTATTCCTCAGTATTTTATATTGTGTGTGGCTTTTATAAATGGGATTGTGTTCTTGATTTGGCTCTCAGTTTGAATGTTACTGATGTATAGAAATTCTACTAAATTTTGTACATTGATTTTGTATCCTGAAATTTTCCTGGTGTCATGTTCAGTTCTAGGAGCCTTTTGGCAGTCTTTAGGATTTTCTAGGTATAGAGTCATATCATCTAAGAGAGATAGTTTGGCTTCTTCTTTTCCTATTTGGATGCTTTTTATTTCTTTCTCTGGCCTGATTGCTCTGGCAAGGACTTTCGGTACTATGTTGAATAGGAACAGTGAGAGTGGGCATCCTTGTCTTGTTCTAGTTTTCCAGGGGAATGCTTCCAGTTTTTGCCCATTCAGTATGATGTTGTCCGTGGTTTTGTCATAGATGGCTCTTATTATTTTGAGGTATGTTTCTTTGATGCCTAGTTTCTTGAGGGTTTTTTAATCATGAAGGGGTGTTGGATTTTACTGTAAGCCTTTCTGCATCTATTGAGATGATCATATGGTTTTTGTTTTTAATTCTGTTTATGTGGTGAGTGGCATTTATTGATTTGTGTATAGTGAACCAACCTTGCATGCCAGGAATGAAGCCTACTTAATCATGGTGCATTGACTTTTTGATGTGCTGCTGGATTCAGTTTTCTAGTATTTCATCAAGGATTTTCGCATGTATGTTCATCAAGGATATTGGCCTGAAGTTTTCATTTTTCATTGTGTCTTTGCCAGTTTTTGGTATCAGGGTGATGCTGGCTTCACAGAATGAGTTATGGAGGAGTCCCTCAGCCTCAATTTTTTGAAATAGTTTTAGTAGGATTGGTACCAGCTTTTCTTTGTACGTCTGATATAATTGAGCTGTGAGTCCATCTGGTCTGGGGTTTTTCTTGTTGGTAGGTTTTAAATTACTGATTCAATTTCAGAACTCAATATTTGTCTGTTCACGGTTTTAATTTCTTCCTGATTCAACCTTGAGAGATTGTGTATTTCCAGGAATTTATATATTTTCTCTAGATTCTAGCATGTGTGTATAGAGGTATTTCTAGTAGTCTCTGAGGATCTTTGTATTTCTGTGGGATCAGCTGTAATGTCACCTTTGTCATTTCTGATTGTGCTTATTTGGATCTTCTCTCTTTTTTTCTTTTTTAATCTAGCTAGTAGTTTATCAATCTTTTTTTTCCTTTCAGAAAACTAACTTTTGATTTCATTGATTCTTTGTATGGATTTTGGGGTTTCAATTTTGTTCATTTCTGCTCTGATTTTAGTTATTTATTTTATTCTGCTAGCTTTGGGGTTAGTTTGTTCTTCTTTAGTTTCTTTAGGTGTGATGTTAAATCATTAATTTGAAATCTTCTAACTTTCTGAGGTCAGCATTTAGCACTATAAACTTTCCTCTTAACACTGCTTTTGCTGCATCCCAGAGATTTTGGTATGTTCTGTTTCTTTTTTCATTTATTTCAAATAATTTTTTTATTCCTGCCTCAATATTATTGTTTACCCAAAAGTCATTTGAGAGGAAGTTGTTTGATATCCATGCAATTGTGTAGTTTTGAGAGATCTTCTTGGTATTGATTTCTATTTTTATTCCACTGTAGTCCAAGAATAAGGCTGATTTGGTTTTGATTTTTTTGAATTTATTGAGACTTGTTTTGTGGCTGAGCATGTGGTTGATATTGGAATATATTCCATGTTCAGATGAGAGAAACATGCATTTTGTAGTTGATGAATAGAATAATCTGTAGATGTCTATCAGCTTCAGCTGATAAAGAGTTGAATTTAAATCCGGAATTTCTTTGTTAGTTTTCTGCCTTGATGATATATCTAACACTTTCAGTGGGGTGTTGAAGTCCCCTAGTATTATTGTATGGCTGTGTAAGTCTTTTTTTATGTCTAGAATTATTTTTTTTATGAATCTGTGTGCTCAAATATTGGGTGCACATATATTTAGGATAGTTAAGTCTTCCTGTTAAATTGAATCCTTTATCATTATGCAATGCCCTTCTTTGTCCCCCCCCCCCCCCCCACATTTTTTGGTACTGTTTTTTGTTTTAAAATCTGTTTTATCTGATATAAGAATAGTAATACCTGATCTTTTTTGTTTTCTGTTTGCACAATAGATCTTTCTCCAATTCTTTACTTTGAGCCAATGGGTGTCCATTACATATGAGATGAGTCTCTTGAAGACAGCAGATTAATGAGTTTGTTTGTTTTTTTTTTCAATCCAGCTTGCCACTCTGTGCCTTTTAAGTGGGGCATTTAGACCATTTATATTCAAGGTTAATATTGGCATGTGAGGTTTTGATCCTATTATGAAGTTGTTGGCTGGTTGTGTTTTAGTTTCTATTGTGTGATTAGCTTACAGGATTTGTAGGCTATGAACATAAGTGTGTTTTTGTAGTAGCAGGTATCGTTCTTTCATTTCTATGTTTAGAACTCCCTTAAGGATCTCTTGTAAGGCTGCCCTAGTGGTAACAAATTTCCTTAGCCCTTCCTTGTCTGGCAAAAATTTTATTTTCCCTCTGTTTATGAAGTTTAGTTTGGTGGGATATGAAATTCTTGTTTGGAACTTCTTTTCTTTGAGAATGCTGAAAATAGGTCCCCAATCTCTTCTGCTTGTAAGGTTTCTGCTGAGATGTCCACAGTTTACCTGATGGAGTTTCCTTTGTATGTGATCTGACCTTTTTGTCTAGCTGCATTTAAGATTTTTTCTTTAGCGTTGACCTTAGACAGGCTGGTGAATGTATACCTTGGCGATATTTGCTTTGCACCGTGTCTTGCAGGTGTTCTCTGGATTTCTTGTGTCTGGATGTCTACCTCTCTAACAAGATTAGGGAAATTTTCTTGAATTATTCCCTCAAATATGTTTTCCCATTTGTTTACTTTTTCTCCTCCTCTCTAAGGAATGCCAATAATTCATAGGTTTGGTCACTTTACATAATCCTGTATTTCTGGTAGACTTTGTTCATTGTTTAAAATTCTTTTTGCTTCATTTTTGTCTGACTGGAATAGTTCAAAAACCAAGTTTTCAGATCTGAAATTCTTTCTTCTGCTTGGTTCAGTCTATTGGTAAAACTTTCAACTGTATTTTGAAATTCCTTAAATGAGTATTTCAATTCCAGAAGCTCTGATTGATTTCTTTTTAAGATGTTTATCTCTTCCTTCATTTCCTGAATTGCTTTAGAAGTTTCTTTGTGGTGTCTTGGATCTCATTGAGCTTCCTTGAAATCCATGCTTTGAATTCTTTATCTTTTATTTCCATCATCACTACTTAGGAGCCATCTCAGGTACTATTTCTTCAGCTTATTTGTCTGGTCAGCATGTCTACTTGCAGGGGCTTCCCAGCAGTTCTAAACAATAGAGACCATTTCCTTTGAAAATCAGCACTTTATTAATGTGCTGTGCTTGTGTCAGAAGAAAAAGGAAACTTTTTTATGACAGGGAGAGAAAAGTAAAGTTTGCGGGAAAAGAAAATACCAAAAGTCAAGATGCTGAAACTAGAACCTCATCTGCATCAGGGCCACACATCACAGCTTCCTCTAGTTTGGTTCCATGTCCTGGTGTTCATTAGATCACAGAACCTCAGAGTAGGATGAGCTATTGAAGATTTCTCAATGTTGCACCCTTCCCTCTCACACCCTGATGACCTGGTAAATATTTCTAATCCCCTCACTTTTCTCTTACATCGTATGGCAGGAAGCAGAGTGATGTAGTAGAAAGACTATGGGCTTTGGAATCAAATTGATCTGGGATTGAATTCCATTTCTGCTATTCTGAACTCTATAATATTGGGCAAGTTGCCCATTTCTGTCTCAGTTTCTTTATTAGGAAAATAAAGATAGTAATAGCTACATTTTAGGGCTTTTGTCAAGAATAAATGGCAAAATTACCAAGTTTGCTAGTATAATATTTGGCACACAGGTGTTCAATAATGGTTCTTAGTATTTTCTCCATCTTGAGGCTGATTTTCTTTTGGATACTCTACTTTATCAATGCCCTTCTGAAAGTGAGTAAAGCCTAGAATGAAACAGAATTCTGATACCATCTCAAATATGGATAAGCACACAGACACACACACAGGCTTGTTATGCACAAAGAACTGTGCTAAATACTTTGCATGCAATATCTTATCAAAACATTAAAGAAGTCTTTGAAGTGGCATAATGTACCATTTATAAATGAAGAAGTTGAGATTCAGAAAGGGTATATCTCTTGCTCAGGGCCACATGTAGTCAGCTGTGGGGCAGGTAGCTCAGGCTAAGGATTGGCTTCTATGGGTGAGGAGCTGGGGTGAGGTCCTACCTGAAGTACCATTGTGTGGTGGAAGTGGTGCAAGGAGGTAGAGAGCCAGGAACGCAAACCTGGTCAGATTGTTTCCGAAAGAGCTGCATTTTAAACCCTAGCAGCCATGTGCAAAATGCAAGTCCACAGGGCCAAGCAATATTGGCTGTCTTGGGACCTAAACAATAGTATTTGGGGGATAAACAGGGTGGTAGTATTGAAATTGGGATGGAGATAGGGTTTCCTGGGCTAATTGTGTGACTTTCCTGGGCTAGTTGTATGGGCTGGTGAATGCATGAGTAAGTGAGGATGAACTGAAGGATCTGCATCAAGGCAGACATGAAATGGGGCCTCTCACAAATGTCTCTTTATTTATTCTACATATCCTGTGTGAAGTTCGATTTAGATTTTTCAGGGCCTGAAACAGGATGCAGCTGCCATATGGGGAAAGTCTGGTCTCCTTAATGCTCACAAAGCTGTCTACAAGGATGATGATGCTGTCTTTGCCACAATCAGAGATATACTTCTACAGAAGACTTCTTTGCTTCCTCATTTTCCTCTAGTGCTAGGCCTCCCAAGTGAGTGGACAGATGATAGGAAATGCTCCTACTGCAACTTGAAGGCCAATGACCGTTGTAATGCAGGTCTGATGACTCAGTATTGATGACACCCAGGTTCGGTCTTGGAGGCTCTTTCTTTTTTCCTCTCATCTTTTTCTTTGCAGCTCTGTCATTGCTTAATGGCCCTCCACCTCCACCACCACCAAAGTCCTGAGAGACATAAAAGTTAGGTCTAGGATATGGAACTGAGCTGAGGAGCTAATTCAGTTCAGTCCAACAACTGGTTAATTCAAATACATTTGGCTGAGATTCTAATAGCAAATCGAGGCCCCCAACCTCAATGGGGTACTTATTTCACTACTCAGCCTGCTTTTCAGGTAAGCTCTACCCTGATCAAATATGCTTTGGTGGAGACATCTTTACATTTTATTTCTCAATTTTGTTTCTATAAAGAAGACACAAACTATGCTTCTTTCTAAAATGATACTCAAAAAAATTTGGCATGACTTTAAACATTTGGTATCAGTAAGTATATACATATATGTAAGATATGTACACATGTGTGTACAAACACACACACACACACACACACACACACCCCTTGATATTTTATAAGTTCCATGTGAGTACTTAGTTGCTTTGATATTGCTTGGAATTGCTGGCATCAGGGAGAAGCACTCTGTCTTTCATTACAAAGATATAATTATAAGAACTACTGATGATTTGTAACCAAGGAAGGACTGACAGTGACAAGTCTAATTAGGCATTGAAACAGAGTGATGATCCATATTTAGCTGATTTTGACTCTTCCTGAATGAGAATTCTTCTGAACACAAACTATTCATATTTACTTAAATATCAGGGAAAATTAAACTGGATGAAAAAAGCATGGGCTTTGTTGTTCCCATGATAAGAATTATACATTTATATATGTGTGCATGTGTGTGTGTTTTTGTGTGTGTGTGTCTGTGTATGCATCTATCTGTTTTGTTTTTGTTTTTAAGACAAAAGGTGATCGGAAAAATGGAATGAACATATTTTTTGGTATGTCTTACACTAAATGCAACTAAAAATCCTGAACATTATATATAAAACAAACATAAGATGGCTCTGAAAGGTATGCAGAAGGCAGACTGGCTAAGGACCTCAGGACCCAAGGAATGACCGTGTTTTCTTTTTGAATCTGAAGAAGCTGGCAACCCAGAAATGCCAATAGGCACAGATAAAAACCAAAAGCTCTAAGAAAAGCCTACTTTCCCTAACCAAAGGACTAGGAAAAGGACAGCCTGGCAAGACAGACTTTTAGACAAGAATCGCTGTACTCCACCTTAGAAAACACTGTGGCCGCACTCTGCTTATGCCAGCAAAGGCCAAGTAGGGAGCCCAGATTTCCACCCCTAGCAGGCTATAATGAGGTGCCCTAGCTTCTCCCCCATAATGGGGATGCTGCCCAAGAAGGTGTAGTAGGGAACTGAAATCTTGATTTCTGCTTGGCGATACAAAATGCATCCTTCCCCCTCCCTTGGGAAAGTGTCAGAAGAGGCCTAGGGGACAGTCCAGGCTTTTACCACTGCCTCATTTTAAAGAGGTTCCTCCCACCCTCCACCAGTGGAGGCCACATGGGGAGTAGGAAGGAAGCACTCCAGTGCCTCCATCCCTGCCCCATCAGTAACTAGGAGCAACCCCTCGAGTGCCAGCGGAGGCCAGAGGGAGAACCTGGACTTCTATCCCTACCTGGCAGTAACAAGGTGGTATCCCCACTTTCCTGTTGGAGCAGGATCAAAGAAAGCCCACTAGACCAGAAGGTTTAAGTAAGATCTGGAGTCTCATAATAACTGAGATGTCCAGATTTCAACCAAAAATCACCTGTCATACCAAGAACTTAGATGATCTCAAACTGACTGAAAAAAGGCAATTAGTAGGTGCCAATAGAGAGATGACAAAGATGTTAGAATTACTTGACAAAGATTTTAAAGCAACCATTGTAAAAATGCTTCAGTGAGCAATCATGAACACACTTGAAACAAAAAAAAAAAAAAAAAAAAAAGGAGTTAGCCCCAAAAAGACTTGGGTAAAAAACTTTATAAAGAAAGCATTTTAAAAAATTGTTGTGAATTTCTACAGAGGTGACAATAAGCTCAAGGTTTTATTCGAACTTTCTTGGAAATCTCCCCATCACTTACAGACAAGTTTAGAATAAAGAGGAGTGGTCAGTCAGCATCCAGTCTTGGCTCCTGGAAGGCTCATGTGGCCAAGAGGGAGAGAGACTGAGGTGTGCATCAGGCCCAGCAGGTGATGTGGTAAGAGCTTGACAGGTCAGGAGTAGATAGTGCTGTGTTAGTATCAAAGTCCAGAAGGGAAGACAAAAACAGAGTTGGAGAGTTATGTTCATCTGAGGGATACTGGAATGGACATGGCCTCTAATTGAACAGCCTGGGGCTAGTGTTCAAGATAGCCAACCAAATAGGAGGGGATTCTAGATGGAGCAGTGCTGGGAGTGTTTCCTAAAACAGAGACATGGGCAGAGCCAGGGAGGGTGAAGCAGTTAATCTGAACTAAATCATAAAACTATGTAACTCTTGTGCAACTGGGAGTAGGCAAAGGGAAGTTATTTAATGAGAAAGCCACTAATAATCTTCCTTATACAAAGAACCATAGTTTTTTACTCTGTCATCCAGAGATGGCAGAGGACAAAGTCTGATACCTCCCCTGGTGTCTCAACTATCTAATACCATGCCCATTAAGTCCTGGGCATGAAAATTTCCTCTTTGCTTCACATATTTCATTATGTCTTAATGCCATTTTCCCTTAATGGCTTGTGTTTTTACCTCCTAGAAGGGGGTAGTAGGTGGTGGTGGTAGAGGAAAAGGCACAGGGCCAGTGATGGACTGAACAGGCAGCTCACCTCCTGGCGTCTGTGGCTGTTCCATCATTGCACCACACATTGTTGGACCCCCTTTGACATGGTCATTATATATGACCACTCATGCTGATCTGTCTTCATTGTTGTTGGCACAGTTTCTTGCTTTTGCAGAATTATTTGGTGTACTCACAGTTCCTTCTATTGATTCTTCCACACTTATACAGCAAGAAAGAGCTACACAGGTAAGCTTTTTCTTTGTTTGTTTGTTTTTGAGACAGGGTCTGGAGTGCAGTGGTGTGATCATAGCTTACTGAAGCCTTGACCTCCCAGGCTCTGATGATCCTCCCATCTTAGCCTCCTGAGTAGCTGGGACTATAGGCATATGACACCGCATCTGGTTAATTTTCAATTGCTTTGTAGAGACGGGGTTTCGCTATGTTGCCAGGGCTCATTTATAAACTTTTTAGACAGAAATATATTGGGCAGAAGAAAGAGAATTAAAAAGATGCCAAGTTATACTCTTACCTTATACCATACACCAAAACTATTCCAGATAAATTAAACATTTACATATTAATAAAAAGTGAATTTAAAAATGCAGGTGATTGTAAGAAATATATTTCTAAGAATAACAAGAAAGATAAAAACCATAAAAGAAAATATTGAAATGATTTGAATTACATTAACCATAAAAATGTCTGCAAGTCTTAGTTATCTCTGGGTGGTGATATTTAGGTGATTGTGGTTCACTTATCTATCGCTTCTCTGTATTTTACATTTTTTTAGTAAACATATAGAAATTATTTTATATGTTCCATACAATAAAACAATATTGAAAGTCAAACATCAAACTGAGGAAAAATAATGGCAACATATAGATTACCTTTCAGCATATAATATGTAAAGAGTTCTGACACATCAATATGAAAAACACTCAGTTCTCAATAGTCAGTTCCACACATGTTGTTCATCTGAGGACTCTGGGTAAAAATATTCACAAAATAGAGTATTCACAAAAGAGGCACTACAAATGGGCATTCAAAAGCAATAATACTTAGTGTATTATCTATTTAAATAAATGCAAATTAAAGCACTAGGATGCATTCTAGTGGGTGCCTGTCAAAATGCCAGAGGTTAAAAATAATTTCACACATAGCTGGTGGCCTTGTAAATTGATATAATCTTTTTGAAAAGCAATTTGGGGATGAGTAAAAAACATTTTGTTTACTTTTGAATAGCAAATTCTACTGCTAGTAATTGATTTTCAGAAAATTATCATAAATGTGTTAAAAATTCAGATTCTATCCAAAGAAGTTTTTCCAACCACAAAAAATTTAATGTCCTCAAAATAGGGGATTGGTTAAGTAAATTAGGGTCTATTCATAAGGCCAAACAAAAACAATGCTTTATAAGTGAATTTCCAGAAAAATATCTGACATGAGAAACATGCAGAATATTTTTCTTAAAAAGTCTATATAAAACAGTATTTTTAAAAAAAGAAAAATCACATGTAAATAAGAGACGAGATAGACACATCAAGTGTGAATAGTGGTTACGTTAAGTAGGGGAATTAGGTTTGATCCTTTCTGCTCCTTTATTTGGCTTATTTATGTTACATGTATTTTTTCAATTAGCATATATTCTATGGGAAAATATTTAAATTTTTTTTTAGAAAGTTGGCAGCCAGCATGAGGAGATAAAATAGGCCACACTCTTTGTATAGCCTGTCACTGTTTCACAAAGGAGTGATATTATTTTGCTGACAGCCCTGAAGACCACTCAAACTCACATTGCAAATCTGTCCATGATCAGAACCAAATCCAGCTCAAGGACTCAAGGAGAGAATTTCCAAACATAACTAGGGCGAACATTTTCTTCTCCTCCAAGCTCAGGAGGACGAATGCAATTGTCTTCTGTGCAAGAGGGAGGGAAAAGCTAAGGCTCAGAAGCATAAATGCTGCAGTAATATTTTCGTCCACAGATTGAGAGAGAAAAACTCACCCTAGGAAAGACGCTCCCTTGGTTTGTGCATTGTGAATTTCTTAGAAAACTTCAGGGAGGGGAGGGGTTGGGGGTTCCATGTGGTTGGTTTTCACTGAATAGTATCAAGCCAAAAGAAAGTCCATAGCTAATTGGCCCTGTGGGAGGGGGAAATGCTATCAAGACTTTTTTCTTTTCTTTATTTTTTTTAAGTGCAGTAGGCGCAGAGACGTGACACTGCATGTTGTGGGGGTAGTATTGGTGTTCCAGCCAATTCTCTCCTGGACAGAGGAGCAACTAGAATAGCAAGTGAGATTAGCAATGAGCGACCAACATTACATTTGCATCTGAAAGTGCCCACCACAAACAGCTGAGGCAGCATTTGTGCAGGAGAGGAGGTTTGAACAAATCCTTGAGTGCTGCCTGCCCGAGGACTCTAGCCTCAATGAGCGAGCCTTCTGGATTCAGAACTAACATCTCATGTCAAAGGAAATAGTCCCTATCACAGGTTAAATCATCTATTCATGGGATTGCAGTGTCCACATTTTCCATTCCTCCATCCTCTCCGCGTACGTTGTCTTTCCCTCTTCTTTCCTGCTCGGTTTGTTCCACCTCTTTCACCAGACAGGGGATGTGGTCTGACATTCCTTTGTTTCAACATTTGAAAATATGTGAGGAGAGAATAGTCCTTGAAATTAGACAGATTAAATGTCTCTGGCCCTGGGAATCTGATTAATTTTTTTCGCTCCCCGAGGATATAAATGTAGTGTCCAATTATTATCTGAATTTTCTGAATTATTCTTGTACAACACTCTTTCCTCTGTCGGGGGAAAACAGCAAGGACAAAAGAATAGAATTCCACTTTCTTCTAGGGGAACAAGAAAGGATTGAAATTCGAGTTTTCCCAGGCTTCTTGTGGGACGCCAAGGAAGACTGAATTGCATAATTTCACAAAAATGTGAGATGCGACCTCTGCCTCCATGAACTCTAATAATAAATAGTCAAGGGATTAGAGAAACTAAGAAACATATGCACTATTTCCTGACCTGAGCACAGTTAAAGATCTCGATTGTAAAATGTTAAGTGCCTCAAAACCAAATAACTACAGACACAGGAAATGTAATTCACCACGGAGGAATCCTCCTGCCACAGAGGTTTCTTTTAAAATAACTATCGGGGAGAACCTGGAGGTAACACTTTAGTATTTGTTGCATTGCACAATAAATTCAGAAACTCTATATTGGAAACCTTGCCCTTTCCTCCAATAGAGATTGTATCCAAAGGCAAAGATAGATTTTAAGATATTGCTATTTAATAATTTCCTTCTTCCAGGCCTAAGGCTAACTTCTTGATATTCAACTATATGCATCTGTTTGTGCTTAAAATGGATTGATCACTTGCTCTACGGCAAGTTGCTCAGTGAGCCTGGGCTAAGAGCAGAACTGCTGGGCTTGGGACACTAGGCAAGTGAGGCTCTGAAGGTCTCAGTTACACTGTCCCAGTGGTGGCCCAGGCCCTACCAATGGAAAGAAGACTGAGTATCTGGGCTGGCAACTCTGGAAAGAAAGATGCAGAGGAAGCAGGGGCCTATTAAATTAAGCAATTGTTTATTGGGCACTTACTTGTGCTGTGTACTGCGCGAGAGCTATACACTGGGAATGCAAAAATAAATAGGACACTATCGGGGAATCTGCCCCGATATTCACGTAGGTTATTTTTTATTTTTCCTAAGTGTCCACCGGCTTGAGAAATAAAGCGACAGAGTACAAAAGAGAGAAATTTTAAAACTGGGAGTCCGGGGGAGACATCACATGTCAGTAGGTTCCGTGATGCCCCACAAGCCTCAAAAACCAGCAAGTTTTTATTAGGGATTTTCAAAAGGGGAAGGAATGTGCGAATAGGTGTGGGTGACAGACATCAAGTACTTAACAGGGTAATAGAATATCACAAGGCAAGTGGAAGCAGGGCGAGATCACAGGACCACAGGACCGAGGTGAAATTAAAATTGCGAATGAAGTTTCGGGCACCACTGTCATTGATAACATCTTATCAGGAGACAGGGTTTTGAAATCAACTGGTCTGACCAAAATTTATTAGGTGGGAATTTCCTCTTCCTAATAAGCCTGGGAGCGCTATGGGAGACTGGAGTCTATTTCATCTCTGCAGCCTCGATCATAAGAGACAGCTACGCCCAGGGGAGCCAGCTTAGAGACCTACCTGCAGGCACACATTCTCTTTCTCAGGGATGTTCCATGCTGAGAAAAAGAATTCAGTGATATTTCTCCCATTTGCTTTTGAAAGAAGAGAAATATGGCTCTGTTCCACCCAGCTCACTGGCGGTCAGAGTTTAAGGTTATCTCTCTTGTTTCCTAAACATTGCTGTTATCTTGTTCTTTTTTCAAAGTGCCCAGATTTCATATTGAGAGGTGACTGACAGCGTGCTGGCAGTCCTCAGAGCCCTCGCTTGCTCTCGGTGCCTCCTCTGCCTGGGTTCCCACTTTGGCGGCACTTGAGGAGCCCTTCGGCCAGCGGCTGCATTGTGGGAGCCCCTTTCTGGGCTGGCCAAGGCCAGAGCCGGCTCCCTCAGCTTGCAGGGAGGTGTGGAGGGAGAGGTGCAAGCAGGAACTGGGGCTGCACGCAGCGCTTGTGGGCCAGCTGGAGTTCTGGGTGGGTGTGGGCTTGGCGGGCCCCACCCTCGGAGCGGCCGGCTGGCCCTGCTGGCCCTGGGCAATGAGGGACTTAGCACCTGGGCCAGTGGATGCAGAGGGTGTACTGGGTCCCCCAGCAGTGCTGGCCCACCGGCGCTGTGCTCGATTTCTCGCAGGGCCTTAGCTGCCTTCCCGCAGGGCACGGGTCGGGACCTGCAGCCCGCCATGCCTGAGCCTCCCACCTACTCCATGGACTCCTGTGCAGCCCGAGCCTCCCCGATGAGCACCACCCCCTGCTCCACGGCGCCCAGTCCCATCGACCACCCAAGGGCTGAGGAATGCAAGCGCACGGTGCAGGACTGGCAGGCAGCTCCACCTGCAGCCCCGGTGCGGGATACACTAGGTGAAGCCAGCTGGGCTCCTGAGTCTGGTGGGGACGTGGAGAGTCTTTATGTCTAGCTCAGGGATTGTAAATACACCAATCAGCACCCTGTGTTTAGCTCAAGGTTTGTGAGTGCACCAATCGACACTCTGTATCTAGCTGCTCTGGTGGGGCCTTGGAGAACCTGTGTGTGGAAACTCTGTATCTAACTAATCTGATGGGGACGTGGAGAACCTTTGTATCTAGCTCAGGGATTGTAAACGCACCAATCAGCGCCCTGACAAAACAGGCCACTCGGCTCTACCAATCAGCAGGATGTGGGTGGGGCCAGATAAGAGAATAAAAGCAGGCTGCCTGGGCCAGCATTGGGAACCTGCTGGGGTCCCCTTCCATAGTGTGGAAGCTTTGTTCTTTCGCTCTTTGCAATAAGTCTTGCTACTGCTCACTCTTTGGGTCCACGCTGCTTTTATGAGCTGTAACACTCACTGTGAAGATCTGCAGCTTCACTCCTGAGCCCAGCGAGACCAGGAGCCCACTGGGAGGAACGAACAACTCCAGACGCGCCGCCTTAAGAGCTGTAACACTCACCGCAAGGGTCTGCGGCTTCATTCTTGAAGTCAGTGAGACCGAGAACCCACCAATTCCGAACACAATATTGCTCAAACACACATGCTGTATAATTTGTGCAGTTAATGCAATTATTACAGAGTGCTGAGGCGATATACATCCTTCTCAGCTGCCAGGATTAAGAGATTAAAGACAGGCATAGGAAATCACAAGGGTATTGATTGGGGAAGTGATAAGTGTCCGTGAAATCTTTACAATTTATGTTTAGAGATTGCAGTAAAGACAGGCATAAGAAATTATAAAAGTATTAATTTGGGGAACTAATAAGTGTCCATAAAATCTTCACAATCCACATTCTTCTGCCATGGCTTCAGCCGGTCCCTCCGTTTGGGATCCCTGACTTCCAGCAACAGGACACAGCCCTTGCCCATAAGAATGTTACAATCTAATAGGAAAATATACCTAAAATAGTATATGCTACATGCTAAATTAGTAATATAAACACCACTTTTAAAATTAGTAATATGAACACCACTTTTACCTGCAAACTCAGAGATAGAAAAAGTCCTTAAAAAGTCCTTCAGCAAAAATCATGGTCCAAAAGAAATTTGTCAGGAGTTATTTCTTTTTTTTTAATATGTCTTTTTTTTTTCTTTTTGAGACAGGGTCTTACTCTGTCACTCAGGCTGGAGTGCAGTGGTGTGATCTCGGCTCACTGCAACCTCAGTCCACTGAACCTCTGGGCCCAAGAGATCCTCCCACCTCTGCCTCCCAAGTTGTTGGGACTACAGGCATGCATCACCATGCCCAGCTAATTTTTGTGTTTTTAGTAGAGACAGGGTTTCACCATGTTGGACAGGCTGGACTTGAACTCCTGGCCTCAAGTGAACCATCTGCCTCAGCCTCCCAAAGTCCTGGGATTACAGGCATGAGCCACTGTGCCTGGCCCATGGAGTTATTATAGGGATGTTCTCTCTTGATCCCCAGGTCAGTGGTGTCCAAAGTAAGTATGGGTACCTGATATCGTTTGGATGTCCCCTCCAGATCTCATGTTAAGTTGTAATCCTCAATGTTGGAGGTGGAGGCTGGTGGGAGGTGTTTGGATCATGGCGGCAGATCCCTCATGAGCTTGGTGCTGTCCTGGCGATAGTGCCTTGAGTTCTTGTGAGATCTGTTTTTTTAAGTGTGTGGCACTTCCCCCACACTCTCTCTCTTACTCCTGCTTTCACCATGTGAGGTGCCTGCTCCCTCTTCACCTTCCACCATGAGTAAAAGTTCCCTGAGGCCTTCCCAGAAGCCAAGCAGATGCCGGCACCATGCTTGTACAGCCTGCAGAAGCATCAGCCAATCACACCTCTTTTCTTTATAAATTACCCAGTCTCAGTTATTTCTGTATAGCAATGCAAAACAGCCTGGGATAATACTCTAGCAGGTGCACAAAGTAATCATGCTGCTGCAGAAATAAAATATTGTAACAAGTTTATATTTTTAATGTATCCTTTTACATTTTATTTTTGCATATATTTTATAACATATGACAATGATTCCATAGTACATGTTTATATTTACAAAAATAATGTATTTTATTGGGGGTGCATGCTCAAAAAGTTTTAACACATGGATGTGAAAAAAGTTTGAAAACTGTGGAGTTCATTTATCCCCCATCTGTAGGCCCAGGCTCCTGGATGGTCTTTGTTCCATCTTTGGGCAGTTTAGATATGTCTCAGCAACTCTAAGCTCACCCAACTGTCTCACTCCTCATCCCTGTTCAGCAAAGAGAGGACCCTCAAATGACCTGCATCCTTCCTTCTTAAAAGGTAGCCTGCAATTATATGACATTTTTCCCCCTTTTATGTCACAGACGGATGAGGAGGCAGACACATAGGTGAAGTAATTTGTCCAACATTATAGGACTAGTATTACTAAAGTGCTTTGAGAAATAAAACAAAACAAAACAACCATGATATTGGCTGATGTGTTTTACTAGTAAGAAACTGGCCAAAGTTTTTAGTGGAAAAGCAAAAATTGACAAAACCTGTTGTTACAAGAATAATTAAAGCCATGAGATACACATAACAGGGTAAATGAATCAGCATAACCAATGACTACTCATGGAATTTTGTAGTCATGGAGGCCCTAGTTAAAATCCTGACCTGGGACCAGGCATGGTAGCTCATACCTGTGGTCCCAGCACTCTGGTAGGCCAAGGTGAGAAGATTGCTTGAGGCCAGGGGCTCAAGGCCAGCCTGGGAAATATAGCAAGACCCCATCTCTACAAAAAATAAAAAAAATGTAGCTGGGCATAGTGGTGTGTGTCTGTAGTCCCAGGTACTTGGGAGGCTGAGGTGGGGGTTGGCTTGAGCCCAGGAGTTCAAAATTTCAGTGAGCAATGATCATGCCCATGCACTCCAGCCTGGGCAAGAGAAGAAGACCCTGTCTGAAAAAGACAAAAAAAAAAAAAAAAAAAAAAAAATCCTGACCTTGCCACTCCATAGCTCTCAGACCTAAGCAGTTACAAAAACTGTTTAAGCATATCTGGTGCTGTTCTTGAATTGCAAGGAATAGAAACTAGCTCTGGCTAACATAAATACCTCCAAAAGGAATTTGTTGGGAGGGAACAGGGTCATTCACAGAATAAAAGGAAGAGCTGAAACTCAAGCTGTGTAAAGAGACAGAGTCTAGGAAAGTTCCAAGGATCTTGATAGTGACATTAAGCCTCTTATATCTTTAGGATACTCAGCTCTGACAACTCCACTGTAGCCGCTTTTGAGTCCTGGGATGCATCTTCATTCAAATTTAAGTTCTCAGGATAGGGATTCTACTTGGCCTGTTCTGATCATGTGCCTATTCCCGTGGTCCTGTGTCTTGATAAAGCTGAGATGGAAACCCTAGTGGTTTACAGATTAGGGGAAAGGTTGATTCTCAAGGGAAGGAAAGCTAAGCAGACCAAAATAAGTCCTGTCTACAGGTGTAGTTGTTTTATCGCACTTTGCTTTGCAGTGCTTTGCAGATATTGTATCCTTTACAAATTGAAGATTCGTGGCAATCCTGTGTTGAGCAAGTTCTATTGGTGCCATTTTCCAACAGCACATGCTCACTTTGTGTCTTCATGTCATTAAAAAAAATTTGTGTTTGTTTATTTTACTTATTTGTATTATTTTAGAGACAGGGTGTCACTCTGTCAGCCAGGCTGAGGTGCAGTGGCACTACCATAGCTCACTGAAGCCTCGAATTGCTAGGCTCAAGTGATCCTCTTATCTCAGCCTCCCAAGTAGCTAGGACTACAAGTGTGCACCACCATGCCCAGCTAATTAATTTTAATTTTTATTTTTGTAGAGATGGGGTCTTGCTATGTTGCCCAGGCTGGTCTTGAACTCCTGGCCTCAAGCAATCCTCCCACCTTGGCCTCCCAAAGCACTGGGATTATAGGAATGAGCCACCACACCCAGCCTCTGTGCCACATTTTGGTAATTCTAGCAATATTTCAAATTTTATTATTGTCTCTGTTATGGTAATCTGTGATCAGTGATTTTTGATGTTGCGTTGTAATCTTTTTGGTGTGCCACAAACCACATTTACATAAGATGGCAAATTTAATCCATAAATGTGTGTGTTCTGACTTCTCCACCAACTGGCTGTTTCTTTACCTCTTTCCCGTTCCTTGGGCCTCCTTGTTCCCTAAGACCCAACAATATTGAAATTAGGCCAATTAATAATCCTACAATGGCCTCAATGTGTTCAAGGGAAAGGAAGAGTCACATGTCCTTCACTTTAAATCAAAAGCTAGAAATGATTAAGGATTGTAAAGACAGTATGTCAAAAGCTGAATTAGTGAAACTTAGGCCTTGTGCACCAAACAGCCAAGTTGTGAATGCAAAGGAAAAATTCTTGAAGAAAATTAAGGCCAGGTGCAGTGGTTCATGCCTGTAATCCCAGTACTTTGGGAGGCTGAGGGTGACAGATCACTCAAGTCCAGAAGTTTGAGACCAGCCTGGCCAACATGGTGAAACTCATCTCTACTAAAAATACAAAAATTAGCTGGGCATGGTGGCGTGTGCCTGTAATCCCAGCTACTCAGGAGGCTGAGATGGGAGAATCACTTGAATCCAGGAGGTGGAGGTTGCAGTGAGCTGAGATCATGCCACTGTACTCCAGCCTGGGTGACAGAGCAAGACTGTGTCTTAAAAATAATAATAATTATTAAAAGTGCTACTTCAGAACACACGAATTATAAGTGAAACAGCACTACTGCTGATATGGAGAAAGTTTTAGTGGTCTGGATAGAAAATCAAACTAGCCACAACATTCTCTTAAGCAAAAGCCTAATCCAGAGCAAAGCCCTCACTCTCTTTAATTCTATAAAGGCTAAGGGAGGCAAGGAAGCTGCAGAAGAAAGGTTGAAAGGCAGCAGCAATTGGCTTGTGAGGTTTAGGGAATGAAGCTGCCTTCATACCGTAAAAGTGAAAGGTGAAGCAGCAAGTGCTGATGTAGAAGCTACAACACATTATCCAGGAGATCCAGCTAAGATCACTGATGAAGGTGGCTACACTAAACAACTGATTTTCAACATAGACAAAGCCTTCTACTGGAAGAAGATGCCATCTGGCACTTTCATAGCTGCAGAGAAGAAATCAATGTCTGGTTTCAAAGCTTAAAAAAACAGGCAGACACACTTGTTAGGGGCTCATTCAGCTGTTGACTTTAAGTTGAAGCCAGTGCTCACTTACTGTTCTGAAAATTCTAGGGCTCTTAAGAGTTATGCTAAATCTACTCTACCTGTATTCTATAAATGGAACAACAAAGCCTAGATGACAGAATAGCTGCTTATAGCATGGCTTACTGTATGTTTTAAGCTCACTGTTGAGACCTACTGCTCAGAACGAAAAGATTCCTTTCAAAATATTACTGCTTATTGATAATGTACCTGGTCACCCAAGAGCTCTGATGGAAAAGTACAATGAGATGAATGTTATTTTCATGCCTGCTAACACAACATCCATTCTGTAGCTCATAATCAAGGAATAATTTTGACTTTCAAGTCTTATTATTTAAGAAATACATTTTGTAAGGCTGTAGCTGCCATAGATTGTAATTCCTTTGATGGATCTGCACAAAGTAAATAGAAAAGCTTCTGGAAAGAATTCACCATTCTAGATACCATTAAGAATATTCATGATTCATGGGAGCAGGTCAAAATATCAACATTAATGACAGTTTGGAAGAAATTGATTCCAACATTATGGATGATGACTTTGAGGGTTTCAATTCATCAATGGAGGAAGTAATTGAAAATGTAGTAGAAATAACAAGAAAACTAGAATTAGAATCGGAGCTTGAAGATGTGACTGAATTGCTGCAATTTCATGGCAAAACTTGAGCATGTTATTAGTTGCTTCTTATGGATGAGCAAAGAAAGTGGTGTCTTAGATGAAATCTACTGGTGAAGATGCTATGAACGTTGCTGAATTAAAAACAATGGATTTAGAGTATTACATACACAGAGTTGGTAAAGCAGCAGCAGAGTTTGAGAGGATTGACTCCAATTTTTAAAGCTCTACTGTGGGTAAAATGCTATCAAACATCATCTTCTGCTACAAAAAAGTATTTCATGAAAGGAAGAGTCAATCAACGTGGCAAAGTTCATTGTTATCTTATTGTAAGAAATTGCCACAGCCACCCCAGCCTTCTGCAACCACTACCCTGATCCATCAACAGCCATCAACATGGAGGCAAAACCCCTCACCAGCAAAGAGATTACAACTCACTGAAGACTCAGAGGATTGTTAGCATTTTTAGCAATGAATTATTTTTAAATGAAGATATGTACATTATTGTTTTAGACATAATTTTATTGCACACTTAACAGACAAGTATAGTGTAAACATAACTTTAGTATGTACCAGGAAACCAAAAAACATTTGTGTGACTTGCTTTATTGTGATATTTGATTTTTGCAGTGGTCTGGAACTGAACCTGCAATATCTCTGAAGTACGCCTCTACTGTATCACACTTTACTTACTGTCATCAGGAAAATGGGATTAGAAATTCAGATATCATAGGGTTGTTGTGAAGAGTAATTGAACAAGATAATGTTTGCAAAAGTGCTTGATACAAGGCCTGCCACTGATTAAGTATTCTATAATGGTAGCTAGTGTTATGAATTATATAAGATAATATGTTATTATTAAAATATCAGGCTCTCATTCTTATGTAGAAGTGGCTTTAAGTATAGAAATTTTCTATAGGGATCTATTTGATTGAAAGCCAATGATGGAATGAATATTTGGAAAGGAATGTGATAATATAATTAATTCAATTAGAAATTTAGATTATTCGTATCCCTGCTTGGTGCATGGAGACCCACTCCTTTTCAAATTCTTATTATTTTATTTATTTATTTATTTTTGAGATGGCGTCTCACTCTGTCACCCAGACTGGAGTGTGGTGGCACAATCTCAGTTCACTGCAACCTCCGCCTCCCGGGTTCAAGCGATTCTCCTGCCTCAGCCTCCCAAGTAGCTAGGACTATAGGTGCCTGCCACTATGCCTGGCTAATTTTTGTATTTTTAGTAGCGATGGGGTTTCACCATATTGGCCAGGCTGGTCTCGAACTCCTGGCCTTGTGATTAGCCCACGTTGGCCTCCCAAAGTGCTGGGATTACAGGCGTGAGACACCGCGCCTGGCCTCGTATTCTTAAACTCTCTGATTCCAAACACAAATTTGCAAAAAATAAAAACATCAAAAATAAAGCATTCGTTTAAATTACCTCCCTCCCCAGTTACTCTTTCCACAGATCTCGATGTTCTTTTCTTAGTTTTCCTGAACTCTTCAAGGTCTCATGTTTGGTTTGGGAAGGAGGAGTAAATCCTCACTGTGAGGATAAACTACTCACAGGAAGTGTCAATAAGGCACTAAAGAGCCAGTCAATTTTGTGAAAAAAACAGTCAACCCTGGTGACAGAATTTTAGTTAATCAATGGAATTTAGTTAATCAATTCAGTCATTGGACTGAATTAAATGTATTTTTTAAACACCACATCAACATAACCTCGGATTTGGCATTAATTTGTTTCAGGGTTGGTAAACAGTCTCCAGTTGCACAATTATTACCAGCAAAACATCTTTCTCCCTGCAGTTCATAGTTTGTGATGGACAATGAATATGCATGGAGAGGGAAATGGTGGAGATGAGCCTGGAGCTTGTGAACGTGCAGAATCAGTACAGGTAGGATGGGCCGTGGCCCCACTTCTGCTCTGGCAGCATTTTTATTTCCCTTGCAAACTGCTCATCTGTGCTCTGGGAAAAGTTATTCCAGAATAAAAAGTCTTGTGGGAAAGAGCCTTGAGCTCGAACAGTTAAAGGACTTGTTCAGGTTCAAGATGACCAGAAAAATATTCATAGAAGGGCCAGCTGTGCCAGATGCAGAAGAAACAGATGGCTCTTGCATGCGAATGTGGGCGGTGCTTGTATGTATATGGGAAAGGTTCTTGCTGACAAAGCAAAACGGGAAACTGGAGCAATGAGCTGGGTAATTAAAACAAGAGACCCATTTTTGTCGGTTTAGCTGAGCAATTCAGAAAGGTCTAGAAGTAAAACAGTTCTGTGATCTGTGGAGGTCCTCTGAGCTGGATTTAGCAATCTCTTCCTCCCACCAGCAGGTCATTGCCTTGAACAGCCTCTCCCTCCCCTCCCCATTTCACCTGCTCACTGAGTCCTTCAAAACAGACAAACAATACTCCACATAGACCTCCAGAGAACATCCAGGCAGTTCTTTCTCTCCTCCCTCTTATACCCTTAAAAATAAAACACATTTTCACTAGACATTTTACACATCAGGTATCTTGCTGACAGTAGCTTATGTGGGTATGAAGTAGATGACAATGAACTGGTGTCTTCCTGTCTGAAAATATGTCAGATATTCAGGGCAGTGGTTTTTACTGTCTTTGGCATTAAACCCTTGGAGAGGACAGCAAAGCAAGAGTTTAGTAAATGGTAAATTTAGTGAGTGAGTAAACCACAGTTGTATCCAATTTTAAGCCAAGACAAATTTACTATTTACACACATACCCACACTCTCACAGATACATATATTAATACACTAAATACGTGTGTGTGTATTCAGTAGATAAAATGTTTAATAAGGGGTTCTTTAAATAGAAAAGTCCCTGAGTACATTTAAAATATGATTTGATTTACAACATGTGACTGAACACAATCTTTGGGGAATGCATTCTTTGCATAAATTGTGGCAAATGTACAAAGATGATGTTTAAATGATAATAAAATCTTTGGCTGACTAGCAGTTAGCCACATGTACCTTTGGTTTACAAGAAGCTAAACATCCCTAATGGTTTCCAAAATGTATTTCTAAAAGAAAAAACAATGTTCCTCCAAACAGTCCCTTGGCCCGTCATCCTGGGTGTCCATAATTTGGCCCAAATCTTACCTTTCAAACCTTATTTCTCATTCCTCTCCACCAGTTTTCTATTTCTGTTTCTTGCAAGCGAAATGGCTGAGCATTTCAAGGTGCACAAGACATTTACAAAGACCAAGGAGTCAAGGACTGAACCTAAGGATTCTCTGCGGTTCTGAGGCTGTGGGATTGGAGGAACTGCAGAAATTGAGGGCCCCCATGAGAGGCCATTTCTTCTTATCTCTCTGTCTCTGTCTCTGTATCACACAGACACACAGACACACACACACACACACACACACACACACACACACACACACCAGCAGAGATCCCTATACATTTGTAGAACATATCAGTACCACTGGGTACTGGTAGTAAGGGAAGAACCCCACCTAATCTGATGCTGGGGAACTAGAACAGATGTCATATGCAGGTCCTACTTTAAAAGATGTATTAACCAAGCAGATCTCAGGGGTCATTGGCTTGGGTCTTGTGTTAGGGTGGCAGCAACACGGTTTCTGTCTACCTCAGTGGTTGAAGCCTGCCCAGTCTTCTGTTTAGGATCCCCTTTGTTTGCTGATCTTTGTTTGCTGATCTGCATGGTGCCCACACTACCTTTCAAGCTATCTTGAAGATCGTAGCTTGAATTCTATGTTTGACCATGACACAAGCTCATTCTACCTGTCCAACCACACCTTTGTCCTGGGGCAGCGCATCTCCACTGAAATAAACTCTGCCTTACTGACTGAATTCCCATGTTCCTGTTCAAAATCCCAATATCCAGCCATCCTTCTTGAAACAACCACCTCTACCCTGGATTACAACATCTAGCATGATACTCTTCATAGAAGGGAGTCAGGGAATACTGAGGTAAATAAAGTGGCCAATAATTATTTGAGTGAAGAAACAAAACAAAAAAGTATTGTGAAAAATTATCTATGGCCAGGCACGGCAGCTCATGCCTGTAATTCCAGCACTTTGGGAAGCTGAGGTGGGAGGATTGCTTGAGCCTAGGAGTTTGAGACCAGCCTGGACAACATAGTGAGACCCCATATCTACAAAAAAATTTTTTTAGTTAGTTGGGCATGGTGATGCACACCTGTAGTCCCAGCTACTTGGGAGGCTGGGATGGGAGGATTGCTTAAGCTCAAGTGTTTGGGGCTACAGTGAGCTATGACTGCACCACTGCACACCAGCCTGGGCGACAGAGTGAGACCCTGTCTCAAAGAAAACAAAAAACCTATTTGATAAGTGAATTTTTATATTTTAATTCAAATATGTTAAAGCCACACAGACCGGTGGTCTGGGCTGCATCTGTGTTCCGTGTTCCTACCTCCCGGAAGCATGTTGAAGAGATGAAGAGACTTTAGGCCTCTGCTGACTCCTCCTTTGCCTCCCTGGCAAAGTCAATGGGTGTGAGATTAGGGTCAGGAGCTTTGGGTGTGGGTTTAACACTCAGTGGAAGCTTTGTGACCTGGGTCAAGTTAAATTCTGTGAATCTCAATTGCTTCATTTGCTCATAACATGATTTTGAGGATAAAAGGAGATAATTATGTGAATTGGCTTTGGACATTGTCACTTTCTGCATTTTTTTTTTCTGCTGGTAATTCATAAGCACAAAGAGCTGAAGCTATGGACACCTGAGGGGTCAAGGGGTGTAAGTTCTTATGTCAGGCAAGACTAAAATCTAAACTGTTCAAGATGATGGCCCTCTGTATCCATGTGTTCTGCATCCCTGGATTCAACCTACTGTGGCTGGAAAAAAAATAATGGGTGGTTACATCTGTACTGACCATGTACAGGCTTTTTTCTTGTCATTATTCCCTAAACAATATAGTAAAACAACTATTCACATAGCATTTACGTTGTATTAGGTCTTATAAGTAATCTAGGGATGATTTAAAATATACAGGAGGATGTGTGTAGGTTATGTGCAAATAATACACCATTTTTTATCAGGGACTTGAGCATTATGGATTTTGGTATATGCAGGATTCCTGGAACCAATCAATCCCCCATGGATACCAAGGGACAACTGTATTTGAAAGTTTCCATAAGTGGAAAATTCACAAATATCTTTGGTAATGTGTTCAGAGGTTTAGTTACTTGAATTTTGGAAAGGCTTTACCTGTAACATAGTTTGTGCTGCCTTTAGGTCCTATAGCATCTATCAGAAAACTACCAATTAACTCCTAATGTAAAGAAGGCTCTCCCTTTTTGGTCCAAAAGGGTGTGTCTCTAGCTATCCCTTTGGAAGAGCCAGGGCAGTCCTGCGGTAAGGGGGAAGGTGCAGTGCCAGATGACAGGCTATGGATGGTCACTTCTTGCTGCCCCATGGTCCACCATAGGGATTGTACCCATGGAACAGTCACAGGGAACACCTGACTTTCCCTGGGGTAACCCCACACTGGACCTCAATAAGATGCAAGACCTTTTTAATGAAGGTCTTTAAATGGTCATTCCAAAGTTGCATAGAGTGGGAAAGAGGATGGAGGAAGAATTGGCATTTCCCCCAGGTTATTTCTATGGCCTCTCTGGATCACACAAGGTGCCAGGTCTCATCTGCCTAGGCCTACTTTACCTTCATGTTTCCCAGGCAATTTGAGGGTACCTTGCAGATTTCTCTTGTTCCTGAAATCTCTATTTACCTCCTACTTCTAAAGGTCCTTGCCCTTTCACTCCTCCCCACCTGCCTTCAGGATGCCTTCCTTATGGAAAATAAATTCCAGGTCTTCTCTCAGGTATTGTACATTTCACGATCTTTATCACTGAATGTTAATGGTGGTATGGTGGGGCACCATCCCTATGTCTGCCTGTCCCTTATGATCTGACCCATGAATGGAGAGGTGGGAACTAGTGGACTTCTTCTCCAGACTGGCTAGTTTCCTTGAATGTATTGCAAATCAAACACTACCATGAAGATCAATTTCTTTCCCAACTTCCCTCCTTTTAGTCTGCAGGGGAAGTTGTTATTCCTCCTATTGTTGTAGCTTTGACTCTCTTTCTTGTGAAATACTTCTGTCAGCTTTATTATGTTGAGGGAGAGCTGATGGCTCCCTCTCTGCCCTAAGTTATTTCACAAACCATCTTAAATAAACTTAACACTGAAGAGCACCATGTCTAATTACTTCTTAAACCCTCAGAGGAGTCAAAAAACTAAAAATAGAGCTATCATATGATCCAGCAATCCCACTACTGGGAATATACCGAAAAGAAAGGAAATCAGTGTATTGGCGAGATACCTGCACTCCTGTGTTTGTTGCAGCACTGATCACAATAACCAAAATTTGAAAACAACCTAAGTGTCCATCAACAGATGAATGGATAGAGAAAATGTGATATATGTACAAATGGAGCTCTATTCAGCCACAAAAAAGAATGAGATCCTGTCATTTACAACAGCATGGGTGGAACTGGAGATCATTATGTTAAATGAAATAAGCCAGGCACAGAAAGACAAACCTCACATGTTCTCACTTATTTGTGGCATCTAAAAATCACAACAATTGAACTCATGGATCTAGAAAGTAGAAGGATGGTTACCAGAAGCTGTGAAGCATAGTGGGGGTGTTGGGGGGTGGGAAAGGTCAATGGGTACCAAAAAATAGAAAGAATGAATAAGACCTAGTATTTGATAGCACAACAGGGTGATTATAGTCAATACTAATTTAATTGTACATTTAAAAGTAACTAAAAGAGTATACCTGGATTGTTTGTAGCACAAAGGATAAATGCTTGAGGAGATGAATACCCCTTTCTCCATGATGTGATAATTACACATTGCATGCCTATATCAAAAATCTCATGTACCCCATAAATGTAAACACCTAGTATATACCCCCCAAAATTAAAAATAAATAAGGGTGAAATAAAATTTTTTTCAGACAAACAAAAACATCCTCAGAGGTGGATTTGGTGGGTTGTAAGAACAATCTCCATTGGCCCCACCATAGTTATCATTATCATGTGGCTATGTGTCAAATATAATAATGATCATTATTATTTTATTCTAATAGCTGTCACTTTTGATTGCTTACTATGTGCCAGGCAGTGACCTAGGAGCTCTACTTGTATTATGTGTTAAATAAAAAGTAGAGAAGGCCATTGTTTTGGACTAAGCTCCTGCACTAGCCCTTAACATGAACCAGACTAAAAGTGAAAATTGAGTCACTCATGCTAAAGTTTCATGTCATCAAACCTAAACTAAGTTGTTATCTGATCTTGGGAGAAATCAGGAAAGAGATAACAGCCAGTTTCTCAAACAGGCCAGTTTCCACCTTCAGTCAGCTTAAGGAAGTTCTTTCTGTTTTAACCTGAAGTAACCTAATGTTAACCAGCCAGTCATCATCTTTTTGTTGTCCTGTCGCTCTGTGCCCACCTTACATGGAAAGTCACTTTGAAATGACCAATCCACTTTTAGTTCTTTGTTTCTGCTTTCTTCAGTCCTTCTGTGTCTGTAAGCCAACCTCTTTGTTCAGCTCATTGGAACACTTTCTATTTTATGGAATGAGGTGTCACCTGATGCTAGAATTGCAAATAAAGCCAGTTGAGATCTTTCAACTAAATTTGTTGTAATTTTATCTTTTGCCATATGCTACTATAATTCATGATAACCCTGTATGGTAAATACTATTGTTACCACCACTTCACAGAGCAGAGCACTGGAGCACAAGGACTAAGGGGTTGTGTCCATGGTCATGGCCAACAAGAGGTTGAACCTGTGTTCAAACCCACGTCTGATTAACTCCAGTGGTTTATCTGTGACTCTGACTATAGCTGACATTTCCTAAGGATGGTTGATTGATTTTCAAAAGAACTTTTAGATCCTTGATATTGAAAATACAAGGTGTAGTTATGTGCTCTGGTTAGTGTTTGAGCAACTATAGCGGTATATCTGGTTTATCTGTTACTCTGACTATAGTTGGCATTTCCTAAGGATGGTCAATTGACTGATTTTCAAAAGAACTTTTAGATCCTTGATATTGAAAATACAAGGTGTAGTTATGTGCTGTGGTTAGTGTTTGAGCAACCACAGCTGTTTACAATAAAGAGACATGGGCACCGTCAGTTGAAATTTACCCTAACTAAAATGGTGTTATTTTAAAAGCCTCCCTTTCTGACTTGCTAAGTGAATTTAATGTTCCAAATGGGTGCCAAATTGGCAGCCTGCAGGATACATTCCACTATTTATGCAAGAAATGGACACAGTGGCCTTGTGCTTCCACCCTATCCTTGAAGGACCTCCTTTGCAGAACACAAGGTTAATGCGCCCTTCAAGTCTTATTCCATCTTGGCCCCCATGAGCTCTACTGACGTAAGTGTTGGGCCAACAGTTGTAATTGTAGTAGGAGTTTTTGGGCTGTGATTCACCAAATCTGCTTGTATATCAAATGTACCTGGGGACTTTAAAGGTATACAGATTTCTGGGCAATCTACCAAACTTTCTGAGTCAGAACCTGGCCAGGAATCTGTACTTTCCAAATGCCACCCCAGGTTTGAGAACCACTGCCTTGGGGAAAGTACTATCCTCTGTGGACTATTCCCTGCTTTTATCCTGCACTGTCATTAGCCATCTGCTAGCTTATTTACCCTTCCATCTTCACGCATGTACTATGAAGCCAGTGTCTTACTAGTGTCAGAAAAGCTGGAGGAAATGTCAGGCTTTATCGACTGAAGTCAGTATTTACTTGAGAAACCTTTTGGCACATCTGTGTTACTAGCAAATGTCTTTCCAAACTGCTGAAACAACTAAACCTTAACCAGCGGGCTATATTTAATTATAGACTCGACTTCTAAGATGCATTCACATTTTTCTTAACATATTATCCTCATTACCTCTCAGTGTGTTCTATTGTTTATTTCTTAGGAATTGTTTCCAGAGACTAGAAGGCAAAGAAAATGAAGCATGGCTAGAAACAGGTTGGAAAAAAAAATCCCAGTCCCTTTGATAGAGACTCAAATAATAACTTATTGGCAGTCATTTAAAAGAAATATTATTACAGTAGGATAACCTTGCAGTAATTGCTGTAGAATTGTCAATTGTCAGTGTTGCAAATCTGTGGAGATTACAGGCAAGAAGGAAAATGGAAAACAAGTGGCTCAAATTCTTCTTCAGGTATGCTGGGGAGAAGAAAAGGGAGGATATATATAGAAAATGTGCCCACGATCTTGATTTTGGAGGCTCTTAATATCATCTTCTTCCTTATTGCCACAAATTTTTACCAATTGTGTATAATCTATTTGTGAAAGAGTTCCCTAGTTATATTCTGTAGGTTTTTACACTAGCTAGAGCCAAAAATCCGGAAAAATACACTCTACAGAGCAATCAAGTATTTTCTTATAAGGACTTTTAATGTTAGAGAAAGATTTGATGAATAGGAAATTGCATCAACAGACCTGAGTTCTACAATATGCCTCTGTGTTTCCCAGTCTCTCAGAAGTATTACCCTGACATCATTGCTTTATTTGGAGTTTTAAAGAAATGAAATTGTTTTCTTCCCATACAGAAATTTTATTCAGAACGCCAGTATACAGGACAGATATGAGCTATGCTTTTCAGGTGGAAATTGGGGGGCAGAGCACCTGCCATGCAGCCTCCTCCATCTGGGCACCTACTGGAAATTTTGAAACTCCACGAAACAAGATGACTTTGAGTTAAGAGATGACCACTGGGCCCACAGGGCTCTCTCCTGACTGCCAGAGCCCCTGCTCTCCTGCTCTTTTTTCCCTGCCTCAGGTCACCTTGGGGCTGTCCTCCATGAAGGGCCTTAATAAGGTGCTCCTTTATGAGTATGTACTCTGTCATGGCTATCATCCATATGGGGGACCTCCCATGCCAGGCTGTTGATTTCTCAGGATGGCATCCCCTGCCCTCCCTCCCACCTCATTCATCCAGGGCTCTGATCACATATTCTGAGTCCAATTCTGATTATGCAAGGGAACTACCTCCCCTTGCAAGGGGTTTCTTTTTCTTTTTAGTGTGGAGTGCAATACCTAAGAATGCATACAGATTTGGGGGGCTAAATCTTATAACATTGGAGAGGGGATCAATCTTTAAGAAAAATGGTACAAGTGGACAAATAAAAATGGCTAGGGTCCCTCTCAGAAACTTGAAAGCAGCCAAAGCAAGTGACAGGCCCTGAAGCTCAAGTTTGATTCGCTTCACAATAATCTGCTTTTTATAATGCTGTCGTGTCTTTCCAGATCAACTCTACCAACTCCTGTTTTGGCACCTAGTCCCACCTTTGCTCCTGGGATCATGAATGAAAGAGATTCATCTAATTCCTGAAGAGACGGCTCCTCTTCCTATAAAAGCTCACCTGTGGACACAGTCTGCAGAAAAAGAAAACAAAAGATTCAAAATGTACCATGGGTTACATAGATATAAATCTAATTGGATAAGTCCCAGTGTTGATGATGAGGAAACTGCAGAAAACGGATTCTATCCACAGACTATAAACAGTGGAGTGTTGGTCTTCTAAGTTTAAGACCCAAGTAAGGCCTTCTTTAAGCTTTCGATCCCATTAACTTAAAGTTAATCAGATCCTGTCTATTAATAATGTATTGCCATACAATGAAAGTGGAAATTTTGGAGAGGCAGAATAACAATGGCAGTCAGCAATCTTGTGGGGAAGAGAGTGGGGAAGGTTGTCCTCTCAGGATGGGGTGATTTTTGTCAACTAGGAAATTGAAGATGTCGCTGGGTTTTAATTGATCCCAGATGGAGAGAGAATTGTCAATTTATTTAAGATTTTCCAGATATTAATGACTATACATGGCAGAGATCTGGATACATACATCAATTTATTCTTCATATAATAATGTCTTTTATTTAATATTTGCTTAGTAAAGTTTCCTGTTGAAAAGAAAATGCTTTGAAGATGTATTGCAAATGATAATTTTAATAAATTAATCAAGAATGTTTTTAAAAAGAAAGTAGTATGAGGTTCAAAGTCTAAAATAAAGATTTTTGAGGAGGAGTTATAAAATAAAACAACAAAACAACAGCAACTTCTCAGAGATTGTTGGAGGATACCAAGTTGTATTAAGAATTGAAATTAGTAATTATGATGACAAAAAGGTCAGAAAAAACACTGCAGGGGTGTGTGTGAGTGTGTGTGTGTGTGTGTGTGTGTGAGAGAGAGAGAGAGACAGAGAGAGAAACCCTCACCTAGTAATGACCTAAAGGATTTCCTGAAAAACAATGGCATGTTTATATAGGTTAATAGGTGAGGTTCTGGGTCACAGCCTTTTAGACACTGAGGTAGTTAAGGCATGGTCCTCAGTGATTACAGCCAAAAAGGTAGAGAAGTGAACCACAGTGGACTGGTTGAGTGTGGTTATTGGGAAGGACTTGTCCCTGGGATTGGATTGTGCATTGGTCAATAGAAGGCAGGTTCTTCTCCTGGCCTGGGTGGGAGTTGCTTATTTCACATTCCTCAGGCATTCCACTATGAGGCAGGAATGTACATGGTTAGAACAGAGCTCTGAGGGAGCCAACAGCCAGGCTTGACCCAGGCCCTAGCATTTTAGGTAAGTGACTTTGGGCAAGTCTTGGATTCCTTAGCTGTAAAATAAAGTCAAGAACAGTTACTATTTAATTGGATTGTTATAAAGGGTAGTTAAGATACTATATGTAAAGCATTTAGCATAGGGAGTAGGACTTAGTAAGTACTCAGAAAATATTAAATTTTATTATTACAGTGTTATTTTTGGGTGAATGAGGTAGACTCATTCATATCCTATATTATTTAATAGATTTTTTTAAACAAAGGAATGGTTACAAATTTTTAAGTGTAATAATAGTGCTGCAGTGAACATGGGAGTGCTAATATCCCTTCGAGATCCTGCTTTCAGTTCTCTTGGATAAATACCCAGTAGTGGCTGGATAACATGGTAGTCTTATGTTTAATTTTTTGAGGAAGTGCCATACTGTTTTCTCTATTGAGCACTATCATCAGAGACGGTCTGCCCCCTGGCTAGCCTGAGACTCATGAACAGGAAAACCAGAGTGGAACTAGATGATCACAGACCTCTCCAGACTCTGAGCTTCTAGGGTTCTCAAGTCCTGTTTTTCAACTGGTGAAAATAAAAGAAAATCAAGCAGGTGCCTGGGAATCAGCCTGGCCAAGGAAGTATTTCTGTGGATTCTATTGAAAGAAGCCATGGACCCCAAAACTCATATCACATAAAGTTCTGGCCCTAAGTTTCCTCCACTCTCAGCCAAAGACTTTGGGAAATAGATCCTTTAATAGGAAGGGGAGGACATGTGCTCCTAGCATCCCAAGTTGGAAACTTTGATGTATTTTTCCACAGATATGGTTATATGTGGTGGCTAGAGTCTAATAATAGTAACAATTTATATTTCTGGAATATAAGAATATACATTATTAACACATGTTCTGTCTTTTTGTCTTTTTCTTTTTCTTTTTTTTTTTTTTTTGAGACAGAGTCTTGCTCTGTTGCCCAGGCTAGGATGCAGTGGCACAATCTCTCAGCTCACTGCAACCTCCATCTCCTGGGTTCAAGCAATTGTCCTGCCTCAGCCTCCTGAGTAGCTGGGATTACAGGTGCCCACCACCACGCCCAGATAATTTTTTATTTTTATTTTTGGTAAACATAGGGTTTCACCATGTTGGCCAGGCTGGTCTCAAACTCCTGACCTCAAGTGATCTGCCTGCCTTGGCCTCTCAAAGTGCTAGGATTACAGGCGTGAGCCACTGTGCCCAGCCTATTAATTCATTTTCACAAGAATCTTGTGAAGTAAATACTTGTATCAGTTAGAGATACTTGTATTAAGTCAGAGAGGCAGGACCACTAGGAGCCATAAAGAATAAGGAATTTTTATGGGGATTTAGCCTTTTGCAATTGTAGGATCTGGTTAAACAATGTATGTGTGACTGTTTTTTGTTTGTTTTTGTTTTGTTTTGCTTTGTTTGCATCTGGTGCTGGGTCCTGAAGTGAGTAGGGCAAGGGTTAGGGAACTGCAGCTGTCAGCCTCTATGATGGCCCCAGTGATTTCTGCTTCCTGGTATTTACACCCTTGTGTAGTCCCCTCTCATATGGTGCCAGTAGCAATCTGAGTGACTGACAGATACAGCAGAAGTGATGGCATGTCACTTCTGAGATTGGGTTATAAGATAAATTGTGACTTCTGTTTTGGTCACTCTCTTTTGCTCTCTCTCTCTCTCTCTCTCTCGGATCACTCATTCTGGAAGAAGCCACCTGACTCGTTGTAGTAATGCTGTGGAGAGACCCACGTGACAAGGAACCGAAATCTCTGGCCAACAGCCAGCGAGGAACACAAGCCAGCTAGCAAACACTGGGGGAGCTTGGAAGTGGGTTCTCCGGGCCCAAGTAAGTCCGCAGCCCTGTCCAAGAATTTGACCAAGACCTCATGAGAGACCTTGAGCCATAATCACCCACTAGGCCTCTCTCAGATTTCTGGCCCTAAGAAACCATGTGAAATTATAAATTTTGTTGTCTCAAACTTCTTATCTGGGGTCCTTTGTTGTCCAGCAACAGACAGCTAATATAAGAAGAAAAGCAAGACATGAAGTGGAGGAGAACAAAGACAGTCTGAAACCCTTAAGGATAAGCTGGAACCAAAGGACAGACTGGAACTTGCATGGGTCTTACGCTCCTTCTAAGCCTTCATCTTTGATGATGCATGATCTGCAGGAGAAACTGGGACCTTTCATCACAAAGCTAAACAAGCACATGACTCAGTTGCTGGAGAGGCTGAAGGAAGATTCAGCAGGAGCTAGAGTGGCTACAGGCCTGGCTGCCACACTGTGCCATCAAGGTGAGTCATCAGATCAGCTGTCACAAAGTTCATGAGCTACAACAGCACCTGGTGTCTTGCACCAAATCTGAGCCTGAGATAAATATGGCTTCTGCTTCACTTCTGCCTTGCAAATTGTGCACAGAATGTCTCTTATGGCCAAGCTAACCTAGAACTGTGCAGAGAAAGAAATTCTGGGAAACATAGCTCTAATTTAGCTAAATTGACACGATACAAATCCACCACGGCATTATTTCATTTAATAGGTATAAGCTTAGAATCTGAAGGTTAAAATGATTTTTTTTTAAATGCCACACAGTTGGCTGGTAGAAGAACTAAAATGGAAAACCAGGGCTATCAACTCTTATCATTACATCTATTTGAATCCTTCTAAATTCACTAACTAATGGGCAAAATAGCCTTTCATGGGTAGACCTAGGGAAACAAACCATTGTCTTCCAAATACATAACAAATTAATGGTCCAGGTCCCAGGCTCTTTGTACATAGCAATGGTGGTGTGCCTGTTCTCTCATGCCCTCTACTCACATTCCGGGCACACAGCTGGGGGCTCAAGATTAATCTCTTCTCTGAGTGGAATTTCTAGCTCAGAATTTCAGCAGTGTATACCTTTTCTCTTGACATCTATCCTCTTACTCTGGACCACAGTGAAGCCTGCTGTCCTGGCTCTTCCTGTAGAATGACTTTCTGCGGGTTGTTCTCACTGGTGTGACTCTCTCTATTGAAAGAGTTTAATGTCTGTGACTTGTGAACTCCCTAGAATAGCCCTGTCTCTGAGGCAGGAATTCACCTTTGATAGATTTTCTTTCATAATGGAGCAGTTGAGTAGTTGAGAGCTCAACAATTTCAAGCTAGATAGAGACATCTTATGCAGAATGTTTAATTTCAGCCAGCATTGAAAATGTGCATGATAATAACTAAAAATAAGCATATATATTATGCATTTACTGTGAGCCTGATGCTGAACTAAGTTTTTTACATACATTAGTTATTTCATGTAATTCACACAACATCCATTGAGGTAGATATTATTATTATTCCCATTTCACAGATAAAGCATGCAAAGACTGCTTCATTATCAGTTATTTATCAAACCACTTCTCTTTTCTCCCTGGGATACAGACAAATTTCACAACCCAGGCTGTCTTGCAGTTAGATAAGGCTAGGGGATAAGTGGTGTACTCCACTGGCCCATAAAAACCCCTCACCCAATCCTCCAACCTATGTCTCTTTCCTTACCTACTGAATGAAGGCAGACTCCAGTAGAAAACTCCAAAGCCTGGGAACTCCATGGGAAACTTAGAACCACTAGATAGAAGGAGCTTGAGTCCCAGGATGAATGTGTGAAATAGAACACACCTTGGCAATATAAGCAAGAAATAAATATTTATTCTGGTTGTTATATTAGATAGCACACTTATATCGATGCCTTGAAGTATGGGGGTCTTTCAAAACAAAACTCCAAAACATGTGACATTGGCTTAGCAGTTGAGTAATGGACACCAAGAAAACTGACATCAAAGGCTGGAAAGATGGCAACCTACATTATGCAGTGGTGAAACATTTGGTAAAACTGTCACCTCGCTTAATTTGCACAGAGTTTACATGTGCACTGAAGCTGTAGCTCCAGGGGAAATAGTTGGAAAATAACAGAGTGTTAGTGAGAGTATGACTATTATTAGCTCTCCTTGACAAGGTACTACCCGAAGAAGAAAAAAGAAAAAAGGTAAGCTAAACAAACTGGCCAGTTTACGAGCCACAGTGGAAGAGTGTAGAAGGAGTCCAGAAATTTTGGACATCAGGTGTGAAAGAATTAACTGCTTCTTGATCCTAAAAGGTAAAATGTATACAGACCTTGAGTGACAAAGATCTAGTAACATTCCTCAACTGAACAGAGTGACTTAGCCCTTTAAGAAAAAAGTCACTTTAGGTGTGTGTCCTTCCTTCATCTTGTTTTGGACAACTTCAAGGTGGCCACTGTTAAGGAGAGATAGAGAGAATAAATCATGGAGATGAAGAAGGAAAGGAAGAAACCAGGCTTGAGGAGTACATCTAGGAAAGAACTTTGGGTGTTGTTACTGGCCCGTGGGACTGACTGGTAGAAAGTACACTGGAAGCCTAGGAAGTGTTTGAAAGCATTCTATTGCCAAGGAAATCACGAGCCTGGACTTTCCAAGGTACAAAACAACACCTGGACTTCCAGATTTGCCTCACTCCTATAAAAGCTCCAAGCACATAAACTCCATAAGCACATACACTGCGGCTCTCCAGACTTCAGACAGGGACAAAGAAATGATCAACTAGAAAAAACACCACAAAGGGCCAAACCAGGGGCCCTAGAGAATGAAGGACAAAGGAGTTCTTCCCAGAGTGCAGAATTACGTTGTAACTAAATTACTTCTTCTACCCCAGGGGAGGGAGCCTTCTTACTGACTGTCTAGATAAGGGCCAATGTTGCTACATCTCTCTTCTATCCCTTTCTAAATGAGAGTTTCTATTGAGAATACCCTGCCCCTAACCCATCATAGTATATTGGGTTTATATGGGGGAGGGGGAATGGGAAGCAGGTAAATTGGTTTTTTAATCCAAAGTGACAGATCTCTAGACTAGAAGAGGTCACATCTAGACTTGATGGAGGGGACCATGCAGCCCTTGGAGATCCTAGACTTAATCTGGGTGCAGAGACTGGGTGGGGTTTTGAGGGACTTTGGGGTTGTCTCCTTTGGATTGCCTACAAGAGGAAGGTTACACAAATATTTGATGACCAGATTGGGGGTCTACGGCAGAGATTGAATAATTGTTTATTTGATCACTCATTTTCCTCCTAAGCATATAACCAGATGACAATTTTCTATCCTTCCTTGTGGTTATGGGCAACCATGTCACTGAATTTTGTCCAGTGGACTATGGCTGGATGTAATGCATGCCATTCGAGGCCTGACTCATAAAAACTTCTGTACAATGCTCCATGCTCTCTCTTTTCCAGCTTGGCTTAGAAAATCCAGCAGATAACTCTGAGGAGAGCATGGAGCCCGATGGAAGGAGTCTAGACCTGCATATCCATCTGAGATGGAAACCCCTTCCAGCCTGCACTGTTTTGTGATATGACTGAGAAATAAATCTATATTGTGTTAAGCCACCAAGATTCTCAGAGTGCTTTTTACAGCAGTTTGCCTACTCTCACCAATGGAAATAGATTTAGAGCAATTAAGTAATCTGCCCAGGTCACACAGCTATGGAGGGGTAGAGCAGAAATGCAAGTGAGGAGTAGGTCCCAAACTTGGGTCTGTAGAAGAACACAATGAGAATCATCTGGGAACTTTCTCGAACTACAGATTCTTTAGTTCTACTCCAAAAATGCTGCTGTTGTAGTTTTTTGGTGTGAGGGGAGTGACAGGGGCTTTAAATCTATTTTTAACAAGATCCCTGGATAATTCTGCTGCCTAAACCAGTGTTGAGAGGCACCAAATGCCATCAGTTATTCTAAAACATAGGAGCTGAGTTCCTGGGGAGAGATGTCAAATGAGTAGGCTGGTCATCTAATTTATCGTCCAATCTAAGACACTTCCAAGAGTGAAAGAGGGAGCTATTAATAATCACACTTGAGCACCAGGCATAAAATAGGACTTTCCCAGGCAAAGTGGCATGTAAAAGCCTCTGTGTATGACAGCAAAA
Source organism: Homo sapiens (assembly GCF_000001405.40). Lineage (NCBI taxonomy): Eukaryota > Metazoa > Chordata > Mammalia > Primates > Hominidae > Homo > Homo sapiens. Next base: position 220,436,313 of record NC_000001.11, read on the forward strand.
GATGAGACAGCTGTGTTCTCTGCTAATAGAAAGTGTTATTTCCCATTAAGAGAATTTTCAGTTTTTCTAGAGTGCTATCTGCCATCTGGGTGGGACAAAAGTGGCCTTCAAGCTAGAGGCAAAGCTGCATTCTGGAGAGAAGTTTTGAGGGGTACCCTCAGAGGCTTGGAGTAACAAAACGAAAGTGTCTTATGGAGTTGGAGAAATGATACCTGAGTATTGGCAAAGGCTCACACAGACCCAGGGACCACCAAAGGCTTAAAGAGCAAGCACAAGCATAGAAAAGGATGGGAACAATCCTGATTGAAACCAACAGAAGCTTAGAAACAGGCAAAGTACAGAGCCAGGGTTCAGACTAGGATGGGAGAGGAATTGTCTTGATAGATTTTCCAAGAAAAGATTTTGTGCTCTCCTTTCGAAGGCGCTGGAAACAGGTAGCACCTGGCACAAATGAAGCTAAATTTGGGCCTGGAAAGGTGTACGGTAAAGGCACCTGACAGCAATAACTTAAGCACATCCTAAGCAGATGCACCTGAATGTGTGTTGAGCTAGGGAATCTGGGAGTGGCCAACCTGGAGATTCATTCCTTGTCTATGAGGAACAGCTAAACCCCCATCCCATCCCAGGTAACATGGTTGTACAGGGGATAAAGGCCCTGAGTTTTGGGTTAAATGAAGGTTGTCACATGGAGGTCATTAAGAGGAGGGTGTTAAGTGAAAATGCTGTATAAACTGCAGGTTGTTTGCAAGTTGTTGCAGTTTTCCTGCCCAGCCCACCACCCCTGGGCCATGCAGTTATCTTGTCCAGCCCACTGCCACCGGACAATCTCCCCTGTATTAAGCCCCCAGTAAAGCCCCATGTCTCGTTTGCTGGCTCTGGGTCTCTTCTTTGGCCTCTTGAACCTGTTGCCATCCTGATTGGAGTTAATAGGGGTTTGGCATGACAAAAGGAAGTTCCAGAGTTTGGCTAATATCTACTCTTGGGACCACACAAAAATAATATTGCTGTTCTCAAGTAATTTGTCATCATTCAGCCACTTATTAGCTGATCAGTACCACCTTAATCCGTCTGTTTCTCACCGCCCCAGTGGGGAGACTTATACCTCTCTCAGCCTACCTCATAATGGGTAACTGGGAGGATGAGGCAAGATGATATGTAAGTATTAGGTTGGTGCAAAAGTAATTGTGGTTATACTATGGAAAGTAGTGGCAAAAACTGCAATTACTTTTGCACCAACCTAATAGTAGTGCTTCTGAAATAGCAAAGTCTTTTGAAAGGAAAGATATTACTGTTAGTGACATTAACAATAAAGTATAACAAATAGTATCAGGTAATAGCAAGTTTCCCAGCGTGTGTTAACATTTTCTTCATGAATTGAGTAGGTTCTTAAGTGAGCTAGTGTTCTCCCTTATGTAAGTCAGGTGTGTGTGTGCCTGTGCATTTGCACACTTGTGTGTGTCCCCTACATCTCATATATTAGCATCTCCTGGGGATGCATGCTCAAAATGCAGATTCATTTCAGGTTTGCTGGATCTCTGCTGTTGAGGCCCAAAAGTCTGTAGCTTTAACAGGCTTCCCAGGTGATTCTTATGCACCATTTTCTGAAATTAACTGCTTTGAGCAATGGGGCTCTAAGAATCAGCTTCCTGTGGCTTGGAGGCTAATTGGTTATCAAATTCTATTGCAGTTTGACCCAGGAGCAGAAACTAGCCAATCTATCAATCTATCAATACCGCTCTGAAGCTACAGTCTCCAACAGGTGGACCAGGTAACTGCTGCTTGTGGTGTGATGTGTTTACTTATCTTCTTTGAATTACCTAAGTGAAGCCAACTGTGGATCATGGCACTTAATTGGTCACAGAGAAATAGAAGGATAGAAAAATTTCTTACCTCAATTTGCCAAGAGAAACCTGAAACCAGCCATTTGGAATTTACCATCTATTTCTCTAGGTTTTCCTGGAGATTAAAGAGATAGAGTGAATTTCAGGTCCAGAAACTGACTGTTCCTTAGACAAGGTCTGATTCAATGAAAGAGACAGCAATGAAAGCACTTCTTACATCTTAGATGTCAAAAGGTTTTGATCATTTTGGACCAATATTTATTTCATTCCTTCAACCAGTATTTATTTCTCACTTGTTTTATACTGTGGACCCTACTAGACAATGAGAAAAAGTTAATGAACAAGACAAACACAGCCTTTCAGGATAAGGCAGCTATTGATCTTACTTTTCAGACTCGCTTTCTTACTCCACATTGATCTTGGATGTTCCTGTGATGGTTAATTTCATGTGTCAGCTTGGCAGGGGCATGCAGTGCCCAGATATTTGTTCAAACATTATTCTGAGTGTTTCAATAAGAGTGTTTTGAATGATGCTAACATTTAAATCGGCAGACTTTGAATAAAGCAGGTTGTCCTCCAGGGTGTGAGTGGACCTTATCCAATGAGTTGAAGGCATGAATGACAACAAAAAAGACCGGCTTCCCCCAAGCAAGAGAGACTTCTTCAGCAGACTGCCTTCAGAGTTCATCTGCAGCATCAGCTCTTTCTGGTTCAAAAGATGTCTGCCTTTGGACTGGAACTAGAATCGCAGCTCTCCTGGGTCTCCAGCCTGCTGGCCCACCCTGCAGATTTGGACTTGGCAGTCACCATAATCATGTTAGCCAACTCCTTATAACTCATTTCTTTCTATTCTCAGTTCTTTTTCTCTGGAAAACCCTGACTAATACAGATCCCCAATGCAGTCACTAGATCCAGTAACATCCAAAAATGCTCTTTTACATTCTCCATAGCAGTTACTTGCTTAACTAGGATGGCTGTGAAGGAAATATGGACATAGAACAGGATCAAGGAATCAGGGTACCAGGGTGAGCTGCGATAAGTGAATAAATGCATCTTCTGTTCTTCCCTTGGGAACCCCCAATCTGAATACACAGAACATTAGAGGAGTAAGCAGTAGGGAGACAGTGAACCTGACTCTGTAATAGGGCTGGATAACTACAGAAGGCCTAGTGCTCCACCAGAGTCTTGCCACTCATTGATTACCTCAGGAAGCACAGTTGACCCTCAATGACACCTCTCCAATCCCATGGCATAGCAAGAGGGTGGTGGAGGGAATCCTGTCCTACCTCCTCCATATACTCATTCTTCAAATATTTACTGGAAAGCACAAGTACTGTGGGGATGGGGAGAACCAAAACTGGAGAGTGAGGCATGCTTTGCTCTTTTTTTTTTTTTTTTGAGATGGAGTCTTGCTCTGTCACCCAGGCTGAAGTGCAGTGGCATGATCTTCACTCACTGCAACCTCTGCCTCCTGGGTTCAAGTGATTCTCCTGCCTTAGACTCCCGAGTAGCTGGGATTACCCACGCCTGCCACCACACCTGGCTAATTTTTGTATTTTTAGTAGAGACAGGGTTTCACCATGTTGGCCAGGCTGATCTAGAACTCTTGACCTCAGGTGATCTACCCACCTAGGCCTCCCAAAGTGCTGATATTACAGGTGTGAGCCACCATGCTCAGCCTGCTCTTGATTTGCCTAAAAGCTATTTGAAGAGAGACCAAGCTCTGCATATATTAGAAGGAGTCAACAATTCCATGTCGCAACCTGTAGCTAAATAGCAACATGTAACTAAATGGATGATAACAAACTCTCAGTTTATAAGTTGAGTCCATTAGCTATGGAATCAAGCTGATTTTCAGTATGCCACTTCTAAGCTATGTGACCTTGAGGGAAAACTGCTCAACTATTGAGTCTGTTTCTTCCTCTGAATGGTGAAGGATACCACTACCTACCTGATAGGGTTGTAATGGAGATTAAGTACAAATCCACGTAAAGCCCTCAGCACAGTACCTGTTGGGTTAAGCTGCCTCTAATTGATTCTTGCTGTTGATATCCTCCATGAAGAATTCAATAATAGGAAGTTTCTGTGAGGAAGAGAAATCCTAGCTCGATCTCTGATCTTTATTGTCTTTAAAGATATGACACGGTTGTTTGATTTTTGTCTTCAAGCATTTAGAGCTAGAAAAAAGAAATTCCCTTCTGAAAGTATGAGGAGAGAAAGGGAGATGGATATCTTGAGACCTCTGGAAAGTGGTGGGTTTTGCGGCAGATATGAGATACAGATCCCTAAGCTGTGAAGTATTAAATAATGTATTACATCTTTAAGTTTACAGAAATCATTGCAACTTTTTTAAAACTCAGACCACTATTTGCAGTAAGAGTTTGGACTAGATTTTGCACACTTAGACAATAGCTTTCATACTTAAGGATTTATTAGAATGACCTGGAGAGCTTGTTAAAGCAGACTACTGGACCTTACTCCAGAGCTTATTTCCCAGCAGATCTGGGGTGGGACCCAAGCATTTGCATTTCTAACAAGGAGAAGCTGATGCTGCTGGTCCAGGGACCACACTTTGAGAACCAATGTAATGATTAAGGAGACAACAGGTAAGTATGAGAGTGAGAAGAAGAAATGGTTCATTAGCATGCTCGCAATGTGTCTTCCCTGATATCCTATGGCAATTATTGTCTGCACAATATATCTGGCAATTAATCATGTCTTGCCTTTTCACAGTTCTTCTCTTTGCCTGAATGCTATTTACATCTTTTTGTTGGGTCTATGCTTAAGATCGAGGCAGGACGAGAAGCCAGCAATGGACAACCAGTGGGAGAAAGAGGAGAGGAATTCAGGCCCAGGAGGGAGCAGGAAAGGGATAATTGAGCAGACAGAGGATCTGCCTGTGGGAAAGCGGAGTTGGAGCTACTCTTAATACAGGAGGAAGAAAGCAAGGAAGAAAATTCATGCAGCTTTTGGAAGGTACAGTATGGAAATGACAGGCAGGCACCAGAGAAGCCATAGGCTAACCTCACAGACAAATGACCCAACTGCCAAGACAGATTAAGGGAGAAGGGGTTCATGTGCACTGTGATATCCCCTGAAGAAGGAACCCAAATCTTGTGTGGCATTTTCCTTTATCCTCTGCAGAAGAAAGGAAATTGTGGCGGTGAGGAAGGTGCTGATGTGTGTTGTTTGAGGATGAGGAGGGTGGAGCAGCATTGCTTCCTGCTAGGAGACCCAAGCAATTTGGGTGAGTAAGTTCCAGGAAAATGGATCAGGGCCAAGTTCTTGGGAAAGGCTATTTTAAAGACACCAAACGAAGAGGAATGGAGCTAGTGCCTCAATCAAAGGAAAACACAGAGTGTGGGTTGGTTTAAGATAAACAGAATTGGGTTCTTGAGATGGGGTGGTCAGTTTTTTGTTTACAATTGCTATACTCCTCCTTTTCGGCCATTCAACACCTATTCAAAGAGAAAGGCAGCCTTTCTCTTTTTTTTTTTTGAGATGGAGTCTCACTTTGTCACCCAGGCTGGAGTGCAGTGGTATGATCTTGGCTCACTGCAACCTCCGCCTCCCAGGTTCAAGCAATTCCCCCTGCCTCAGCCTCCTGAGTAGCTGGGATTACAGGCACCTGCCACGAAGCCCAGCTAATTTTTGTATTTTTAGTAGAGACGGGGTTTCTCCATGTTGGCCAGGCTGATCTCGAGCTCCTGACCTCAGGTGATCTGCCCATATGGGCCTCCCAAAATGCTGGGATTACAGGCGTGAACCACTGCACTCAGCCATCTTCATTTTTTTCTGTTATTTTTTTCTCCCTGCTTATTTCATCCTACATTCTAGGCAAATCTTTCTACTTTTACATTGTGTTGAAATTGTTAACATTTACATTTGCTTCTGCAACAAAAATCAAGTCTTCTGTGTTGAGTCGATAGTTGGCTCTAAAAGGTAAAAATCAATACATGTTTTACATTACTTTGATTGTTCTACGCTATGCTGAGGGCTGGGATTACATTCTTTTCTGGGAGTCCAGTGGAAACATCCACAGGCTAAATAGAATGTTCTTAGCTTCAAGGTCAAATGGCTATTCTCTTTTAGGTTGCATCAGTTGCTTAAAATCTCAAGATGTTTTTGTTTGCTTAGTACTTGATCTATGTGTTTCTTGGATAACTTTCTGTTTTTCCTGGAGTTGATAATTTTCTGCTTCATTTTCTTACAATTTATCATATCTTCAAGTGTTTCCAATCTTTAACTCATTTTATCTCCTCTATATGTCTTTTCCAGAGACCAGGACTCCTCTTGGAGTCCTTGATCCAACTTAAGCTAGCTTCACAGCCAGTATCTGAGAATTCTCCTCTTTGCTTTCCTGAGTTGGGTCCTCTGGATTCCATGTCATGTCTTTCTCATTTTACCCTTTATTTGCTGTGTTTATCACCAAGTAATTTCCTAGGGAAAGATTTTTTTGTTGAAAATACTTTTTTCTCCCCTCACACTTGCCTGATAATGTGCCGTATATAGAACTCTAGGTTAAAAACTATTTTGAAGACAAATATTTGAACATCCAGTGTTGCTGGAGAAACTTGATGGCAAACCAATTCTTATTCTTTTCCAGGTGACTTGTTTTATTTTTTCTGAAAGCTTTAATATCTCTCTTTTGTCTTTGGTGTCTTGAAACTTCATATAAAAAGGTTGAAGCATGAGGATTTTTATTGTTTTTGTTAATTATGTTGATGCTCAGTGGGCACTTTCCCTCTAAAAAATTATATCTTTCGGCTGGGAGTGGTGGCTCACACCTGTAATCCTAGCACTTTAGGAGGCCAAGGCAGCCGGATCACCTGAGGTCAGGAGTTCAAGACCAGCCTGGCCAACATTGTGAAACCCCTTCTCTACTAAAAATACAAAAGTTAGCCAGGTGTGGTGATGGGCACCTGTAATCCCAGCTACTTGGGAGGCTGAGGCAGAAGAATCATTTGAACCCGGGAGGCAGAGATTGCAGTGAGCCAAGATCACGCCATTGCATTCCAGCCAGGGGGATGAGTGAAACTCCATCTCAAAAAAAAAAAAAAATTATATCTTTCTTTACCTTTGGAAAATTTAAATTTATTGCTTCCTTAAAGATTTCCTTCCTTTTATTTTCTCTGTTGGTTTCTTCCTAAGATTCATATTCATCTGACCAGATCTTTTAGATTGTCCTTCTATTGTTCTAAGGAGATCTTCTTGATTTTATTTGTAGTTGTTATATTGAAAAAATTATATAGTCTTCTTTTTATTTTGTTTCATTATTTTATAAATATTATATAATATCATTTCAAATCTTCTGAATATATTAAGCAGAAAGGTTTTTTGTTTCTAGTTCTTTTGTGTTTCATGAATTATCTGTGCTATCTCTAGAGTCTACGTTATGTTTCTTTTGGCTATCTGCATCCAGGCTGCTTTTCATATCACATACCTGATCAAGCTACTTGTCTTCGTTTCCTTCTATTTAGGAAAGAAGGACCAGAGCTGATCTGTGCCAAAACACCTTTCAGAAACTTCCCAGGAAAGAGTTTATGGAACATACATTTTTCAAATGTTGGCATGACTAGTGATGTCTTTATTCTACATTCATCTTTGAATGTTAGTTTGATTTGAATGATAAAATGTTATTTTGACGGTCATTTGTTTTTAGAAATTTGAAGGTATTTTCTCATTGAAAATTTTGTTCATTGTGTTAAAATAAACATAACATGAAATCCACCATTTTAACAAAAATGTACAATGTACTGCCACTAAGTATATTCACATTGCTGTGCAACCATTACCACTATCCATTTCCAGAACATTTTCATCATCCCAAACAGAAAGTCTGCCCCTATTATATAACTCTCCACTTCCTCTCTCCCTTTGTCCTGTGGTAACCACCATTCCACTGTGTCCCTATGCATTTACTTATTCTAGATACCTCATGTTGCCAGAAGTCAGGGACCCCGAATGGAGGGACTGGCTGGAGCTGCGGCAGAGGAACATAAATTTTGAAGATTTCATTTTGATATGGACATTTATGAGTTCCCAAATAATACTTTTATAATTTCTTACACCTGTCTTTAATCTCTTAATCCTGTTATCTACGTAAACTGAGGATGTACGTCACCTCAGGACCACTGTGATAATGATGTCAACTGTACAAATTGATCATAAAACATGTGTGTTTGAACAATATGAAATCAGTGCACCTTGAAAAAGAACAGAATAACAGCAATTTTTAGGGAACAAGGGAAGACAACCATAAGGTCTGACTGCCTGCAGGGTCAGGCAAAAAGAGCCATATTTTTCTTCTTGCAGAGAGCCTATAAATGGACCTGCAAGTAGGAGAGATATTACTAAATTATTTTCTTAGCCAGGAATATTAATAACCTGGGAAAGGAATGCATTCCTGGGGGGAAGTCTATAAACAGCTGCTCTGCGAGTGTCTGTCTTATGCAGTTGAGATAAGGACTGAGATACACCCTGGTCTCCTGCAGTACCTTCAGGCTTACTAGGGTGGGGAAAAACTCCACCCTGGTAAATTTGTGGTCAGACCGGTTCTCTGCTCTCCAACCCTGTTTTCTGTTGTTTAAGGGTTTATCAAGACGATAAGTGCATAGACCCTTATCAGTAGTTCTGTTTTTGCCCTTGGCCTTGTGATCTTTGTTGGACCCTTATCAGTAGTTCTGCTTTTGCCCTTTGCCTTGTGATCTTTGTTGGACCCTTATCAGTAGTTCTGCTTTTGTCTTTTGTCCTGTTCCCTCAGAAGCATGTGATCTTTGTTAGACCCTTATTAGTAGTTCTGCTTTTTGCCCTTTGAAGCATGTGATCTTTGTACCTACTCCGTGTTTTACACCTGTGATCTTTGTACCTACTCCCTGTTTTACACCCCCTCCCCTTTTGAAATCCTTAATAAAAAACTTGCTGGTTTGAGGCTCAGGTGGGCATCACGGTCCTACCAATATGTGATGTCACCCCCGGCAGCCCAGATGTAAAATTCTTCTCTTTGTACTCTTTCTCTTTATTTCTCAGCCGGTCGACACTTATGGAAAATAGAAAGAACCTACGATGAAATACTGGGGACAGCTTCCCCCGATAACCTCACATAAATGGAATGGTACAATACTTATCTTTTGGTGCATGACTTATTTCACTTGACATAATGTTTTCAAGGATCATAAATGTTGTAGCATGTATTAAAATTTCATTCCTAAGACAGAACAATATTTTATTGTATGTATATACCACATTTTGTTTATTCATTCATTCACCAGTGGGCACTTGGATTGCTTCACCATTTTGGTTATTGTGAATAATGCTGCTATGAATACTAGAACACAAACATCTGTTTGAGTCCTTGCTTTTAATTATTTTGGGGATATACCTAGAAGTGGAATTGCTGAATCATATAGTAATTTTATGTTTAACTTTTTGAAGAACTTCCATAGCGGCTGTGCCATTTTACATTTCTACCCTCATTCCAATTTCTCCACATCCTCATTGACATTTGTTATTTTCTGTTTTTATAATAGCCATTCTAATAAATCCAAAGAGGTATCTCACTGTGCTTTTGTTTTGCATTTCCCTGGAGAAAAGTGATTCTGATAATTCTTTCTCATATTTATTGCCCATGTGTGTATCTTCTTTGGAAAAATGTCTATTCAAGTCCATTGCCCATTTTTAAATTGAGTTGTCTTTGTTACTGTTTTGTTGTAGAAGTTCTTTATTCTAGACATCAATCCCATATCAGATATATGATCTGCAAAAGTTGTCTCCCATCCTGTGGATTCTCACTCTATTGATAATAACGTTTGATGCACAAAAGTCTTTAATTTGATTAATTTATCTATTTTTTTCTTTTGTTGCCTGTGCTTTTGGTGTCATATTCATGAAATCTTGCCAAATCCAATGTCAGAAATTATTCCCTGTTTTCTTCTAAGAGCTTTATAGCTTCAATTCTTACATTTAGGTCTTTGATCCATTTTGTGTTAATTTTTGCATATGTTATAAAGTAAGGGTCCAAATTCATTGCTTTGTATGTGAACACCTAGTTTTCTCAGTACAATTTATTGAAAATACGTCATCATCATTTTCTCATTGAATGGTCCTGACATCCTTGTCAAAAATCAATTGATCAAGCCTGGCATGGTGGCACATGCCTATAATCCCAGCTACACAGGAGGCTGGGGCAGGAGGATCACATGAGCCCAGGAGTTCAAGGCCAGCTTGGGTAACACATAGGGAGCCCATCTCAAAATAAAGAGAAAACATTTATCATATATACTCTACTGCCTTTTAACTACCAGTGTTGCCATTGTGAAACTTGCTGTCATTCCGATTCCTGCTAATTTAGAAGTGACCTATCTATTAAACTTTTTTGGAAGATTTTAACCTAGTGGTGGGAAATTTTGTGATAATGTGTCTTTGTAGGTCTCTTTTTTTTTTTTCTTTCATTTTGATGGGCATTTGCTAGGGCTTGTTTGGGGAAATTTTTCTTGAGCTATTTCTTAGATAATTTCCTTTCTTCCATTTTTCTCTTTTCTCTCCCTCTGACTTATGGTGTTAGGTTTCTTTTTTCTACTGTTTTTTAAGTTTTTCTCTTTTCTGATCTACTTTATGGAAAACTTATTTGATTTGTAACATACAACCCTTCTATTGTGTTTCAGAAAAATTAGGCTCACAATTTACTTTTCAAGAACCTTTGATAGTGTTCTGATTGTTTCTTTTCATAACATTATATTCCTGTTTTAGGAAAGCAATATACTCTTACCTTTTAAATGGTTTTTGACATTTTCTTCTGTGTTCTTCACAATTTCTGTATGTTTGTTCTACCTATTTGTTTATCTTGGGTTCTTTCTTTGATGTTAGAAATTGTCCTTGAATGGCTTGTGATTGTTGGTATTTACAAGTAAGGTATTAAAATATTGATTGAAAGCACAATGGTGGGGGCAGGGCTTGTCTTTTGGTGGGCTTTGTTAGAGGATGATCAGGTAAGCTGGCTTCTTTGTTGTGGGATCTCAAGAATCAGTATGAGATCTTTTTATTCTCTTTCTCCTTATCCAGACCACAACTTCCTGAATTCTAGAGACCTTATTTTATAATTTTTTATTCCTTTCAAATCCTATTATGTTTCAATAAATGATGACTGTTTATTGATTTGATGCTGCGGTAACAGAAACAGTGGGAACTTCAATTAATCAAACAATTGTTTTGTTTTCTCAAAACACGAAGTTTGGCAGCTCCCCTCCTACTCCAATTGCTTGCTCACTTTTTCAGGTGCAGAAGTGGCCTAATATGTATGTGTGTATGTGTGTATATATATATTTTATATATAAATATACTTTATATATTTATATAAATATATACTTTATATATAAAATACATATAGATAAAGTATATATATATAAATATATTTTAAAATTGTATATATATTTTTGCATTAGAAGCCCACATCTGTATTTCTGAGTTCTACCTTAAGGAGGGTGGGCAAAAGTGAACAGGAGCAGTGGCCTGAGAGAGAGGGCCAGTAGCCACTGACCAAATTCACACAAGGGCATAAAAAAAATTCTTGGTCCAGGAAATTTTAAGAATTCCAAGGAGGTGATGGAGGAGGGAGTGGGTTGGAGATGAGAAGGGTGAGGGTGAGTTGGTCAGAAAATAAAGCAGAGCTTCTGAGTATGTGAAGCAGAACAGGTACACAGAGATCAGGTACACAGTTCTGAATGCAGATATTGGAAAAAGCAGAAATAAGGCCTGGACCCCAGAAAAAGAGAAGACAGAACAAAGGACTGAAGTTAAATAATTAGAGTAGTACCTATCTGTTTATGTTCTGTAGAGATGGATCACTCTCATAAGATGATCTCCAGCAAAACATGGACTATAGAAAAGATGATTCTAAGGTTAGATACTATCTCTATTGGATGTTTGTAAAATTTAAAAGCAGTTTTTGAGCTTAAGAATCTATGTGGTGAACCAATCTTTCTTATTTTGTCTAATCCAGGCTTTTGCCAAATTCATTAACCTCTCTTTATTAGTGGTCTATGGAACACACTTCGGGAAATGCTCAGCCCTCCCTAGGCCAGACCTCTGCAGCATTCTGGTTTCTTTCCTCACTCTCTAAAACGCCTTTAGCTCTGGGTAGAAAAGGGCAATAGTATACACAGCAGAGAGGCTGAATGCCTCTGTGACAGAGAAAAGTCCCTCTGTTATTTGTTCTCACTTTCTGTGGCCACTCTGCTTAAGACCACATTTCCCAGTCTTTCTGAAAGTAGGCAGAGCATGTGACTGGATTCTGACCAATGGGTCAGCAGAAGTCATGTGTGCAACCTCTAGGTTTTGCCCTTAAAATGAAAGGAGCATAATCACGTGTTGACTGCAGACAATGTGGATCCTATCAAGCTGGTTGTCTTTCTGCCTGCCCTGTGTCACAAAACGGGGATCCCTTAACGCATTATCAAGGGGAAGGCAAGACTGAGACATGTAGTCCACAGGAAGACCTGCACCACTGTCGCCTTCACACAGGTTAACTCAGGAGACAAAGGAGCTTTGGTTAAACTGGTGGAAGCTATCAAGACCAATTACAATGACTGATATGATGAGATCCGCTGTCACTGGGGAGGCAATGTCCTGGGTCCCAAGTCTGTGGCTTGCATTGCCAAGCTTGAAAAGGCAAAGGCTGAAGAACTTGCTACCAAACTGGGTAAAATATACACTGTTGAGTTTTCTGCACATAAAAATAGTTAAAATAATACACATTCTCCTTCAAAAGAAAGAAAGAAGGAAGGAAGAAAAAGAAAAGAAAAGAAAAAAAAAGAAAAGAGAGAGAGAGAGGCATACACTCTCTTTTCCTTCTCATGTTCCTGAAGGTTGAATGTGAATTCAGGGCAGGGAACTAGAGCAGCCACCTTTGACCATGAGATAGAAGCTGTATGTTGAGGAGGAAGAGCAACAAAGATGGAAATAGCCTGGGTCCTTGCCACCACGGGACCTCCATGTCCAGACTGGCTGCTTACTCTCAGACTGTTCCTGAGAGAGAGAGAAACCTCTCTCTTATTTTAACTACTTTTTTTTTCTGTCCTTTGTTTCAGCTGCTGAACTAGTATTCAAAGTAATACAATGGTATCCCAGAACTTGATTCCCGATATCATTAAAGAAATGCCAAAAGGATAGTAACCCAAAATGGCGTCTAACAATGGAGACAGCAGAGCAATAATTACTGATGCACAGCTTGGTGCATCCTTTAGGCTCTATGAAGGAGAGGAACACCCTAAAAATGATGCCAGGCTCACTGGGTCCCGCCCTGCAGAGCTGCTTTATGTCACTCACTCCCTTTCCCTCACCACACACTAAGCGCCTCAAAAGCGGGGGCATTCAGCACACCGTTGGGGGCATGGCATTACTTTCTGAATCTTCTTCCTCAGCCAGGTTCTCTCATCCAACCAGATCCTGCTTCTCACCCTCATCCTGCTGGCAACCCCTACTGTTTGTTTTCCTCTCTTGCTTCTTGGAGTTGCAGTTCACACTGAGATCCATTTCTAGAGCTCTGACTTTGGTTCACCTCTAACATAATTTGTCTAATTTATCTTAGTTTCTTCTCCCATCCCAGCTCTGCCTCCTGAAAGGTAACTTTGCTGATTAGCAGAGGTTAACATTTTTTTTTAAAGGCAGAGGTGGATACAAGGGTGTGATTGTTTGCATGCTTTGATTCTTATTAAGGAAAAAATAAAATAATTCATGCTTCATGATTGGAGTTTGAAAACAAAATGGCTTAAAACACCTGTGTGATAAAATAGATTTTAAAAGTTATTATTTTTAGTTAAAAAGAAGTTTTATAGACTAGACATAGTATTAAACACAAACTAAGACATGGAATACTGTAATATTATTGTATATATTTTAAAAACAGATTATTTGTTCCATAAATATTTATTGACCGACAAGCCAAGAAGCTATCACCTGTCAAGCATGTTGCTAATGTGAGAACAGCTACAAAGGTAAATGAATATAATTCCTTTTCTTCAGAAACATGAAACTAAGTCAGGCAGAAACACATGAAGCTAAGACACTATAGGCTATGATAGAATGCAATAAATATGGTAAGCTCATGAACCTGATTTTCCTAAACAGTATCCATTTAAAATACTGTCCCTCATACTTTCCAAAATATATGCACCAACTTCTGACTTGGAAAAGATGGTCTCTTTGGCTGTAAGATTATGTACAAAGCACTTTGTGAACTCAGAGGAGGGAACATCTTTCTGCCAGGGAGAATCAGGCAAAGCTTCAAAGAGAACATTATATTTAAGTCTGGTTTGGAAGGGTAAAAGAGGAGCTTGACAAGGGGCTGAGGGGAGAAGATGTGCGTGATAGAGAGAGGGAAATACAAAGAAAGATTCCTGGAAGGTCATCACTTTCCATTAGTAGTTTTCTCCTCATTCGTAAGTGATGTCAGACATTAATTCATTGGAACCTCACATCTCTATGAGCTGTTTTGGTATATTATTATCCCCAAACCTTAGATAACCATGTAAAGAAGTCTCTGGGAAAATGCTCCAGAACCTTGAAATTTCTCCAGGGTCTGCCTCCTACACACAATATTAAGTAAACTTGTCTGCCTGGGTGACTCTAGTTTCCATGTTTGGCTTCTGTTTCGCTGTGCAGCCTTGTGGCTAGACACATTGGTTGCATTTCGGTTCTGACTTTACTTCCAGTGCTGTGTTTGGCATTCCCTCGGCTCTGTGCTCTGTAACTCTCAAGTCAACCCCATTTCAGTGGGAGTATCTCAGCCTCAAGCCCAGAGCCAGATCAATTCTAAGATTTAGCCTCCTTCATCTCCGCTGCAGTTAATTATGGGTAGGGATTAAAGAGCTAAGAATGGTCAAGGAGGCTGCATTTGGATCTGTGTGTGTGGCCTCATATACCTTGTTGTAGAGTTTACAATGAATAAACATTGTAAAAGTTACATGGTAAGATTGTTTGGTGACTGCAGAGTTAGAACAAGGGGCAATGGTTTTATGATCAGAGGTGATTAGGAGCCTGGGGCTTTGTCTCCACCATAGAGGCATGAACCTCAGGGCAACAGATCCTTGCACCAGTGTGAAGAACCGCTTTCTTCTCTGCTCAGTGCTTGAATAGGAGCTGCTAATTTCTGACCCTAAGTTGCCAATCACCTAACATGGTATGAAGCAAGTGATAGTCACATTTACATTTCAGTATTCCATTCCTAAAATCACTTCACTTGAGAGTTCATTGACGGTCTCTTCAGAACCCATTTATAGTTAATCTGCAACCTTAACCTCTCTTTCCTTCCTTTCCTGACATTTTCCCCTCAAATATTCTGCATTCTGGCCAGACTGGACTGTTACTTGTACCTGGACACTCCCTGGTTTCTACCTGCTCTCTTTGGGTTATGATTTTCTGCGGTCAGAATTCCCTTCTCTCCATCTCTGCTCTCCATCCTCGAGAGTGTAGCTCCAGTTCACTTCTTGCCTTCAGCTTTTTCTGATTCCTGCAGTAATTGTGATCTCATCCTCCACTTAGCCCAGTGACCTTTATCACCCTGTGCCTTGGGCTGTTGTTGCTATTTGCGTGTCTGGATACACATTGAGCAAGGACAAGAAACTTTGCCTTTGATCTCTCCAGCAGTGCCTGGCTCTAGCAGACTCTCTTCTCTCGAAGTATGTGAATCTATTTAAATGTTATCTAACCACTCTCTGTATGCTGATGGGAAATTGTATCTGAAAAAAATAGATGTTGATAGGAACAGTTAACAAAAGACAGAGTTGACAATCAGTTGGAATAGAACATTCCAAACCAAATATAAGGAATAAGATGAATTGGCCAAATCCCTTCAGATGTGAATTAAGGTTATAGAGCTAATAAATATCTATACATAAAATATTTTTTACCAGAGAAATACTCCTCAGCCAGATATGGCAGAGAATCCCTTTGATTTGGAAAAGGCAAGCAATGACTTTAATGTTTGTTAAAAAGAGAAGTAGCAACTGAACTAACTGCTGGATTCTTGCACAAGCCATGAGTGCTAGAATCTGAAGCAGAGACTGAGTTGAAGTTTCGTAGAAAGGGTACAAAAAATGTAGTAGAATTAAGAGAATAAAACAGAAGTTTAATAAATTTATTTCATTAATTTGTTAGCTTCCTGCACTTGGTATTCTCAGTGAGTAACTTAGATAGTGAGTTAGTTTAAGTTTAATTCTGAATATTCCAGTTTGTTTGGTCATGGCTCTTAAATATCTGGACCGTCTAGAACCTGTAGTGAAAAACATTAGCTGAGTTTCACCAACCAGTCAGCATTCTCTCAAATCTTCAAAATACTAAGATATTATGTCAGAGGCTTTCTAGTTGACCTAGCCCCAAATTCCTCTTTAGCTTTCTCTTACCCCTACTTAGAATCCAAAGAAAGGAACTTTTGGCCATTCACACCCCAAACTTCTTGCCTTTCAACACCACCTGGGCAGATGACATCCCTTCCCATAAAAATGGTTGTATTTACCTCTCAAACCTCTTCATTAGCAATTAGAGTCTCCTTTGCTCTAAAGACACATGATATATCCCAGCCCAGTATGCCTATCACACTGGAATACTAAAGAAAGGCAAAATTGTATAATGGTTCTCTCCGCTGGTCCAGCCCAAAAGAAGCACCAACCATTCAGGGAAATTAGAATCACTCACTGTCAGCAGGTTCAAAGTGTACTTGAGGTCAGAACATATTTTTGCTTTGGAAGCAGCAGAAGGGAAGAAGACCTAGAAGAATCGTTTGGATGATTCTTGCAGAAGCATGGGTAAAAGAAGGTGGCATTTTCATGAGTTGGGCTCTGCTTGGCAAGCAGGGCTTCTCACTAGAAGACCAGGTTTAGTTTATGCCACCTCCTTTGCTGCCAGGCCATCCCACCAGCATCTCAGCATTGGAAGCCAAGCGAATTTTTCTAATAGTTAAGTCCAGTGTTTGGTTCACCTCCTTTTACCACAATGAACCCTGTTTATGCTCCATTTTTCAACCAGTCTCCTTAAACATAACACTTGCTCCATTTGTCATAAACCCCAAGGACATCACCATCACAAAATCTTTACAGAGTAGCTGTAAATCTGTTGGGTTTGGTCATCACCCTGTGTTAATTTGAACTGGGGAACGATCATTATAACAGGATTTATCAGGGAGTATTTCTCTGAGCTATCAACATCTTCTGCCTTTTATGGATGAGAGGTGTTTATACTTCCTTGCCAGTACAAGAGAAACATTGGAGGCAGGTATCCTGTGTGCTTGAATTAACATACCCTTTTATTTTTCTGCATTAATTTTTGCCTTTTCCCCTTCTTCCCTGTGGTTCTTCCACCCTTCACATGCTTAACAAAGCTACCATTGTTCCTACCTCCTCTGGGAGCTGAAAAGAATACCATAAATGTTTCCTCTGTGAGGCACACGTCAGGTTACCATCTTCTCTCCTCCACTCCCCTGGAAGAATGGTGTTCCAAGAGTGTTTGGATATTCCAGTAAGATCGCATGAGAAAAGTCAAATCTTCTTCTTTTTCTGTTAAAATTCTTTCATTATTTTTTAATTGTGATAAAATTCACATAACATAAAATTTACCATTTTAACCATTTTTAAGTGTACAATTCCGTGGCATTAAATACATTCACATTGTGCAACCATCACCGACATCTACCTCCAGAACTCTTTCTATCTTGCAAAACAAAAACTCTGAACCAGTTAAATAATAACCCCACAACCCAGCCACAGGGAATCTTTTTACTTTTTGTCTCTTTACTTTCTGACAACTCTATGTACCTCATATAAGTAATCGTACAGTTTTTGTCTACTTGTGACTGGCTTATTTCACTTAGCATGCTATCCTCAAGGTTTATTCATGTTGTAGCATAAGTCAGAATTTCCTTTCTTTTTAAGGCTGAATAATATTCTATTGTGTGCATATTTCATATTTTTATTTATTGATTGATCAGCACTTGGGTTCCTTCCACCTTTTGGATGTTATGAATGATACTTCTATCAATAGGAGCTTGGCTCCCCTTCTTTGGAGAATATGTAAAAAAAGGGATGGGAGAATGGGAAAATGGCAGGAGGGTAGAAGGATTGTTGGGAGGAAAAGTTCAAAATAAAGTAATTTTGTTTTTGAATATATATCATAAAAATTCAAGCAACTCTGAAAATGTCATTCTAAATTCTACCACTAGGAGAAAATCACTGGTAATATGGTGACGATCTTCTTTCTATCTATCTCTTTATATGTCCATGCCAAATATATCTTATATAAATGAATCGTATCTTTCATATTGTTTAATAAACTGATTTTTAAATTCAGCTTTATGATACGAACCTCTTTCCATATAAATAAATGTACTTTTATACCATCATTTTCATGGTTGCATACTTTTATCAATGTATCATAATTTATCCAATCTTCTATTGATGGAGTCTCAACAAATTATCATACTTTTATCAATGTATCATAATCTATTTATCCAATCCTCTATTGATGGAGTCTCTACAAATTATTCTCTTTGTTTTTTAAAAAAGTTATTAACATAAAACAGTGTGGTGACAATTATTATTTTACATGTTATCTTTGTGCTCTTGTTTCCTAAGCCTCTAAAACTGGAAGTGAGTCAAAGGATTTAACTTGACATTTTATTTACCAAGCATAATTCATATGTGTGAAAATCCTAATATCTTAGATCTCTTATTCTTATGTATTTATCTATGCCAAAATACATATTTCACATCATAAAGGACAGAGTGAGAGCTCTCTAGAGCTTTTCTGGGGAATGTTCTATGTGAGGAAGATTAGAGACACTGAGTTATATCAAAATATTACATTGTATATGAATGCATGTCAATGCAAAGTAGTAGAGAAGGTTGGATTTACTATCCTTGTTGGTTCAGTCAAGCAATGTATGTATAGTCATTAGGAAAGGAAAAACAATCTTGAAATGAGCCAAGTAATGGCTATAAATTCACTTATAGCTTGGCAGCTTCAAAGCCAAAGTGGTGGTTGGATGTAAAGTGGAATTTTAATTGGCAGAGGAGGCAGATAGTGAGAAATGTTGATCCAATAATAACGTGAAGTCCAATAATTTGTGTTAATCCAGAATGCAGGTCAAATCCAAAACTGGTAGCCAGAAGCTCAAATCAGTGTCTAAATGGTTTTTTTGGCCAGTTCTGTTACTAAATGTGGTGCAATGGTGGAGTTTCTAGGCAAGTAGAATCTTCTAAATCTTACAGGTGATGGTATATTTAAAAAATGGTTTATCATCCCATTTACTAAGGTCATGGGATATAGGATCTGTTAGCGGTGGTGAATCCATACAGGTCTGCAGCAACCTCAATCCTTGCCTCTTCAGAAGAAAGAATTCAACCAAGGGGAATATGGCAGAATGAGACACTGAGGCAAGTTTTAGAGCAGGAATGAGTTTATTAAAAAGATTACAGCAGGAATAAAAGGAAGTAAAGTACACTTGGAAGAGGACCAAGAAGTGCACCGTTTGACCTTTGACTTGGGGGTTTTATACGTTGGCATGCTTCCAGGGGATTGAATCCCTTCTCCCTTGATGCTTCCCTTGGGGTGGGCTGTCCGCATGCGCAGTGGCTTCACAGCCACTGGGAGGGCTGCATTGGGAGCGTGTTTACTGAAGTTGTACACATGCTCACTTAATGCGTTTTTCCCTTCCCAGTCAAGTGTTCCTATAAGGTCATGCACCAGTTAAACTCCACCATTTTGCCTCTTAGTACACGTACTTAAGCCCACCCACCCAGCTCCTGAGATCTTATTGGAAAGTTGCTGATCAACAGTTTCAGGGTTTTTTTCTATCTAATGGGAGACTGCCTTTCCCTGGCGCTGCCTGCATTCAATTACTATTTTAGAGAGACAGTTTTACAACTGCCTGACCATCATGTGATTGTTGCCTGACATTCCTAGTGGTGGTTGGGGGTAGGTGGGGAAGGCTTTCCTGCCCTGCTCATGTCTGACTAGCTACCTCCTGTAACAGAGTGAACTATTTGTGGGAGAGGACAGGGATGGTCTTCACAGAGATTATCATCAGCCACGTTGGCTAAGATTTGAAGCAAACTCTAGATTCAGGTGGATCATTTGAGTATGGGTAGCACTGTTTTATTGTAGGACAAGTTTCCAGGAAAACAAACTGAGCTGAAATTTTGAATGGAGGTAGTTTATTGGAGAGTGCTCTTGGGAACAATGCTTACAAGAATATGAGGGAAGGATGATTCAGCAGAAGGAAAAGTGAAGTTGTAGTGCCTTTGTAACAGAGGTCTCACTCAATACCATAGTTGCAATCTCATTCAATTCATAGAGCCCTGAAACTTGAATGGCTGTTCAAAGATGTCCAAATGAGGCAAGAAGACTTGGGCTTTTGCTACCATGCTGATTAGCTCTTGGATATGGGCTACCCCCCAAAGAAAGGCTGTAATCTTGGGCAAGGCAGCTCCCTTTGGTTGATGGCCTTCCTGAATGGAGGATCTGGGTGGCACACCATAGCACCTTCTATAGACTATAAGGCAGAAGTTCAGCTATATGAATCAAGCAGACAATATCTTGAATAGATAACCATAGTTCACTCTAATAGTATCAGATGAGAGCATCTAGGCTAATTTTACATCTTCCCTTAACACCCTCACTTCAGTCCATTCCATTCCACTTCAACATACTGTTGGTGAAAAACACCCAAACTCTGAAGTATTTAAAGAGGCTTACTCTGAGCCAATTTGAGTGACCATGGCCTGGGGAACAGTCTCAAGTGTGCCCGAGGTGATTGACTCTTACAGTTTGGTTTTACCTGTTTTAGGGAGACAAAAGTTACAAGCAAAGACATAAATCAACACACCTCAGGTATACATTGGTTGGGCCCAGAAAGGTGGAACATCTTGAAGGAGGGTGGGGGTGTGCTTACAGATCATAAGTAGATTCAAAGATTTTTCTGAGTAGCAATTGATTGATAGAGTTATGTTTTGTCTAAAGACTTTCAGTCAGTAGAAAGAAATGCTTAAGATGAGAGGGGTTGTGGAAACCAAGGTTCTTGTTATGTAGCTGAAGCCTCCAGGTAGCAGCCCTCAGACAGAATAAATGGCAAATGTTTCTTTTTGGACCTTAAAAGTTGTCAAACTTGGCCGGACTTGGTGGCTCACACCTGTAATCCCAGCACTTTGGGAGGCTGAGGCAGGTGGATCACAAAGTCAGGAGTTCAAGACCAGCTGGGCCAACATGGTGAAACCCCATTTCTAATAAAATGCAAAAATTAGCCAGGCATGGTGGCACATGCCTGTAATCCCAGCAGCTCAGGAGGCTGAGGCAGGGAATTGCTTAAACCCAGGAGGCGGAGGTTGCAGTGAGCTGAGATCGCGCCACTGCACTCCAGCCTGGGTGACAGAGCAAGACTCCGTCTCAAAAAAAAAAAAAACAAAAAGGTGTCAAACTCTTAATCTTAATCTCTGCTACATCCAGGAAATGCCTGGCAGCGTTAACGGAGGCTCTCTATAAATGCAAATTTCCCCCACAAAAGATGGCTTTGCAGGGCCATAACAAAATATGTCAAATATATTGTGGGGTAAAATATTTTGATTTCCTTCAAGATCTGCTATCTTTCATGTGATGTTATACTAAAGACAGGATGGAATTTGGTACAGTCTGCTTCGTCAGTCTTTTGATTTCTATTTTAATGTTAGTGCTGGTCAGTTGTGTATAATGAGGTTTGTCCAGCCTCCCTTCCATTCATGGCCTGGGATTCAGTTTTTCAGGTTTCTATGGGATCTCATTGGCCAAGAGGGGGTTTGTTCAGTTGGTTGGAGGAATTAAGATTTTATTTCTTGTTTACAAAACAAACACACATGCTGATGAAAACGGGATTCCAGTATGAGTTAAGTTTGAGTCAGTAACAAGGCAGGGTTAAATGTTGAGGATGCAGGTCTTTCCTGTTGATAGATGCAGGAGGCAGATAAGGGAGAGGGTCCCCAGAGAATCTCTGACCTGCCTGCACACTGGGAGAATGGGGTGGAGCCAGGGCAAGTTCATGCGTGTACAGGGGTGAGGAGCCTAGCCTCTGCAGTTCCTGTGTGTGGCCTGGAATCAGTGGGTGAAGTGGGAGTCCTTGTTAGCAGGATCCCCTCTCGCTTTGCTGGAAGTTTTTTTCTTCTTTTCCTTTTTCACCCAATAAATTTCATTCCCTTCACCCTTCAATGTGTCCGTGTTCTTAATTCTTCCTGGTCATGTGACAAGAACCCAGTTTTCGCTGCACTAAGGAGCAAAGTTCTGCATCACTATCTGCAGCTGAGCAGAAGGGACAAGGCAGTCATGGACTCCAGAGAGCAAAAATATTACCATTAAAAACCAGAGATGTATAGATCTGAAATGTGGAGGCCATATAAATTATGTTTCTATTTAAATAAGAAATTCCAACTCCTTATCAACCCCTTCAATTCTATCACTCATAGAATTAGAACTCATAGAACATTCATTTATTCATTCTTTAAATATTTCTAAATTAATTATTATATGCTAGGCACTGAGCTAGAGTCCAAGAATTCAAAAAATAAAACATAGTTCCTGCTTTTAAGGGCTTTGCAGCTAATGGGGAAAACAGATAAGATAGGACTGTGGCATGAATGCTGGTTACTGGGTTTGCTAGGGTCATGGAGTGCACTTTATTAAATAGACTATAGGGCTTTCCTGTCTGCATTTCTGTCAATGTTGCATTTAACAACAGTTGAAATGGGCCTTTTTGTGCTTGGAGTGGTCTACAATTTAAACTTAAGATCTGGTTAAAATTGTCTGACTTCAATTTGAAGAGAAAAAATTACATTATAGTATAAAAGACAGTAACTGCAGTCAATGATTAAGCAATGTCCCTCTAAAATTATCCAAGGGCTTATTTAAGTGCACTGTTAAAATATTTTGGAACTCTAAGAATTGCTGAAACAGAGCATGTCTTTCCAAGTTTCTATCTTTGTCCTCATGTGTTCTCTTTTATGTATGTTTGCCCTGGGGCTTAAGAATGAAGTAACTTTTTTAATGTGAGTTAAGAATGAAGTAACTTTTTAAATGTGGTTCCAGTTAAAAGGTATGATTCCTGATTCTCCAACATTCTGATTTTTAAAATCTGCATTTGTTTGTATCTTATTTGGGAAGGAATTTACCAGATTTTCCATAGCACACATCATTTTCTAACATGCTATATAATTTACTTATTCATTATATTATTTATTGTCTGTATGACCTTGCTGGAATGTAAACTCTGTAAGAACAAAGATCTTTGTTTTGCTCAGTGTTGTATCCCTCCTTCCTAAAAAATACTTGGCATGTGGCATATATTAATATTTCATAAATATGTGTAGAATAAATGAAATAAAAGATAAAGGAAGACCAGTTCCACAGACCATTGATGATGATGTGCTATGAATGGAAGAGTATAAATAACGCAATTACTTGCAGCCACTAAATAAATTACAGTATGTTAGGAAGCTCACCATTTGTCTTCCCATAGAATGACCCATCAATAGCTCCTGAACTTGGAGTTTTTCCTAATAGTATGTCCTCTTAGTTTTCTAGTTCAGACTTCTCTGGTCAGGCCCATTTCACCATGTGTATCTTAGGCCGGTTAGATATGGTTCATTTCATGTCACATGGACCCACCATAACTCCTTTGAGATGGTACATATAAACCAAACCAAGTTAGAGGCAGAGGGAGGCTTGCTTCATTTCCATGTCTAATACCACAGAAAAACAACAGACTTCTTCTAAAAATGCGTAATTGATAAATGGAAATACTTCAATTTTTCCACCTTACTTGCCAGAATTAAGTTAGTTTATCTTACCTAGTTAGAGTGCAAAGGCAGATTACTTCAAAAGTATATTTCTTTGATAGGACTACCTTGAAATTTTGACCTAAAAGATATGGGATTATTAAGCCTTTTTCTGTTAATTAAATGTTCTTTTTGAATATCCAATATAGTTGAATGAAAGTGATGGTACAATGGCTTTTACTCTCTGAAGTTCAAGTAATGCATGACCATCCTACAAAGAGAACCCACTATTTTCACAAATAGAACCCACTTGAGAATGGAATAATCCATTTGTGTTTAGGGAATAGGACTGTCCCAGTGCAAAGATGTGGCTTGCTTCAGAGCTAAAATTCATCAGATTGATCCCATTAAAATAGAACTTATGTGAGAGTAATGAATTTTAAAGCCCCAAAAATAATTTTTTGAAGTTACAAATACAAGCAAATAGTGAGTTGAATTATTAACTTTAATAAATTTGTCATCATAAAATTATGTTTTAATTTGACTTCAATGGTTTTTTGCTCTGGATTCAAGCCAGGATGCTGTCATCCGAAAAGACGATCCGTGATCAAGAAAGAAACGTGTTGGGGTTTAGAAAACTGGGAGTTCAATACTGTGGAAACAGTTTTGAGACTCTAAATCTGAAAACTGAGAAATGTTTAGGCATGAGGAGGTGGTAGACAGTGCCATCGTATATGCATTATATCAAGGGATACCATTCTGAGTGCCCCAGTCCATGCCGGGCAGAGGCTCTGAGGATAGGGCAGCAGTTGTTGTAAAGTCGCATGGTGTGAGGATGCTGCTGGCTTACTAACACAGGAAAGTTGCTTCCAGTGTCTATGTTCCGTTTTGCTTATATGCCTGCTGGTCTTGGAGCCTCCTGAAGACCTGCAGAAGAAAGCAATTAAAGGTAGGCAATGGAGATATAAAGCACAGATTTTGAAACCAGATGACATCCCTCATTAGAGATGACTTATTTAACCTCTTTCATAGTTATGGAGAGGCAATCTCAGCACCTCTCATGGCAGACTTGAGATTCCCTTTGGTTATGGCCACTTCATATTTCCACTAGTGAATAGAATAGTTCTCACCAACTGTTCTCTTGGCTTCTTCGTGTTTATTCTCCAAAATTACCCAATACCTATCCCACCGCTATCTTAAGTGGCCCAGTGTAGTTATACCATCCTTTAAGATAACTTCCTTTCCTTAGGCCTCAAGCCAGCTAGGTGGACTCTCAGTGTTCTTGTTCCTGAGGACAAGTCTTCTCAGGCTGGTACACAGCCTCAGCCTCACAGTTGAAGCTAATCTTACAGATGACACAGTAGGTAGTCTAAGAAAATGCTTGATATACCAGAAAAAGTAAGGCAATATATTTTTCAAAATATTTGTTAAAACTTTGCTAATTTCTATATTTTACTTGGCTTTGCATTAGTATCATTTTTTATTAGGAATTTCGCATGGGAAGAATGTTGGAGCACCTCCTAATCTTTTTCAGTGCTTAAGGCCTGCAAAAGTCTTTGTTTGGCTCCCACCCCAACCCTAAAGTTTTTATTATCTTTTCTCTGGATCATGCACCCACATTTTCTTAAACTAGTCTCTTTTCTTGTAACTTGAGGCAAATGACCCAACCTCTGCTGCTGTTTTCTCAGATCCTGCTTTTCTCACTGCTCTCAATTTTTGCCTCTTTTTGATGTCACTTCCACTGCCCTATCTATAGAAGCAACAAACACCCCTATAAAATCTGTTGACCCCATGTTCTATTTCCTTCTTGTGACAACCCATTACCTCCCAAACAAATGAATTCATAACCATTGATCTAGACTAGTTCTTTTCTATAGCTAAAGTGGGATGGCTATACTACACATATCTTTGCATAGATCCTTCCTAAACTCTCTCTCACCCTAACACCTGCTTCCTTCACCTCTGCATAAGCAGTTGGAGACTGAGGTGGGTGTGGGGTGAGGAAGAACAGCTCATCTCAAATTTTCTAAAATCATCCGTCATCACCAACAGAAGCAGATCCATGCGGTATTAACAGCTGGCATGGTGACCCAGGAGGTTTGATAAAATGCATATTTTTACCTATACAGGGTGATGAGAAAGTGTTACCACTTCATATGGCAGCATTATAATTAGGTCTATAATCAACAAACACCTGGGGAATAAATGAATATGTGTCTTTGTGTGCATATGTATGTGAGATACAGACAGAGAGGATTTAAATATATTTGTTTCTTACTGAAGGAACTGTTTTGTACTACATAGTGTTTCACTGAAACATGGAAGTGTCTCCTGGTCGAATGACAATGGGTCATATGTAATTGGTCCTCACCAAACCTGCCCTGTATATATATTTATATCCTCTCTAGTTGTCTTTTGTCAAGTAGTATGAAAGAAGAGCTGGAATCACAGGCTCAGCAACCCTGTTGGCAGGGTCATACCATCAGTTGTATTTTTTGTTTATATTTCCTGCCTTTAAAAAATGATACTAGTAATATTTAATACATTCTTACTGTAAATTATTCAAATAATATCAAGTACAAGAAATATATAAACAGAAATGTGAATATCTTCATTCCTCCCACACTGCCTTATTTACCTAGAGGGGAGAATGTCAACGTTTTGCCAAACCTCTGCTATGGTCTAAATGTTTGTATACCCCAAACTTCACATGTTGAAACCTAATCACCAAGGTAATGGTATTGGAAGGTAAGACCTTTGGGAGATGGAACTAGTGCCCTTATAAAAAAGACTTGAGGGAACCTGTTTGCCCCTTTTGTGAAGACACAGCAAGAAGGCGCTACTCATGAGGAACAGGCACTCACAGACACTGAATCCTTTTGATGGCAGTGGCTGCTGCCATCATGCCGGCTGCAGCAGGGAAGTGCAGCTGGGACTGCACGCTCCAGGAAGCAAGTGGGAGCCCCGCCCCTTCTGAGTTGGGATGGGAGCTCCCCGTGCTGCTGCAGCTGCCCAAACCACAGCTGCAGACCCAGGCCTCCTGCTCTATAGAGCAGACAGGAGCCCCGACCGGGGCTGCAGCAGCGCAAACTGCAACTGTGGATCCGAGCCTCCCTGTGCTCTTGGGGGAGCTGGGAACAGGTAGGATCTGCCCTCCCAGGTGTCGCTGCAGCTGCAGCACCTGTGGCTGCAGACTTGGGCCTCCGGCTTCAGGAAGTCGGTAGAAGCAGGGAACAAGCGGGAAACCTGTCCCTTCCAAGTTGGTGGGGCAGGAGCTCCCAGGTGCAGCTGCTGCTGCCCTCCCAAGTACAGGACCTGGGGATCTCTGCAGCCTGCACCCTTGGGAGCCCTTGGGCACCCCAGGAAGGTCCCCCTCATCCCCATCCCTGCAGGCTCAGGGGTGTCTGCTCCCACTGTCTGGCTTCTCTCGGCTCCCAGCACCCTCTCCAACCTCAGAGTGGGGTTGGAGCCAAGCCCTGGGGCCATGAATGGCAGCTGGAGGCAGACAAGAGCCCTAGACAGAAGGGGTGGGGTCCCCAATAAGGCCCCACCCTCAGGCAGTGGAGGGCCTGAAGGCTGGGGACTGGGCTGCTAGTTTCTCCCACCAGAGTGGGAACTCGGGGTGCCTCTTCCAGCCTGCTCATGGCCGCCCATGGACCAGTCAGCACACACTTCCTCCCCTCTGAGGTCCATAAAAGCCCTGGGCTCAGCCAGAGTAGGGCAGAGGATGGCTGGAGGACGAAGAGTGCAGACAGACAGGCCAATCAGCTGCAGACAGGAGTACCCTTTCCACTGACAGCAGCAGAGATGACCTGCTAGCAGAGAGGAGCTGCTCTGTCTGCTGAGAGTTTCAGACACCTACAGAGACATCTGAATGACTTGCCTGCATGGAGGAGCCACCCTCTCCAGGACCTCCTCTCTGCTGGGAGCTGAACATTCGACAGGATGACCTGCCTACGGAGAGGAGCTACCCACTCTTCTGAGCTGTTCTATCACTAAATAAAACTCTTCTTCACCCTTCACTTGTCTGGATGCAGGACAAGAGCTTGGGCAAAGGCACCATGGCCACAGAGGTTTCCAGTCAAAGAAATCAACGCTCCAGAGATCCCGTAACATTTTGGTTCCTTGATCTTGGACTTCCCAGCCTAGAACTGTGAGCAACAAATTTCTGCTGCTTTTAAATTACCTAGCCTAAGGTATTTTGTTATAGCAGCCTAAATGGACTAAGACAACATCTTTTGGTCTTCGGTCTTTTTAAAAAATGCATTTATACATATGCACTACACACCACACAGTTTAGCTATTTGTTTTACACACATGATAATAATATATGGATCATCATTCAACCTGTTTTTTTCATTTAACAATAGGTCTTTAGAGCTTTGCACATCACTGCAGTCAGCTCTAGCTCCTTCTTATAATGACAACCAGTATTTCATATTATGCATATAATATGTATTGTTTGACCATTTCTCTATATAACCAATAATGAATGTTCTTGTATGCATCTTCATGAAGCTATGTAAGTATTTCTTTAGAATGGAGTAATTGCTGAATGAAAGGGTATATACATTTTTCTAAAGTGATCTTTCAGATTCACTCCCTTCTATATTTTATATTTCCTATCCATTTCTGCTTAAACATTTAATATTTTCAATTATTTTAGTTGATACCATTCTGATAGGCAAAACTGGTACACTTGTTCTAATTTGCACTTTTCAGATGACAGTAAATTGGATATCTTTTTATTCTCTGTTTATACTTTTTCTGTAAATTTTCCTTTCCATCCTTTGTCCATTTTTTAAATAGGCTATTTGGCATTTCCTTATTAATTTGCAAGAATTCAATGCATGCTAGATTATTAACTTTTTTCTGTAAATTTTCCTTTCCATCTTTTGTCCGTTTTTTAAATAGGCTATTTGGCATTTCCTTATTAATTTGTAAGAATTCAATGTATGCTAGATTATTAACTATTAGCCCTTTAAATATCTTGCAAAGTTTTCTCCCTGTAATGTAACTTAATTTTACATATGATGTCTTTTACTGCATTGAAGTTTTAATTGATTCAATCTACAATTATTTTTATGGCTTTTTTTGCCTTGTTTAGAAATGATTTCCTTGTTCCAAAGTTAGAAAAATACGCTACTATATTTTCTTCTCACATACATTTCAGGAATAACTTTTAAATTTATTTGGAGTTTATTTCAGTGAGTGCCATTAGGTATGGAGTCAATTTTTTCCCCAAATATATATTAATAGTTATTTCTCTTAACACAATTTGGTAAATTTCTTCAGCTGACTTAAAATGTCACTTTTATCATAAACTAACTTTTAAAATATACCTAGGTCTGTACCTAGACATTGGCTTAGAATTCCAATTTCCAGAAAATTTGGCACATAACATTCAACATTGAGAAATAGCCTAGGAAACTTGAAGAAAAAAACACAGAAAGTAGAGATACACAAAATACAAAATGATAAAGGGGAAATAACCACATTAGAAGAACCATTTAAGATGGCTGAAATCTATGCAAATGAATTTTAAAACCTGGATAGAAATGAATAACTTTCTAGAAATTCACCACATTTATCAAAAGTGACTCCAGAAGAGATGGAAAATCTAAACAGTCTGATTTTTATAGAAGAAATCAAGAAAACTTTCAAAGAGTTACACCCCCATCAAGGCAACAAGACCCATAGTATTACAGATGAATTTGATAAAGGCATTAAAGGGCAAATAATTCCAATGGCTTTTTTTTTTTTTTTAATTGATCATTCCTGGGTGTTTCTCGCAGAGGGGGATTTGGCAGGGTCATATGACAATAGTGGAGGGAAGGTCAGCAGATTAACAAGTGAACAAAAGTCTCTGGTTTTCCTAGGCAGAGGACCCTGCGGCCCTCTGCAGTGTTTGTGTCCCTGGGTACTTGAGATTAGGGAGTGGTGATGACCCTTAACGAGCATGCTGCCTTCAAGCATCTGTTTAACAAAGCACATCTTGCACCACCCTTAATCCATTTAACCCTGAGTGGACACAGCACATGTTTCAGAGAGCACAGGGTTGGGGGCAAGGTCACAGATCAACAGGATCCCAAGGCAGAAGAATCTTTCTTAGTACAGAACAAAATGAAAAGTCTCCCATGTCTACTTCCTTCCACACAGACAGGGCAACCATCCAATTTCTCAATCTTTTCCCCACCCCTCCCCCCTTTCTATTCCACAAAACCGCCATCGTCATCCTGGCCCGTTCTCAATGAGCTGTTGGGTACACCTCCCAGACGGGGTGGTGGCCGGGCAGAGGGGCTCCTCACTTCCCAGAAGGGGCGGCCGGGCAGAGGTGCCCCTCACCTCCTGGACGGGGCGGCTGGCCGGGCAGGGGGCTGACCCCCCCACCTCCCTCCCGGATGGGGCGGCTGGCCGGGCAGAGGGGCTCCTCACTTCCCAGTAGGGGCGGCCGGGCAGAGGCGCCCCTCACCTCCCGGACGGGGCGGCTGGCTGGGCGGGGTGCTGACCCCCCTACCTCCCTCCCGGACGGGGCGGCTGGCCAGGCAGAGGGGCTCCTCACTTCCCAGTAGGGGTGGCCGGGCAGAGGCGCCCCTCACCTCCCGGACGGGGAGGCTGGCCGGGCGGGGGGCTGACGCCCCCACCTCCCTCCCGGATGGGGCGGCTGGCCTGGCGGGGGGCTGACCCCCCCACCTCCCTCCTGGACGGGGTGGCTGGCCGGGCGGAGACGCTCCTCACTTCCCAGACGGGGTGGCTGCCAGGCAGAGAGGCTCCTCACTTCTCAGACAGGGCGGCTGCCGGGCGGAGGGGCTCCTCACTTCTCAGACGGGGTGGTTGCCAGGCAGAGGGTCTCCTCACTTCTCAGATGGGGCGGCCGGGCAGAGACGCTCTTTACCTCCCAGACGGGGTCGCGGCCGGGCAGAGGCGCTCCTCACATCCCAGACGGGGCGGTGGGGCAGAGGCGCTCCCCACATCTCAGATGATGGGCGGCCGGGCAGAGAGCTCCTCACTTCCTAGATGTGATGGCGGCCCGGAAGAGGCGCTCCTCACTTCCTAGATGGGATGGCGGCCGGGCAGAGACGCTCCTCACTTTCCAGACTGGGCAGCCAGGCAGAGGGGCTCCTCACATCCCAGATGATGGGCGGCCAGGCAGAGACGCTCCTCACTTCCCAGACGGGGTGGCGGCCGGGCAGAGGCTGCAATCTCGGCACTTTGGGAGGCCAAGGCAGGCGGCTGGGAGGTGGAGGTTGTAGCGAGCCGAGATCACGCCACTGCACTCCAGCCTGGGCACCATTGAGCACTGAGTGAACAAGACTCCGTCTGCAATCCCGGCACCTTGGGAGGCCGAGGCTGGCGGATCACTCGCGGTTAGGAGCTGGAGACCAGCCCGGCCAACTCAGTGAAACCCCGTCTCCACCAAAAAAATACGAAAGCCAGTCAGGCGTGGTGGCACGCGCCTGCAATCGCAGGCACTTGGCAGGCTGAGGCAGGAGAATCAGGCAGGGAGGTTGCAGTGAGCCGAGATGGCAGCAGTACAGTCCAGCTTTGGCTCGGCATCAGAGGGAGATCGTGGAAAGAGAGGGAGAGGGAGACCGTGGGGAGAGGGAGAGGGAGAGGGAGAGGGAGAGGGAGGGACTTTTTTTTTTTTTTTTTTTTGAGATGGAGTCTTGCTCTGTTGCCCAGGCTGGAGTGCAGTGGGGGTGGAGCCCTAGCCAGGGACCCACCTTTCTCTACCCACCACTTCCCTTCCCCACTTCCCTATCATTTAAAGGGACCACACTGTTCCCTTCTCAGCACTCCTATATCAAAACCTCCATATTCTCTTTATGAGACAGATATAACTGGGCTGCGTGTCAGGAGGTCCCTCATGTTAGGCCTGAGAACAGCTCAGAAGAGTGGGTAGCTCCTCTCTGTGTTCTGAGGGCTGGCTGGGGTGCTGGAGGTGGGCCAGGGCAGGTGTAAACTCTGCGCCTCATTGTTCCCTGGTGCCACCAGACATTGCTCAGGCCACCAGCACCATGAAGATCTGGACTTCGGAGCACGTCTTTGACCACCCATAGGAAACTGTTACAACAGCTGCAATGCAGAAATACTCAAACCCTATGAGCCCAAGTGTGGTTGGAGTTAATGTGTTGGACAGACATATAGATCTGTCTGGAAAGTTGCACAGCCATAGACTTCCCAGCACAGAGTAGGGACTGCTGTCCATTGTGAAGTCTCTTATTGGTGCAGCAAAAACCAAAACATGTGTGTGAGAACATTCTGTTGATCCTGTAGAGAAAGCAATGGAACTTAAATCTACTAATATTTCATTTGCAAATATGGTTTCAGTAGATGAGAGACATATAAAAACCACATCCTCAGGACCCAGAAGGAACCATTTTGACTCAACAAGCCGTAATCACCATGAAAGGAGTTAGCCTTAGTGGTTACCCTGAAGGACTGATGGTAAGTACAATATCCTCAAGTGCTAGTAAAGGTGAAGAAGCAGTGGAATGGGTAATACACAAATTAAATGCTGAGAGTGGGCTGGGCGCGGTGACTCAATGCCTGTAATCCCAGCACTTTGGGAGGCCAAGGCAGGCAGATCACCTGAGGTCAGGAGTTTGAGACCAGCCTGGCCAACATGGTGAAACCCCGTCTCTACTAAAAAATACAAAAATTAGCCGAGCATGGTGGTGGGTGCCTGTAATCCCAGCTACTCAGGAGGCTGAGGCAGGAGAATTGCTTGAATCCGAGAGGCGGAGCTTGCAGTGAGCTGAGATCCTGCCATCGCACTCCAGCCTGGGCGACAAGAGTGAAACTCCGTCTCAAAAAAAAAAAAAAAAAAAAAAGTAGAGATTGAAGAATTGACAGCCTCGGCAAGAGGAAGCAATGGCAGCAGCAGCATTTGCAGAAAGGGGATCCTGAAAGTTGACAGACAACATCGGGTACCCCAGGTCTCTCCCAGCTGACCATATATTTATTTGTCATTTTAAAATTACAACTATACTTTAGGTAGATTTTTTTTGTTAAGCTGATATAAGGCTATGTGACTTTTGATCAAAACAGAAAGGCTTCTAAATAAAAGGGATCATTTGAAATTAATGTTGTTTGAAATTACTGTCTGATTTTGAGGGTTCCAGTATTTATGTGAAAAATTAACAAGAAGTCCTTGGAAATTGGTATTGACATTAAATCTCTCTAAGGTAGAATTTTAAAGCTTTCCATACATTGGAACTCCACCTGCCTTTGGACCGACCCCAGAACAGAGCAGAGCCACTTCCTATTGCCCTGCTGCTGTATACGCTTCAATAGCTTGCATAAGGGAATTCACTGAAAAGGAGAAATTGCATGGTTTTAAACTATATTCTGTGTAAAATAACTTGCTCAGCTATAAACCACCATTAAAAACCAGTGTTTTGATTTGGTACTTAAATATTTTGAGAGTGAAAATTGTCACTAAAGTAACATATGACTCCAACAAAAGTATGGTTTTGCGTTTTGTTTAGTTTTGAAACAATGTCTCGCTCTGTCACCCAAGCTGGAATGCAGTGGAGCAATCTCAGCTCACTGCAACCTCCCCATCCTGGGTTCAAACGATTCTTGTGCCTCAGCCTCCCGAGTAGCTGGGACTACAGGCATGCACCACCACTCCTGGCTACTTCTTGTATTTTCAGTAGACATGAAGTTTTGCCATGTTGGCCAGGCTGCTCTCGAACTCCTGGCCTCAGGTGATCTGTCCACGTTGGCCTCCCAAAGTGCTAGGATTACAGGCATGAGCCACTGTGCCAAGCCAGAAGTATGGTTTCATTATATTAGAATACAGTAGGCCAGGCATGGTGGCTCACGCCTGTAATCCCAGCACTTTGGAAGGCTGAGACGGGCGGATCATGAGGTCAGGAGATCGAGACCATCCTGGCTAACACGGTGAAACCCCCTCTCCACTAAAAATACAAAAAATTAGCCGGGTGTGGTGGTGGGCGCCTGTAGTCCCAGCTACTCAGGAGGCTGAGGCAGGAGAATGGCGTGAACCTGGGAGGCAGAGCTTGCAGTGAACCGAGATCGCACCACTGCCCTCCAGCCTGGGTGACAGAGCGAGACTCCATCTCAAAAAAAAAAAAAAAAAAATACTGTATTGATTTGCCAAAGTTTGTAACTTAGTAAAGGTATTATCTTCCTTGGATTTGTACTTTGTGATTTAGTATGCCGTACCATGGGCTGGTTATGTTAACTGAAAAAATACAGTCATTACCTGAGTTTTGCAGCACTCTAACTTAAACAGAACAGCTGTTCACATCTTTTAGCACTTCACATTTGCCTAACTTAAAAATTGCCATGTGTCAAAATCATGGTTTGTAATTGCTAAGGCATGATATGTCAGGTCATGTGAATATAATTACTTTTTGAAGTAGGTGTGACCACAAAACATGTTTTTTACATGAAGGAACTGTAAATCATTTGAAATTACTCAAATGATGTTTTGTTCTGAAGCATAAATCCCAGGTACTTAATGTTTTTACTAATATGGTGCCACTGCAGAGTTTGGGGGCAGTGGGGAAGAACAAGAATAATGATGGGGAGAGGATTGGTCTGAAACTAACCACTAAGTGAACTGCACTGCAGCTTTTATTTGTGGGAACCCCTTGTTTGGGATCTCAGAGGGCAGCTGCAAACTGAAAAACAATCCAGTAAATATGCTTTGTTTAATATTTCATAGCAGGCAATAATCAACCACTTAATAATAGCTTTGACATTTGCAACTGTTGTATACAAAGTATTTTTGCTAGAAGATGACTAGCTCTCACTTTTATTTTACAGTGCTTAATGTGATAAACTTCTAGTCATGTTTCCTATCAAAGAGATCAGTTAATATATGTACATCAACCACAGAAACAGTATAACAAAATATTTTAAAATTATCATTTTTCTACTTCAAATATGTTTAGCTTAAGACTTCTTAGCACATTTATAAAAGCAGGTTAAATTTAATAAGATTTCTGATTTTTTTTGTAACTGAAGATAGTTTTTACTAGTGAAATAACATTTCAGCTAAATAAAACTTTGCTAAATATTGATATTTGATAAAAAGTTATCTTGTATAATTTCTGCAAATTATCCTTGTTCTGAAAAGGTGTAATGCCCTAATAATAAAAGATTGTTAAACAAATCCTTATCTTTTGATTTTTTAAACTCTGATCTAATGATACAATTTTATAAATTTTCATTTTCCATTTTCCAGTGCAGTTAGTTACTTTTTTTTTTTTTTTTTTTTTTTTTTGGAGAAAGAGTCTCGCTCTGTCGCCCAGGCTGGAGTGCAATGGTGCCATCTCAGCTCACTGCAAGCTCTGCCTCCCGGGTTCACGCCATTCTTCTGCCTCAGCCTCCCAAGTAGCTGGGACTACAGGTGCCCACCACCATGCCCTGCTAATTTTTTTTCTATTTTTAGTAGAGATGGGGTTTCACCGTGTTAGCCAGGATGGTCTTGATCTCCTGACCTCCTGATCCGCCTGCCTTGGCCTCCCAAAGTTAGTTACCTTTTTAAAAAAATAGCTGGTAATTCATAGCTTTTACCTGTTAAATATAAATGCACAGCAAGCAAATGAATTTAAGAGGACTAAACTGGAATAAAGTGTTAATAAATGAAAATCTTGGACTATTTAATATTAAAATTGAAATGTGAATTAAGATAAACTTGTGTTAGTAAAAACTTTCTTCTTTTAAAAAACCAAGCATAACTAAAGATCAAATCCATTTATAAATGTCAATGCAATAATCCTGAATAAAATATTGGAGAATATAATCCATAAAAATATGAAATTAATATTATGGACAAGTAAGATTTAGTTCAGGAGGGCAAAAATGGTTTAGGAAATCTTTTTTTTTTTTTTTTTGATGGGGGGAATGGTCTTTTTTGCCCAGGCTGGAGTGCAATGGCACAGTCTCAGCTCACTGCAACCTCCACCTCTGGGTTAAAGTGATTCTCCTGTCTCAGCCTCCCGAGTAGCTGGGATTATAGGCATGTGCCACCACACTTGGCTAATTTTGTTATTTTTAGTAGAGATAGGGTTTCACCATGTTGGCCAGGCTGGTCTCAAAATCCTGACCTCAGGTGATCTTCCCGCCTCAATCTCCCAAGGTGCTGGGATTACAGGGTGAGCCACCATGCCTGGACCTAGGAAATCTGTTAATATAATTCATCGAATTAATAGTTTTTAGAAGATAAACTATTGATCCTCTCTATAAATGCTGAAAAGGATTTGGCAAAAGTCAACAACCATTATTGACTTAAAACAAAACAAAACTCAGTATGATAGGAAAAGACAGATCCTTAAAATGATAAGATAAAGCTTTTTTGTTTTTTTGCCCCAAAACTGAGATTATTACCTTTGATGTCAGAAACATGACAGGGATACCCACTATCGTCATTTCATACTGTGCAGGAGGTAGTAGTCGGTGCAATTAGCAAAAAGAAAAAAAATGGAAGTATGAAATTGGAAAGGAAGAGGTAATGCTATTACTATTTTTTTATTGATACAAAATATTTTACATATTTACGGGATACACACGAGTACTTGTTACGTGCACAGAATGTGTAGTGATTAGGTCAGGGTGTTTGGGGTATCTATCACCCTGAGGATCATTTCTATATGTTGGTAACATTTAAAGTCCTCTTTTTTAGCTACTTTGAAAAATACTATGCAATGTTGCTAACTATAGTCACCCTACTCTGCTATTGAATATCAGGGCTTATTTGTTCTAACTGTATGCTTATACCCACTAATCAACCTCTCTTTATTCTTCCTCCCACCCAAACACTCTTACCAGCCTCTAGTATCTGTCATTCTATTCTCTATCTCCATGAGGCCAATTATTTTTTAGTTCTCATATATGAATGAGGACATGTGGCATCTGTCTTTCTGTTCCTGATTTATTTCACTTAACATAACCTCCAGTTCCATCCATGTTGCTGCAAATGACATAATTTCATTATTTTTTATGACTGAATTGTATCCATTGTGTATATATACCATATTTTCTGAATCCATTTATATATCGATGGAGCTATTACTATTTTCAGATAACATGAAGACCTAGGTGAATCAACTGCAAAACTATTACAAACAATAAAATAATTCAACAAGAAGGAAGGGCACAAAATTAACATAAAGAAACCAATACATATCAGATACAGAAATCACAATCACCTAGAAGCTATAATGGAAGAAAATCCCCCAATATTACAATATTTTAAAAAAGTAATTAACAATAAATGATAATATTTATATGATGGAAAGCTTAAAACATTTTAATTTGAGTCCCAGAAGGGCAGGAAAGTGAGAATGAGGAATAAACAACATTTGAAGAGATAATGGCTGAGAATACAGTCACGTACCACATAAAAATGTTTCAGTAAACAACAGACCGCAAATACAAAGGTGGTCCAAAAAGATTATAATACCATATTCTTACTGTACTTTTCTATATTTAGATACACAAATACTTACCATTTCGTTACAGTTGCCTACAGTATTCAGTGCAGTAAGATGCCGCACAGGTTTGTAGCCAGCAACAATAGACTCTACCACATAGCCTAGGTGTGTAGTAGGTTATACTATCTAGTTTTGTGTAAGTATGCTCTATGCTGTTCACACAATGACAATGTTTTCTAAGGTCATGTTTCTCAGAATGTATCCCCATCATTCATTGTTACAAGAATGTATTCCAAAACTGATGAAAGGCATCAATCCACAGATTTGAGAAGCACTATGAATCCAAAGCAGAATAAATAGTTACACCTGAGACA
Source organism: Homo sapiens (assembly GCF_000001405.40). Lineage (NCBI taxonomy): Eukaryota > Metazoa > Chordata > Mammalia > Primates > Hominidae > Homo > Homo sapiens. The sequence goes on from NC_000001.11 coordinate 220,473,722, forward strand.
CGGTGTAAACCAATCAATGTGAAATCTGGGTTTATTGGGAATGGTGAGTCCCTATGTAACCTTGTGGCATTGGAGGAAGAGAAGTTGGTACCTTTTGATTATCCTTGTAACTCCCCTCTCAGACTTCTCTGGTCCCAGGTGATAGATTTCTGGTCTGGTCGGGTCTGTGAGTCTCTTTACACTACTGTCCACTGAGGTGTGGCTAGCAAACTTCTGGTTTGTTCTTTCAGCTGGGTTAAAACCCTGTGGTTCTCATTGTGATCTCAGCCTACCTTGGGTCTCACTGATCCTGTAAGTTCTAATTCTCCATCATGGTCCTCACTAAAAAACCTATCCTGTGGCTTCTGTGGTACAGTCATTATCCTCTGGCTACAGAAGCCTTTGTAAATCTTCTTGCTCTCACTTCAGTTGTCTTTAATCTAGTGGTTAAAGGTATAGACTTCATAACTAGATTGACTTTGTGTTAAAATCCTCATTTCATATTACAGCAGTGTGGTCTTGGACAAGATAGTTAACCTCTCTGTACCTCAGTCTCCACAATTTAAAAAGTGCAAAAAGGACCTATGTCATAGGGCTGTTGAAAAGATGCAGTAAGACCATTTTTGTAAAGTACTTAGACTTCTTCCTGGCACATAGCACTCAATAAATGTTAATTATTATTGTTTATTGAGGTTCATGAAGGCCCAATAAATAGCACTCCATTTCCTCACCTGAGTACTCGTGTAATTAAGAAATATATAGAGAGTAAAGTAGATGGAGATCAAAATTCACCTTTTTTTTACACTGATAATGCATTATTGTAGAATGTGATTTATATCTCTGGGCAAGTGTCTTCTTTACACCAAACCCCAGAAGTAGGTGGACTTACCCAATCACAGGTGACAATGAACTGGGGCAAATCTGTCCCTGTGAAATTTACAGTAAGGCAACCTGAGCAGATGCTTCTGTGATCAGATTTCTTCTTTCTCTCATCTGTTCCAGCGATAATTGCCTATACAGCTAATAATTTGGCAATTGATCATGTCCAGCCTAATACCACCACATTAGAGGTGATCAGATGCTGTCAGAGGTCTGCTTATATCCCATTAGCACATTTGGCCATTTCCAGGCACAGTGATCACACTGATGTTGTGTCCGGAATTGGTGGGTTCTTGGTCTCACTGACTTCCAGAATGAAGCCGAGAACCCTCGTGGTGAGTGGTACAGCTCACAGCACGCCTAAGGTGGCACGTCTGTAGTTTGTCCCTTCTGATGTTCAGATGTGTTCGGAGTTTCTTTGTTTTGGTTGATTCGTGGTCTCACTGGCTCAGGAATGAAGCTGCAAACCTTCCCAGTGTGTGTTACAGCTCGTAAGGCGGCGTGTCTGTAGTTGTTCATTCCTCCCAATAGGCTCGTGGGATCGCTGGTTCAGGAGTGAAGCTACAGACCTTCGCGGTGTTACACCTCATGCAAGCAGCGTGGCCCCAAAAAATGAACAATAGCAACATTTATTGCAAAGAGCAAAAACACAAAGCTTCCACACAGTAGAAAGGAAACCAGAGGGTTGCCTCTGCTCGCTGGGGCAGCCTGCTTTTATTCTCTTATCTGGCCCCACCCACATCCTGCTGATTGGTAGAGCCCAGTGGCCTGTTTTGACAGGGCGCTGATTGGTGCGTTTACAATCCCTGAGCTAGACATAAAGGTTCTCCAAGACCTCACCAGAGTAGCTAGATACAGAGTGTCGATTGGTGCATTCAGAAACCCTGAGCTAGACACAGGGTGCTGATTGGTGTGTTTACAAACCTTGAGCTAGATACAGAGTGCCGATTGGTGTATTTACAATCCCTGAGCTATACATAAAGACTCTCCACATCCCCACCAGACTCAGGAGCCCAGCTGGCTTCACCCAGTGGATCCAGCACGGGGGCTGCAGGTGGAGCTGCCTGCCAGTCCCGGTGCTGTGCGCTCGCACTCCTCAGCCGTTGGGGGGTCGATGGGACTGGGCGCCGTGGAGCAGGGGGCGGCACTCGTCGGGGAGGCTCGGGCGGCACAGGAGCCCACGGAGAGGGTGGGAGGCTCAGGCATGGCGGGCTGCAGGTCCCGAGCCCTGCCCCGTGGGAAGGCAGCTAAGGCCTGGCGAGAAATCGAGCACAGCGGCGGTGGGCCGGCACTGCTGGGGGACCCAGTACACCCCCCGCAGCCGCTGGCCCGGGTGCTAAGCCCCTCACTGCCCGGGGCCGGCAGGGCCGGCCGGCTGCTCCGAGTGCGGGGCCGGCCGGCTGCTCCGAGTGCAGGGCCCGCCAAGCCCACGCCCACCCAGAACTCCAGCTGGCCCGCAAGCTCCGCACGCAGCCCCGGTTCCTGCTCGCGCCTCTCCCTCCACACCTCCCCGCAAGCTGAGGGAGTGAGCTCCGGCCTTGGCCAGCCCAGAAAGGGGCTCCCACAATGCAGCGGTGGGCTGAAGGGCTCTTCAAGTGCCGCCAAAGTGGGAGCTCAGGCAGAGGAGGCGCCAAGAGCAAGTGAGGGCTGTGAGGACTGCCAGCACGCTGTCACCTCTCAGTGTGAGCTTCCACTCCTTAGAGCAAGCACCCACATCTCTCTGTTGTAAGGCTACTTTTAAGCAGTGATGACCCACTTTTCCTGCTAGTGCAGACAGCAGGAAGTGCCTGGAAATTTATTTAATATAAGTGGCCATCACTCTCCCGACCCAGGGTGCCTCATCTTAAGGGCTGATGGACAGGAGGAATAATTACCCCAGCTCCCTGGCCCCGGACCAGAACATGGTCTCCAAAGACTGAAAGACTGAGCGGAAGTTACCCTTTATGGGATTTCCCTTCCTGGTCCTACTTTCCTACTCCCCAAATCACTTTCACACAAATCCTCATCTGGGGATCCCAGCTTAAGTCGGGAAACAAATCTATTATTGTCTAGTGGCATTTATATATATTTTTTACTTTCAATTGTTTTCCTGTGTTGACTCGTTGTAAAGGTTTCTTTGGGGGATATGAGCAGACCTCCAACAGAGTGTAGTACTTGTGTTTCTTCATACTCTCCATCGTATAGTTGTACAAACAGTAGGAACTAGGCTTTTTAAAAAAAAAATGATTTCTCAATTCATTTTCTTTTTAAATTGACATCAGAGAAACTCAAACTATGTGAATAAACAAGGCGTTTGGGGAATATGCATACATATCATGCAAAGGGTGCTATACACAGCCATAGAATTTTAAGGTTATTTTCTGAATACAAAAATATGTTACATAAATTTATAAAGATCGCAGAGAATATTTAGGTTGATATGAATATTGTATAAAATTATTATTTGGGATTGAATAGCTTTATACATGCTCTTAGAGACATTTTAATGTTGAAGTTGCTTTTAAGAATTATTAACTAGTGAATAATTAAAATGTTGTCAGAATGGATTCAAGGCCAATTAGTTTGGTTGCAGATAAAAAGTCCTAAGAAATCCATGACTGCCATCAGTGGCAATTAATATAGTTTTATTTGCATGCTAAAACAATCCAGGGTAGGTCCCAAAATGTACATTTTCTGCAATACAGTAATTTAGCTTTCATGCCCAGACTGGAAGTGTGATACTTAGAATAAATGAATCCAATAATGGAGGTGCAGGAAAATAATAGCATAGTGATAATATTTGACATTTGTATATGCTTTATTACTTTTCAGATGAATTTTGCAGCTCTTTTACCCTGATAGCTAGACCAAAAACCTATTTATAAGTTTGTACAGGCTACAGTTTTCTTCGCTTTGAATACCGACTAATGAATTTCAAACCACCAATCTGACCCTTTTATATCAAATTAACTGGTTATTTGGTCAAACCAATTCACTTGACCTGCTATCCTGGTGACAAGTAGATATTTCCTGAATCAGTGTCCATCAGTCTGTGCCTTGCTTCAGCCATGCCCAGCCCCTGTGTCTCTGACAGCCAGGTCCAGAAGATGTATGTGTGCTGGTACAAGTCTCATCCTACTTGTTCTATGAAGCACTGAGGGCAGGGCCTGAAACTGTGTTGGGGAATTCTCTAGAACCTGTGATTAGGTTTCCATCTTTCTCAATGCCTACTCTTTGTGTCCTTTTGCTTCTAGATCTGCTATACTCCTACTTCTCTGGATGATAATCCCAGCTTGAGTCCTTCCATGCTCCTCTCAGTTCCATTCACCAGTGATAGTGATGAACTCCATTCATGCCTTATAGCGGGAGCACACCATTCTGCATAATATTCAGCTATTTTCTAGGGTTAAATTTACCCCCTGAAAATATATTTGATTGAATACATATAGAGAATTTTCCTACTGATAATATTATTATTAGTGGTAATAATCATAATTTTCATTATTACTCTCAGGCTCAGTCCTTGTACTTAAAAAAAAAAAAAGATAGCCAAATAGTATACAGTGGGACATTTAATAAAACCTGGAGTTGTCTTTTGATTATTAAATTAATCCAAAGCTCGCAAGGGATTTTTAAGTTTCTTTAGCCACCAAGCAAGTTGTGAGTAAATATATAGCAAAAAAAATGGAAATGAATCTAGAAAGTTTTATATTATTTTGGCCAGGTGTGGTGGCTCACACCTGTAATCCCAGCACTTTGGGAGGCTGAGGCAGGTGGACCACGAGGTCAGGAGTTTGAGACCAGCCCGGCCAACATGGCGAAACCCCATCTCTACTAAAAATACAAAAAATTAGCCAGGTGTGGTGGCGGGCACCTGTAGTCCCAGCTACTCAGGAGGCTGAGGCGGGAGAATTGCTTGAACCCAGGAGGCAGAGGTTGCAGTGAGCCAAGATCACACCATTGCACTCCAGCCTGGGTGACAGGGCGAGAGACTCGGTCTCAAAAAAAAAAAAAAAAGAAAGAAAGAAAGAAAAAAGAAAGTTTTATATATATTTTAAAACCAGGCTTTCTCTTAGGAAATTGAAGATGCTAGTTGAGGATACTTTATAGACATCGCAGGCCTCCAAATATTTTGAACTGAAATACATTGATGCCCAAGGAAACATATTCATTTTGCTGAAATTAATAGGTTGTTTTAATTTTTAATTTATACGATAGCATGTACATAACCTTTTATTGTCTACTCAATTTTACTGCTGGACATTTACTCAATTAATGAATCTTTCAATAAGATACTGACTATCATAAACTCTTGGAAAGACTGTGGTGAGCTGAGGGAATAAAAATTTGTTTTCCTTTTTTCTGTGGAAGTAGTGGGGCTGCCAACTCTTCTTCCTGGCATATTTTAATCTTTTTTTTAATTTTTAATTTTAATGGGTACATAGTAGGTATCTATATTTATGGGGTGCCTGGGATATTTTGATACAGACCTACAATGTGTAATAATCACACCAAGAAATTTTCTCCTTTTTTTTTGGCAGGGGCGCTTCAAGGTCATTATTTGGAACTCAGGCTGTGACATTGAAAAAAGATAAATGGGGTTTCCATCACCTCAAGAATTCATCATTTCTTTGTGTTGCAAACATTCCAATTGTACTCCCTTGGTTATTCTAAAATGTCCAACAAATTATTGCTGGCTGTGGTCACTCTGTTGTGCTATCAAATACTAGATCTTACTCATTGTATCGAATTCTATTTTTGTACCCGTTAACTACCCCCATTTCCCATTTCCCCTCTCCACTACCCTTCCCAGCCTCTGGTAGCCATCATTCTACTATCTCCATGAGTTCCAGTGTTTTAATTTTCAGCTCCCACAAATGAGTGAGAACATGCAAAGTTTGTCTTTCTGTGCCTGATCTTTTTTTGGAGCTACAAGAAAGCATGTTGGCCAACTAGGTGTCTACACAGATTTCCATCTGGAAAGGGAAGCTCTTTCTCAGAGGCAAGTGAAGGTTTTGTTTCAGGCCAAAAGCTCAAGGTGAAGGTGCTCAGGAAATTTTTCTTCTTCTTCTTCTTTTTTTTTTTTTTTTTTTTTGGCAGGGGCACATCAAGGTCATTATTTGGGACTCAGGCTGTGACATTTAAAAAATATATATATTCCTTCAACAGCAATCTATTTCCTTCTTTGCCCAGAGGACACCTGTGCTGTTGCCCAAGTACATGTGAAAAGAACCAGTCAGCCTCACAATTTATACCTTGCCCCATTTGTAACAACTAGGAAGTCTCATCGGATTCATCTTTTGGTTTGTGTTCCATTTTAACAAATCACTCAGAAGGCTGCCAGAGATAATAACCTCTCATGAGGAAACAAATATTTCATCTCAGTGCTTTCTTCTCAAGCTGCAACTGGATCGTTGCAATTTGGTGTAATGTCGTTTCTTAACCTAGCCTCTGAAATTTACCCCATATATGAACAGAAAAGGATTCTTAACAGTTATTTTCATGTTGGCACAGAGTTCTGCTCAGTAGCACTTAGTTCTTTTGCTCCTTTTGAAGCATCATGACTGCCTGGTCTGCGCCTTGATGGATGTCAGCACTCTCAGGTCAGGTCTAGATGGGGCAATCAAACCACCCAAAGGAAATTCAGTATTCAGTCATCTGTGTGGATGACTCTGTACACAGTAACCTGAAGGGCTACGTGATAGTTTATTCCGATTTTTTTTGTTGAGATAGACAAAAAAGCTCTGTTAGTTATCTCATGATCTTTCAGACATGCCAGGAAGTTGTTTCTGCATGTCTTCAGCCACCATTGAAGAAAAGGAAATTTCAAATGCTATTAGAGCAAACGAGCTATGTCGGAACGTTTCCCCATTACTCCACTTGGATGCACAATCCTAAATAATAATAACTTCTTTCATATGGAATACTTACTCTGGTGCCAGACATGAATTAACCCAGTGCTTTCACATAAACTCAGTGAACCCTTACAATGCCCTATGAGGTAAATACTATTTTTTTTTTGAGACGGGTTCTCACTCTGTTGCCCAGGCTGGAGTGCAGTGGTGTGATCTCAGCTCACTGCAACCTCCGCCTCCCAGGTTCAAGTGATTCTCCTGCCTTAACCTCCTGAGTAGATGAGACTACAGGTGCATGCCACCATGCCCAGCTAATTTTTGTATTTTTGTTACAGATGGGGTTTCACTGTATTGGCCAGGCTGGTCTCGAACTCCTGACCTCATGATCTGCCTGCCTGGGCCTCCCAAAGTGCTGGGATTACAGGCGTGAGCTACTGCGCCTGGCCGGTAGGTACCATTTTTATCCCTACTTTTTAGATGAGGAAACCGAGACATATAGAAGTTAAGTAGTTTATCCAAAATGACACAACTGCTAAGTGACAGAGTCAGAATTTGAACCACTAGTGGTACCACTTGCTGGTAAACACTCATTACAACAGCCAAAAGTAAAGTGATCATCAAAACAATCGCCTAACATTTTTTGGATCTTTACATGCTCTGGTAAAGTAAAGTTACATGGTCCAGCAGAGGTGTGAGAAAAATTTAATGAATGTTACAAGACATGCTCTTAACTTTGTCTGCCTCAAGCAATAGGAGTGAGGATAAGTGACGCCTGGTGAAGATCCTGCAGAAGTCAGACTTTTCCTCTTAAAGCTATGGCTTCTCCTCTAGAATGAAAAGTTGCGATAACAGGAGTCCTAGAATGTGGGCCACAACTTCACATTCTGGATGCTGAGTCATTTGTCATTTCTATGCTGAGCAGTAGAGAAATACTAGGTGGCCCACTTTCTAGGACTCCTATTATCAGAACTATTCATTCTAGAGGAGAAGCCAGAGCTTTTAAGAGCGGAAGTCTGACTTCTGTAGGATCATCACATAGGTGTTACTTAATGCTCACTCCTATTGCTTGAAGCAGAGAAAGTTAAAAGCATGTGTTGTATAGGCACAGGCAAAGATTTCATGATGAAAACATCAAAAGTAATTGCAACAAAGCAAAAATTGACAAATGGAATCTAATTAAACTGAAGAGCTTCTGCATAGCAAAAGAAACTTATCAGAGCGAACAGACAACCTACAGAATGAGATAAAATGTTTGCAATCTATCCATCTGACAAAGGTCTAATATCCAGAATCTACAAGAAACTTAAACAAATTTACAAGAAAAAAACAAACAACCCTATTAAAAATTGGGCAAAGGACATGAGCAGACACTTATCAAAAGAAGACATATATATGGCCAACAAACATATGAAAAACTCAACATCACTGGTCATTAGAGAAATGCAAATCAAAACCACAATGAGATACCATCTCATGCCAGTCAGAATGGCAATTATTAAAAAGTCAAGAAACAACAGATGCTGGCGAGACTGCAGAAAAATAGGAATGCTTTTACACTGTTGGTGGAAATATAAATTAGTTCAGTCATTCTGAAAGAGTGTGGCCATTCCTCAAAGACCTAGAGCCAGAAATACCATTTGACACAGCAATTCCATTACTGGGTATAGACCCAAAGGAATAGAAATCATTCTATTATAAGGATGCATGCATGCATATGTTCATTGCAGCACTATTCACAGTAGCAAAGACATGGAATTAACCCAAATGCCCATCAATGTTAGACTAGATAAAGAAAATGTGGTACATATATACCATGGAGTACTATGTAGCCATAAAAAGGAATGAGATCATGTCCTTTGCAGGGACATGGTTGGAGCTGGAAACCATTATCCTCACCAAACTAATGCAGGAACAGAAAGCCAAACACCACATGTTCTCACTATAACAATGTGAACACATAGACACATGGAGGAGAACAAGACCCTGGGGTCTGTTGGGGGTCAGGGAGAGGGAGAGCATCGGGATAAATAGCTAATGCATACTGGGCTTAATACTTGGGTGATGGGTTGATAGGTGCAGCAAACCACCACGGCACATGTTTACCTATATAACAAACTGCCCATCCTGCACATGTACCCAGAAACTTAAATGAAATTTCTTTAAAAAGAGCATGTCTTGTAGCATTCATCAAATTTTTCTCACACCTCTGCTGGTAAATCTGTCATTTAATTTTCCACTCAGGACTGCACTTTGCCATTATAGAAATGATCTCTGAGTGACTTTGAGCAATTCATCCCCTGGAGAACTTTTGTCTTTATTTATGAAATATGTGTAGAAACACAAACCTTTGAATGTTATGGCAAGAAATCATCAACTGACAGACACTTCATCCTTTTAAGTGTTTTGGTTTACAAAGCTGACTGATGATACAGAATTTCAACAATTGTCAGCCATCTACTATAGGAATGGAAATCCATTTCTTCACTATTATGGTTTCTTATTTTAATGGCCAAATTTCCTGGATTTGATCATTGTAACCAATTCAGCTTCATTTAGGAATATCGCATTCTTCATGCAGCACTTTTTATAGTGTCTATTTGTGTTTTCAATAGCAATACACATTTTGGAGTTTTAAGCAAAAAGAACCCTGAAATATCTTCCTTCGTTTCTGCTCCCTAGAGGATAACCTTTATGAGGCCAAGAATTTTGTTTAATTTCTTCATTGGTTTATCACAAATATTTGGCACATAGTAGGTGCTTAAGAATTATTTTATTGAATAAATAAATTTATAAAAGTACATATGCCACTTTTAGGGGGAAATTAAATTATTTCAGCTATTAGCCTTTGGAGTTACAAGATTCTAGATTAGATTCCCAGCTCAGTTTACCAATTGTGTGACTTGGGTCAAATTCTTGGGGTCTTGGGAATGGGATTTCCTCATTTGAAAACTGGAGATGACATCTAATTTACAAGGTAGGTATGAGGAATGCCAGTGAAGACCTAGCCCATAGGAGGGCTCTGAAGTGTTAGCTTTTGCCCATCTGTGGATCTCAAAGCGCTTCTCAAATCTTAGTTATATGGACTAGGCAGGTAAAGTATTATTCTCATTTTGCCCATGGGGGAAAATGAGAGAGGAAAGACAGACACAATTGGCCAAAGACTTTTTGGAAATCTAGCTATTTAGCTCCAGTTAACAGTTGGCTTTCCTCCTTCTCTAGGCTGGCTAGTGATGACTTGGAATTTAGCATACTCTTTAGGGGTTTGAGGGAGGTGATTATGTAGAGCTTCTTTAACTGTTCCTTGTGTCTTTGTTGTAACTTTCAGTGGTGAGGAGGGAACCATGGGTTACCAGCCCGGGACTTGAGATTCTACCCATCTGGTAGTGGGTGGGACCGTGGGGATTGAAAGAAATGATATGAGAGCAAATGACGACATGCTCGTTGACTTTAAAATGTTATTAATAGCCCGCTGCCTTGGTCACAGCAATTTCCATTGCAACTTTCCTCTGGAATTCCTTGGATTGGGAAATAGCAGCTTCAAAGTCTCCTTGCTTAAAGAAAACTGAGACTGACCTTTCGCTGACAGTGTGTTTAGGGGTTTGGAGTGGAGACTAAGCCAGTGACTCTGGATAAACATCTCCATATTGTGGTGTGAGCTTGTGTTGCCTTCCCTCTCCATGCTGGAGGGGATTCTGGGCGTAGAGGAGGCTGGAAAGGGAGGATTTGCCCATATGTTTGCAAGGCAGACTTACAGGCCCCAGAGCAAAGCCCCAACCCCAGCAAAAGAGAAACACATATGTGTTGCATATTAAACTCCTACTAGGATGGGGGTGGTGTGGGAGAGAGGAATGCAGAGGGACAGATAACAGAAACTTTGAATTGATATTTCCTAGGGAAGCTGGGTTTGTCTGTCTCCAGCATCATCCTTGCACTGGCAGCATGACTGCAGAGAAAGAGCAAACTGATGAGTCTTGGCAGAACATTTCCCATTACTCAGTTTTTGCAAAATATGGCTCTAGACACTTGTATGTGGTGGGAAACTCTCTCAGATATCACTTAGATGCCATTAATGCTCCATTACTACATCTGTTTAAAAGGCTCCTGTTTTTAATTGTGACACATTTCAAACAAGATGCTTTAAGAACATATTGAATAAAAATGTTCCTAGTTATGAAGGACTGGGGCAGTGAGGGTGACTTGATTCTTCCATCCTGTCATTACTCAGGTGGAATTGGCTACAGCTGACATTTCAAGAACAGAGTGGTGTACTAGTGGAAGAAACCAGGACCAGACAGGGTCCAGGGTGGGGAGATGTCAGTCGACCACATGGATTTGGGGAGGCCCACGCAGAGGATCCAGAAGAAAAGAGAAAGGCGCACTAGTGTGAGATATAGACAGGCGTCCATATCAGCAGGGGTCTAATTGACAAATTAGGAGAGTCAGCCAAAGCCTTGACCATGAGGTTCTAGGCATTCATTCCTCCACAGCAGAATCCCAGCCAACAAAGTGGGCTTTGAGCCCTGCCCAAAGCCCAGGGGTAGGCAGAGCTGGACTGTGGGCTCTGTGAGGCAGGGCCTGCTCTTATGTCTATGTCTGTATCTGGGTGCCAAGAGTAGTGCCTGATATGAACATGCATGCACCTAATGGTTAGTGGATGAACAAATGGAAGAAAACAAAGCAAAAGCCAAGCGAAGCTTTCCAGACTGAGTTAATCCTGAGCAGGGCAGGCAGGTCAGGGGTGGGTAGGTGTGCAGGCACTTAGGATAATGATAGCCCATATATCTGAGGCAGCAGACTCGAATAGGTCCATATCCCACCAGTGAGCAGGCTGAGGTTGAAGGACTATATGCTGTCCATGTCACAACTGACTCACGAACTGCAGAAGGCAAAGCTTTCCACTGCAGAAAGGCATTCATGACCTCATCCCAAAGGACTGGCAGAGGTTGACCTCTATAGGTGAGCTTTGGAGGTATCTCTCTGGAGGGTGTTTCGTTCCCTTATTTGACATCCTTCTTGGGGCTACAACTCTATCAATAAATACACAAACACTCAGGTCAAACACACAGCATTGTAGATTTAGAGAATTTGAAAGCTGGAAGGGGCTTTAAAGACCATTTAATCCAACCTCATTGTCATACAGACGAGGAAATTGGGACCAAAAGATAAATGACTTGTTGAACAGGGTCTAAGTGTTTTCTCTTTTATTCTATTTGTTTTTTCAGCTTTACATGGTTTTTGTTTCATGTCTTGCCCCTAATAGACTGTGAGTTCCTCCAAGGAAACTATTTTTGTAATATCATGATCTCAAATACACATGGCATAATTTTATGGACAAGGAGTCTAAAATACAGCTGTTGGCTGACTGATGGAATGAGTGAGCGCATACATAAAAGAGGACATTTTTTAAAGGGCAAGTGAGTCGTTTTGAAAGTCTGAAACCCCGCGTAATGAACAAGCTACTGAGAGCCCAGAGAGGTGCTCCTCCTCTCAGGCATGTTCAATCTTCAGGATTCAGAAATTGTTCTGAGTAGAAGTTGTATTTCAGGTAACACTGCCTCTGCTGCATGGCCTGGTAATGGAAACTTAATGGAGATGGCCCTGGGGGGTTATTATTTCTCAAGACAAGAGGATTCAAGCCGGGACAGGAAGGGCCTTTCCATCTTAATTTACAGGGCCATGCAGCAGAATAATCATGGGTCATTCTTTTAAAATGGGGCTTCCATGTTTCGAAAGGAAAATGGGAAAATGTAGCATGGTGGCCTAACTAGCTAATTGTGTTAAGCACAGTGGCTGGAAACCAAGAGTGTACATCATCGTCACCTGCAGAGTGCCTTAAAAGCACATGCCCAAGCCCTAAACATATTTTGGGGATGGGGACTAAGCATATTAATTTTAAAAAACTTCTAAGGGGATTTTGATGTGTACACTGCTAAACTAACCAACTGCATTAGAAGAAGAAACCAAATAATCAGAGAGTAATCCTTTGGCATCTGTCTCCGGCAAAGTGATATTTCACCTGTAAGTTTCAATTTTGAATGGTTTCCACCCACTGTCACTCCTCACTCCTCACCAGCATCCAAATAGTCTTCCTCCACTTATTAAAACTGTTCTCCCAAAGGATCTGTTAAACGTATTCATACCACACTGTAGATAACTGACAAGGCTTAATACTTTCATTTTAGGGTTAATTGCATTTTTTTCTTTGAAATAATATTAATATGACTGAAAATGCAGAGGTGACATCCATTGACTAGAGCAGGGTTTCTCAACCTCAGCCGGGCTGGTTAATTCTTTGTTGCAAGGGCTGTCCTGCTTTCTACCTACTAGATGCTAGTACCACCTTCCCAAGCTGTCTCCAGACACTTCCAAATATCTCCTGGAGGTCAAAATTGTCCCAACTAGAGAATCAGTTCAAAATTAATATGCTTGTAGAGTTAATTGAATTTTAACTATGGTCAAAAGACAGTGGTGACTCTAATTATGGAATTTTAAGTCTGAATTAGTTCATGGTCAAACTGTTTGGAGAATTAGAGAAACTTTCCTGGTGTCCCCAAATCTAGGCATATAGAACACTCACCTAGAAGTAAAAGTGGCTGTGAGGAAGTAAACATAACCCTGGTCAGAAGGGGCTCAGGGAAGCTGGAGGGCAGGCGAGGCAGATTCTAGAAGTCCAGTCACTGAAGGGCTGCTCACTTTCTGGGGCTATCACAATACCCCAGAGTCCCAGGACACTGGGCAAAAGATAGCCTTGGCCCTACTACTCAGCCTTTCTGTAGAAACAGCCACAGTTCAGAAATAGTGTTGCTGTTTGCTATGAAAAAATAAAACCATAAAATAATAACTCTATGAAGGGTACAGTACCATCAGGCCAAAGAGGCCTCTGCCAGGAGACATTTCTGAAGTCTGAAGGTGTGCGTAGGGGTAGCATAAATGCCATGGTTAATTTTTAACTTCCCCATTGGTGAGTCCTGAATCAGAGGACAGTGTTTCTATGGTGTCAGGCGATATTCCTGTTCACGCTGAGGTGTCACCTGACAGGCACCAGGTGAGTAATGTACAGGGTGGTGGCACCATTGTAAGCCTCTGCCACATCTCTGAGGGCCCAGCTTTAATTACACCAGGATCCAGTGTTTGACATTTGTACTGGGTGACACTGTTCCTTCCTGCTACCTTTCCATTGTTCCACCCTCTCTTAGTTGCAGCATTCTGGCAACTGTGGTTTCACATTACTAACTCATTGCCATGGTTTCCATTTGATGTGCGATGACGTCACAGCTGATGAGGAATGGAGCTTCCTTTTCACTCTGATTACAGCCTGCTACACTTCTCTTTTCACACTCACTATAATACAGTGAATGCTCACAGTAATCAGCTCTCTTTCATATGGGTTCTGCCTTTCACTGAACATGATTTCCAGTTGATCATAGAACAGGCACTGAACAGAAATAAAAACTGGAGTGTGCAGGATCAGTGGTTGGCATCCAGGGGCAGGTTTGGTTCATTATCACGGGGACAACCTCAGGTATAGGCATTGAGGACAAATGGGGGGAAATTACAAATTCTATATTTTTTAATGTTTTTGATGTTTTGTTGTTAAACAAATACCAGATTTTAAAAACAAAGGGAAGTAAAAATACATCAAAAACTACTTATCATCGCACCACATAGAGATAACCACTGTCAGCATCTTCACTCATTTCCTACACTTTATTCCATACATATGTGTAGCAGAGATGGGGAATTCCTTAATGAAGATTGGGTATGTGGACATCTCCTTACACTCAGCCAGACATATATTTGTGTTTTGTTATCCATGTGCACAGAGACTTTGGCATTCTGGGTGAAGGAAGAAAGAAGAGAATATACATGGAAACCCAGGGGTAAGAGAAAAGGACAACAGAGAATGTGGCATGGGGAATGCTCTGCTGGGTCACATTGAATGGTTCTGAACCACTGTGGAAAAAAAGGAGTTAGAAAGAATCAGATGCCGAAGGAGCCAATTTTCACAATACTCCGAGACTCAGGGCAAAAGCAGCCTTGTTCTAGTAGCCTATGGGTAAAAGAAGACACAGAACTGAGGGGAGGACTTTTCCCCTGAGTCCACCACAAACCGCCATGGAGCTGAGGCAGCCTGAAGTCTCAGGGGCATGGGAGGGATTTGCCTTTTGGATTTCTCCAATGGGATGTCTTACAGGCACTTCATATTTAGCAGATCCAAAACTTAACTCAGATACTCCTCTTGCCATATCTGTTCCTCTTGCTGTGTTCCTGACCATGATTATCACCATCACCTACCAGCTGTATAAGCCACACACCTGGGAGTCCTCCTAGCCTTTTTCCTCCTCCTCTCATCCTCCATATCCCATTGACCGTCAGGGCCTACTGAGTCTACACTCCAATTTTCTTTTAAATCTATCCCCACTGCCACTGTCCTAGTCTAAGGCAATACCATCTGGTCACCCAGATCATTCCATAGCTTCCTAGTAAGTAGACCAGCCTTCAGTCTGAGCCCTCCTCGGTCCTTCCTCCCCAGTGCTGCTGGAGTAATCCTTCTAACACAACAATGAAAGCAGGTCACTGCGGCTCAAATGATGTCAGCGGCTTTATCATCCATGTTGCCTGGCTTTTCACAGGCATGTCTTGCAGTGCAGCCTTATAACTCTCTCAACACAACTCTGTATCCTCCTCATTCTTCATGCTTTTATAATGTCAAGCCATGTGACACTCCCTAAATATACCATGTTTTCTCTTTTTCCTCCTCCCCCTCTCTCATTTGCAGCTTCCCATACTTATCTTCCTAAACACTACTCTTTTTGAAATGTTTATTTCAAGGGTTTCTTATCTTTTAAACCATCTCAGACTCCCCTGGGGATTACCCCTTTTCCTATGTTTTTATTGTAGCATCCTCACAAATTCACTTTAGTTCCTTCGCATTCTGGTGTCGCTATATATTAGTGGGACTATGTCCCCATTAACCTGTTAGATCTCTTGAGAAAAGGGACATGTCTTTTCATCTTGAGTTCCCCAATACTTAGTATTGTGCTTAGCATATGCTAGGTGCTCAGTAAATATTTGATATGTGTGTGAACGAATGAATCAATCAATCAATAACAAATGACAGACAAACTCCAACCCCCAAACCTAAAAAAAAAAAATCCAAACTTTCCCCTTGCTCTTAGTGTAGATACTGCTCATCAACATAAGGCAAATTCTTCCTGCGCGTCTCAATACAGAGGAGGCGAGAACTCACAGAATCACAGAATTAGAGCACTGGCTTTGGCATGAGAACACCCTGAGTTAAAATCTGGCTTCTGCTATTTATTAGCCACATGACAGTGAATCTCCTTGAGCTTCTGTTTTGTACAAACTTAAGTTTGGCTTTGTGATCTTATTCCTCTTTGGTGCATCTGTACAACCCAACTGCTTATTCATATGACACTGCTAAAACATGCCTTGCCTTCTCCCCCACTTTTTTTTTTGGAGACAGAATCTCCCTTTGTCACCCAGGCTGGAATTCAGTGGCGTGATCTCGGCTCACTGCAACCTCCACCTCTCCAGTTCAAGCGATTCTCATGCCTCAGCCTCCCGAGTAGCTGGGATGACAGGTGTGCACCACCATGCCTGGCCAATTTTTTGTACTTTTATTAGAGACAAGGTTTTGCCATGTTGCCCAGGCTGGTGTTGAACTCCTGAGCTCAGGCAATCCACCCACCTTGGCCTCCCAAAGTGCTGGGATTACAGGCGTGAGCCGCCACATGAGGCCTATTACTACATACTTAATAGGGTTGTTACGAGGATGGAATGATGTATTTTAGGTGAAGTATTTAGCATAATACCTCGCACATAGGAATTACCCAATAAATGACAATTGTTGTCATTTCTTTTGTTTTTAGGTTTTATTTCACTATTGTGTCATCCACTCACTGGAAACTTCTTAGTGTCAAACACCCTTTTAAGAGTCTGTACACATATATACAAATTTTACAAACAATTGCAAGAGTTTTACACAACTCCCAAAGCAATTTCATGGAATCCATGTTGATAATCTTCACACTAGGAAGTAGAAGAGGAAAGGAAGACATATCATTCAAACTGTATTTTGCTTTTTGGAAAAAAAATCTGAAATATAATTATAAATTGTAAATCACTAGGTGAAAGATCACAGATGCATCTGAATTTCTTAATACCTCTGGCAAAATGCCATCAAACCAAAATACCTATTTAAGAAAGTTGAGAGGTTTGAAAAATTTAGCCCAATGACTTACTTATCCTAACTTTCTGGTGGATCCAATTTGCCCAACAGTTGTACCCTGGCCAGTGGTTCTAGTGACAAATTTTGGGATAGATAATGTCCATGGGAATTCTTTAACCATAGAGTGACCTGTGCTGGCACTATTGAAAGACATAGCATAGGAAGATTTTTAATATACGTATACCCCGAAACCTCCTAGAAAATCCTAGAGACTTTCTTTCTTACACAAAGAAGAAGTTACACATTGTAAAGTAAGTGTGTTTCTGAGAGTTAACACATTTGTTAGAAAAACTCAAAAAAAAAAAAACACTGGGCATTATCCCCAGTCTTCTCCTGTTAGCTGGGATTAGTGTAGGACTAGTGGCTGGAAATGCCTCTTAGACACTGACAACATGGCAATCACAGCCTTATCAGTGCTTGTATTTCTAATAGAATTTACCAGGCAGCACCAGTTTGTTTTATATCAATACAGGGATGCAGAGTTTTTCTTTTTCAATAAATTAATATTTTAAAATAAATGCACAAGGGGTTCTCATGATTTGATAACTATGGTGTTGAAATATGTAAAAAGTGAAGAGTTCAATTAGGAATTGTCCACTAATTTGAATATTTTATTTATAAGTTTGAATTTTAGCATTTAAGATGTTTAAATAACAAAGTATAGCTATACAAGGTCCAGCTTGTAACAGAGCTTGAGGTCGGTCATCTGTAATGCACTTTTTCTTTCTAGTTTGGGAAAATACCTCACTTGTTTGACCCTCATCAGGACTGGAATTAATATTTTAACCAAGCAGAAAATTGCTCATCTCAGATTGGCAGCCGTGCCTGCCAGTATATAGTATTTTCTAGGTGGCCATGATAGATAAGAAGAGAGCGTCACAGTTGGGACAAAGAAACATCTGTTGCATGACCTGAAAGTAACAAATTAAATGTTTAACTCTCCTGTCATCCTTGGCCACAGTGGTGGAGTCTGCTGATTGTTCCCCATTATCTTCCTTTAATAGGACCCCTTCTGTCAAGTTTTGACAGGGCCCATGGATGACCAGCAAGAGCCTCCTTTTAGTTATAGGTGGTCATGTGCCCAAGTTCTCACCAGTGAGATGCAAGTAGAAGTGACCTGCAAAACTTCCCTGTTGCATTACATCCTTAAAATAAATTTGATTAAGTTCTTATTTTCCTCTTTTTCATTCCCGGGGATTAGAATGAAAATGAGATGGTAAATCAGTTTGCTTCATGGGGATTTAAACAGCATTCTGAGGAAGGGATAAGCCACAGGATAAAAGGAACTACAGCTACCCCTCCACACTGCACTGTTTGCAGATCTCTGGCCTGTTATTAAAGAGAGACAACGAAACTTCTATCCCATTTAAGCCACTGCTTTTGGACTTCTATATCCAAGCAGCTTAGCTTGTATCCTCAATGAGCCACAGTCTCCATTATGATGATACACAGTGGTGTGGATAGCCTCTCAGATGGTCCCCAATGATCCTGCCTCGTGGTATATGTACCTTTGTATAATCCCATTCTCTTGAATGTGGGTTTGTCTGGTGACTCTCTTCTACCAACAGATTGTGGCAAAGATGGATGATGGGATGTCACTTCACTGATTAAGTGCCAAAAGGTTGCAATCTCCTCTTGCTAACAGACTCTCTGCCTTGCTGGCTTTGATGATGCAATTTGCCATGTTGGAGCTGCCTATGTGGCATGAAACTGAAGCAGGCCTCCAGCCAACAGCCAGCAAGAAACTGAGACCCTCAGTCCAACAGTCCACAGGGATCTCAATCTTGCCAACCACCATGTGAGCCTGGAAATAGATCCTTGCCCAGTTGAACCTTAAGATCACTACATCGCAGCTGACACCTTGACTGCAAGTCTGTAAGAGACCCTGAAGTGCAGGAACTTGCTAAGCCTGCCCAGACTCTTGACCCACGGAAACTGTGAGACAATACATGTGGGTTGTTTTAAGTTTGGGGGTAAGTTGTTATGCAGCCAAAGGTAACTAATGCCACAGAGACATCATTTTATTTTCATACAGTGATATGTAACAGAAGTAGTGTGTTGAAGTCAGAAAGTGAATTTTAAAATATCAGAGAAGGGGATGAGCTTGACACTAACTTAGGACTGCATACTGCAAAGGACCTCAGTTCTTTGCTGTGGACACTGAATCCCAGGGTGTGATCCTCTGCTTTGGAGATCCTTAGACTTGATTTATTAGCAAGCCCAGGGTTGTTCAGGCTCAGGGGAGCTTAACCAGCTAAACAAACTCCGAAGAGAGCTATATCTAAATCAGAATGCCAATTTGTTAATTTACTTTTATAAATAAAACTGCCAAGTGGATCAGATAAGTTATATCTTTGTATGTTAGTTCTTCAAGGCTGAGTAAAGTGCCACCTTATTTGTTTTTCTAGTCTCTCTCTCTCTCTCTCTCACACACACACACACACACACACACACACACACACTCTCTCTCTCTCTCTTTCTCTCTCTCTTCCTTATTCAGAACAGACTTCTACGCACTCAAATATTGTATCTCCTGATATATTGATGCCATTGAGTAGGCCACAGCTTGCTTTTCCAAGCAGCCATGCTCTATATCTGGTTAAACACACTTGGGGTAGACACCTGGAAGCCCAAGTGAGCATGGATCTTCCTGTCTAGCCCCCTTCCTTGGAACTGGGTCCTTCTCAGCTGCAAGATGACTTTTCATCCACATTCTTTTGGAGTTCTAGGACAAGGCTCCAGCTGGACTCTGGTCATTAATGCCAACCATCTGCAGTAACTCCATGCCTGTGCCTACACTGGCTTTCTATTTGCTCCTACCTCCTGCTTACAATGACTCCTTTACCCATTGTAACAGACTCTTCTGGTGCCCCATCTCACATTATCTCTGCCTAGCTTTTACTCCAGCCACCGTACTGACAACCAGCTCCAGGCAGGTGTAAACCTGACAGCATGTTGCTTCAGCTGCACCTTGTTATCATCTGATTTTTCTGGGGCTTCTCAGAGGCCTTAGGGTAGAACACCTGTGGAAAGCTGCCTGGCACTCACACTGCTGCAGCCTCACAAGAAAGAGTTCAAGCCCCACTAAGACAATCCTTGACTTCCCCCTTAAGTGGAAGAAGAAGGTGGACAAATTCTGAGGTTCATTTTACATGGCATTTCAGAAGTTTCTGAGGGCAGGATAGAACCCTATTCAATCACAGTAGAGATCACTCAAGAGCATACCTTTTCATTAACTTTTTTGCCTTCCTTGTTTCAATCTCCCCATTTCCCCACTCCTACTCACTAGGATCTTTTCCTCAAATCAACTAACTGCATGCAAGCCATCGCCTCAGGCTCTGCTTTCTGAAAGAACCCTGGTGAAGCTTACCCCTCTCTAATGCTGTCATTCACTGATGGCCCTGCCACTGCTCCATTGAGGTCTCTGGCCTCTGGCTCTTCTCCTCCACGGCTACTCCTGTTGCCATTGTCCTACACAGCAAGGATGACCCCATCTGCCACCCAAGCATTACAGACTGCTTTGATCTTCTCTAATTAAATGGCCTCCACCCCACTTCAGCATCCCCACTGGAAATAAACATTACCCTGAACAGGTCTATTTCTGAAATCTTTAACATCAATATCTTAGCTTTGTACATCAATATTCACCTATGGGTCCTATTTCCTCATTCTTATTCCCACTTTCTAGTATTTGAATTTCACTGAGACCTCTGGTGCTTTGACCACTCTATTTTCACTCCCTTGGAACTTCTTTATTCTCTTGCCTACCCACCTAGATTTTTTTTTCTTTCTTGAGACAGGGTCTCGCTCTGTTACCCAGACTGGAGTGCAGTGGCGCGATCACAGCTCACTGCAACCTCAACCTCACGAGCTCAAGCAATCCTTCCATCTCAGCGTCCTGAGTAGCTGGGACTACAGGTACACACCACCATGTCCAGGTAAATTTTGTATTTGTTGTAGAGATGGGGTCTCCCTATGTTCCCCAGGCTGATGTTGAACTACTGGGCCGAAGCAATCTGCCTGCCTCAGCCTCCCAAAGTGCTGGGATTGATTATAGGTGTGAGCCACAGCTCCCAGTTCTCCTTCCTAGATTTTATGGTTATTTATTTCAGTCACTCTCCAGAAAGGCTCTTGCCTCCCTACGCCTGTATATTTTGCCTTCTGAAACTTATTTTTTATCATCCAAATCATCCAATGATTCCACTTATAATCAAGCAGATGAGCACTGCTGCAGAAAATCACATTATCAGGCAGATGCTGTCACTCTATGTATGAACACAAAGCTCAGCTGAACCTTCCTCACCCACCAACCCTGTCTGATTATGTGTCCTGCTTCCATGCTATATAGCACACTGTGCATTGGACACATAGACACATCATTTAGCACTTATTTAATGAGCACCTATTATATGTCAGGTGTTGCATTAAGTGTTTGGGGTGAAATTCTGAATGGCTAATAGGGAAATACGTCCCTGTTCTTTGGGAGGCCTACATTGTTCTCTGATATACTGCACTCTAGTCATTGTACTATGCTTGTCTGTTCTCATTATTAGACTGATTTTGTCTTATTTATATTTTGGATCCAAAGTATATGGCATGTAGTAGGGGTTCTATTTTTGTTGTATAAGTGAACAAATGAGTGAAAAAGATAACTACTGCTGATTAATAAGCATACCTCTAATATTCAAACATTCCTATTCAACACTCAAAGGGTAATCTGTTCTCAATGTGGGCCCTCAGGTACTGACTGCAGGGTGCATGAGAAGAAAAAAAACGCATTTGATTTGACTTCACTACCCAATGTGTTTATTGTCATTTT
The DNA here is from genome assembly GCF_000001405.40 of Homo sapiens. Taxonomy (NCBI): domain Eukaryota; kingdom Metazoa; phylum Chordata; class Mammalia; order Primates; family Hominidae; genus Homo; species Homo sapiens. The sequence continues at coordinate 220,495,485 of NC_000001.11, forward strand.
CCATTAAGATGCCAAGTTTTGAAAAAAATTAGTGAAGAAGTTTAGAACAAATGATTCTTGACATCGTACATTTCCCCTCGTATAATTTGTGTGGGCTTCCCTTCCCATGTATGCTAAGTTCTGTATCTTTTGGTCTCTGCCTCCATGTGTTTCTGCAGGTCTTTTCTAGTTAGGTGCTCTGTCTGCTCTCAACATTAATTCCTGGGTTGGGGCAGTGAGTACTGGGGTGTCTAGGAACACAAGTTAGCATCCAGCTGCCTATTTATCAGAGAAGACCTCCTTGGCCAAATGGGCCAACAAGTCATGGGAAAGGCATGAATGTGAGGACAGGCTTGAGACAGAGAAGGAGCAAGATCCCTTCCTTCAAACCCCATCCTAATATGTCCAGAACGCTTTCATAATGGAGTCTTTTTATCTAGTTACTACATTGGTGTGGTAATTGGGGATATGGTCCCAGAAAGCCTGGGTGAATAGCAGTAATCATGCAATAAAGGAAAAGAAGGAAAAGGCAAAGAGAAACAGCCTCTCCTTGTATTAGTCCATTTTGCATTGCTATAAAGGAATAGCTGAGACTGAGTAATTTACAAAGAAAAGAGGTGTATTTGACTCACAGTTCTGTAGGCTGAGCAGGAAGCATGGCACCAGCATCTGCTTCTGGTGAGGGACTTAGGAAGCTTATACTCATGCATGGAGGAAGGCAAAGCAGGACCAGGCATCACATGGCAAGAGAGGGAGCAAGAGAGGGATGCCAGGCTCCCTCAAACAACCAGCTCTCATGTGAATTCATTACTGCAGGAAGGGCATCATGCCATTCATGACAGATCCACCCCCAAGACCCAGACATCTCCCACTAGGCCCCACTTTCAACACTGGGGGTCACATTTCAACATGACATATGGAAGGGACAAACTATATCACCCTTGATATGCACCTCCTCGGTGAGTATTACCCAGCCACTCATTGGTTTTTGTTGTTTGCTTGTTTGTTTGTTTTGAGACAAAGTCTCACTGTCACCCAGGCTGGAGTGCAGTGGCGCCATCTCAGCTCACTGCAACATCCGCCCCCCAGGTACAAGCAATTCTCCTGCCTCAGCCTCCCGAGTAGCTGGGACTACAGGCGCACACTACCACGCCTGGCTAATTTTTGTATTTTTTTAGTAGAGACAGGGTTTCACCATATTGACCAGGCTGGTCTCGAAGTCCTGACCTCGAGTCAGGAGAGTGGATCCACCCGCCTTGGCCTCCCAAAGTGCTGGAATTACAGGCGTGAGCCACTGCGTCCAGCCGCCAGTCACTGTTTTAACTCTATGCCTTTGGGTCTGCGTTGTAATAATACCCTTTACATCACTCTTTATCACAGGAATTTATAGAGTTTCCTTGTATGTGTACTAGACTGTGAACACTTTGGAGAGACATTTTCTTATTTATGTAACTCCTAGGACATGGCTATTATTACTCATCCAATGATTTCTGGGTTAATTAATTTTTTTCATCTCCATAATGTATAATATTCAGATCGAGGAAAAGAATTTCAAATCCAATATGTAATATGCCAGCATGTTACTATTATTTTGAAGATTGGTCAAGAAATTCTCAGAGAAGAACTTAAAGTAAAATTAATTTATTTGATATGAATAAAAAACATATTTTGCTAAATTACCCATTTTTTTTTGATAGGCAGCATAAGTAAGGTGAGGGATGTAAAGTTAACCACCCTTTGATTGCATGTCCCAACTTTAGAGAGTTGATGGCTGAGGGGTGCCATTGAGATGCTGCAGGGCAGCCCCCTGACTCAGAAACTCTGGGCTCCTCCAGAGAGAAAGAGATGCTGTCAAACTACAGGCTTAGATTGAGATTAGGTTTCAGCTGAGCATAAGGAAACGGGAATTTGTTGCCGAAGGGTGGAAACCTGAGGATGTGGGACTTTCCTTTCCAGCCTCTTGGCTAAACCTGCCCTTCCCCTCCCACACCCAGACAAAATAAGCTCCTTTCTCAACACTCCTCAAGCTGTCTGTGCTTTCTCTACTTCCTTATCTTTGAATCTGTTGTTACCCCTGCTCAAAAGATCCCCACTCTCACCTTCCCACCTCTTCCCTAGTTATCTTAGATAAACAAATAAATGTGCTAGGGGATTTGGGAATATTGTCCCATTTCGCTCTGTACTTCCCCTGCAATTTATGCACATTCTATTCAAGTTGCTTGTTTAATCGTTTACTTGTTCTCCCACCAGACCACAGACTTCATGAGGGTGGGAACCATGTCCAACTTGTTTCCTATTGTAGGCCTGGCCCTCAGCTTCATGTCTGTCTCATAGTAGGTGTACAGCAAATGCTCAGTGAATGAATGAATATTCAGGCTCTCCCTCTACATATGGCGTATCCTTCATCCTTTTGAAGTGATCACTTTACCCAAGTTTTGCTTGAATCCTCCTGCCTAATTTGGATTTAGAGATGCCACTCCCTGCCATACATTCCACTGCAAAATTTGCCAAACCATTTTGACATCAAAACTCCTTTAAAATTAGAATGTACTGACAGAGCATTGACAAAAGGTCAGGAGATGTAATAGAGGCTTGGTTTCTATTTATGCCAGAAAAGGGACAGACAAAACAATTGCTATCATAAATGATTAAAATTTTATCAGTTTTCTTTTTTTGAACATTATGTGACAGTGAAAAAACATTTCTACATAGTCCTGCATGGATTTCTAGGGAGAGTATTTTGTTTGCCAAGTGGGGAATGGGGTGGGTGGGGGTGGGGGGTTGAATATACTGAAGTAGATCTCAAGGAGCTGGAGGACTGGAAGGCAATACCAGTGAGGGAAGGAGGGAAAGGCAGATGGGGAAACAGGGACACACAGACCTGGCAGCTGGCAGACTAGACCAGTCTTGGAGAGCAATTACCCAAGGGAAATTTTTTAATGAAGTCATCCATGATTCACCATGAAATCTTTGGTGAAATCTGCCTTGCACACTAATACCCTGTGGAGTGGATTTTATATTACGGAAACCGGGAGAAGAACTGTCAGTATTAGCACAGGGCAAACACAGAGGATGCTGTGGAGAGAGACAACTTTCTGAGTGCCCCAAGGAAGGCCCACCTCAGCATTGTGGCACATCTAAAAAAAACACAAGTCCGGCTTTGAAAGTCTTAAAGACTAATAATGATTATTATTGAAGATTATTTTGGTGCTACTGCTTTTCTATGAGCAGAAAAAGAGAGAATTATACTGCAAAGCACAGAGAAAAACCAAGCAGTTTTTCCTCATCCTTCTCAGTACGGAACAACATTATTGACGGATGCTGCTTCCAGTTCCTTTCTCTGCCTGTCTTTCCAGAACTTTGATGCCCTCTCCCTGTCTTTAAGTTTGTGTCATTCTTCGTGATCTTTTTCTATGAGCTCATTGATGTTTGCGTGGTTTCTCTCAACCTTTAATTTGCCTTTTTATCCCATCAGCACCACAAAGGTACAAGGAGCTAAATGTAAAACATAGGATATTCTTTAGAAGGAGTGACAAGAGAAAGGATATAATATTTAAGGTTTCACAGTTGTTGTCTTCCTTCTAAAATTGTCACACAAAAATTAGAAAAGTGGAATATTTTAAGAGAAAACATAAAAATCTTATTTTACATGTTAATGTAAAATGTGACATCAAAAAAAAAAACCCTTTTGACAAAAACAATGTTTTGTGTCTAATTTTGGAAATGATATATTGCTGAATTAAAATCCAAATTTGAAGTGCAGCATCTAATCTCTTCCACATTTTCCTTTCATTTCAAAGAAAAATAAAAAATCCATGGTTTTTTTGTTTTGTTTTCTTTTGTTTTGTTTTTGAGACTGTTTCGCTCTGTCGCCCAGGCTTGAGTGCAGTGGCACAATCTCGGCTCACTGCTGCCTCCACCTCCATGGTTCAAGCGACTCTCCTGCCTCAGCCTCCCAAGTAGCAGGGACTACAAGCACCTGCCACCACTCCTGGCTAATTTTTGTATTTTTAGTAGAGATGGGGTTTTGCCATGTTGGCCAGGCTGGTCTCGAACTCCTGACCTCAGGTGATCCACTCGCCTTTGCCTCCCAAAGTGCTGGGATTACAGGCGTGAGCCCCCATGCCCAGCCAAAAAAATCCCATGTCATAGAGGTGGTGAGTGTTACAGGGAAAGAAAGAGCCCAAATTATATATTTTGCAAAATCTTGGTACCATTGACTTAGATTATTCTGGAATAATTCAGTGTTTCATTTTGGGCATCTTACTCCCAGGCATGTTTAGAAAGCAAAGCTTTAACCTTCATTTTGATGTATTCCAACTTCTGCTTGATTGTGACACAGTTTGAGAATCTCAACACTCTTTTTTGTTGTTTGGAAAGGTCCTTTTTTGAGTCACAGATCTATGGAGCATAAATTTGTGTAGCATAAGTATTTAATATAAAAGAAACATTAAATATTCATTTATGTTGAAATTGTAAGACAAGATAGATAACACACAGCAGCGGACACTGAATAAATGACATAGATCAACCTGTAATCAATGCTATTTATGCATCACTATAGATGGTGAACATTTTGCATGCTCATATTAAGTAATAATCTTTCAAGGAAAGTGTTCTTGGATATGGCAGATTATTGCATATTTGGGGTCATTATATAAGAGCATATTTTGGATTTCCTTGTCTGAGAATATTGAGATGAAAAACAATTACTATCATTGTGTCAATTTGTTTCCTAAAGTGTCAGTTAATGTCTTGAGGCACAGTAGTGCTTTTGGGAAATGCTGCCTGTGGCAGACCAACTCTAAGAGGGACCTCAATGAGCCCTGCTTCCTGGTATTCATGCCCTTGTTTAATCCCTTTTCCTTGAGTGTGCATGGAACTTGTGACTGCTTCTAATGAGCAGAGAAAGCAAAGAGGATGGGATGTCATTTTTATGATTAGGTTACATAACATAGTAACTTCTGACCTGCTAGCAGACTCTCTCATTTGCTGGATTTAATCAGAAAACTGTCATGTCAAAGAGGCCTGCATGGTAAGGAATGGTAAGGAGAGCCAACAAGGAAATGAATCCTGCCAACAACCTCATCAGCTTGGAAGCAGATTCTTCCCCAGTTGAGCCTTCATACAAGACCCCAGATCTGGCAGACACTTTGATTGCAGTCTTAGGAGACATCCTGAAGCGGAGGACCCAGACAGGCTGTGCTTGGATCTCAGTCCACAGAAACTGTGAGATAATAACTGTGTGTTGTTAAAAGCCACTAGCCTTATGGTTATTTGTTACACAGTAATAGGTAACAAATATACCTCCCTAACTTGAATTGTAAGTCAGAGTGTAAGTATTAATCCTGAAAAATTTGCAGTCTTTATAAAGAATGTTCACGAAGCCAGGGGCTTCCAAGTAAAATCTGAATTACTGGTAAAATATTTTCCTTTTCTCTTTTTTTCCTTTTGGCAAATGCTGGAGGTTTTTTGGATGACATAAATGTATGTTATGGATGTTAAATAATCTTGCCTTAAGTTGATCCTTTTAATGTGAATTAACAAACTACTAATCCTTAAAGATTGACCCTAGCAGAATTTCCAGCTCTTCTCTGGACATTTAAAGGAGCTAGAAACCTGGTTTCCTTTGTACTTCACCTTGCCCCTTTTAGACTTGTCCAATTAAACAACCTTGCCTCATTCTCCAACTTCTACTCAGGCAGCTTTGGATCCAAATAAAGACAACAGCATCTAATATTTATTAAGATATAAGTGCCAGGCACTGTACTATGTACTTTACATTGACTGATTGATTTAACATTCATGGCAATTGCCTGAGACAGGTAATATTACTATCTCCATTATACAGATGTGAAGACTGAGGTACACAAGTTAGATAACTGTTACTCCTCCTCCTCCTCCTGTCCCCTGCTCCAGCACCCTGGCGTCTCCAGCAGATGTTGACTCACTTATGGTTCTTGTTGGCTCTGTCCTGGGTCACTCTTACTCAAGACCGATAATGTCTTCCTGGATAGTAGACTGTTCCTAACCTGGGGTGTATGCCATAGTCCCTTAGGTTTTTCAAAGTACATTGAATCAGATCTATGTATTGGGGGCCCCAGGAAATTATATTTTGACAAATCTCCCCAGTGAAATCAAACAATCGTCCTAAGCATCTCTTGTCTAGTAGATGTGGGAGATGCACTGCGAGTCAGAAGTCCAAGGCTTTCTACACATGCAGCAACGATGACCACATGAATTTCAACCAGTCATCAGCTGCAGTTCTCAGGATGAGAATGAGGATACTTCACAGACTTCTCAAATTATGCTACTGTGTAAAAAGAATGTGCTTGATATAGTTTGAATATATGTCCCCTCTAAATCTCATGTTGAATTGTAATCCCCAATGTTAGAGGTGGCCTGGTGGGAGGTGACTTGATCATGGGGTAGATTTCTCATGAATGGGTTAGTGCCATCCTCTTGGTGCTATCCTTACAATAGTGAGTGAGTTCTTGCGAGATCTGGTTGTTTAAAAGTGTGTAGCACCTTCCCCTGCCTCTTGCTCTTGTTCCTGCCATTTAAGACACGTGCTCCTCCTTCACCTTCTGCCATGATTGTTAGTTTCCAGAGGCCTCTGCAGAAGGAAATCTTGGTGCTATGCTTTCTGTACAGCCTGCAGAACCATAAACCAATTAAACTTCTTTTCTTTATACATTACCCAGTCTCATGTATTCTTTTATAGCAATGCAAGAATGGCCTAATACAGTGCAGATCTGCTGCATGGTTATAACCATTTTAGCTACTTCCAGCATAGATGAAGGCCAGCATGGGTATTCATGCTGATTTGGAGAGAGTAGTTTCAGGGTAGGTGCATCTTACCCCTTCCCTTCCCTTTATATCCATCCTGGTGGTAGGTGGCAGAGGTACAGGCTGAAGGTGGGGTGGGGGTGTTTCTGTTCTTTACCCTCATCAACCCAGGCCCTAATACACAGATGGCCAAATGCCACTCATTCATGATGCTGCCCTAAAGTAATGCCAAACAAATTGTTTATCAGTTTATCAGTGTTTTATTGTCATTTTTGAAAGCCCCATCCTTCAAATTATAATAAGTATTAAGAAGTACAACTCCAGGACTTGTTCTGGACTCCTATAAGTCTGTAGGGATGGGGTGGGGGCAGTTTAAAAATACAAAAGGGAAAGCTACTGATGAATTTGATCTTTTTGGCTTGACCCCTGGCTGATCATCCACATTCCCTGGCCACATTAGATGGTTTAGAATTACTGACCAAGGTGGGAAGTCCATCCTCATTAAAGCAAGGAGCATTTTTCCTTCCAAAGCATTTGTACTGTTTGTGTAGAGTGTACCTTTATCCTGTGTGGCATAAGAGAATGCACACAGGAAACATTAGGCCTAATGCTAATCCATTAACAGGCAGGCAGACTCTGTACCCACCTGAGCTATTACCTAGGCATGTGATATATTTAAAATTGTTTTCTTCTTTGGCTATACCTGCCATAAATTCTTCACTTTGAACTCTTTTTTGCCTATGGTATCACAATATCACAATATATGAGGTTTCTCTCTAAAGATTTTTTTTCTGTTTCTCCCAAGAGCATAAGAACTCTCTTACTGAATACCAATAATGCAAATTTTTTATTCTGAGACGAAAATATCCTCACTTTTTCCCTCCTTCCCTCTCTCACTTTACAAAGTGCAGAAGTGAAGGAGAAGGGCAGGCTTCTCTATGTCGTTCTCTCTCCTAAGCAACACCATCATATTAGAAAACTTTGATATGAACAGAAAAACCCAGATAATAATGATGGTGACTTACATTGTAGATCATGTGCAAAGAGAAGATGCTAACTAACCAACTAATGACAAAATGATGTCCTGCATTTCTGCAGCTCATTTCCTTAGTCACGCTACAATGTTGGTAAATATTAGCAGATTTCCTCTACCTTCTCAGGTGACAATTAGTCAGTTGGAGAAACTAACCTGCATTTGTGGTGGAGGCTACGGAAAGAACCCTCCCACTCTGTTAAGTAACTTATTTGCCTTTTTTTTTTTTTTTTTGAGACAGGGTCTCACTTTGTCACTCAGGCTGGAGTGCGGTGGTGCAATCTCGGCTCACTACAACCTTGACCTCCTGGGTTCAAGGTATCCTCCTGCCCCAGCCCCCCAAAGCAGCTGGGACTACTAGGTGTATGCCACCACGCCTGGCTGATTTTTGTATACTTATTTGTCTTTAAAAAGGATGACATTTCGAGAAACTTTTTCTCTTTTATGATCTGGTTCTTTGTTCATCTTTTGATGGGAGAAAAGGAGACCGATACCACAAGCTGGTGATACCACATCTGGGGGACACCTGTAGTCTTTTGATGCCCTGAATATTAATCCTCTCACAAGACAGCCTTCTATTACTGCCCAATAGCTGCAATATACAGCACTTTTCTCTTGCTTCGGTATGATGTAAAATGTGGTTCTATATGATCATAAAATTGGTTTAAATGCAATTATTTCAAGACTAGTTAATGGACATTTATTATTTAAAATATCTTTTAAGGTCATTTGCAACCAGGAAGGAAAAAGCTAAATTCTTTATCTTCTCTTTATTCCACTAAGAAACATATATTTGTTACTGAAAATGCTCACTAATGACTTTAGCTTATTTGTTAATTTAGAAGGTTTGTTTTCTAATAAAACTGGGGTACAGTTATTTGACTACCTGAATTTGTAGCAAAGAATCTTTTAAAGAGAAATACTTGACTCTCATTATAGCACTTGTTTCTGAAAGGCTATAAGCTGCTATTTAGAAGTGGTCCCGGACTTTCTCCCAATATGAATTCATTTTTCAAGCTACTATCTTCAAGGTTATTATCCAGTTCAGGCAGATGCTGCTATTAATGAAAGCCAGAGAGCTTTCTCCTACTCACTAGTGACCTCTAAGACGTCTTCACCAATTATCGTTTCCATTCTAGTCTGTCAAAAGCCACTGCCAGTAAAATCTATAACAGTTGTTTCAGCATCTTCTCCCTGTGATCCCTCATCCCAGGATAGCAGCTGGACTGGTCTTTGAATTGACACGCAGTTCAGCCCTCCTGACTGCTATGAAGTCCCAGGGAGTGTTTATAACATCAGCCTTCAGATGGCTGCTCAGTTCAGTGCAACCCTATTTTCTCTAATGTTGGTTGAGCAGGAAGCAGGGCTTTGCAGGAGGGGGAAAAGAAGATGGCATCGAATAAAATTACTTTTTAGATTTCGGGAGCTGGAAGGGCTCCTAGAGTTTATGTAGGCAACCTTTATCATTACCCTGGATCTTAACATGGTAAACCACACTAAAATCTTTCTCCCTGCTCCCTGTAGCAGTGGGACGTGCAAAAATGGACCTCACGAAAAGCACAAACTATCAAAAAATATTTACTCCTCCCCCTCCCCAACCAGGAAGAAACAGGGAGATAATTAATGTAAGAGTCTGTTTGTGTGGCATGGTTTGAGGCAATGGGATATGAGACGTGCTTTTGGTTCTCTACAGCGAACAGCCTAGTAGAAAACAGACAAGTTAATCAGCCCGTCTTCTGACCAGGGTAATAAGTGCCGCACTAGAAGCACACACAGCGCACTGAGAGCACGGAGGAGGGCATTTAAATGTGACTTGGGGAGCAGGTCACTGAAGGCTTCTTGGAGGAGGTGAGGCTTGACTTCATTCTGATGAAAGAGTTGAAATCAACTGGTAGAAATATAGCCGCCTGGGGGTCAGGAAACCTGAATTCTGCATCCAGCAAAGCCACTCATATGACCGTGGACAAAAATCTATACATTAAAAAAACGTGGCAAGAAAACCTTATGCAAGAGTGTAGAGAAAAACAAGGCCATGCTTGAAAAAAAAAAAGGCCATGCTCCTTTCTTAAACCCTTCTGTCCTCAGACCTCTCCGACAGGTGAAAAGACCCAGAGATGTTCACCATGGTGCTTGTCAACAGCAGCAGCTCTAGGGAATGGTGACTTTAAATATTTGAAATGACAAGTGAGAACAATTGTCTCTGAGGTATTTTACCCTGAAAACCATAAAGGTTTGCAACTGGGGATTTATCTGATTGCCCTGGGCTCTCACACAGGCTGTCACGGTTTGCACATTGGTTGGAAAGGTGTCTTGAGCTGACTTCAGCCAGTAGCTCCCCACAGTAAAGATGAGGGTCCTTTCCTCAGGCTTAGAGGCTCTATATTGTTATGGTATATTACTTTATTACTAGCATATATTAAGTGTCTTTTCAGTGTCATGCACTAGACTGGAAACTGCTATACACAGATGGCATACTTACAATCCCTAAGACACATGCAGTTCAGCAGGAGAGACTAACACGAAAATCCATGATGACGGGACAATGTAATAAAACCTATAACAAGGCAGGGACCCAATGGACATGGATGAGATCCCGCTGAGGGGCGCAGGCAGCGAGGGATTCTTCGAGGAGGAAAACCTTGAGCAGAGATTTTGAAGGAGAAAGTGCAATTAGCTGGACGAATATGCGTGTTTGGGTGTTAGGGATGGGTGGAAAGGGATATGGTTAAAATAGCCTTCTGAACACAGCAATTTGGCCATGTCCTTTCTTCAAATGCTTTGAATAAACTTCTAACTACTTAGCACTCAAAAATTAATCCCAGAGGGATGATATCTATCTTCCCCTCAGTTTTTATTTTATTGTATTTTTTTAGACAGCATCTCTTTCTGTCGCCTAGGCTAGAGTGCAGTGGCATGATCTTGGCTCACTGAAACTTTTGCCTCCGGGTTCAAGTGATTCTCCCACCTCAGCCTCCCGAGTAGCTGGGACTACAGGCAAATGCCACCACGCCCAGCTACTTTTTGTATTTTTAGTGGAGATGGGCTTTTGCCATGTTGGCCAGACTGGTCTTGAACTCCTGGCCTTAAGTGATCTGCCCGCCTCGGCCTCCCAAAGTGCTGGGATTACAGGTGTGAAACACTGCACCCAGCCTTCCCTTCAGTTTTAAAGAGCAATAAAATAAAACTTGCTGTACTCACACAGTAAATTTTTAGGATAAACTTGCGGTTGGAGAAGATGTTAGAGATCATTTCTTCACAGCCCTCTCCAGTGCCCAAATTTTCTATGCAGAAACATTCTTGAGAAGAAACTTTTCAGGTGTTCATAGACATTTTGCTAATGGTAAAGTAGAGATACAGAAAGGGTTCACTAGGCTTAAACTTCCTTTTTATATTCAGAACATTAAGCATTAAGGGTTAAGAATTTGGGTTCTAGAACCAGACCGGCAGCAAACCCTGACACTTCAACTTTCTAGGTGTTGACCTTGGGCAAATTACTTAAATTCTATGATCCTCAGTTTCATCCTCTCTAAAATAGAGAGAATAATAGTCTAACCACCTCATGGGATAATCTTTGTAATGGATTTAACACAGTACCTGGTACAGAGTACATGCTCAATAAATTATGTGTCTGTCCATCTATCTATCGATCTATCTATTTATCTACTATCCATCCTACTTATATAAATCCCACTCCTCAACCCATCCTAACAGGCAGATGGACCATCTGCAGTCCCCCTGCTTCCACTTGAATTCACATTTCCTCTTACTGAAGTTATCGTGAGGCCTCAGGGAAGGGATAAAAATAAATTTCATTAGGAAACAGATACAGCTACTTGCATGTTTTATGACAGTTTATGCTGTGAGAAATGAGAATCCTTTAGAGATATTTTGTAATATGTTACATCTTTGAGGAAACTTGTCGGTGAATGTACATAGAGTGCTACCCTTCCCTTTTCGTGTTCCTGTCTCTGCTTTTTCCTGAGGAACAGATGACTCAGGATACATACATAATATAGTGACACTCCAAGCTGTATTGTGGCAGTGAGATGCACGGGCAGGTTGGTGGGGACACAGCAGCTGTCTAGTCACTCCCTAGATCCCACATAAAAGCATGCTGGCCAGGCTGGTCTCGAACTCCTGAAACCCTGTCTGTACTAAAAATACAAAACTAGCTGGGCATGGTGGTACACGCCTGAAATCCCAGCTACTTGGGAGGCTGAGGCAGGAGAATTGCTTGAAGCCCAGAGGTGGAGGTTGCAGTGAGCCGAGATCACACCGTTGCACTCCAGCCAGAGCAACAAAAGCGAAACTCTGCTTCAAAAAAAAAAATGCTGGCTTTCTAGCTGGCCTTTATCAGACCTGACTTTTCTTCTTTCCACTCCCAACATGTGTATGAGCATGGATTAATATTTACTCCAACCAAACTACGATTTGGTTCCCATTATGCTAGTGCCTGGAAGGATGCAGGAGTCTTGGTGAAATCACTTAATTGCAACATATGCAAGTACTTGATTAGATTAATTTCAATTGTTTTGGTTTGATGTGAATACAGTTGACCCTCCATATCTGCAGTTTCCACATCTGCAGATTCAAACAACTGCAGATCAAAAATATTTGGAAAAAAATTAAAAAGTAACTATACAACAATAAAAAGAATACAAATAAAAACAATACAGTATGGTGACTATTTACATAGCATTTACATAGTATTAGGTATTATAAGTAATCTAGAGATGATTTAAAGTATACAGGAAGATGTGTGTAAGTTATATGCAAATACTATGCCATTTTATACAAAAGACTTGAGCATCTGCGGATTTTGATATTCATGGGAGTGCTAGAATCAATCCCCCTAGTATACTGAGAGATGACTGTACTGTGGTCATTGGGAAAAGGGAAATAATAAAGTGAACTAAAATAGTCAGAGAAGATTTCAGGAAGGAGTTGGATATTTAAGGTTGGTTAGGATGGAAGGTCGAGAAAAGTTATCTTAAATTTGAACAGGGATTAAAATGTAGACTTCTAAATTGAATATTCAATTGCTAGGTCACACTGCTCCTGGCCATGGGGGATTAAAATATTTATCCCAGATTTTTCTATGTTGAGGGGTTTGATATCGACAAAAATGTTTGTTCTCTTATGACCACAGTGAATGACTTCAACTCAGGTTTGAAAGTAAGGAGGAAAACAGGAGATGAGTAAAATTTTAAGAGCAAGCTGAGTATGGAGAGCCATGTAAGATGCAGAATGATACTTGGTTAGGAGTGCAGTGCTTTCTGTTGGGAATGCTGTTGGTATCTATAAATTGTTTTTGGAGGCCAGAAATTCTTTAGGGTGAAAAGGAGGAAGCACCTGGGTATATGAGTCCTGCGGAGAGCAGTCACCCTCCTTTTCCCAGGCTCCATCATGGGCTATGGAAAGCTGGGGAGCTACACAGGAAGATGTAATGAACTGAATCATGTGGAAGGACAAGGTCATATCTTGTAAAGTCTATACCAGCTGGAGATGATGAAGAATGGTCGAGAAAAAAGCAAAAGTAGGATAGAGGGAAGGGCATGACAAAAATGGAAGGGGAAGGAGAAAGGGGCTGAGGAACAGAGGATGGGACACAAGGTGGGAGAGAAGTGGACGAGTGGAATTTTTTGTCTGCTGGCCTTTGTTGTTTCTGGGTAAATTGATGTAAATTCTTAGAGCTGCTGTTAGTTGATAGTTGTGTTTGTTAAGTGATTCCCCGAACATTTATTTCTGTTTGAAATACTTCATTTAATAAAAATATAATTATGCAAAAATATTAGCTCAAGAAGATGGTTCTTGGGTGATTCAAACTCCTCCTAATCTCCACTAAAAAGACTTAATAGATGTTAAAATTTTCCGATATTCCCTTCAGATCTTTTCTTCTTTTAAAGGAAAGTATTCATTATACAGGGTGTCTTGACCGCTTCTCCGAGCTCAGATTCACCTGCAAATTGGATATCTCCATCTGCATGTCCCATAGGTACTTCAGACTCATGTGTTAAGTGAACAATAATTTTCCCCACCCCCCAACATGCTCCAAACCTGTTTCTCTTCCAGTATTTCCTTTATTAAAGAAGGAAGCCATCATCAGTTCTAGTGGTCCATAAGCTTGTTTTGTGTACTCTACCTGCTCCTCCGTCATTAAGCTCATGAGTGCACAGGATGGTGCATCCCTCCTGCCCTTTGCTGTTCCAAGTGAGTCTCTGTAACTAGAGCAATAACCTTGGTATCCAGATGTAAGCTGATAATACGGTATCACCGCATATATTTTTTTAAAAACAGGCACGTCTTGTTCTCCAAAGCCTTATTTGTCTCTCTACATACTTTGAAGTATATCATGCTCTTGTTTCAGCCAGCAGCTGCCTAGAGCAAGGATCTTGATACCTTCCTCCTATGCTTTAAGATTATGTATTTCCAGGAAAAAAAAAAAACAAAAACAGGATACAAACCTGATCAGCTTCCATTATCTTCAAGTCGAAAAGGAAGTCTTTAATCTAAGGCTCTGCCATTTGTCAAGTAGAAATGGTTTGAAGATTGAGAGCTGCCTCTAAGGTATGTGTGTTTTCTGTGTGTATTTTGTTGGGTATGTGACACTTTTTCCCCATTTTATAGCATGCCCAGAGTACTTTTTTTTCTCCAAACCCATCCTCTTATATTACATGTCATTTTATTTAACTATCTTCCCAGACTCTCCACCACTCCCCTTGTCCCTGTAGGTCTGGGAATCATTTTGTATGTGTCCATGGAGAATACACTCACTTGTCCCATCAGAATACCTATGACTCTGTGCTGTAACTCCCTGCTTCTTTCATTGTCTGGCCCCCTCACTAGAAGGCAAATGCTGGCACGTCAGGGGTTTGTGTGTCTTGTTCTCCACTGATTCCCCTAAACATAGCAGAAGCTCTTGCGTTTAGCAAGCACTCAGTGAGTGTTTGTGAACTGAATCAAGACTTTTCAGCAATTCCTAGATTCCTTCCTCTTGTTTCTCCCCTACTCTACTACTTCTATGGCTGTCTGGCTTCTCATAATCTCACATATGGATTATAGCAGAACTTCCATCCCCCTGACTACCCCATAATACTCATCCTCCCAAATAATTTCTTGCACCAATGATAGATTCATATGCCCAAACCTTTTCTGCCACTTTCTTGGAAATAGTTAGCAATTGTTTTCTATTGCCTATCAGATTAAGTTCAAAGTCCTTTTATCACTTCAAGATTAATGTTCTTGGCTTACCTAAATATACAAACTCAGGTACTTGCTATTCCCAAATATAACTCCTGTCTATAAACAAGCCGATTTCCTTCCTATTCTCCCATCCATGGTTAGGTCAGGCTTACCTGGCTTACTACTTGCTCTTTCCCCCAGCTATCTCTTTATGTCCCCCTTCTATCCATCCAAACCCTTCTTATCCCTCAACGCTCAAGCCAGGGAGCTTGAAGCCTTCTTTCAGTCATTCATGCACACATTAATCTTATAATTTTGTATCCATCTCTGAAATTTCCAGCCAATTGTACATTAGTACTCTTTGTATCTAATTTCATAGACAATATCTTAAACTCAATTTTAAGATGCTTGATGTCAAGAATTATACCTTGTAATGCCTAGCGTATCAGAACCTGACCTAGCATGTTAGATTAATTGGTACACTATTCTTAAGCCTGTTGATTGATTGATATTCCAGAGTCATCTAAGGTATTAAGATATCAGGAAAAGTCATATAAAAATGATTCAAGATACTTAAATTTATGTACCTTCAAATTAAGTGTTACCTTATTACTTCATGGAATAAGAGGAAGTCCTATACACCTCAACCCTATCCCAGGCAAATATTTTTTAATGGGAACACAATAATTGCAAATTGTAATATTTGTCATGGGCCCTAAGTGTTGGGAAGCATTGGACATAGCAGTTACCAGATGACTGGAGCTACAGTTGGTAGCCCAATCGGCATTCGAACTGATGCTGATATATACTAAGGCCTGCTGCAAGCCCTCTGTACTGTCTATTGCTAAGCAAATGGAGGATGAGACAGGTCTGGTTGCTGACACAGCATGCATAAAAGACTGAGTCACTGTTCCTGCCCTCTGGGCATTTGAATACAGTAAGGGCAACCGAGGAGCACATAAATAACTATAATCTGAAAGAGTGTCTCTTAGATATGGGAGGTGTATGTATATAGGGATAAACTACAGAAAACTCCAAGGTCTTGGTCTGGGATACTGTAACAAAATGGAATGTCAAGAAGAGAAGCCAATGTGAGAGACAACGATGCCAAATTTGGTTTTGAGCCCATTTGAGGTTAAATTAGAAGTGTGCTTAATTTTGTTAAGGGTAAGTAAAGAATGAATGGCTTTGATGGGAATGTAATTTGGGGAGTTGAGGGCATAGAAGTAATGAACAAGGTATGTAGGTAAGTTGCCCAGAGAGTGAATGAGTTTTCCTACATGTTGTTTTTCCATCTCTGAACTGATGTTAATAATACTTGTTTTCCACTTGACATGAAGTTCTGAGAATTATTCTTAGATCTTGAAAGTGCTTTATTTAACCTCTACTCATTGATAAAGAGACTGGGCTTTCATGAGGCTGCTGAGAAATTCCTGGGAGGCTTTCCGAGATGGAAGCGGGCAGGAGGTTGCTATTGCCTCACACTCAGGTTACTGCTGCTGAAAGGGAGTGGCGGCTTATCCCACTGTGACGGCCCCTGGAGGGCACAGGAGGACATGGCACATTTTGGACCTGCCAGAAACAATTCAGTACTTGGACTTTCACAATGGCTCTTCTTCCTTCAAACAACAAAACTGTAGAACAAAGCATCCCTGATCCTAATTAAGAAAGTTCAGATCAGCTCCTATCAGCATCATCATAGTTATCTTACATCCTGTTAGTAATACCTTGGCCTATTTACAGTTGTGTGCTTTTGTTTGGAACGCTTTTATACAGATTGTCTCGTGTTTTTACTGATATATGGTCTAGCTAGATAGTGCTGCGCTTTTCTTGAGGGCTTTCTACACATTAAGCACTGAATTAGATGCTTTGCGTTCACAGATCTGGCATTATGAGTGTGCACCTGCACAGTGGCACAAGATGCTGGCCTCAGAAAGGCCTGCATTTGATTTAATGCTCTGCTGTTGCCATCTTGAAATTCTGGATAATTTTTGAAAAGGGGGCCCTGCATTTTCATTTTGCACTGGATCTCCGTAACATGTAGCTGGCCCCGTACACGGGCTATTTCCTGTAATATGTACAACTACTCTATGTGTAGGACATACGATGCCATTTCACAGATAAGAAAGTGGGCTCACAGAGTAATTTGCCAAGATCCTTAACACACCAGAATTGGTCTTTTGGTTCTGGTCTGTGCAATTCCCAATCCTATGCTCTCAATCGGTGCTTCCAGGTGAATGTTTATCCTGGTGTGTCCACAGCCTACCTGCGTCAGATTCATCCAAGAAGCTTGTAAACATGCAGATTTCTCATAAGCAGGCTCTACAGACAGGGCCAGGGAATCTGTATTTTAGTTCATTGACCAGGTGACTCTTGTACACCATTCAAGTCTGAGAACTAAAGCCCCACATCAATCGCTTTCAACCATGTTTGGCCCAACCCAGGTAAAAAATTCATTTTACATCAAGATGCAGTATACACACATGACAAAAGTGTCATAAGATAGTACTTACCAGCTGGGCATGGTGGCTCATGCCTGTAATGCCAGCACTTTGGGAGGCCGAGGTAGGCAGATCACCTGAGGTCAGAAGTTTGACACCAGCCTGGCCAACATGGCAAAACCCCGTCTCTACTAAAAATACAAAAATTAGCCAGGCTTGGTGGCATGGACCTGTAATCCCAGCTACTCAGGAGGCTGAGGCAGGAGAATCACTGGAACCTGGGAGGCAGAGGGTGCAGTGAGCCGAGATCATGCCGCTGCACTCCAGCCTGGGTGACAGAGCAAGACTCCATTTCAAAAAAAAAAAAGATAGTACTTACCCTTATTATACACAAGACACTAATGATTATTTTACTCTATTCTAATTCTCTTGTAAATGCCTACAGTGCTTTATAGTACAGATCACAAAGGTAATTTGAAGAACACAGTGGCTAGATGAAGAGGAAATATTAAATAAGGCTTGAGTTTGGCACTATAAAGAATCTAAGTCAAAAACACAGAAAGAAAGCTACTCTTCCATTTAGGATTGTTTAAATGAGAAGTCTTAAACTTTTTTTAAAAAACAGAGCTCTTTAAAAAATCTGACTAAAACTAGGGCCCCATTTTACAGACAACTTCACATATACTCGTGATTTCTTATATCTTTCAGGGGGTCTCTAGATCTCCCTTTTTTTGGGGTGGGGTGGGGATGGAGTCTTGCTTTGTTGCCCAGGCTGTAGTGCAGCGGCGCTATCTCAGCTTACTGCAAAACCTCCACCTCCTGGGTTCAAGTGATTCTCCTGTCTCAGCCCCCTGAGTAGCTGGGATTATAGTCAGGTGCCACCACGCCCGGCTAATTTGTGAATTTTTAGTAGATGGGGTTTCACCATGTTGGCCAGGCTGGTCTTGAACTCCTGACCTCAGATGATCCACCCGCCTCGGCCTCCCAAAGTCTTGGGATTACAGGCATGAACCACCATGCCTGGCCTAGATCTCCTTCTTTTTCAGACTCTAGACAAATGATCCTTAATTTAATTATAGCTCTATACAGAGGCAGAAGTCCAAAGTGGATGACCTCATTGCATCCTCATTACATCATGGCGGGGGAGGGCTTGAAGTTTCAGGAGGTTATTTTCTTTTAGCTTTAAAGTCATAAGGACTGATGCCCTTTGGCCATTCTTCTTTATTTTCTATTTATCTGATATCACGGGAATGCAGTTATTAGAGAAAAATGTTGCCAAAGGATAAGGATGGCTGCTTGGAAGCATTTTTGGAGGCAGCTAATGTCATTTGGTGGCAGAGACCACCAAAACAAAGGCTAGGAAGGAGGACAAATGCACTTCTAGAGTTCCCAACTCTCTTGGGCTCCCCTGTCTCTGGACCAGGGATTGGGGCATGGAGGACCTGGCATTCCATGGCAAATCTCAGGAATCTCCCCTACTTAGCCTAGGAGTGGTGTGCAACTGTGGAGTTGTTTGGACAAGCCTAGACTATTTAGCTTTCTTTACCAGAAGACTATGCCCATTCCCAGTGATTAAGTAACTACTCAGATCATTTCCGGACTTGAGATGAAGACACAAAGCTGAGAAGATGCTCTGGATGCTCAAAGATAAGACGACATTTCTAAATTGCTAGCATTAACCATGCTCTGGTCTTGCATACCCCTCTATGCATAGTCAATGAACTATGAGATCAGTATTAAGAACATTTTGGGGTAAAGTACAGGAGGAAATGATGGAAAGAGAGTTCAGGGAGAGTACATTTGAGCAGAGCTACTCAAAGTATGGTCAGTCCACACGCTGGTGCCAAACTCGGAATTGTTCATTTTTGTTCAATGATGAGCTGAGTACCCATTGAGTGTTTAGAAATGTATAGAATTTTGAGAGTCCCTGGCACATTCGCCAACCTCCTCCCTCCCTTCCTTCCTTTCACCTCCTGGGAAAAAAAAAGGAAAAAGAGAAAAAGAACTGTATAGAACTTGACAGAGTAATTTTAGGTCTGTTGAATCTAGTAATAAATTTAAGCTTTTATTGTGTATGTCTACATTTTTAAATGGTTTTTAAATGAATTCATTCTTATTGTACTTTACAAAGGTATAATTATTTGACAGGTTTGAAATTTGGGAGGAAAACACCTGGCCCCTCAGCATAGATAATGTTAAAAGCAGTATTCTAAAGCAACATACATATATTCAGAAGCCTAGGAAAGGCATTCAAAGATCAGAACTATGAACCTTTCCCTCAGAATTGGGCCACATATAAATTAATGTAATTTTAAGTGGCATTTTTGTCACCATCTAAGAGGTCTGTCAGGAATGATCAATTCTCTATTCTGGCGACTTTTCTTATTACATCACGTAGATATTGTGGTTTTATCAGAAATAGGAGAAAGTGAGTACTTTCAAACCTATATTTATAGTTCGCTGGGCCTTTGAACATATTTTATAAGCATTTACTATGAGGTGAGAATGGCTATCTCCATTTTAATGAAGAAACTGAGGCACAGGGAATTGCCATAATTGACTTGCGTTGAAACCAGGAAGCAGGCCCAGAGTTCCTGTTGTTCCATCATCTGGTATGGCTTAACATCCAGACCCCGCTTCCTCCCCAGAGGAGATTATGGAGGGTTGGGGTTGTGTTCATTTATTGTTTAAAGCTCTTAGTATCACGAATAAATGGTCTATAAAAATAACAAGCAGCAAAGCAAAGCAAATATATTTCTTTAGCAATGCATTAAAGTATCTTACAAAAACAAGTTTCCACATGCTGAACTGCAAAATATTCTTTGACTACAAATAGTTGTGGTCTTTTCTTGGGAAAGAATCTCAGAAAATGCACAATAATACATTTCAACTAAAAATAAAGATTGTATTCCCCTCTTAAGGAAATAGAAAGTTTGCGTGTGTGTATGTGTTTAATACTAGTATTTATAGACCTAAGGGAGTGAGTGCTGCTAGAACTCAGAGGAGCCCAAAGATGAGAATTGAATGGTCCCACAGGGAGAAAACTGCGAAGGAATTGAAAAAAGCAAGCAATGGTTCCCAGCATTATTTTAAAGCCATCTCAGTAGATGCTGATGGTTCTACAGCAAGTAGCAAAATTCTATTCAGAGAAAGACAACGTTCACCTATGAGCACACATAGCTGAGTTCTTAAATATTTTTTCACATGAATGATTCTTCAGGACTGTGGAAAACTTTGTTTCAGTCAAACAAAGCTACTTGTCATCGCCCATCCACAGCATGCTCATTCTTGTTTCCAGGCCTTTACCCATTACATTCTTCTTGGAGAATGCCTGATTCACTTTACTTATATTTGTCCTTTTTGTCTTTTAAAACACAGCTTAAAGCTCTGCTCCTCCAGGAAGTCTTTTCTAATTAACTCATGTAACTGACTCAGTCATTCTTTTGTGGCCCTAATCTATACATTTTATACTATATTTCTATGCAGGCATTTTGCTTTATAGGTGCTTTTGGCTCTGTGTAGGGTGTGTGTGTGTATGTGTGTTCAGGTCTTGGTGGTAAAGTGGCAAGATGTGGTGGGTAGGCATCTGATCTACTTAGATTGTGAGACCCTCGAAAGCAGGGACAATTCCCTCAGGCTGTGGTGGAGTCAGACATATTTCATAAGTGTGTGTGACTTTAGGCAACTCCCATAGGATTGCTGTGAGGATTAAACAGCATGACAAACGTGACCTGCAGGGCACCCGGTAGATGTTCAATAACAGAAGCGCTCTATCTTTTTGTGATTCTAGTACAAGGCTCAGTATGGGAGCTCTTCACTCCAGATTGCTAGTTTTCGTGGCTATTGCTGTTGTGGTTGCTTAATAAAAATAGCCTACGTTTATTCTTCTGGGAGAGTTAGATGGCCATTGAAACTAATGCTAGCATTTAGGAAACACCTTGTCTTTCACTAACTACTTAACCTCCTTGGGCAGGTTGTTACAGGCACACCTCATTTTATTGCACTTCACTCTATTGCACTCCACAGATATTGCATTTTTTTACAAATTGAAGGTTTGTGGCAACCCTGCACCAGGCAAGTCTATCAGCACCATTTTTCCAACAGCACATGCTCACTTCATGTCTCTGTGTCACATTTGGGTAACTCTCACAATATTTCAAACTTGTTTCTTGTGGTATCTGCGATGGTGATCTATGATCAGTGATCTTTGATGTTACTATTGTAATTCTTTT
The DNA here is from genome assembly GCF_000001405.40 of Homo sapiens. Taxonomy (NCBI): domain Eukaryota; kingdom Metazoa; phylum Chordata; class Mammalia; order Primates; family Hominidae; genus Homo; species Homo sapiens. The sequence goes on from NC_000001.11 coordinate 220,517,141, forward strand.
GGGGAGCTACAAACTGTGCCCACATAAGTCGGCAAACTTAATCTATAAATGTTGTGTGTGTTTTGACTTCTCTACCTACTGGCCATCTCCTCATGTCTTTTCCTCTCCTCGATCCCGCCTATTCCCTGAGACATAACAATATTGAAATTAGGCCAATTAATAACCCCACAATGACCTGTAAGTGTTCAAGTGAAAGGAAGAGTCACTTGTCTCCCACTTTAAATCAGAAGCTAGAAATGATTAAGCTTAGGAAGGCATGTCGAAAGACCAGGCAGGCCAAAAGCGAGGCTTCTTGCACCAAACAGTTAGCTAGTTGTAAATGCAATGGAAAAGTTCTTGAAGGAAATTAAAAGTACTACTCTAGTGAACACATGAATGATAAATGAAACAGCATTATTGCTGATATGGAGAAAGTTTTAGTGACTCAATAGAAGATCAAACCAGCCACAACATTCTCTTAAGCCAAAACCTAATTCAGAGCAAGGCAGTAACTTTCTTTAATTCTACGAAGCCTGAGAAGTGTGAAGAAGCTGCAGAAGAAAAGTTGAAGCTAGCAGAGGTGGGTTCATGAAGTTTAAGAAAAGAAGCTGTCTCCATAACGTGAAAGTGCAAGGTGAAGCAGCAAGTGCTGATGTAGAAGCTGCAGCAAGTTATCCAGAAGGTCTAGCTAGGATCACTGATAAAGTGGCTACATGAAACAACAGATTTTCAATGCGGAAAATATAGCCTTCTATGGGAGGAAGATGTCATCCAGGGCTTTTACAGCTAGAGAGAAGAAGGCAATGCCTGGCTTTACAACTTCAAAGGATTGGATGACTCTCTTGTTAAGGGCTCATGCAGGTGGTGACTTTACATTGAAGCCAATACCAGTTAGGGCCCTTAACAGTTATGCTAAATCTACTCTGCCTGTGTTCTATAAATGGAACAACGAGGCCTGGATGACAGCATATCAGTTTGTAGCATGATTTATAGACTATTTTAAGCCCACTGTTGAGACCTACTCCTCAGAAAAGAGGATTCCTTTCAAAATATTACTGCTCACTGAGAAGGTACCTTGTCACCCAAGAATTCTTCTGGAGATGTACAAGTAGATTAATGTTTTTTTTCATGCCTGCTCATACAACATCCATTCTGCAGCCCATGATCAAGGAGTAATTTTGGCCTTCAAGCCTAGAGGTATATTAATATTTTGTAAGGCTATAGCTACCATAGATTGTGATTGTTCTGATGAATCTAAGCAAATTGAAGAGCTCTGGAAAGAATGTATCCTTCTAGATTCCATTAAGAATATTCATGATTCATAGGAGCAGGTCAAAATATCATTAAGGGGAGTTTGGAAGAAGCTGGTTGTAGTTCTCATGGATGAATTTAGGGGTTCAAGACTTCAGTGGAGAAAGTAACTGCAGATGTGGGGTAAATAACAAGAAAACTAGAATTAGAAGTGGAGCCTGAAGATATGACTGAATTACTACAACCTCATCATAAAAGCTGAAGGCATAAGGAGATGCTTCTTATGGATAAGCAAAGAAAGTGGTTTCTTAGATGAAATCTACCCCTGGTGAAGATGCTATGAATGTTGCTGAACTGACAACAGTGGATTTAGAATATTACATACACACAGTTGATAAAGCAGCAGCAGGATTTGAGAGGATTGACTCCAATTTTTAAAGTCCTACTGTGGGTAAAATGCTATCAAACAGGATCATCTGTTAAAGAGAAGTCTTTTGTGGAAGGAAGAGTCAACGAATGTGGCAAAGTTCGTTGTTATCTTATTTTAAGAAATTGCCACAGCCACCCCAGTCTTCAGCAACCACTACCATGATCAGTCAGCGCCATCAACATGGAGGCAAAACCCTCCACCAGCAAAAAGAGTACAACTTGCTGAAGGCTCCAATTACAACTTGCTGAAGAATCTGGTGGTTTTTTTTTTTTAGCAACAAAGTATTTTTAAGTTAAGTACCTTATTTGTTTATTCATAATGTTATTGAACACTTAATAGATAAGTATAGTGTAAAGATAACTTTAATATATACCGGGAGACCAAAAAGTTTGTGTAACTTGCTGTATTGTGATACTTGCTTTATTGCAGTGGTCTGGAACTGAATCTGCAATATCTCTGAAGTATGTCTGTAGTCCACAAGCTCTCTCCCAACCATCAACATGGCAAAATTTCTCTCCACTTCGGCATATAGGTGCCTTTCCCTCTTACCAGTCCCTCCAATACATACTCTCTAGGCTGTACGTTACATAGTTTTACTATTTCTTTCCTATTTCTAGTTTGCTGTTTGTCTTAATTCTAATCTGATTTCATCCATATAAAAACATCAGGCAAGCTACACAATGCAGTTTGTCCTGAATCCTGCCTTTATGGCCAGACCTGATTTTATTTGACATTTATAGCAGAATAAGTTCACAACATTTATTCATATATTTTTATGTCCTTAACACTCCCCTCCATGTCTCTGTTGCACTAATGTTCTCATACTCAGAAGACTACAGTGGTTTTTAAAAGTAAAAACGAAAAGAAAAGGGAGATATGGATGTGGGAGTCAGCAATCATTATGCAGGTGCCTGTGACCCAGAAATGAATGAAAAGAGGCCTGGGTTCAGGGCTGGAGGGCCTGGATTTCCAGATCCATTTGTCATGGAATATATGCTACAAGACAAACCTTTTTACCTTTTGTGCCTTGGTTTCTTCTTTGGGGAATGGACTAAGAACACTTGTTGGTTTATAAGAATTTTAGGCTGAATTACTGGAGATGATGTAAACAGAAGACTTTAGAAAACCCACATAAACTTTAGCTCTTAATAAAGACGATGATGATATACATTGATGTTTCTGTATGAAGCCTTTTCTTTATCTTCCTTTGCCGCTAGTGCCCTTTGGACAGTTACCAATTAACACTGTATTTTGTTCTTTAACTTTTCATGTTACTCTATTAAGACTGCATGTTCCTCAACTGCATGCACCATATGACCACCTGTAGAAATGATTGTAAAATAATTAGTACATATCCTAAAATAGTTACTTTTCAAGATTTTATACTTGAAAAGAGGCTGTCATCATTCATTGTTTTAAATGCTCCTTTGAGGAATGATCCAGTTTGATGAACATAAGAAAATACTGTTGTTTTTACTATTACATTTCTGTTGTTTGATCAAATGTGGGATTATCCAATTTAATTATCCATGCAGTTCATCAAAGTTGTTTCCAAACAGATACTTCATTAAAAATAAGTCATCAAAAGACAAAGATTTACCACCCCTGAGAATATACAAAACATCAAACTACAGGTTCCAGAGCTCTTGCAAAATAAATTCATAAAGTGTACCATCACATCATTGTATTAAATATATACTTCCTCAGAGTGACTACTTTGAAAGCTCAGCTCAAGTTTTGCATACAACTCTTGTTGTATTTATATAAAAATTTTGGGAGGCTGAGGTGGGCGGATCATGAGCTCAGGAGATCAAGAACATCCTGGCCAACATAGTGAAACCCCGTCTCTACTAAAAATACAAAAATTAGCTGGCTGTGGTGGTGCATGCCTGTAATCCCAGCTACTGGGGAGGCTGAGGCAGGAGAATCGCTTGAACCTGGGAGGCAGAGACTGCAGTGAGCACAGATCGCACCACTGCACTCCAGCTTGGAGACAGAGCGAGACTCCATCTCAAAATATATATATATATATATATATTAATTGCAACATGTTAGCATCATACCTCATACCTAGCACCTCTTAGAATAGAACAGAACTCATAGTACATGCTCAACAGTATGCAATTGATTGTGGCTTATTGTTAAGAGTTTGATATGACAGAAGTAGATAACAAAAGAATGGTTAAAAATATTACAAATGAAATATACTTTTTCATATGTAAACAAACCTGGATTCTAGCCATGGTAATCTTCTGAGATGCATATTCCATGATTGTAATGTTTTTAAAAGGACACATTTATAACTTTAGAAATTTAGATGTTTGTCTTAGTGCTAGAAAAGGAAGATATTAGTAAATAGTGGAAAAAGTTAATATGGGAGTCTTGGCAATTGAGTTCTTAAGCAATGGATGGCAAGTGCCCAATGGGTGACTATAGAGGGTCAATTTGGAAAGATTAAGGACACTTAACCTGGGTTCTTCGCTTATGAGTGGTAATATACTAAAATCATCTGAAAGAAATCCAGGATCTGAAAACATATGCTCAAATTCAGACACATGATTAAATCTACTATCCATTCATCTGCTTAATTGAGCAACTCCCATATGCTAGGCACTGTGCTAGGCATTAGAGACACGGTATTGGACTGAACATTCACAATTGCTTTATTTTAGTCATTATTATAAGAGCTATTAAAGAAAAGTAGAATATATTACTAAAGTAATAGGGAGCTTGGTTTTTATGAAATGGACAGGAAAGAGTATTCCAAAACTGTTTATTTATCTGAAAAAAAAGTACTGCTAAAACAGTTATAATAAAGCTGTTTCTACTATTACAGAGTTATAAAGTTTACACATCAACTTTGATGGGCTGCACTGATAATTAAATTGGATAATCTCACATTTGATTAAATGGTTTCAGTCTGCTGAAAGGCTTTTGCTTAGGTTATAATGTAGACTCCTATTTACTATATGATTTTTTGCTGAACTACAAAAATATTATTTAGCACTAACAGAAATAGAAAACTATCAGTTATTGAAGATAAAGCAGTTCATAATGTTGAAATGTAGTAAGTGTACTGGTGTCAATATAATAAAGCTGGTGTAATATTACGAAATGTAGATCAAATATAAGTCACCTGCTCAGGAAGGCATCTTTATTATGGTTTTCAAGTACCTAAGCTAGTTGTGGAACCAGTTGAAGCTGTTTATACAAAAGCTTATTGGAGAAATGCCAAAATATTAAGGCAGAAAGCAAATTATAATTGGATTGGAGAATAGATCTAGCTGCTGTAATTCATTAATTTTTTTAGAAAAGTTAAACCTGGGTGCTTGTGTTTGTTAAAAGAGTAATATAATCAAGACATAACAAAATATTATTTGTATAATGGGAGTCTCTGGTTTTGAACTGTCTAGACACTGAAAGTACCTATAAAAATGTGAACTTCATGTGGGTGGGGATTTTTGTCTATTTCGTCTACTGCTGTTTCTGAAGAGCTTAGAATAGTCCCTTACATTAACAGAGCTATATATTTTTAAATTAATGAATGAATGAAAAGCAAAGTGAAAAATGGTGTATTTATGTAGAAAAGGAAGAAATCAACAAAATGTTAAGTGATGTCACATTTAACATAGAAAAAATAATTTGAAGGCATTGAATAAATTGAGTTTATAAAAAGAACCTACAAAAATAACATTTTTATATTAATAAGGTAAGTATAAAGACATGAGGGAACAATTCACTTAGTGTGTCATCTAGGAAATCAAATACTCAAATTGCAAGCCTGTTTAAAAGGGCATTGAACTACATTATGTGTAATTTGTAGTCACAAATGCCAAGTAAAAGACAACCAAGCTCCTACTTTAGGGAGGCTACCATAAGACTTTTAAGAGATTGTTTTGCTTTCTATGTGACTTTACAAAACTACAGTATGGAAGGTACAATAATGTGGGTATATCTATACTGATACATTTATGAACTCATATGCAACCATTGTTCCTTTGAGATCACGCTATGAATGTTGATTTTCACCTGCACTTTTCCAGCATTGCTAAAGACCAGTGCATAACTCACCGCAATAGTAACTTCCATGTGTCTTGTTCTTTGTTTTGCTGTGCCAATTTGCACTGCCAAGTGACACTGTGACGCTCAGTCTGCTGAAAGGCTTTCACTTAGGAAGAGTCACCCAATTTCTGATGACTGTTCCCTGGGGTTGACCGCCAGCTCTATTGCCTCTAGCACTTCATTGTCGTGTCATTCCATTTTTAATTTTTCAACCTACTTTTGAAGTGTTTCCTCCTGACCAAGTACAGTACACCTTGGTTTATGCAGATACTCATTTAAAAGACTTATTGAAATATCAATGATCAGCAATTCCTATGTATGGATAAAAATGAATAATTACAGTAAAATCACAGAGCAGTAAAATTAGTGGCACTATGGTAATCTGTAGGAGACAGAATAGAGTCACTTTGCTACCCAGTCAATAACATTTACTGGGAAGATACTTTGCATACTATGTAAACTCTTATATCCCCCAGTTGTAGACTTTAATTATCCTCCTATATTTTCAATTCTCCTATATTTTCAATGATGCTTCTTAGAAATTTAAAAGAATGTGAAAGTTCAGGAGAACATACAAGTCAATAAAAGTCATTTAGGAAATTGGGCATCTACTAATTGCTAAGCACTGTGCTAGGTTCTAGGCAAAAATAAATAAGACATATTCCCTTCCTTTTCCTAGTGCACAGGTGGATAGGGGACCAGCCAGGTACACAGTGCAAGGAGAGCAACAGTAGAGGTATGTCCAAGGTACAGAGGTAGTGCACAGGGAGTGATTAATTAACTGTGGGTGTGGGGAGAAACAGTGGTGTCAGGATAGGTTTCTAAAGGAAGGTTTTTAAAGACCAACTCTGAGGCCATCAGGCAGAAAAGAGGAGAGGACATTCCAGGAAGACAGAACAGATGACACAAATGCACGGAGGAGTCAAGCAATATGGTGTGTTCGGGGAATTCCAAGAAAACGAACATCGCTGAACCTACAGTGCTTGTGGGAAACAGAAGAGTAAACAACTCTTGGAGGTTATGTTTGTGAGGTGTGGAGTGGCATAACCAAAAAAAGCATTGAGCTGACCCTTGCTGGGTCTGACAGTTTATGTATATGCTGATGGCTATGAAGACAAGTATAAGTTAAATTATCACAAGGACTTTTCAGTCCTTCTATGACAATATATACAATGTAAAAGGCAACAGCTTTAAGCAGTTTTAAAAATACGATATATCGTTTCTTTTGAGGATCTTGTCCATTTCAGTGATTCTATATTTTAAGTAGTGAATGTTGACACAATAAAAATTCACCTTGCCAGACAGGCAGGCAATCAGGACCCAGTTTATTTGTGACAAGGACTGATTATTCTTTCCTGATGGACATTAACCTTGTTTCTCTTTAGCTGAGACTGCTCTTTGTTACCTTACCGAACTGTCTATCCTGTAGTTTTCCTGTGTGGCTAAATGAAAGATTGTAAATAGCCTTGTAGTACCTAAAACAAAGTATGCAAATAATTATTGACTGGCCAAGTCTATCAGACATTGGATACATCTAAAGCACATGATATAAAGACATGTGCAGTTTTAAGAGTTTACTATTAATCTGCTGAATCTGTCACATTTGATAAATTCTTTGTTTACAAATGACTGCAATCTGTTAATGCTCATTTGTATGAATTCAACATGTTTTCCACTTTGCTCTTTAAAAAGAATGCGTAAGACTGACTGCCGCTAACTATTAGGTGAAGAATATTCCCCTAGAACAGCACAGCATGGCATGTGGTAGAATGGTGCCCAACAAGCATTTATTGGGTGCCACTCTACCACAGAATGAATTATTAATAGCTTATAATCAAGGCCTTTGATTCTTAAGCAACTAAGCCTTTTTATTCTCAGCTTTGACCATATGGAGAAGTACTGTCCAACAGAGAGATAATGTAATGTAAACCACATATGTAAGTTTATATTTTTTAGGATCTGCATTTGAAAAAGTAAAAAAGAAACAGTTGAAAATGATTTAATAATATATTTTATTTAACCTAATATATTAAAATATTGGCATTTCAATATGAAATGGTTATAATATTTATAAAGAGACATCTTACTCTCTTTTTTTTCCTACTATTTGAAAATGTGGTGTGCATTTTATATTTATAGCACATCCCAATTCAGGTAATACATTTCCATGAGAAATACTTAATCGGTATATAGATTTCAGAAAATTTACAGTTGAAAAAGTAGATTCATATACTTAACATACTTTCAAACATAACACAATTTTTTCAGTCACTGAATCAAATCGGTTTTTAAGTGTAAATTATTTGAAATTGAGTCAAATTAAAAATTCAAGCAACATGTCAAGAGCTCAGTAGTCACATGTAACTGGTACTGGACCCGGTAGTTCTAAAAAATTCTACTCCATAGGGCTGACGGTAGGCAATGCTCTTTTCCCACTTTTCACTGTAGGTTTAGCACCTTTTAGATCTTTATTTCCCTTTTGTTTTGTCAGTACTTCAATTTTCTTCCAAAACTTTCATTACCCTAACACATTAAGTTAGGAACCTGTGAATTGAACATGCCACATTTGGTTAATAACCCAAAAAAAAATTACTCAAAGCCTTAAAATATTCCCTTTGTCATTTCTCCATAGTCACAGACACAGAAGCTATATATAGTAACACAAAAAAATTTTGCTCATGAGCATTTTCATTTCTAAGGACTAGGGTTAAACAGTATTGACTCCATCACAATAATGCCTCATGTCATTTTTTTTTCCTCTCCCATGTTTAAGGATCTACTAATGCCATTTTAAGGGGAGAAGAGCTCATATAGGGACAGACAGTATTTCCTTTTGAAAAACATAGTGACTTTTTTTTTAACCTGGGCAAAGTGCATTTTCACTTAGTTTTCACTACATACCAAGCTTAAAATTGTTAGGTATTAATAAGGATTATTTGAATGGCATTTTCTTTTGGATAGAATTGTTCTATCCAAAAAAACAATTTGGCTAGCTAGAATTATGGATTCGAGCTACCTAGTAATGACTCTCTTTGAATGTAGTTTCACTGTTAGAAGTGTTCTTGGGGATTGACTTAAACAATAAATATCCCTTCCTATTATTATGTGATATTCCGTAAATTTCAATATGTGAAATAGTGAGCATTGTGTAGCAAATATAGCTAAGGGATTTGTCCATGGCTTTTAACAGACACTTTAAAATCTGTGGAAGCCACTGTGCCAGAATCTGGGGCTCTCCTTTAAGCTCTGTCTCGAATTAGCCATTATATCTTATGGGGTGAACCTATGGTTTTTGTGACTGGTGCAAGATTGAACAGCACCACATATTTCAGTTATCTTCTTCTGTATCTTATTAACCTGGTGCATCTGTGATCTTGAACAAGTTAACTTAGTGGAATTTTGTAAAATGGAAATAAATATGCCTGTCAGGGTCACCACGATTATAAAGATAGAAAAATATGTGAGTATACTTTAAAGAGCAAAATACATACTACCAGCTGAAGGAATGATTCATATTCCAATGGGGCTGAACGCCTTTTCACAGCTACTTGTTTATTGCTAGGTTAACTCAGGTACTATTGCAACACTAGGTACCCTTGTGTGGCTGCAGCAGTCAGTGATGCCGCTGACACTGTGATGGCAGCCCCTACAGGCAGCCGTCGCAATAGTTAACCAGAAAATAACCAGAAAAATACAGGATTATGCCCTTGCAACTTCAATGTATCTTGGTGATTCAGGATTTTCTGCAGAGGGCACGTAAATGCTTGACATTCTCAGTAACACATCATAGTTCAGGAGGCAGCATTGCAGTTCCGCTGCCTAAATTCTGTTTGAGAAGTGGTGATGACCACCAAAGGGATCTTGTTTTTTTTTTTTTTTTCATTTGCTTTGTGAAATTGGTAAGTGGTTACAAGAGAAAATGCTAAAGAAATAAGTACACAGATGGTGTTCTAGAAGTGAATATAGACTGGGTGAGAATTGCTTCTTTCCTCAAAGGATTTTTGTGTTTGCTATTTTCAGGTCTTTTGGACCCATGCTTCAAGGGTCAAGTGTTAACTTTTCAGAAACAACCTTTAATGAGTCAGGATAAAAACCATCTGGTTCAGGGATTCTTCTTTCAAATGGAGGAAATTCAGAAGAGACGAGAAATTTCCCACCATTATAAGAATTCCACTGGAGGCATACTGAAGCAGCTCAGAAAATCAATGTATCCGCTCCTATCTTTCATTCCTTTTGTCTTCCTGCCCATCCATGAAAGGAAGTGAAAAAGAAATGTTGCAAAGAAGAATAGAGAGACGATAAGGTTTTCGTTCTACAGGCTGAATGTGCAAAATGTAAGCTCTCAAATGAGATTAAAAAAAAATGCAGCCTTGCTTATAAAAGGCGAATGGGTCCTGGACAATGCACTACAGACGCGGGTGCCTACAGGATGTCTTGAGGCAGGTGGGTGGAAGTGTGAGGAAGCCACCTGGAAGAGGGAGGACAGGGCCCAAATCAGACACAGCTCTCCATCCTCCCTAAACAGGCTCGCCTAAGTGACACTTCCTTGTGTCCCAGGAAGTGACGATCAGCCAGTGTAGATGTTGTGACTCGCGGGTCTCACCCACTCCGAGGGTGCTGCAGGGCGCCCAGAGCGAGACGTCTTCCGCCGGCCCCATTCCCGAAGAGGCCGCGCCGTCGGGGGCTGAGACCCACTTGTACTGAGTCTCCAGCCGCCTCCCTAGGCTGCTGGCGCTTCTAGGGGCTTCTGTGCTTTTTGCCAAACTCTGAGGGTGACCCTGAACCTAACGGCTCCCTAGAGAAGGAGACTGACAGAGGGCTCAGGCGAGGATAGGGATTGAGAAAGCGTGGAAACGGGGGAGGAGGAGTAGAATTTAAGAATGGTAAAAGTCCCGAGGTAGGAGAAAAGGAGGGGTAGGATCCAGGGTAGGATTGAATCCAATTCTTCTCCAATGAAACGGACAAACAAACAAACAAACAAACAAAAACAGAAAGAAAGAAAAAGAAAAAAAAAAGCCACTGATTCACATCAGCTCTCTCTCACCCTCAACCCGGCAAAAACCAAACACGAATAAAAATAAAACCACCAGAGGCTCTTAGACGACCGTAAACTCTGCGGGTGGGGCACGAAACAAAAATAAACACAGGGACAGGCGGGCAAGAGAGCGCGGGAGGAGGAGGAGGAGAAAAAGGAGGAGGAGGAGGAGGAGGAGGCGGCCCCGCATCCCTAATGAGGGAATGAATGGAGAGGCCCCCTCGGCTGGCGCCCGCCCACCCGGCGGCGGCCGCCAAGTGCCTCTGGGCGCTGCGTGCCGCGCCCGCTGCTCCGCGCGCAGCCGGCTCGGGCCGCTCCTCCTGACTGAGGCGCGGCGGCGGCGGTGGCTGTGACCGCGCGGACCGAGCCGAGACATTCGCGCCGGGGGATCGGGCGCCGCCGCCGCTGGGCCCCGGGCGCGTGGATGCGGCTGGGTCGGGCGGCGCCGTACACCTGAGGCGGAGAACGGGGCGCGGCGCGGGTGACGCTGTCAGGGCCGCGGTTCCTGACGCCCAGGCGCTCGCCAGGACGAGCCAGGCAGTGATTTGAGGCACCGGCTTCACCTTCACCCATGGTCCGGAGAGCCTAGCGGGGCTCGCCACCGCCTCCCGGCTCCCCTTCCACGCCTCATCCTGCCAGCCTCGCCGCCCCGCCAGCGCCGGGCAACCGCCTCGCCCGAAGCCCTCCCTCGTTACTGTCCGCATACCCCGGCGGCGCCGCCGCGGGAAGCGGCTCCCCCTCCTCTTCCTCCGCGTCCTCTTCCCTCTTTCCCCCGCCGGGGCCGCTTGTTGCACCGCCCCGCGGCCTGCGGGAGCCGCTCGCCCCGGCCTTGTGCTCGCGTCCGCACCCCTTTCCTGTCGCCCCCCGGGGCCCGCACCACAGCCCGGCCGGCGAGACCCCGGCCAGACCCCGCTGCCCGCACAAAATGTCGGCCCGGACGCCATTGCCGACGGTGAACGAGCGGGACACGGAAAATGTGAGTAACCGGAGCCTCCCTCGGGAGCAGTGGGGGCGAGACCCTCCTCTGATCCCCACTTCACCCGCGCTTGGGCCGTCCCCCGTGCCTCGGCGCGGCCACCCGCGGCAGGGTCTCCACCTGGAGCCCGGCGTGACCCTCACCCACTGCTCAGCCCTATTCTTCATTCCAACCCCATTTCGCTTGTTTCCCCTCAAGGGTGAGGGTAGGGAACCGTAAGTGGCGCCCTCTCGCTCGGAGGTGGTCCTCCAGGGGCGGATGGGGTGATGGAGGGCAGAGAAGCAGAATGGGATGGCAGAGTGGGCAGTCAGGATTGCTTTATTTCTACCTCTGCATTCTGTGCCCCCACCCGAATGAATGCTTGCTTTACAATAGCAGACGAGCCGGCTACCTCTCACACTCTTGCTTTTCTGGATCTTTCAATCCTTTGCACTCTCCCCTCCTCCCCCCGCATTGCCCCATGACTTTGCTTTTTGTAACATTGTGTCCACATTTTGGGTCATGGGCACCAAAGCGAGAAGGATGGGAATGGAAGTGGAGATGTGTGCGTGTTTGTGTATGAGTTTATACTGCTGTGACACTCTTAGTAGGGATGAGTAGAAGAATTTCACGAACAGCATCTATGGCCCTGGGGTTACAGCAAAATGTTGAAAAGCCACATGAAGCCAAGGGCTTTTTAATCTCTTCCTTAAGTCAGTGATAATGATGCAGGGCAGGTTTTACTTTAAATATCTCTCCTCCTTGGAGTGTCACAAGGTGCACATCTTTAAAGGAGGGATTTTCTGTGTCTTTGATCAGATTGCCCTCTGGAGCTGTTATCAAGATGCAGATGTGCCGGGCTTTTAAACTCTTGAAAAACGAAAAGAACAAGATCCCTTGTATTTCCACCTTCTGAAAAGTACAGTTGTGTGTGTGTGTGCAAGTTCCTTTGTGGGAAGGTTTTCTTGTTTTTGTTTTTGTTTAAAACACTCAAGACCTGTAAATAGGGCTTGGCTGATTTTCCGACTGATTTTAAGGACCTAGAGGGGTACTAAGTTTTGGTCAGCTGTCCAGAGCTCTCTGTCTAGTTATCTCATCAGCCGTCCAGCTTTTGATATACCACTGACTTCATGGGGTTGGTAAAATAAAATAACGAAGCGCTTTGGTGTTCTTAGACAAAAGGCATGAGAGAAAGGATACAAGCTCACTTCTGAGTTGTTGGAGGGGTATAAACAGATGATTTCATCTTAGGAGGGAAGCACAGAAATTTAATATAACTATACAAAGAGAGAAGAAATTCTACTAAGAGACCATTGTTAGAGGACCTGTGAAGATGTTTCAGAGTATGCTTTTGTCTTCCCTAGCGCCGTGCATTTAAATGGGAAAGATAGTGTAAGGCTGCTGCTATCATAAATTAGAACTTCATTTGCATCATAACTATTTTAGAAAATATAATTGATACATAATTTTGATTGAGAGATTGAACAAGTTCAGAGAAAAAGATGGATATTTTGGTTTGAGTTGGTTTTAAAGCCGAGTTGGCACAGAATTTTTCTAACAGGAACATTAAAAAAATGCCTGTCATTCAAGAGTGTGAATGAAAAGTATGACAGATGATAACCTTTGTTTTTATTAGCAAATTACTGTATGTGTTAACCCAGGAGGAGTGGAAAAATACATTGTTTTTATTTTCTTTTAGATTTTGAATAGTATAGCTTTTCTCATACTTGTATGAATAAGGTACTTCATAAAGACATGAGATATAATTATAGAAATATGCATTAAGGAATAGCACAAAATGCAGCTTCTCATGTAAGAACACACAAAAAAGGATTTTAAAGCTAAGCAATAATAGTATGATAAATTTTGTTGTGAGTACCTTCTGAAAATGATTATGCTGTATAAACTGATTTGCTGTTTCTGAACATGTTATTTCAAAGTCACTTTTATGGTCTTGTGCCTTATTGTGTTGTACATAATGATATCTCCATTTAGCTTACTTTACCCACACCTTATTTTCTCCTAATTGCTGTGGAAAATATCTATTATATGACACCTGTCAATTAATAAGTATGCACTCAGCATGTTCATTTTTTAGGTAAAGGGTTGGGAAGGGGATATAGAAGTAGTGTTTAAGATAAAGTCTCTCCCTGCAAGGAGCTTACAGAAGAGATAATAATCCCAAACAAGTAATGTATGGTAGAAGACATTGTGTAAATAGGGCTAAATTGGTTTATAGGTGTTATAGGTGTTTATCAAAGAGGCCACCACTGATGGCTACGAAATCACCATTGGTGACTCTCTTTATTCTCTAGTTGGTAGTAAATGGCATCATCCATTTTTACTTCTCATCGATGAAATAAAGTAACAAGCCTGCTTGTTAGCTAATATATTAATGCCAGTATGGCAGCCAAAATGTATTTTTGTTTATAGTCATTTTCAATTACATGACATATTTTTAAAAATAGTTACAAAACTTTTATATTCATATGACTATTAAAGGGTTCTAAGTCCTTTGGTATATCAAGGACACTAACTAAAAACATTTTATTTTCCTTAGAAATTAAAATCAACAAATACAGTAATTTAAAACACCATCTTGATATTTCGTTGTCGTTTGCAGTTAATATAAACATTTCTTTGGTCATCCATATAACGTATTTGGATTTTGTGTCCTTGGGAATATATAATATCTACCCTTCTCAGTGTCACTAATATATATTCAGGATAAATAAAAATCCCAAAAGAGGAATATTATAGCACTGATCTCTTATATACTACTGCTATATATAGTAGAATGAGAAAGAATTGCTTTTCTCTAAGAACAGTCTATGTGTACTTTTTCAGGAGTATTTTCTTTGATGAAAGATTTGTGTGTGCCTTGTTAATAGGCCTCAACGGGCTAAATACAACAGGACAACCAATGATTAACTTTTAAGGCAATAAACACTTTGTAGTAAAGTAAAAAAAATGTGTTGCAGATAATAGAATCTATGCAAAATGTGTTTGATTTTAGATTATAAACAGTAAGTCCAGAAAAAGAGTAAAAAAGATTTCTCTTTTTTTCTTTTGTTAGATTTTATTTGGATAATTCCACCATGGATATAGATAATATATTATCATTACTCTTACATGTTTTTTAATGAAACAAGAAAAAAAATTTAGTATTTGGGAAAAACTCCGATTATGCTAATTATTAATGGGTCAAAAATGCTCAGCCTAGCTTTCTGTGATGAAATTTTGATCAGTATGAAGAAAACTCTTTTGACTACTTCTTGGAATGTTTTAAAATTGAATTCAGTTAGACTAAAAAGCCTTTAATAAAAAAAGACTCGATGTTGAGTCTTGTGACATACTGAAATTCATGGCGGTGATTATAATGATTACCTATTGTAACTAAGGTTGCCATCAGTAGTTTGTCTTTTGAGAATCATTGTTAATGGCATGAAGAAGCGAGAGGAAAGCATACCTTTGTCACTATCCTTGGATTTTCTGTGCATCCTTCACATGTCACAGTACCTATCACATAGCATCTAATTGCCTGACTTTGTCTCCCTTAGTCTGTGTTGCCAGTGCCCAGCACAGTGACTAGTACAGTATATAAGAAATCAGTGCTGTAACACCCCCTTTGAATTTTTTCATTTATCATCAAAATATATTGGTGACATTGGTGAGGGTAGACATTACGTATTACAACCTGAGAGGCTGAATGAAGCCTTCAGAGAGAAAATTTAGTGACCTACCCAAGGTTAATAATTCTATCCTTCAAGGTGAATAATGAAAATCTGACACCTTCCACTATTACTGTACTCATGCTGTTACTTCGAGAAAGTGTTTTTTTGTTTTCTTTTGTTTTGTTTGTGTCTTAAAGAGTTTAGAAGAGTGGCTCATGCCTCTAATCCCAGCACTTTGTGGGGCCGGGGTGGGAGGATTGCTTGAATCCAGGAATTCGAGACCAGCATGGGCAACATGGAGAAACCCTGTCTCCACTAAAAATACAAAAATAAGCTGGGCATGGTGGTGTGTGCCTGTAGTCATTCACAGCTACTAGAGAGGCTGAGGTGGGAGGGTTGCTTGAGCCGAGGAGATAAAGGCTACAGTGAGCCAAGATCACACCGCTGCACTCCAGCCCGGGTGACAGAGTGTGAACCCTTTTTTTTAAAAAAAAAAATAGATTTTAGAAGAGCATATGAAATGGTATAAGATACTTTATTAGAGGAAGAACAGGGTATGCCGTCCCTATCCCTACTTCTGAACCTTTACTGTTTTCTGTGTGGAGTGCCTTGCACTTGTCCCTTCATATCAAATTTACAAATCCTTTATGGCTTGTCTCATTGTTTTAACAAGACTTCTGAAATGATTGCAGCTAATATTGTTGTTTGTTGTAGCTGAACAGTGGTGGATGTATATAGTACACATCAGTGGTCTCTAAAGTGGGTGTGCAGGGCAATACATTGGAAGAAGAAATGTATTTAATGTTTGTCACTTCACTTCTGACCTACATGCTATTATTACGTCTTTTTTTTTTATAAAAATCCAGTTCATATAGAATTAGACACATGATTTTAAAGTTATTATTATTGTTATTATTTTTCCTCTTCCATCTCATTGTTTCCTTTGGGTGTCATTTTCTCTTTTCCTGATGAATATCTGTGGAAGTTCTTTTGGTGCAGGATTGTTAGTGATGAACTTTTTTAGATCTGAAGACATATTTTGCCCTAATTCTTAAACGATAGCTTTGCTTAGTCTGTAACTCTAGGTTGATAGTTTGATTTCTTTCACCACTCAGAAGGTAGTATTCCATTGTCTATTGATATACATTGTTTCTGTTCAGGAGTCATCTGCTATTTGGTGTGTGATCCTTTCTGTCTGTCTCTATCTTGTGTGGATTCATATGTCTCATCAGTTATGGGAATGTACCAACCATTATGTCTTTGAATGTTACCTTACCTCTGTTCTGCATAGTATTTCTGGCACTCTGGTTAGATGTGCGAAAATTTATCATTCTATCCTTCATGTTTAACCTGTCATTTATTTTTTTCCTCCTATTTCACTGTTTATCTGTACTCCAATCTGTAGTATAACCTATACTATAGTTACCATATATGTTTAGATCTTTCTTCAGCTGTATATAACCCTGTTAACCTATCTGTTGAATTTTTTTTCATTGTGGTAAAAAGCACACATCAGATACACCCTTTTAACAAATTTTTAAGTGTGCAGTACAGTATTTTTGGTGGGGAGGGAGTAGATTTTAGTGGTGGTAAGGTGGCAATTTTATTTTTTTATTTTTTCACGTCTTATTTTTTATTTAATTTTATGATATGTATTAGATCTATTAGTGCATATTTTGGGGGTATATGTGTTAATTTGATACATTCATATAATCAAATTAAGGCAATTGGGATATCTATCACTTTACATATTGATCTTTTCATTATACTAGCAACATTAAAATTATTCTAGCTATTTTGAAATGTACAATTGATTAGTTAACTATAGTCACCTCAGTGATCTATTGAACACGAGGTCTTTTTCCTTCTAAGTGTATGTTTATACTCATTAATCAATCTCTCTTCATCCTCCCCTTCCTACTAACCCTTTCTAGCCTTTGTTAACCACCAATCTACTCTCTATCTTCATGAGATCGCTTTTTTAACTCCCACATATGAGTGAGAACATATTTGTCTCTCTGTACTTGGCTTATTTCACTTAACATAATGACCTCCAATTTCATCCATAGGCACAATATTGTACAGCACATCTCTAGAAATTTTTCATCTTGTGTGACTGAAACAGTGTACATATTGAACAGCAACTCCCTATTTCCCTTTCTTTCCAGACCCTGGCAACCACCATTCTTATTTTCTGCTTTGATGAGTTTGACTACTTTAGATACCTCACAAAAATGGGATCATGTAACATTTATCCTCTGTAACTGGCTTATTTCATTTTAGCACAATGCTCTTAAGGTTCATCCATGTTATAGCATATGACAGGATTTCTGTCTTTTTTATAGCTGAATAATATTCCATTGTATTATGTACCTTGTTTTGTTTATCTGTTTATCTGCGGGTGGACATTTGGGTTGCTTCTACTTCTTGGCTCTTATAAATAATACCTCAGTAAATATGGGAGTGCAAAGATCTCTTCAAGATCCTGATTTTAGTTTTTTGGATAAATACCCAGAAATGGTCGTATGTTAGTTCTATTGTTGGGTCATATGGTAGTTCTACTGGGTCAAATGGTAAGTCTATTTTTAATTTTTTGAGGAGACTTCATATTGTTTTTCATAGCAGCTGCAGCATTTTACATTTCCACCAACAGTGCACAAGGGTTGCAATTTCTCTACATCCTCACCAATGTTTATTTTCTGTTTTTATTTTGTTTTATGGTTTTTAAAATTATAGCTATCCTAACAGTTGTAAAGTAAATATCTTACTGTGGTTTTGATTTGCATTTCCCAGATGATTTGTGATGTTCACCGTCTTTTTATGTACCTGCTGGCCATTTGTATGTCTTCTTTAGAGAAATGTCTATTCAACTCCTTTGCACATTTAAAAATCAAGTTTTTTTAAATCAAGTTTGCATATAGTTTTGCTCATACTGTAGTGTGCTTTTTCACTCTGTTGTTTTCTTTGATGTGCAGAAGCTTTTTAGTTTGATTTAGTCCTGATTGTCTATTTTTGCTTTTGTTGGCTGTGCTTTTGATATCATATACAAGAAATCTTTGTCAAGACCAATATCATGAAGCTCTTCTCCTATGTTTTCTTCTAGGGATTTTATAATTCAAGTCTTAAATTTAAATCTTTAATCCCTTTTGAGATAGTTTTTGTGTATGATATAAAATGAGGGTCCAGTGTCATTCTTTTGCATATATATATCCATTTTCCCAGCACCATTTGTTGAAAAGACTGTCCTTTACCCATTGTGAATTTTTGGCATCCATGTTGAAAATCATTTGACTGTGTATGCATGGGTTCATTTCTGAGCTCTCTATTCTGTTCTTAGTGTATATCTCTGTCTTTAAGCTATTACTATACTATTTTGATTACCATAGCTTTGTAATATGTTTTGAAGCCAGTAAGTGTGAGGCTTCTAACTTTGTTCTTTCTGAAGATTGTTTAGGCCATTCAGGGTCCTTTGTGGTTCCATATGAATTTTATACTTTTTTTTTGTTTCTGTAAAAAATGCCATTAGGTTAGTTCTTTGTTAGTGCATAGAAATGTAACTGACTTTTGTATGTTGATTTTGTAGCCTGAAACTGTTGAATTTGTTTATTATTTCTAGCAGTTCTTTTTTTGGTATTTGGAATCCTTAGGGTTTTCGGCATATAAGATAATCTCGTCTACAAACAGTGATAATTTTGCTTCTTTCTGATTTGGATACCTTTTATTTATTTATTTTTTTCTTGTCTAACTGCTCTGCCTAGGACTTCTAATACTATGTTAAATAGAAGTGGCAAGAATGGGCATCCTTGTCTTGTTCTTGGTCTTAAAGGGAAACCTTTGTTTTCTACCACTGAGTGTTATTTATATTAGTTGTGGGCTTTTTTTTTTTTCCCACACAATACATTTTATTTTATAAACTACTGTGTACATTTTATACAATTATGACTATTTTCCATGCCTTAAGTTTCTAACCTTATCATTTGCAATGGCTACATTAGAGTGGGTGAACTAGCATTTATTTAACCAGTCCTCTCTCTCTTTTTTTTTTTTGAGATGGAGTCTTATTCTTTCACCCAAGCTGGAGTGCAGTGGCGCAATCTCAGCTCACTGCAACCTCCACCTCCTGGGTTCAAGCGATTCTCCTGCCTCAGCCTCCCAAGTAGCTGAGATTATAGGCACACGCCAGTAGCTGGGATTACAGGTGCACACCACCATGGCCGGCTAATTTTTGTACTTTTAGTAGAAACAGGTTTCGCCATGTTGGCCAGGTTGGTCTCAAGCTCCTGACCTTGGGTGATCTACCTGCCTCAGCCTGCCAAAGTGCTGGGATTACAGGCGTGAGCCACTGTGCCCGGCCCCAGTCCTCTCTTGTTAGATATTGAAGGTTTTTCCATTTCTTTACTGTAAATAACCTTGATGAGTATCTCCATAGATAAGTCTCTAAGTGTATCTATTGTTATTTTTTTTTTTCAGTTTTTAAGTTCAGGGGTACATGTACAGGATTTGCACATTTGTTACATAGGTAAACATGTGGCATAGTTTGTTGCACAGATCATCCTATCACCTAGTTTTTTTTTTTTTTAATTTAAGTTTTAGGGTACATGTGCACAATGTGCAGGTTGGTTACATATGTATACATGTGCCATGCTGGTGTGCTGCACCCATTAACTCTTCATTTAGCATTAGGTATATCTCCTAATGCTATCCCTCCCCCCTCCCCCCACCCCACAACAGTCCCCAGAGTGTGATGTTCCCCTTCCTGTGTCCATGTGTTCTCATTGTTCAATTCCCACCTATGAGTGAGAACATGCGGTGTTTGGTTTTTTGTTCTTGCAATAGTTTACTGAGAATGATGATTTCCAGTTCATCCATGTCCCTACAAAGGACATGAACTCATCATTTTTTATGGCTGCATAGTATTCCATGGTGTATATGTGCCACATTTTCTTACTCCAGTCTATCATTGTTGGACATTTGGGTTGGTTCCAAGTCTTTGCTGTTGTGAATAGTGCCGCAATAAACATACGTGTGCATGTGTCTTTATAGCAGCATATTTATAGTCCTTTGGGTATATACCCAGTAATGGGATGGCTGGGTCAAATGGTATTTCTAGTTCTAGATCCCTGAGGAATCGCCACACTGACTTCCACAATGGTTGAACTAGTTTACAGTCCCACCAACAGTGTAAAAGTGTTCCTATTTCTCCACATCCTCTCCAGCACCTGTTGTTTCCTGACTTTTTAATGATTGCCATTCTAACTGGTGTGAGATGGTATCTCACTGTGGTTTTGATTTGCATTTCTCTGATGGTCAGTGATGATGAGCATTTTTTCATGTGTCTTTTGGCTGCATAAATGTCTTCTTTTGAGAAGTGTCTGTTCATGTCCTTTGCCCACTTTTTGATGGGGTTGTTTGTTTTTTTCTTGTAAATTTGTTTGAGTTCATTGAAGATTCTGGATATTAGCCTTTTGTCAGATGAGTAGGTTGTGAAAATTTTGTAGGTTACCTGTTTACTCTGATGGTAGTTTCTTTTGCTGTGCAGAAGCTCTTTAGTTTAATTAGATCCTGTTTGTCAATTTTGGCTTTTGTTGCCATTGCTTTTGGTGTTTTAGACATGAAGTCCTTGCCCATGCCTATGTCCTGAATGGTAATGCCTAGGTTTTCTTCTAGGGTTTTTATGGTTTTAGGTCTAACGTTTAAGTCTTTAATCCATCTTGAATTCATTTTAGTATAAGGTGTAAGGAAGGGATCCAGTTTCAGCTTTCTACATATGGCTAGCCAGTTTTCCCAGCACCATTTATTAAATAGGGAATCCTTTCCCCATTGCTTGTTTTTCTCAGGTTTGTCAAAGATCAGATAGTTGTAGATATGCAGCATTATTTCTGAGGGCTCTGTTCTGTTGCATTGATCTATATCTCTATTTTGGTACCAGTACCATGCTGTTTTGGTTACTGTAGCCTTGTAGTATAGTTTGAAGTCAGGTAGCCTCCAGCTTTGTTCTTTTGGCTTAGGATTGACTTGGCGATGTGGGCTCTTTTTTGGTTCCATATGAACTTTAAAGTAGTTTTTTCCAATTCTGTGAAGAAAGTCATTGGTAGCTTGATGGGGATGGCATTGACTCTATAAATTACCTTGGGCAGTATGGCCATTTTCACGATATTGATTCTTCCTACCCATGAGCATGGAATGTTCTTCCATTTGTTTGTATCTTCTTTTATTTCCTTGAGCAGTGGTTTGTAGTTCTTGAAGAGGTCCTTCACGTCCCTTGTAAGTTGGATTCCTAGGTATTTTATTCTCTTTGAAGCAATTGTGAATGGGAGTTCACTCATGATTTGGCTCTCTGTTTGTCTGTTATTGGTGTATAAGAATGCTTGTGATTTTTGTACATTGATTTTGTATCCTGAGACTTTGCTGAAGTTGCTTATCAGCTTAAGGAGATTTTGGGCTGAGACAATGGGGTTTTCTAGATATACAATCATGTCATCTGCAAACACGGACAATTTGACTTCCTCTTTTCCTAATTGAATACCCTTTATTTCCTTCTCCTGCCTAATTGCCTTGGCCAGAACTTCCAACACTATGTTGAATAGGAGTGGTGAGAGAGGGCATCCCTGTCTTGTGCCAGTTTTCAAAGGGAATGCTTCCAGTTTTTGCCCATTCAGTATGATATTGGCTGTGGGTTTGTCATAGATAGCTCTTATTATTTTGAGATATGTCCCATCAATACCTAATTTATTGAGAGTTTTTAGTATGAAGTGTTGTTGAATTTTGTCAAAGGCCTTTTCTGCATCTATTGAGATAATCATGTGGTTTTTGTCTTTGGTTCTGTTTATATGCTGGATTACATTGATTGATTTGCATATATTGAACCAGCCTTGCATCCCAGGGATGAAGCCCACTTGATCATGGTGGATAAGCTTTTTGATGTGCTGCTGGATTTGGTTTGCCAGTATTCTATTGAGGATTTTTGCATCAATGTTCTTTTTATATACGGTCTTTTTTATGTTGATGTAATTTTTTTCCATTCTTATTTTGTTGAGTGGTGTTTTTAATCATGAAAGGGTACTGAATTGTGTCAGTGCTTTTTCTGCATCTATTGAGATGATCAGGCAATTTTAATTTTCCTTCTATGAATGTGGTATATATCACATTGATTTTTGTATGTTGTGCCATCCTCGTATCCTAGGGATAATTGCCTCTTGGGCGTGGTACGTGATCCTTCTAATGTGCCGTTGAAATTGAATTGCTAGGTTTTTTTTTTTCCTGAGAATTTTTATATTGATATGCATTAGGGATATTGACTTGTAGTTTTTTTTTCCTGTAGTGACTTTTTCTGGTTTTTTATCATGGTAATGCTGGCTTTATAAAATGAGTTAAGAAGTATTCTCTTCTCTTCTTTTTGGGGGAGAGTTTGAAAAGGGTTGGTTTTAATTCTTCTTTAAATGTTTAGTATAATTCACTAGTGAAGCCATCTGGTCTTGGGCTTATCGTTGTTGGAAGGTTTTTGATTCCTGATTCAATCTCCTTACTAGTTATAGCTTTGTTTAGATGTTCTATTTTTTCATAACTTAGTTTTTGTAGGTTTATTAGGGTTCTCCAGAGAAACAAATCCAATAGGCTGTATATAGATATATGAGAAGATTTATTATGGGAACTGGTCCATGTGATTATGGAGGCCATGAAGTGTCACAGTATTTCATCTGAAAGTGGGAGAACCAGGAAAACCAGTGATATAATTTAGTCTGTGTCTGAAAGCCCAAGAACCAGTAGCTCTAATGCCTGCAAGCAGGATAAGATGGATATCCCAGCTGAAGAAGAGAGAAATAAATTTTCCGTTTTTTTTCTTTATATTCCAATCGGGCTCTCTCAATGGATTGAATGATGCTTGCCCACATTGATGAAGGTATATGCTTTGTTCAGTTGCTGATCAAAATGCTAACCTCTTCTGGAAAAACTCTCTTGGATATACCCCAAAATAATATTTTGCCAGCTATCTGAGCATTCCTCAGCCCAGTCAAATTGACATATAAAATTAACTATCACGGTAAGTTATATGTTTCTAGGAATTTATACATTTCTTCTATGTTATCTGATTTGTTGGAATATGATTATTCATGGTAGTATCTTATATCGTTTTTATTTCTGTGGCATCAGTTGTATTATTTCCTCTTTCATTTCTGATTTTATTTGAGTCCTATCTTTTTTTCTTAGTCAAAGGTTTGTCAAATTTGTTGATCTTTTCAAAAAACCAAGTCTTTTGTTGATTTTTTTCTGTTGTTTTTGTATTCACTAATTTGTTATTTCTGCTCTAATCTTTTTTATTTCCTTTCTTCTGCTAAATTTTGACTTAGTTTGCTCTTCTTTCTCTAGTCCTTGGGGTGTTGAGTTAGATTATTTATTTGAAGTCTCTCTCTTTTTTTTTTTGTTTGAGATAGAGTCTTGCTCTGTCATCCAGGCTGGAGAGCTGTGGTGCAATCTCAGCTCACTGCAGCCTCTGCTTCCTCGGTTCAAGTGATTCTCTGCCTCAGCCTCCTGAGTAGCTGGAATTACAGGTGCCTGCCACCATACCTGGCTAATTTTTGTATTTTTAGAAGAGACGGGGTTTCACCATGTTGGCCAGGCTGGTCTAAAACTCCCAACCTCAAGTGATCTGCCCACCTTGGCCTCCCAAAGTGCTGGGATGACAGGCAAGAGCCACCACACCCAGCCTCTTATTCTTTAACGTAGGTGTTTTTTTAATGAAATCACGATAAACTTCCCTCTTAGTACTGCTTTTGCTGCATCCCATAAGTTTTGCTGTTGTATTTTTGTTATCTGTCCTGGAGAATGTTCTGTGTGTGCTTGAGAAGAATTTATATTGTGCTGCTATTGGGTGGAATGCTCTGTATGTCTACGTGTCCGTTAGGTCAATTTGTTCTATAGTGTTCTTCAGGTCCTCTGTTTCCTTGTTGATCTTCTGTCTAGTTATTCTATCATTATCGAATGTAGGGTATTGAAATCTTTTATTGTTGTGTCGCCGTCTATTCCTGCCTTCAGTTCTGTCATGTTTGCTTCTGTTCTGATGTTGGGTACATATGTATTTATAATTGTTATAGCTTCCTCATGAATTGATGCTTTTATCACTACGTAATATTCTTCTTTGTCTGTTGTGACAGTTTTTGACATAAGGTCTGTTTTATCTGATGTAAGTTTGGCTACCTCTGCTCTCTTTTGGTTATTTCATCCTTTAATTTTTAGCCTGTGGGTGTCCTTAAATCTAAAGTGAATCTCTTGTACACAACATATAGTTGGATGTTATATTTTTAATCCATTCAACAATTCTGTCTTTTGATTACAGTGTTTAATCCATCTTCATTTGGTGCAATTAGTGATAGGGAAGGACTTACTATTGCCATTTTGTTAACTATTTTCCGTCTTGTAGGTTTTTGTCCCTCTTATCCTCTCTTGCTGTATTCCTATGTGTTTCATTGATTTTTTTGTAGTGACCTCTAGTGTAAGCTGGGTTCTATCAGCATCTAAAACCAGTCCCTCTGGCAGTCCCCTAAAAATCAGAGCATTGGATCCGTGCTCCACTCTTTTTCCCCATCTGTTGAATTTTTAATTTCATTTATCATATTTTTAATTTCTAAGTTTTAAGATTTTTCTCTTAAGCTTGTCTGCCTTTTTAAGTAGATTCTTGGACTTTGCTTATTTTATGATTTCATCTTCATTTCCTTGAACATTTAATATATAGTAATTTGCATCCTTGCAATTTAATATATAGTAATTTGTTTCTGGTAATTCCATTATCTGAAGTCCCTAGGAGGTTAGATTTATTGTTGATATCTGCTAATTCTCATTCACTATGGTTGTTTCTTATTGAATTGCTGGTATTTGATGGTGTCATTCACTATGGTTGTTTCTTATTGAATGTGCTGGTATTTGATGGTGAACTCCTCTTTGCCTGATTGTTATTTGTGTGAAACTTGGGGGCCTAAATTGAGGATGCTTCCTTCAGAAAGGGATTGGGTTGCTTCTGCTGGGAACCCCTACTGACGTGGGGCACTTTAGTCTCCTGTAGGGATTCCTGGGAGTTGTAGGTTCAGCTCTCTCACCCTGTAGTGAGTCCAAGACTTAGTATTTGACTCCAGGGTAACTAAGGCTTTTGTGGTTAACTTTTAGCTGTTGTTTGTTGATTTGTTTTTTTATGTTTGTTTACTTGTTTTTGTTTTGCCCTTGGAGGTCTCTCTTACTCTCTTATAGTTCAGTAATTCATTTAAAAAATAGATACTATTTTGGAGTACCCCTTATGATATCATGCCTACTGCACTGTAGAAATTCTGGAATAAGTTTTTTGTAAATGGGTCTTCAGAAATTTACATACTTATGGGATTTCCATACTTATGTTCCATACTTATGTAAATTTCCATACTTATGTTCCTAAACCATGTATCATTTCTGAAATTCTCGTATCTGTATACTTTAAAATGTGCATAATTTTCTGTTTATAAATCTTTCATTTGAAAATTTACTAGATTTTTGAAATCATTTGTTACAATTGTTAGAATGATTAATTTTCAAGAATGGCTCAGGCAAAGTGGAAATCTAACAGAACTTTTGCATAATTGATGAATAGATCGAACTATGAGCATCATAATTAAATAAATGCAAGCAGTTGTCCACTGCTTCCATTTATGTGAGATGCTCTCATTAGCCATGACAGTCATTGAAATTAAGTAGCAACATAAACTGGACTTATAATCAGTCTTTCAGTTCTTTATCACAAATTGTTAAGCCAACATTTACAAAACTCAAGAAACATTCATTTGTATTGTATAACATTAATAATATTTTGCTAATCACTGAAAAGTTTGTACCATTAGAATTCAATATATTTCCAAAAATTTTTATACTATACTTTTTAATATGCATAATCTATTTATAAAGTAATTCATATGTAATTTATTAGCATTTCTATGGGAATGCATACTTACACATTTTGAAGCTAAAAATACCTTGGACTGTAGTTTAGAGGCCATTCTATGCCACAGAGTTTAGCGTTGTTCTCTAATTCTTCTGCGTATAAACTTCTGCTTTCTAGCTAAATTGAAAATATTTTGAGGCCATGGACCACTTTCAACATTATTTCTGTATATCCTTTATTACCTAGCATAGTGTTTGGCATATTTTTTGGTACTCAACAATTTAATAAACCAAGGTCTATTTTATTTATTTATTCTCAAATACAGTGAGTTTATGAACTACCTGAGGAGATTGTTTCAAATTTGCATTTCTTAACTCCTGCTCCCTCCCAATCTTTGTTCTTGCTCAGTTTTTCTAGGGTGGGGTCTAGGAATTTCTCCAAACCCTTAGGGAATTCTTACACAGATAGGTTTTGGAAAACACTGATTTATGTGATGATGATGATTACATTGTAATTAACCTCATATTATGATGAAAATGAAAAGACAATTATAGTTGATGGCTATATTTTAGAAAGTAGGATGGAAAAAATGATAAGTCAATCCTTTTGTAGGTGATGACAACAGTAGAAAATATCAGGGAATTTTCTGTAAGTAGTAAGGTACATGCATGTGGTTGTTATAGGTGTGAGATAGAAGAAAGGGTTTAAAGAGGAATTTCATGTTCTTCCCTTCCCTTTCCTCAAATTTATGTGGTTAACAATAAAGTGGGAAGGGAGATGGCAACCGAAAAAGGAGTTTACCATATGGTGCCTGCTGTGGTGTGAATGTGCCTCCCAAAAGTTTGTGTGTTGGAAACTTAATACCCAATGCAACAGTGGTGGGAGATGGGGCCTAATAAGAGATGATTGGGTCATAAGGTCAGAGCCCTCACGAATGGCTTAATGTTTTCTCAGTAGCAGGTTAGTTATCTCGATAGTGGGTTGTTATAAAGCAAGCCCTGCCCATAGTGCTTTTCTCTTTTGCACACTTGCTTACCCTTCTGCCCTTCTGCCTTTCCACCATGGGATGACGCAGGCTGAAGGCCGTCACGAGATGCCAGCCCCTTGATATTGGACTTCCCAGCCTACAGAATCATGAGCTAAATAAATTTTTGTTCATTATAAATTACTCAGTCTGCCGTATTCTGTTATAGCAACGGAAAAGAGATTAAGACAGTGCCTTTAGTTTTAGGCTGAATCTTTCTCCTGAGAAAGTGTTATTTAATACTGTTTTGACCACTGTATCAGGTTAGTCCAGGTGGTAAACAAATTAGAAGCTGAGCCACAGTACCAAATTATAGTTAACTACCTGTAAAGTATATGGTGACAGGTTTAACAAGACTACCTTTCCTTTTGGGATCAGCAATGCTGCTTTCACAATTTGAAAAGAGGGTTTGCTTTTATTTCCTTTTCTATTCGCTTCATCACAATTGAAGATGATAAGGATACAAAGACAAATGAAACCTGTTCCCTGCTCTGGAGTGACTCAGAGCCTGAAGTGGGAGACAGACATAGAGACAAACAAGTATAGTAGAAAGTTGCAGTTCCTTGTCATCCAGCTGATTAGAACACAGAGTAAAGAAGGAAGGAGAGGCGGGCCAGGTGCTCAAGAAAGCCTTTGAAATGAGGCTTGAAAGATAAGTACTCCTTCACCAAGTGGCTCTGTGGAAAGTTGAGTTGGTGGGAAGACGAGGGCATTCGGGGTGGAAGGTGCATTTGCACAAAGTCCCTGAGTGTGAAGTGGAGAAGAGGAGAACATCACCCTGAAGAGGGCAGCATTTAGTGAGAGGGCCTGGCTTGAGATTAGGCAGGGCCTTACATGCCATAGCAAGAACCAGTCCTGGAGGCCGCAGAAGCTCTTGGAGGATTTAGATGGAGGGTCAACTTGATGAGATCTGTATTAAATATTTTCTGTGTGCCTGCATGCTTTAGAAACACTCTAGTTTTTAAATTCAGTGGGCTGCTTTCTCATGGTTTTTTTTTTTTTTTTTTTTTTTGAGATAGGTTCTTGCTCAGGCTAGAGTGCAGTAGCGTGATCACAGCTCACTGCAGTCTTGGCCTTCCGGGTTCAATCAATCCATCCGCCTCAGCCTCCTGAGTAGCTGGGACTATAGGTGCTCACTGCCATGCCTGGCTAATTTTTGTATTTTTTCGTAGAAATGGGAGTTTCGACATGTTGCCCAGGCTGGTTTCGAACTCTTGGGCTCAAGCGAGCCACCCTATCTCTGTCTCCCAAATTGCTGAAATTACAGGCATGAGCCACCACACCCAGCCTGAAAGCGCTTTTAATACAGTATTTATATACACTTTATCTGGCATATGAGAGAAAGGTTTGGTAAAGGGGAGACGCCAGTGCTAGTGACAAAGACTCTTGACAAACTTTAATTAGGCTGCTCAGAGTCCTGTTCTCTACTAGGCCTTGACCTTGGCCCTCTATTTCCTTCCTTCCCTTACTGGGCCTGCACAACTCCGAATTAGCAAAGAATCTTGCTAAGTCAGTTTGGTGAGATATCACCCTTGATATCTGACCACCCCTGAGAGCTGATTGAGTTCTTCACCCCCCATCTTTGATGTCTGAGTCCTTGGCCTGTCATTTGCAAGAACCACCTTACCCTTGATGTCTTCTTTAGTACTTTTCCATCTATTGACCCTCTCACTCTGCTCCTTGCCTGTAAATCCCTAGCCATCTTTGCAATATTCAGAGTTGAGCCTGTCTCTCTTCCCTATGGTAATACCCCTATTACAATAGTCTTGAGTAAAGTTTTCCTTATAGTTTTAACAAACATCAGAATAATTTTTTATTTAACACCAGTTAAGAAAAGATTCACATTTCATAATGAAACCCCACACATTTTTCACTGTGGTGGTATGTATTGCGAGTATGGTTACAGATGTCCATGGTAACCATAAAACAATCACTTAGTATACTAGAAAGTAGAGTTTCTCTAGATTTAGGGCAGAAGAATAGGATGATAAAAAGGGGCAAGGAGAAGGATTTAGCAAATACTAGGATTGGTATATCGTTGTCCTTTAATGGTGATTGGTCTTTGTGATTTTAATCAGTGATGAATATAGTTGAACTAAAGGGAAAGATTATTTAGCTACTGCTCTGTTCTGGGTTAGATTTATCTTTCTATTACCACCTCTTCAGTTTCTTAAGGAGGGATATTATTGCTTTGTAAAGATAGTGTCCAGCCTGCTTTTAGAAATGAAAAGCAACTAATTGGCTGGGTGCAGTGGCTCACGCCTGTAATCCTGGCACTTTGGGAGGCTGAGGCAGGTGGATCGCCTGAGTTCAGGAGTTCCAGACCAGCCTGGGCAACAACGGTGAAACCCTGTCTCTACCAATACAAAAAATTAGCTGGGCATGGCGGCGTGCGCCTGTAGTCCCAGCTACTCGGGAGGCTGAGGCAGGAGAATCGCTTGAACCCTGGAGGTGGAGGCTGCAGTGAGCCAAGATCGCACCAGTGCACTCCAGCCTGGGCAACAGAGTGAGACTCCGTCTCCAAAAAAAAAAAAAAAGAAAAAAGAAAAGAAAAGAAAAGCAACTATAGGAATAGAAAGCAAAAAGCTATGGATAAGCTAGTTTATCTTGGATCAAATCACTAACCTTTCTTTCTTATGGCTCTTACTGGTACATCTCATTTTGGTACCTACTTACCTGTAAACTGTCTTGGGTACTTTTTTCTGCAGAAATTATTTATTAACTGAATAGCACTACTAAATCATGCCATTGATCCTTCTGGCCACTCTAGATTCTTTCTGTATTGCCTAAATACCAAGAACTAAAAGGAAATAAAGTATTTACTAGTAGCCACTGTTTAAACCAGTGGAATTGGCTTACTAGTGAATTGTTAACTACCAGTGCCCAAATAACATCCTACGGAAGAAAGTCTTGAATAGAAAAGGTTGGAACCAGGTTGGTTGATCACTTCCACCTTTCCCTTCTACCTTCCTCTCCAGGAGGGGAGAAAAACAAGGAGAGGTAAGAGTATGGTCACTGAGGAGACTCTACTCCCCTTTTTGCCAGAATTGAGTATTTATCAGTTGCTAATTCTGCTTTGTATGTACTTTGTGACAGTAGTGTCAAACTGTACTGTGATTTTCTTTTTTTTTTGAGGTGGAGTCTCACTCTGCCACCCAGGCTGGAGTGCAGTGGTGCGATCTCAGCTCACTGCAAGCTCCACCTCCTGGGTTCACACCATTCTCCTGCCTCAGCCCCCCAAGTAGCTGGGACTACAGGTGCCCGCCACCACACCCGGCTACATTTTTTTGTATTTTTAGTAGAGACAGTGTTTCACCGTGTTGGCCAGGATGGTCTGGATCTCCTGACCTCGTGATCTGCCTGCCTCAGCCTCCCAAAGTGCTGGGATTACAGGCGCGAGCCACCGCGCACAACCTCTGTACTGTGATTTTCTTAAGCCTGTCACACACATAATGCTGCAAACTCCTTGAGACCAAGAACACTATTACTGACTCCTGTATCAAGCAAACAGTGATACCTGCACTTTGCAGAATTGCTTACCTTGCTGGATTAAAAACAGCAAGAGTATGTCAACAAAATACATTCCTCTTCCTACAATACTTTAGCACAGTGCTGTGCACATAGCAGCAACTCATTGGATGTTTAGTAAATGTATACAGTTAAGATTCATTCATTCCCTGGAAATAGTGGAGTACTTTAAGAATATGAGGTGATGCTATGTAGATACAGTATTTGCTGGTTAAATTCTGGTCATTTTTTGGTGAACATCTGAAGTATATCGGAGAGAGGTTCCTCTATGTTCATGATCAAAAGTTAAAGTTATCATAAAATTTCAATGTACTTCAAAAAATTAATTTAAGTTGATATGATTATTAGCTTATATTAGGAAATAATTACTGGATTTTGTTAGATTTACTAAATATAACTGAAATGAAGGTTGTAGAATAAGCTCTGACTACTATAGTATTAAATTAAATCAAATGTAATGATTTAGAGAACAAACATCGGGTTGGGCACGGTGGCTCACACCTGTAATCCCAGCACTTCGGGAGGCTGAGACTGGCGGATCACATGAGGTCAGGGGTTTGAGACCAATCCGGCCAACATGGCGAAACTCCATCTCTACTGAAAATACAAAAATTAGCAGGCGTGGTGGTGGGCACCTGTAGTCCCAGCTACTTGGGAGGCTGAGGCAGGAGAATTGCTTGAACCTGGGAGGCAGAGACTGTGGTGAGCCGGAGGCTGCGGTGAGCCGAGATTGTGCCACTGCACTCCAGCCTGGGTGGACAGTAAGACTCCCATCTCAGAAAAAAAATATAATAATAATAATTAATAAATAAAGAACAAACACCTATTGTAATTTCTGGCATGAGTTTGCTGTAACGTTTTTGTTCTTGTGAGAGTGAAAGAACTAGGAAGTTTGGAAAAGAATTTAACACGGTATTTTTAGATAATTTAGGTAAGTGTTTTCTTTTATTACCAGCTTGTAATAAATCCTGGCAAGTGGTAGTGAAAGCCCTCCCAAAGTAGCTTCTTGGGGTGTAGGGGAGTATCTTAGGGAGAAGTGCCTCTAAAAATACAGGCTCAGCCACTCCCTGTTCGCCTCCTCTGTCTCAGCCCTCAGGCTGTGCTTGTGTGGGGAATAGGGGTAATTGCCCTTTGTATACCACAATTCAGATGTAGAGGCAGTGTAATTTCTTGGTTAAGAGCACAAGCTTTGAAGCTCAAGTCCTTGGGTTCAAATCCTAGCTCTAGCATTTATTAGATGTGACCTTGGGAAGCCACTTAACTTCCTTATACCTCAGTTTCTTTACATGTAAAATGGAACAAAAGTGTCTACCTTATTCAGTTGTTGTTTTGTTTAACTAACTGAACACATATAGCGCCCTTAGAACAGTACCTGACACCTAGCAGAAGTGCTAGCTGCTGATGCTGCTGTTATTATTCCATTTAATTAAAGCTTGAAAGAAGTAAATTTGCCAGTTTTAAGTGCATCTCAGGGTTCCTGAATTACATGGTTTTCATTTTTTAAATTTCTGTATTTTACATCATGGATTTATTCCTTTTTATACCAAGAAAAAGTATTACATTTACAACATGAGGTCTTTCTGTTTTACTAGAATTTTTGTAGTAAGTGTAAGAGGGCCACTGTGAAGCTGAATTATCTGCAGGCGGCTTGGTAAGCAGGGAATTAGAGCAGAGTACAGAAGAGGAGAGTTGTTTAGTGACATAGATGTCCTCAGTGGGAATGGACGTATTTGTGGTGTTACATAATGTTTAAGAGCACAAACTTTGTAGACAGGACATTCCTGGGGTTTATCCCGAGCTCAGCCTTTTACAAGGTGTATTACATTGGGCATGTCTCCTTATCTGTAAAACAAAGATAATACACACCTGGTTGGATGGTTGTTGGGTTTTCATTGGTAGGCTTATATAATATACTTTTGTAATAATAGATGTTCAGTAATGGTATCAAAGAAGCAAGGAATCAAACCAAAATGATGAGAAAGTTCACAGTTGTTGATCAGGATGTATTTCTCTTACCCCACAGTCGTGATACAACTAAATTCATGTTCTTTGGGCTTGCCTTTTCTCCATGCTTACCAGTTTCTTCATTTTAATGCATTCATTCTTGAGACTGAGTACAAATATACTTGAAATGATTACAGCTTTAAACATGCTAATGGAATCTCTCTCTTGAGACTGCATTGATTTTACTGAACCCAAATATAAAGGCAAGTCTTAAGTCAGGGATTTACAGCTTGAAGATAATTTTCATAATGTCATTGTGTATGCTGGAATATAGTATTCTTCTGTTGTCTTTTCTGAATCATAATGCTTATATTTTTGCCCCTTAGAAATGATAGATAATAGTTTGATGAGCTAGAAGCAGAGTTAGGAGAAGCTCTTTTTTTTTCTTGAGACAAGGTCTTGCTCCGTTGCCTAAGCTCGAGTGCAGTGATGGGAACATGGCTCACTGCAGTCTAAACCTCCCATGTTCAAGTGCTCCTCCCACCTCAGTCCCTCAAGTAGCTGGGACTACAGGCGTGCGCCACCACACCCCGCTAATTTTTGTATTTTTTGTAGAGACAGAGTTTTGCCATGTTCCCCAGGCTGGTATCAAACTCCTGGGGCTCAAGCAATCTGCATGCCTTGGCCTCCCAAAGTGTCAGGATTACAGATGAGAGCTGAGGAGTTCTTCTAATTCTGTTTGTCCTGTGTCCCTTTAAGGAAAGATATTTTCATCTTTCTTAAAGTAATGCTTGGTATTTTTTTATTCAAAGGAATTAACTTCACCTTGGTCAGGTTTACATAATAGTGACTTAAATTAGAAATACAATCTCATGTTCAATTACCTTTTAGAAGTAAGAACGTTGCCATTTAATTTATCACATTGGAGTTCAGTCAGGGAAGCAGAATTCTGTTAAGTGATACAGAATAAAGCTTTTACTAAGGGATTATACTTACACAATTGTGGAAGCTGGTTAAGCATTCTGTGTATAGTTGCTGCTTCAGAGTCTGGTATTAAGAGGCTGAAATCCTCAGGGCCAGCAGTCAGGAGGGAAAGATGAATGTGACATGGGGGAGTAAAACAAATTAGAACCTGCGAGGACAAACTGGAACTCGTGTCTCTCACTGCCTTCTGTCTTCTAAGATGGGTGACCTGGAGGATAAGCTGGTGCCCTTCATTGGAGAGTTGCCCAGGCATCTGGACCAGAATTCAGAGCAGCTGAAGCAAGTGGTCCAGCGGGAGCTGAAGGAGCTCCATGAGACATGCCAGCAACATCAGCTATGTCAAGCGTGAGTGCTGCTGTGTCTGGCCCTGCACTGACCTTCAGAGCATATAAATGGTTACTGTTTTCATTTCTGCCTTCTTAATCTTGTGCAAATTTCTCTTGTGGCTGATGTTAGCCTAGGACCATAGAGAGAAGGGAATTCTGGGAAACGGAGTTCCAGTTTAGCTAAGTTAACACATTGGAAGTCATTAAAACCCACTCCTTGTCAGCTTGGCCATCATTTTAAGTATGAGATTTAGCCACACTTCTCTTAACCATACTTAAGATAAAGATAATAGCAGAATTAATCTTTAGCCTAACATGATACAAAAGTCTCTTTATCTATCTTTAGGTGATGCTCATTTCTCTTCTCAGTCTCTCCTTATTCCCTGCAACTTCAGTATTAACATAAAGAGTTAGCTAATGTTAACACTTTGATGTTGAATGATGGAGAAATGGGAAGGGGAATCAAAAAGAAAAAAAAGAATTGGTTAATATATATGCAAGTGTATTTACAGCAAAATAAGGAAAAAATATTTATAAGTATTACAGGGCTTGTTTCTGTAACTGGTCATGTGGTTGTAGGTGGTATTTATAATTACCTCCTTCAACTACTGATTCCATATTTCCTTTGCTCTCGGCAAACACTTCAGCTGAGTTTTGTTCTTTGCCTGGTGAAGTAACCCAAGCCTTCATTCCTGAGGAGTCTGGGCCATCAGAAGTCTTGCCTGCACTGGGTTATTGCAGTTTTCCATTGCCTTATCCCATAGGACATGGGAGTAAGAAGAGGTGCCCCAGAGGATCCCCTGCATTTCAGATATAGTCCGTCTTACAGACATTATGTAATAGCAACCTAATTTTCCCTTGATAGTCAGGATCAGTCACCCCAGCCAGTATGGTAACCTCTTTTTTTGCCTATTGATTCACTGCCATGAAGCAGTCTCAACTTGCCATTTAATGGACCATTACTATGACATCTGGTGGAAGCATTTTCTCCCTAGGCACTAAGACTTCTAGACCAGCAGAACCCAAAGTTGTAGGGACTAGAAAAAAATTTTTTTACTAATGGATCACTAAGGATAATAGTGAGAACAGCTATTCCCATTTCTATTTATTGATTCCTGAACCTGTGAAATCTGGTTACAGGAGAAATAGCACCATATCTTAGTCACAAATTTGGAGTACATATTGCATCCTGGAATATATTACCCCAGCTC
Organism: Homo sapiens; assembly: GCF_000001405.40. Classification (NCBI taxonomy): domain Eukaryota; kingdom Metazoa; phylum Chordata; class Mammalia; order Primates; family Hominidae; genus Homo; species Homo sapiens. The sequence continues at coordinate 220,552,444 of NC_000001.11, forward strand.
TGCAAGGTGTCGTTACCCAGCTGGCATCAAAACAATCTTCAAAAGATTGTTTTATCAAGACAGCTGCTTCAGAGTATTGGGGGAATATAGTGAGACTGGTGATTTCTCAAAGCATGAGCCTGCTTTCATTCTTTATTTGCTATAAAATGAGTTCGTTGCCTAGAAGCAATGCTATGTGGAATACCATGATGCTAAAGAAATACTATAATGGTGAAAATGTATTCTGTAAGTCCACCAGTGAAGGTTTTGTCATAGCATTGTGGACAGAGAAGACAAATACATGTCTGTAGCAAGTATCTGTTCCAATGAGAATAGACAAAACACCTTCCCTTCTATTATGAAAGTAGTCTAAAATAATCAACCTGTCACTGGGTGACTGGGTAACCTTCTCTTACCCACCTGCCCACTCCACCCCCTGCCGCCTGCCACCCCCAGGAGTGGTGCTATTTTGGGAGCTCAGTGTTGTTCTATGAAGCTGACAGATTAGCCTTAGTGAATGTTCATCTATGTTGCTGGGCCCATGCATAACCTTCATCCCTGCCATCATGGCTACTTTGTTCATGAGGCCATTGGGCAAGAATGGGTGGCTGGAGAAAGAGAGTAACTGATGTATACAGCATGAGTCATCTTTTCTGAGTATGTACATGGGAAACAGTGATCTCCATATGCTGTGCTCATTCAGGGAGATCTATTCACAGATTTCCTCCTTGTTACTAATTTTCAAGTCATACTCTTTCTAAGTCCTTGATCATTCAGCCAAGCCATTAGCACCAGTCTGTGAATCTCTATAGATTTATACTACATACTCTCTCTCTTTCTAGGCAAAATAAACAACCAGGTACACTGCTCAAAGTTCCGCCTGTACTCTTCCTTTGGTACCACCCCAGAGTGGGACTCTAGTGCTCCATCTACTTATGGGTGGTACCAGCATATTGTGCAGAAACAACTGTAAATAAGACTTGTATTGTTTCTTTCTTCATCACCAGGTCCTAGGGAACTCCCCATGAGGCCATACTTGTTGATTTAGACATCAATGTAGCAGGGGAGCAGGAGTATGGGTCAGGAGCATCTCATGCAATGTAATTTGTTCCTTCAAGACCTGCTCAAGCTTTATCTAATACATACCATTTGCATTTATAGTGGAATGTTGCAGTGCATGCCCAACTTTTTGGCTTGATGAATCGGACAACACCCAGCTCATAATGGGAAGCTTATGTTGAATGGTAACTTGGTGGCCTATGGTCAATTGCTCAGTGTTTACTAGAGTTCGGTAGTAAGCTACTAGCTGCTTCCTCAAAAGAGAATAGTTGTCTGCAGAGAATGGCATACCTTTGCTCCAAAATCCTGAAGATCTACACTGTGGTTCATAAGGGGCCCACCAGAGGCTCCATACTGGATTTCTATCTGCCACAGACAGTTACTTCAAGCACCAGTGAGTCTTCGGGGTTCAAGTGGCTAAGCAGCTTGCATGACAGCCTAGGCCTGTTGCAGACCTCTGATGTTCTGGCGTCCATTCAAAACTGGCAGGCTTTCAGATTAGCTGTAATGGTAATGCAGTATATATTACTTTCACTACTGACATACATGGTACCCTTTCTTAAGGGTAGAAGGGCCCAGATGCAGCAATTTCTTTTTGTCCTAAGAGAACTATCTCAGCATGTCCCAGACCACTAGACTCCTGGGAATTTCACTGAGGAGGCAGGTCCCTGAATTTATGTGGGATGTATATCTCACCCTCTGGCATGCTTGTGTCTTATCACGGTGTCTAAAGTAGTCATTACTTCCTGCTCACCAGATCTAGTCAGTGTAATGTCATCAATATAATGGACCAGTGTGATTTCCTATAGAAGGAAAGGTGATTAAGGTCCCTGTGCACTAGATCAGCGCTTCTAGCTGGGGGCAGTTTTACCTCCCAGGGCACATGTGCCAATGTTTGGAGACATTTTTGGTTATCACAAGTAGAGGTTGGAGTACTACTGGCATCTGCTGAGTAGAGGCTAGGGATGCTGTTACACTTCTTATAATGTGTAGGATAGTCTTCTATAACAAAGAATTATGTGGCCCCAAATGTCTGTAGTACTGAGTTTGAGAGACCCTGAACTAAATTATGACATAAGGGTAGAGGTTTGAAATAGCCCCCAGGTAGGATAGTAAATGAAGCAGCAAGCTGGTTCAGATGTTTCTTTACTAACAGTTATAAATAAAAAAGCATTTGCAGTTCATCAGTCACACACCAGGTACTGGAGTGTGTTGATTTGATTCAGCAAGGAAACCACATCTAGAATAGTGCTGTAATTGGCATAACCAACTTATAAAACTTTGATAACTTAACTGTCATTTTACAAGATTCATCTGTCTTCTGCATAGGCCAAATAGGTGAGCTGAGTGGAGATGTAGTGGGAATTGCCATCCCTGAAAATTTTAAACTTTTTATGGTGGCACTAAACCTACAGTTCCCCCAGGAAGCAATATTGCTTTTGGTTTACTATTTTGGTAAGCCCAAGCAGTTCTAATGGCTTCCACTTGTCCTTTCCCAGTGTAATAGTCCTTAATTCGCAGGCCAAGGGATGAATGTGTAGGCTGTAGCAGATGCTGAGTACATGTCTTCCAACTGTATTCCAGAACTGGGGAAGTAACCACAGAATGGGTTTGGGGACCCACTGATTCCATTGTGAACTGGACCCAGTCCAAAACGTCATTGATCATCTGATTTCCATAAACTCCTGCTTTGATTGGTGGATCACAGTGGAATTTGGGGTCTCTAGGAATTACTACTTTGGAGATAGTTTGGAGATGTGGCAGGGGGTTGAGGGCATGGAAATCTATTACATAATCATCCTATCTGTATTAGATATATTTAATTGTAATGAAAATAATCACATATGACTTAATTTATGTCTCAGTTTATTCTGGCTGCTGTGGGCAGAATTCTTAGGGGTAAGGAGGATGCAAAATAATGAGAAGCAGAGAAAATTGTTGGGAGGTTGTTGATGTATTGAAGTAAGAGATGATGACAACTTGGTCTAAGTGGTAAAGGTAAAGGTGTAGAGAAGTGAATGGATTCGTGACGTGTTTTGGAGCTAAGGTTGATTGCCTTTGCTTATGGGACTTGATTTGAGGAGTTAGGGTGAGGAAGAAGAAAACCAAAAATAACTAATTGATTTTTAGATGTAGAACCATTTAATGAGATGAGCTATTCTGTGAGAGGAGCAAATTTGATATTTGGAAATTAAGTTATGTTTGGCTATGAGAAATCTGAAGTGCCTATTCGATATCCATATGGAGATGTCATACAGTTGACACACAAGTCTAAAATTCAAGGAAGGTCATAGGTAGAGAGAAAGTTTGGGTGTCATATGGTACAGATAATATTGAAAGTCACATGACTGAGTAAATTCACCTAGGGAGAATATATAGCCAGGAAAAAGGGGAGAGTACCAAAAACATAGTGGACTGAATTGACATGGTTCCCTTTCTTCTTGCTGCTAATATGTAGATAGACTTAAAATATAATTTCTGAAAGTTTATTAACTACATAACTGAGCTTTAAAGGACAAAGGAATGAAGAGAAATCAAAGCCAGAATGGTAAGCACAAGCTGACATAATGGCATTCCTCAGGGCTTTTTGATCCAGCATAAGAGTTGGGACATGTAGCTCTAACACTGTCTTAGGGACAGGAAATACGGTATCAGCACCATCTGTGCTGGAAGAACTGGAAATGAACCTCCTGTATGAAGCTCAAAGCCTTGATAGCTCTGTCTCCCTGCAAAGAAAGTTAGAAAAAACTCTGCCCCTTAGTTGAGGGAGTTGACAAGGAAGCTTGTCATCAGTACCGGAGGCCTTAAGTTTAACGGGGAGACACTTAAACTTAAATGATTATTCTAAATAAATGAAAACATCAGCTCCATGCTATATGTCGAGTAGAAACCCCAAACTATGAAATTAACTTGAAAAAAATTTCATGACTTGTTTTTGCTAGAAACAAGTGAAAAAGTGCTTGGTAGGATTACTTTCAAAATCTAGGACCCATGGGACTGTCACAAAAAAAAAAAAAAAAAAAAACAAATTACAGATTTCATGAGGAAACTAACCACTTGTGGAGAGAGTTAACAAATACAAAAAGTAGTAATACCACCCTAAGAACTGGAAATAATGCGACTATCTGAACAATCTGAAATAAAGCAGAATATAAATTTGTTTAAAAAGTTTTAAAGGCAGTAATAAATACCATAATAAAAGAATAAGAAATGAAGAGAATTAAGCTGATTAGAAAAAGAACTAAATAGAAATTATAGAAATGAAGTATGTTGTCACTGAAATTAAAATCTCAGTAGAATGATTAAGCAGCAGATTATTCCCAGCCAAAGATAGACTTGATGGACTGGTATAGATCTGAGGAAATGACTTGGAATGAATCATAGAGAAATAGGGACTGAGGATATTAAAGACTGGTTAATAAATATGGAATACAGATAAGAAAGTGCAGCATTCATCTAGTAGACATCCAGGAGGAGATAATAGAGTAAATTTTTGAGAGGCAGTATTTGAAAGATTGTGGCTAGGGGTTATCCAGAAGTGGAGAGAGATACATGTCTTCAGATTGATGCACAGCAAGTACCAGCAGAATAAATAAAAGGAGATTCATACCTATGGAATGGCAAACTCACAATAGAAAGAAAATTTTAATAACAGAGAAAACATGATTTCCAAAGTAACAAAAGTTAGAGTTCTCATCAGCAATAACAAATATTTTTAAAATGAAATAATGTTTTTAAAGAATATGAGAGAAAATATCAGTCTCATGTTATCTTCTTAACTAAATGATCCTTCAAGAATAAGGACAAATTAAGCTGGGTGCGGTGGCTCACGCCTGTAATCCTAGCACTTTGGGAGGCCAAGGCGGGCGGATCACTTAAAGTCAGGAGTTTGAGACCAAACATGGTGAAACCCTGTCTCTGTTAAAGTAGAGCTGGACCTAGTGGTATGTGCCTGTAGTCCTAGCTACTCGGGAGGCTGAGGCATGAGAATTGCTTGAGCCCAGGAGGTGGAGGTTGCAGTGAGCCAAGATTACACCACCGCACTCCAACCTGGGTGACAGAGAGAGACTCTGTCTCAAAAAAAAAGGACAAATAAAAGTTTTTTCAGACAAATGAAAACTAAGATTTTTCTACCTATGTACTCTTATGTTTGAATTACAAAAAAAATATAGTTCAGGGAGAAGGAAACAGAATTTAGAGGAAAGAAGTTGGATACAAGAAGTGATAATATGCAAAAGAAGTTGCAGGTTGATAACTATGAACAAGAACTGACTGTAAAACTGCCAAAAAAGAGCAATTGCTTATTTTTAGGGTGTTGGAAAAATCAAGTGAGACAAAGATGCTAGATAAGAATAATATGGAAAATGCCTGGGCACTGTGGCTCACACCTATAATCCCAGAACTTTGGGAAGCTGAGGCAGGTGGATCACTTGAGCCCAGGAGTTCAAGACCTGCCTGGGCAACATGGTGAAACCCATCTCTACAAAAATTACAAAAAAATAGCTGGGCATGCTGGCATGCACCTGTACTCCCAGCTGCTCAGGGGGCTGAGGTGGTAGGATCACCTGAGCCTGGGAGGTCAAGGTTGCAGCAGTGAGTCATGATCACATCAACACACTCCAGCCTGGGCAACAGAGTGAGACCCTGTCTCAAATAATAATAATAATAATAATAATAATAATAATAATAATAATAATATGGGAAATGGCAGGGGAAACATTGGAGCTAAAAATTCTGAGGTCTTCAGTTATTGGGGAGGAGGATGGAAATGGACTATTTTATTATGCATTATGCATTTAAAAATTTAAAAGAATAAAAACTGAATGTATAACTTCATAGCAGCTTGCAGTAGGGAGGAAGATTGAAGAAAAGTAAATCCAGTGGATAGAAGAAAAAGAAAAAACCAGGTAAGATAATCAGAAAATAAATATAAAAGGATTAAACTCTCTTATTTAAAAAAATAGTTTCTCAGCTTGTGTAAAAACTAGTAAAACATAACTCTAGCTATTTTAAAGTGACTAAAGCTTGCTGACAATGAAAGGTTGAAAAAAAGATGATTAAGAATCTGACATATCAATATTAATATCAGACTAATAAGATAAAGAGCATTATTAAAGATAAAGGCCATTACCCTAAATAATCAAAGATATTATTAACAAGGAGATATATTACTGTAACTTATACATATATAACAACATGGTCCAAAATATATAAAACAAAAAATTGATATATTTATAAAAGAAATGGGCAAATAGATGATTTTTAAGAAGCATCTCTAATGATAAAACTATAGAAATAAGAATAAGCAAAACTTGAACAAGCAAAATAAGTATTACTCAATGGAAATGTATAGAGTCGTATACTCTCAAAACAGAATATACTCTTCTCTTGAAACATTTATAGAACATTTCAGCTAAAATGCAACTAGGATGAAAATTTATTACCCTACATACACATATTAGAAAATAAGGAATTGAAAATTAATCAGCTAGTGTTAGAGAACTAAATAGGTTCAAGAGGTCAGTTTTGCAACCTAAAATAGGTTAAACAGATAAGGTAAGTAGAAGGAGGAAGTAATGAAAATTAGAGCAGCCATTAATGAAATAGCAAAATAAAGAAAAATTACAGAAATCAGAAACCTAAAAAGCTGGTTCTTTGAAAAGATGAATAAAACAGAAGGGGCTTTGGGACAGAGCTCTTGTGCATGTCAACATTTGGTGCTAGAGAAGAGCAGCAAAGGGCAGTGAAGTATCTGTTAGTAGGTTAGAAGGAAAATCTGGAGATTGTGGTGTTGTGGAAGCCAAGAGAATAAAGAGGGATAGGTCATCTGTGTTAAATGCAGCTGTTGTCAATCAGCAGGTAACTGATGATCTTGACAAGGCTAGTCTCAGTGGAATGATGGAGGCAAACCTGGTTGGAGTGGGTTGAAGTAAACACAGAGAAGTGATACAACAACTACAAAAACTTCTTTTAAGAACTTTTTATATATAGGAAAGCAGAGAAATAGGCCCATAGTTGGAAAGGGACATGTGGTCATGGGAGAATTTTCTCTTTACCATGAGATACAGGAGCATGTTTATATGCTATTGAACAAAGTCTATTTGAGAGGGAGTAATTGATGATTCAGGTAAGTGAGACTAAGTGCGGGAGCAAAAGCTCTTGAAAAGATGGAACTGAACAGAATCCATAGCATGGGAAGTGGTTTTGGCAGGGAGATTTCACATAGGCAGAGAATATGGAGGCAGTGGGTAGGCTGCAGTTTTGATACAGATTGATGACTGAGTGGATCTCTAATTGTTTCTGGATTAATGAACCATAAAGCAAAGACATCACTGGCAAATGGGGATGTAAGAAGACAGAGGAGGAAGAATGAAGTGGAAGTTTTAGAGAAGAGTAAAGTGAGTGTACAGTAGAACATACTTGGGGTGTATGTTCTAAGACTGTGTTAGTCTGTTTTCACACTGCTGATAAAGACATACCCAAGATTGGGTGATTTATAAGGAGAAAGAGGTTTAATGGACTCACAGTTCCATATGGCTGGGGAGGCCTCACAATCATGGCAGAAGGCAAAAGGTACCTCTTACATGGCGGCAGGCAATAGAGAAAGAGCCAAGCGAAAGGGGAAACCCCTTATAAAGCCATCAGATCTCATGAGACTTATTCACTACCATGAGAACAGTATGGGGGAAACTGCCCCCCCATGATTCGTTTATCTCCCACCAGGTCCTTCCCACAACACATAAGAGTTATGGGAGCTCCAATTCAGGATGAGATTTGGGTGGGGCCACAGCTAAACCATATGAAAGATCCCCCCAGTGGATGGCTGAAACTGCAGATATACATATACTGTGCATGAATTTCTTTTTCCTCCTTTGCAACTTCATGGTTAGATTTGTTCTTCCCATGGATCTTAATTGCCTCAGCATGGGATTATTATTTTTTCCTTAATGTTGAGAACTTGCACCTTCTCACTTAAATTAAGTACATCATGGCTTCTCTTTGGCATACCTTAATTGCCAGCATCACTGCCCTTGCACTTGGACCATTACGAAGTAAAATAGAGTTACTCAAACATAAAAGCACTGTGATGCCGAGACAGCCTATCTGATAAGTGAGATGGCTACTAAGTGACTAATGGGTGGAAAGCCTATACAGCATGTGTATGCTGCACAAAGGCATGATTCAGGTCCTAAGCAGGACAGAATGGACAAAGTAAGACCTCATCATACTATTCAGAATGATGCACAATTTAAAATGTATGAATTGCCTATTTCTGGAATTTTCAATTTAATATTTTCAGGTCATGGTTGACCTTAGGTAACTAAAACCAGAGAAAGTGAAATCACAGATAAGCTGGGAATACTGTACTCAAAGTACAGAGGACTGTCAGGTGATGTTGAGTCCTCATTGGGATCTGTGACCAAAAATTTAAGTGAAATCAGGGAGCTCATTTGTATATGTGTGTAACAATGTTGAGCTTTCAGGTGCAGATGTAGAGTAGGGAGTGGTTGGGTTTTGGAATGGTGTGGGTTTGCCAAGCAAATATGGAAGAGAGTGTGGAAAGCAGGGAAGTTAGGGATGTTTGCAAAGGAGTGGTTATACCGAAGGACCCTGACATATAACCTGAGTAAGGAGGTGTAGGTAGGACATTACAGGGATGAATGGTAGTGAGAATGGGAAGGGCCAGTGAATTAGAGGCTTTGAGGTTAAAGAAAGCTTTGAATATTCCAGGAAAGGTATTTGAGACCAGAGTTAAACACATGAGATAAATGCTCTGTATCAAGCTTGTCCAACCTGCAGCCCCTGGGCTGCATGCAGTCCAGGGCAGCTTTGAATACAGCCCAACACAAATTTGTAAACTTTCTTAAAACATTACGAGAATTTCTGTGATTTTTTTTTTAAGTTCATCAGCTGTCATTAGTGTTATTTTATGTATGGCCCAAGACAGTTCTTCTTCTTCCAGTGTGACCCAAGGAAGCCAAAAGATTGGACACCTCTGCTCTAAATGTTCTTAGCTTCTCTGTGACAAGATTTACTTAGAGGGATACATGAAAAGTTAAAAAGTTACAAAGAACAAGGTCAAACAGAGTTTGATAATAGTGTTTCTAAGCAATGTGACAGGATTTAAGCACTTCCTGGGAAGATCCATGCCATTTTGAGACACATGATCAGATAAATATTGTTAATATTGTCTGAGTTATTATTAAGATCTACTAGAATAGTATAGACAATGGGTAATGAAAATTGGACTTGGGTGAATGAAGAGACAGTATGTTAATGAATAAAAGATCAACCATTTTGTATTTGGAATTTGGCCAGGGAGCTGTTGTGTTCTGTTTACTTCTAGATATTCTAGATTTCAGAGTTTCATGGACTTAGAAAATTAATAAAAATAAAAATCTATTGGCAATGGATGACATTGCGAGCTTTTTGTTTGTCAAGTATGTGGGGGAAAACTTACCATGAGAAGAAGGCCATGATTTCAGAGGGATGATCCTTTTAAGAGAGAACATTTGGCAATCTTACACTAATATATGTGTATGCATTTGCATATGCATACAAATATATATTTTTTATTTGCTGAAGACCTGTGTAAACTTTTATCTGGTTGGAAATATTTTGGAAACCTTAACTTGCTTATTTGAGAATCTTGGTATAGCCAGTTGGCCTTTTGATGATACTATTACTATTAACAAAAACAGGCCGGTCATGGTGATTCACGCCAGTAATCCCAGCACTTTGGGAGGCTGAGGCAGGTGGATCACTTGAGGCCAGGAGTTTGACACCAGCCTGGCCAACGTGGCGAAACCCCATCTATACTAAAAATACAAAAAAAAATTTGCCTTAGTGTGGTGGCACACACCTGTAATCCCAGCTACTTGGAAGGTTGAGTCACGAGAATCACTTGAGCCTGGGAGGTGCAGGTTGCAGTGAGCCAAGATAGCGCCACTGCACTCCAGCCTAGGTGACAGAGCGAGAAGTCTGTCTCAAAAGGAAACAAAAACAAAAACAGTAGCTAAGATAAAACTTCAGCCATAATGAGTAAAGGAATTTGAAGGTCCCCAAAGAACTGTGTAATTGATGAGGATTTCCATTAAATGCTCAGTACCATTTACAAACTCCCACCTCCCTCAACCCAGTAACATTTTGTATAGTTGTCACTCCATGTCTGTGGGGATTGGTTCCAGGACCTCCCTCAAAAAAAAATTGACAGATGCTTAAGTCCCTTTATATAATATGGCATAGTATAATATTTGCATATATCTTGTGTATATCCTCCTATATACTTTAAAGCATCTTTAGATTACTTATAATACCGAATACAGTGCCTTCACACCAGTTCATTCATGTGGATTCAATGTAGTATTTGGCAGAGCAAATTCAGGTTTTGCTTTTTGGAACTTTGTGGAATTTTTTTTTCTGAATATTTTCAATCCATAGTTGGTTGAATCCATGGATGTGGGACACTACAGATGTAGAGGGCCAACTGTACATATTGATATCAGTCCTCTTCCTGCATTTAAGTAGGTAGCTTGGCCAGTAGCAGGTGCTGAACTAAGACACAGTCTCTTGGCAGGCCAGGGCTGTCTTTATTGCTTTGTCTACAAAATGTGGTTCTTAGTATGGTGCTCAATAAATGTCTGAGATCAAGGTAAATGAAATAATGTATCCCAAAGGCAGCTCCTAACACTGGAAGGGAAAATCCTTTCAAGCAGTAAATTAATGTAATTCTTGATTTTGGCAAATCGTAAATACAACCTGCAAAGACAATGAGGAAATTTATAAATAATTTTCCTTAAAAGAAGGTAAAAGAAAAGCCAAAAAAAAATTACCAATTACCTGAAAAATAATGGCTAACATTTATTGAATGCTTAGTATACCTCTTACTGTATTGTATGTTACTCATTCCATTTACTCAGCGTTACTGAGTTCCTACTTGTGAGTACTGGGGACTGTTCCTAGGAATCAGGACTATAGAAGTAAATAAGACAGACAAGATTCTTATTCTTACAAATCAGATGAAAACAAGTAAATGATAACTGTCTATCATTTTAGATAGTAGTAAGTTATGTGAAGAAAATAAAGGAAAGTTAAAAGATGGAGAGAAACTGGCAGGAGGCATTTTTAAAAACAGTGATCAGAGAAGACCCCTCTGTGTAGTTGGGTGAAAATTGACCATAGCCCTTTGAAGAAGATATTATCATTCATTTTCCTACTTGTGGTAACCTAGGAATACCCAAGTTAAAAAACGTGCCCAAGGTCACACAGCTTACAAGTTGCAGTGCCTGGATTCAAACCAGGTGGCCTGATTCCAGACCTGTTCATTTCTTTTAATCACTGTGCTAAAGTCTGTAGGAATGAATGAATAATCAAAACATATTTTTAATGGAAATATTTTTAATTTGAACCCCCATCTTTTTTTGCTTTAAAAAACTGATAATCCAGTTTATATAGAGAGAGCCTTCCTTCTTTATTGTGCTGTCTTCCTTTTGGTTATTTCATTGTAAATCAGTACTTCCGTTAGAGGATAGCAGTGGAAAAGAGAAGAGTTGCCAGGTTAAAATGGATTACATGCTTATTTATTAAAAACATTAGTTTAGTGAGAGACAAAGTAGAAATCATTGCATTAAATGGCCTTTAAATAGCCTGTGGATTTAATTTCTCTGAGTTCTCTGTGATCTTAATTTAATACAAATAATTGAGGGTTTTTTGTTTTATGTGTTTTTAGTCTGTAACTTCTTTTTGTGTCTTGGATTGAAACAGTATTCATTAACTAAAGGCTTTGTGACATCTAATGAGTATGAGGTACTGCACTGGGGAAGCCCAGTCGTAGGGCTGTATGTATTTGGATGTTTAATCCTTTGTTTCATACATGAAAATCTGTTGTGAGCTGAGTATCTGGTACAAAGTGTTTTGTTTGGTATGAGACAAATGAGTCAGCACTTTTTCTGCCCTTTGGAGACATACAATTAATTATTTAATTATAGCGATAATTGTTAAGAAGGTAAAAACCAGATGTATATGCAAATTGTTTTCTCTATATATTATCCAATTAGGTCTCGGATGGTACAAGGTAGATAAGAGATCTACTGAATTACAACTCAGGTGGCCTGAGAATTGCTGTTTAATGTTGGGAAACAATTCTAGCTGACAGAAACATAGCATCCTGTGTGTACCTTTCTTATAAAGTACCATATCATATGGAAACTGTTAGTTTTTCCTACTAACCTTTAATATTTTGGGCCATTTCTTGTAATAATGTTTATTTCTTCAGCAACTATAGGTTGTCAATTAGTATTGGTTAAATTCAACAATTCAACTAGACAATGTAATGTTGAAGTGTAGGGACTTCATCTTATTCCTGAAGTAATACTGTCTTTTTTCTTCTTTAAGGCTGTTTATTCAAATACCAAAGAAGAAGTATCCAATATAATTTCCTCTTTATTATCATTATTCTCATTTTCTTCTTTAGATTACTTTTTCCCCTCCTTCCCCTTCTATTTTTTCAGAGAAGAAACTTGCTTATATTGTAATTTAAAACACTACAGAACTACCTATTTTATGCAAAAGCATGTAAAATCCCAAATGTGTATAATTCTGCCTTTATATTTCAGTAAGGTATTGTTTGCAGTAAATTTTTCATTAAGAATAGAACAGTAGATGTGAAAAATGAGCAGAGCTTTAGGGGAAAATAAGTATATTTTAATTATATCCATCAAATATATTCCCATTTGTTTCTCACTGAGCATTTAAGCTATAACATGAATGATCAGTTTTCTCAGCTGTGACCATCATTTAGAGCCTGTGGGTGTCTTTCATCAGCTAACAACCTATTTCAGATGGTGCCACAATATTGAGGTCCTTCTGGGAGCCACCAGTATCCCTATGGTAATATCCAGAGAATACTACCTTGACTCTTGGTTTTGTAAAGTGGCCCATAATCTTGATTTGTTGAAGTTGCCGTCATTGTTTTGGAGGAACAGAAGGAAATGCTGAAATGTGAGTGTGTACTTGTATATGCACTGTTCTGTGAGGGCTGGCTACATGGCAAGCCCCTGGTCTTGGATTGCCTATGAAGAGCGGGGGTCGGGGGGAGGGAGGTTGGAGCAACAAAATATAACTGGGAGTGGGGAGGAAACAAAGGCTTCCCTAGCCCAAAAGCTCAGGCTAAAGACTCTGTAGGAGGAAACTGGCCTTGTTGTAGTAGCCAGTGAGAGATATTGATGAGATTTTTCCTTGTCCATGCCTGTAAGAATTCCCATCAGATTTTTGATGTTTTTCTCTCACTTATTGTTTTTAGTTATTGGTAAGGCTGGACAGTCACAAGCCTCTGGCACAAGGGGCAGAGCCTGCCTTGCAAAGCTTACCATGTAGATGAAAGCTGATAACACTCTGTAAACACTCAGCCCCAAGAGGAATCCTTTGGTATCTTCAGAGACTGTTAATGTTGGGATAGGAGGAAGGTTTGGGGAGGTAGCTCTAGTGAAAAGCATAGGTCTTATAGTAAGATGGATTTAGGTTTTGCCTCTGGAACTGACATTTACTAGCTGTGTGACATTTGTTTTGCTTTCCAAGCTTCTGATGTCTCATCTTTAAATTGGGTAATGTTATCAGTTTCTCAAGCTTACAGTTAGGATTAAATAATATAATGTCTAAAAAAGCATTCAACACAGAAGACATTGTCAGTGTTGAGTAAATGATGACTGCTATTACTATTATTGGACTGGTAGTAACATTATTCCTGTTTTCAGGGATTACAAGTAGTTGCCAATGTGTTCTGCTCGTAGTAGAAGCTAGGACAAAATGGAAGAGAAGTGACCAGATGAAAGAACCACCATTTAAGGCATAAACCTATGCTATTTAGTCTTGAATGATCTATTAATAAAGAATAATACTGAGTCACACCATTTCACCATACATCTATCTGCTAGAATTTTCTAGTTTGGATCTCCATCTGCAGACCAGAAAACATTTGTACTTGAAACTATTATTGGTCAAGCAGTTTACTGAGAGCAAACCGTTGCTGGGGTTTTTTGTTTTGTTTATTTGTTCATTTCTAAAAGGAGGTGATGTGAGTGGATGTAAATACACTGTGCTTGCCAGGATCAGTAAATGTAATTTGTGTGGGCATGTATGTAGTTCCCTAATGACAGCAGTATTAACTAAACAAATTATGAAATTGAAGAAAAAATGTCCATACATAGTAGATATTTAGTTAGCCTTTGGTGAACAAATTCAGGCATAATCTACTAATTTGCTTAGAAAGTAGGTAAGTAGTTTCTATCTACTTAGTAACTACTTAATAGCAGCCATCATTTACTCAACACTGACAACATCTTCTGTGTTGAATGCTTTTTTAGACATTATTTTATTTAATCCTCATTGTAAGCTTGAGAAACTGGTAACATCTGCTAAGTAACTACTTAGAAACTAACTACTTAATAGTCTTTTGTTTAAATATTTTTGTTGATAGGTAATATATTCAAATACATGAAAATTTTAAAAGTTCAAAAGGGTATGCCAGTGAAGTTTTCTTCCCCACCTAGTCCTTAGTATCTTGAGTTTGTTTTCATACATATTTTATGTATATATAAGCAAATACAGATTTCTCCCTTACACAAATGGCAGCATATGACACTGTAAGTGTAATAGTATGTCTTAGAAATGATTGCATATCACTATATGAAGATTTTATTTCTAAAAATTGCTTAATACTCTACCTATGGACATATTTAACCAAGTTTGCTACTGATGGCTATTTAGGTTGTTTCCGACCTTTTGTTATTACAAATATTTTATTGCAGTGAATGTCTGACCTGTACTTGTGTAATTTCACATTCATATGTGTGGGAATTTATTTGTAGGCTAAAATCTTAGAAGTGGAGTTGCTGGCTCATGGAGTAAATACTAAAGAAGCTTCTGATAGGACAAAATTAGTACTTGTGTTTTACCTATGAGGGATGGAAAAACACAGGAGAGCTACCAGTTATGTGGTAAGCCTTTTCACATTAAAGGCTATTCAGGCCTCTTCCGATTCCTGAAGAGATACCCGAAAGCTAGAATTGCTACTCTGGACTTTCCCTTTATTTTAAAACAACTCGGATTAGGCCTGTTTTTCTGATATCAGAAATATTGAAAGGCATTTGTTCCACTTTGAATTGTGACAAGGACAGTAATCACAGTAGGTTCTGGTATTGAGAATGTGCCAAGCACTGTGTTAAATGCTCTCTTTTGTATAGTTCTAATTTAAAAATCCTTGACTTATAGGTAATAACAACATTTTATAGAATAGTAAACTGAGGCTCAGAGAGGTAACTTCCTGAAGGTCACATTACTTAGTGGCATAGGCACTATTTGATACTAAGTCTGTCTAGCTTTAAAGCTTATCCTCTTAATTACCACATGGCCCCTGCTTTCTATCCATTTGTATTTGCCTAGTATATTTTACTTTTAACTTTTTTTACTTCAGTTGTTTTATATGTGTCTCTTATGGGCAGCATATAGTTGAATTTAGGTACACCCCTCTCATGGTATAAAAAGTCTTTTTCTTTTGAATAGGTTAATGCAACCCACTTATGCTCAGTAATATAATAGATATGTTTGTTAAAATATTGTTAAATTATTGTATTTGAACCTTTTTGGTACTTCTTGATATTTGTACTTTCTCAGACACTTGGGATATAAAAGTAAATGCAATAAATATCTTTGTTCTTATGAGGGTGAGAAAACACTAATAAACAATCAATCAGTAAGGCAAAGGAGATGTGTGGTATGAAACAGGTCAAAGTAAACCTCACTGCAAAGATGAGATTTAAGCAAAGACTTGAGGGACCTGAAGGAATTGGACAAACTGATATCTGAGAGAAGAATGTTCTAGGCAGAGGGTACATCTAGAGCAAACGACCTGTTGTATGAGTGTGCCAGACATTCCTGAAGAATGGCTATGAAACCAATTTGGCTGGAGCAAGGTGAGTGAGAAGGGGCATAGTAGTAAATGAGGGCAGAAAGGTAATAGGGGGTCCGACTTTGTTAGTCTTACCTTATTGGTCATATAAGGGCTTTGATTTTACTGTGAATAAAATGGGGATCTGTTGCAGGATATTTAACAAAGAGTGTGATGATATGATATGAAAAAGAAAATGTTCCCTATACTCCCGTTTCCCAGTCCCCTAGCTCCCTTTTCTAGAGGTAACTACTTTCTCTTCTGTGTCTTGTGTAACCTTCTGGAGATAGTCTGTGCTTATTGAAGCATGTGCATGGAGGCACATGTACACATATACACATTTACAAAGAACATACCATACATACATAACCAGCTCTGCCTATTGATGGACTTTGTGCTTGCTTCTGTTTTTTGCTGTTACAAACAGTGCTACAATAAATATTGTATGTGTTCATCTTTACACTCATTTGTGACTATGTCTGTAAAACTAATTACTAGAAGTAAAATTTCTAGCCCAAGGATTGTGGGAATTTACTTGATAGTTGTCTCCCAACTCCTCCTATACATAGAATTTGTGTCAATTTTCACTGTGACCAATGATATATAAGTATGCCTAGTTCTATACCATCACCATCAAATGCTATCAAACTCTAATCGTTGTAATCTGATAGATGAAAAATAGATTTTATTGTAGCTTTAATTTATATTTCACTTATGATTTACTTCATATGTTTAAAAGTCACATATATGTCCTTTTCTGTGAAATATCTGTATACATCCTGTGCACATTCATATTTGCCCATTTTAAAAATTGACTTGTGGAAGTTTAGTATTTTAAAATTAACCATTTTCCTGCCATATGTTACAAATATTTTTTCTCAATTTATTTTCTGCCTCTTTACTTTGATATAAGGAGAGTTTTTTAAAAAATCAACTACTGTCTTTTAAATTTGCGATGTCACATTTATTAAACTTTTTTTTAGTGACTTCTATTTTATGTTATACCTAGAGAGCCATTTCCCATGCTGAGACTAAAAAACACTTGCTGAACTGTCGATTCTTTCTTCTAGTACTTTGGTGGTTTCTTTGTCTTTGTGTTTTTTTCTGTTTCTTTTTACATTTATATCCTTAATCAATTGTGAATTTATTTTGGAGTAAAGAGTGATACCTCACTCCTAGAGATTCAGCTTTATTTTTTCTAGCTGTTCCAATACCATTTGTTGAATAATTTATTACTTCTTCATTGATATGAAGTGCTAAATTTCACACTAACATATCACATATGTTTGCATTTAGATCTATTCCTTAGACAAAGGTTTTTAAAAAGTTTTTTTCACCTGGAACTTCTGTAGGATTTCTTCTGTCTTTTATTGTTTTGTCATTCAGAGGTCACAGTTTGTGATGTGTTTATAGATGTCAGTAAGCCATGTTTCTGAAAGGTTCAACCTTCTGGAATAAGTCCAGAAGTAAGTGGAAAAATGTTCCTTTGTACCTGTTCTGTATCTAATGGAATTATTGTTTACATGTGAAGTTGAAATAAGAAAAATTAGTAGCTGTAAAGATTCAGAAAGTGTAGCACCTACACACCTATCTGAAAAAAATTTTACAAACTAGAAAAATCGAAGAGAAGTGCAAGGATGTAAGAAACAATGGTGAATAATATATCATTTCATAAAAATTAATTTAAAAATTTGGAACAGTGCAGTGCTAGAAATAATAATAGAAAGACCAAATATGACACTGAACCTGGCTTAGTTGAAGAAGGAGTGGAAACTCCAATATGATGTGTGGTGTTTCCTGGGAAGTGATATCTAAGCTGAATGCGAAAGGATGAGTGAAGAGTTAACCCAGTGATTTTTCTCAGAATGTAATGATTATTAAGGATGTTTCCTGTCTCTTACAACTTTTTGAACCTCCGAAAGATACTTTATTGATTTACTTGGATTTTCTAGGTTTATATTTATACCAGCTGCAGAAAGAGAATACAAATAAATCTTTTCCATGTATATATCTTCTTAAGAAGTATTGCTGATATATCTAATACTACTGCTTTGTTGAATGAGGGTGTTTGATGGGATATTCTTGTTTCTGTTTTTATGGTTTATCTCACTTAGTACTACTCTATGTTTTTAAAGTTGAAGCAGTAAATTGTAATATTTTTCTTGTATAGAGTTAACTTTGCCTTCTGATCATACACCTAATTGATTGAAGTGATAATTGTTTAATATGTTATTGGTGATATCAGCTAATATTTCATTTAGGTTCCTTGGATCTCTATTAATACACTGTATTGGCTACTTTTCTTCATTATTATCTTACTGTTTAGGTTTTAAAACTGAACCCATTTCTAGTACCTAAAAACAAGTCAGGTAAAAGACTACTTGTAATATGAACATTTGGAGAAGTATGCACTTGCTCAATAAGGGCAGGCAGGAACATATGGTACAATTTCTCCCTTTGGATTTATGCTGTGCATAGCATAGTAGCTTTCAGAAGGTTTTAGTGGCAATTTATTTCAATAGCTTTTTCTTTTTCCATTGTTAGAACTCATATTTTTGTGTTTTATGTTTTTGTAAATAGGTATGTGACTGTCTTATCAAATTTATTGACATCTCATTGAAATAAGCTCCGATATATCAAATAAAATTGATTTTTTTGTTTGTAATTAAGTTACATTTTGTGGAGGACTTTTAGTTTTGTTGATTTTAAAGAACCAGATAAAATAATTATTGGCCAGTTTGCAGAAGGATTTAAGTTGAGTATTTAACAATAGAAGATAACATATTTAGTGGGTCCATTCATGTACTAGTCACTATATTGAATGATAATGCATGTAAAAGACGTAGTGCGTGACAACTTAAAAGCTCACAGTTTCATAGAACATGGTTTAAAAAAATAAGGTAGTTTCATTGTAAGGTTGTAAGTATTATGTAAAAGAATGTTTCAAGTGCAGTAGGAACATAGAGGAGGAGAATCACAGGTCTTTTGTGCTTCATAAGCATTCTTTTCCAGCTGTTAAAACATTTTTGTCACTCATAAAAGTACTGTCACTGACAACATCCACCATCGTACTATTTAATATGAAAATTCACCTTCAAATGCCAAAACAGGGGAAAGAGGGAGAGATTATTATTGTATAGTAACATAATAAAGGAAGCGTACCAGCTCAGAGAAATATTTCTGACAACTAAACTCAGGCAGATTCATTGCTTGGATCCTTATGAAGTAGGTATTAATTATTATTAAAGTATCTTCAGCCATGTTCCTATACAGATGTAACTGTTCTTTTTTATTTATTTATTTTTATTTCTTTAGAGACAGGGTCTCACTATGTTGCCCAGGCTGGAATGCAGTGGCTCTTCACAGGTGCAGTCCCACTGTTGATCAGCACGGGTGTTTTTACCTGCTCTGTTTCTGACCAGGGCTGGTTCACCCCTCCTTAGGCAACCTGATGGTCCCCCACTCCCAGGAGGTCACCATATTGATGCTGAACTTAGTGCAAACACCAGGTCAACATAGTGTACTACAGCCCAGAACTCTTGGGCTCAAGTGATCCTCCCACCAGCCTCTTGAGTAGCTGAGACCACAGGGAAACACCACTGCAGCCAGCAAAGTAGCTGTTCTTTAAGTTATCCTTTGATAAAAAGACAAGTTATCACTCTAAAGAGAACTAAAATATCTATGGAAAGAGCTTAAGGGAGCTAGAGAAGTGTTCTTGACTTAGAGTTTAAGAACTATGTGCTTTAAGAAATCTGTAAGCTTCCATAACTTGATAGTGTTGTTCAGATTTTGTGTATCCTTACTGTTTTTTCTTTTCCTTTTTTTTCTTTTTGGAGACAGAGTTTCAGTCTTTTTGCCCAGGCTGGAGTACAATGGTGCGATCTCTGCTCACCACAACCTCTGCTTCCCGGGTTCAAGCAATTCTCCTGCCTTAGCCTCCCAATTAGCTGGGATTACAGGCATGTGCCACCACACCTGGCTAATTTTTTGTATTTTTAGTAGAGACGGGGTTTCTCCATGTTGGTCAGGCTGGTCTTGAACTCCCGACCTCAGGTGATCTGCCCTCCTCAGCCTCCTGAAGTGCTGGGATTACAGGAGTGAGCCACCGCGCCTGGTGGTTGTTTTTTCATGTATAGTTGTTCTTTCAGCTATTGAGAGAGTAATGTTGAAATCTCTGATTGTGGTTTTGTTTTCACATATACTTACTTCTGCTTATAAGTTCCACGTACAGTATTATGCTTTGCTTTGAACAGTCATATGTCTTTTAAATAAATGAAGAGATGGAAAAATGTGTACTGTTTTGTATTTACCCACATATTTTCTAGTTCCAGAGCTCTTTATTCATTTATATAGATTCATTTTACCCTCTATTGTTACTTTCATTTCTTTAGCATTTTTTATAGTGTATGTCTGTTGGCAACAAATTCTTTCAGTTTTTGTTAATCTAAAAATGTCTTTTTTGCCTTTTTTGAGGAATGTTTTCACTGGATAATGAATTTTGACTTGCATTTGATTTTTCTATAGCACTTTAAAAATGTTGTCATCTGACTTCCATTGTTGATTAATGAGAAGTGAGTTGCCATTTGTATTGTTATTCCTATGTGTGAATGTGTCATTTTTCCCTGACTCCTTTTAAGGTTTTTGTTTTCCTCTATGCATGGTTTCAGCAATTTGACAGTGATCTTCTACACTGGGTTTTTTTATTTGTTTGTTTGTTTGTTTGTTTGTTTTGGTATTTATCCTTCTTAGAATTTACAGTTTGGAGGAATTGTATGGCCATTATTACTTCAAGTACTTTTTTCTACCCTATTTTCTTTTATTCCTTCTCTGGGCCCCATTTATACATGTGACAGTTTATGTGATATTGACCCACCACAGATCATAGAGGCTTTGTTTATTTATTTATTTATTTTTTTGAGATGGAGTCTCGCTTTGTCGCCCAGGCTGGAGTGCAGTGGCATGATCTTGGCTCACTGCAAGCTCCGCATCCTGGGTTCACACTGTTCTCCTGCCTTAGCCTCCTGAGTAGCGGGGACTACAGGCACCCGCCACCACGCCTGGCTAATTTTTTGTATTTTTAGTAGAGATGGGGTTTCACTGTGTTAGCCAGGATGGTCTCGATCTCCTGACCTCGTGATCCACCCACCTCAGCCTCCCGAAGTGCTGGGATTACAGGCATGAGCCACTGTGCCCGGCCGAGGCTTTATTTTTATTCAGTCTTCCTGTGTCCCAGTTGTTAAGATTGGCTATATTTTATTAATCTGTCTTCAAGTTCATTGACCCTTTCTTCTTTGCAGTCTACTGTAATCCTATCCAATGAATTTTTCTTTTTAAATGTTGCAGTATTGTAGTATATTGTATATTGTAGTATATGTAGTATATATGTAGTATATATTGTAGTATATATGTAGTATATATTGTAGTATATATGTAGTATATATTGTAGTATATGTAGTATATTGTAGAATTGCCATTTGTCTCTTTATTATAGTTTTCATTTTTCTGCTAACATTTCCCATATACTTGTTCTTTCTGGCCATATTTTCCTTTACTTTAAAAAATGTATTTATAATATCTGCTTTAAAGTTCTTGCCTGCTGATTCCAACTTCTGGGTCATCTTGGGGTCTGTTTCTGTTGACTATTATTTCTCTTGACAGTGAATCATATCTGTCTGTTCCTTCATGTGTCTAGTAAGTTTTATTTACATACTGGACATTTTTATTGATACTCTATGGAGACTCTGAATTTAATTATCTTCTGAACTGTTGGTTTTTGCTTTAGCAGACAGTTAATTTGGCTTGACTCAAACTTCAAATTCAGCCTGCGTTGTGGTGGCCAACAGGCCAAATACCTACTTTATTATCTTACACTTCTAACTGCCTTGTTCTAATGTGTTCCTTAGAGGTTGTCTTGCTTATACATCGTTTGGGACTTAGCAAAGCACCTGCAATTAATATACAAATTTCATTTTTCTTCTCCATGACTTCATTTTTCCCAAGGTTTTCTCTCTCACTTTCCAGCCATTTTGTGAGCTCCCAAACCTATCCTCAGACTCCTTTTTAGCCGAGAAAACTGTTGCTGTCTGCTTGAGTTTAAGTCACATGGAGTGAGGTGGGCCAGAGTTTGCCCCCAGCTCGAAACTGTAACAAGCCAGATTCTATGTTGTGAAATTTTTCTTCATTCAATGATCAACTTCCCTTAAGACTTTGCCTGCTTTTTTATGGCTCTTCAGAGCCTTCAAACAGTTGTTTTTAATATTTTGTCTACAGATTATATTTTTGTCTGCTGATAGGTTTAGTTAGTTACAAACTATTCTTTGTTGGAAGCAGAACTTCCCTACTCCTTTAATAAAATGACTTTGAGAAATGAAAGTTTGGTTATTGTTTCTAAATTGCAATGACCTGTATTGGTGCTAATATCACTTGGCCAAAGGGTGGTTGTGGTATGCAAAAATAGCATATTCCAAAGTCCTGAGAGCAGAGCTGTGACAGCCCTACCTTCAGGTCTAATATGTTATCTGACTTTTTAGGAGTATTTGAATATTCGGTCACCAAGCAGATTTAGTGACTGTCATAAAACATTGCAATTTTTAAAAAATATTTCTAAGGATGTATAGCCAGTGAGTAGAAGAACTTCATTTCAGTCAGTATTAAAGGCGGGGAAAATTCTCTTATTACTCAGGAATTTGAGTCTGGTGCTCCATGGGATGCAGCACTGAAGAGCTAATGAAATCATTATCTCTGCTTACTTTGACTACACTGCACACTCAGGGCAAGCTTTAGGGTCACATTACCACTGCTGCAGAAAGAATAAAGGAATTCACAGTCTACTGGATTAAGTGGAAAACTTGAAGAAAGAATGACAGGATTGGAACTTGTGTTTTCAGATAAAGGTAGAAATTTAAAATTCATAGACATGCTGTAATTGAGCTAACATAATTTCTTCTATTTAACAGCCTTAGGATTGAGGTAGTTCCAAATTAAATTCACTGTTTAATCTAGCATGAGCTGAATTGATATTCTTGCCACATTTTCTATTTGAGAATTAAGCTATTGATCAGGAAAGTGAGATCAGCTATCCCAAACTGTACTTCAAAGAGTCCTTCCAAGGAAAGGTTGTCTCCTAAGTGATGCTGTAGCAATCCTAAGGAAAGATGTAATTTTTGAAAATATTTGTTTTGGTGGATATCTTATAATCAGAATATATAATATATTCAGAATGTATAATATATGTAATATAAAATATATGCTGTGTATTCTGATTTTTTATTTAAGACATATAAATGTATTGTGTATAAATGATCATGTTTAATGTTGAGGGCTAGGAGATCTTTTTAAAAAATCATTGAGAACAATTTAAACCTGTATCCCAAAATGTGACATGTTACACCAAGGGTTGGCCAACTGCAGCCTATAGGCCCATGGGTATTATTTCTCCAGAATCGTTTGTCGATCTCTGTGTTACACCATACTTGGTGATGGGGATGCAAAATAATCAAGGATTCTGCTCCCATACAGCTTACAATGAAGGGTTTCTCCTTAGGGAATTGACCGTATATAGCTCCTTTTTTTTTCTTCTCTCCCTCCCTCCCTCATCCTTTCTTTTCAGACTCTGCTAAAATGTAAACATGTCTGATAAGAATCTTCCAATTGTTCATAAGTTTTTCCCTTTTCTCTTGTGTTTACTTTTTAATTTTAAAATAACGATAGCATTGTGTATCTACTGACATTGCCGTGTAACAAATCATCCCAACCTAAGTGGCTTAAACCAAGAACCATTTATGATTTCTCATGAGTCAGAGTCAGCTGGGGATCAGTTGATTAAATCTTGGCTTAACTGGCAGTGACTCTGCTCCATGTATTTCTCATCATCCTGCTGTCAGTCTGGATAAGTCCTTCTCATGGTGATGGCAGACAGCAAGTTGAGACACAACAAGGCCTCTTGAAGTCTAGCTTGGGACTCGCATACCATCATGTCTAACTCATTTTATTGGCCAAAAAAAAAAAAAAAATCACTTGACTAAACCCAAAGAGTGGGAAAGTATGCCCCCACCCTCAGTGGGAGGGTCCTGGAAAAGTTACATGGCAAAGGGTGTGAAAATTTGGGATTAATAATACAGTCCATCAAAATGTGGTATAGTATTAATATATAGCCTACAACCAGCATTAGGAGCTGAGCTACATCTCAAGTATTTTAATGCGTATTGCTTTTATATGCAGCAAAGATCTGGACAGCATGGACTTACTCCTCAGAAGTCATTCTATAAGGGTACCAGGAGTATGAGGATCCTAAATCCCTTCAATTTAGTTAGTATGTATCAAATGCCTTATTTGTGCCTAACACTATATTAAGTTATGGGGCTTTAGGAGCTTTAAGTCAACGGTAAACACAGACCATGGACAAGTACTTAGAAGATGGTGTGAGAGTTCTAATAGTTGAAGTATATATTGGGTATATAGGTAGCAACAGAAAAGAGGAATAATCATCTCTGTGAAAAGACATAGAAAGCTGTGTGGAGGAGATACTCATATTAAATCTTGAAAGATGAATGGCCAGATGCGGTGGCTTATGCCTATATCTCAGCACTTTGGGAGGCTGAGGTGGGAGGATTGCTTGAGCCCAGGAGTTTGAGAACAGCCTGGCCAACATGATGAGACTCCATCTCTACAAACAAAACAAAACAAAACAAAAAAACAGTTAAAAAAGTAGCCAGGGGCAGCAGTGCACACTTGTAGTCCCAGCTACTCAAGAGGCTGAAGTGGGAAGATCACTTGAGGCTGCAGTGAGCAGTGATCGTGCCACTGCACTCCAGCCTGGGTGACAGATCAAGACCCTGTCTCAGGAAGAAAAAAAAAAAGATACATCTTGAAGGCTGGAGAAGTCAGCATTCCCTGCAGAACAAGTTCAGGTAGAGAAGTACTAGTTGTAGGAAATATCATGGCAGTCTGTTAACTCTTAGAAATTAAGTACTATAATTAAAATCTCTTGTTTCTACCCAGGTAATAGAAGAGTCTCCAAGAGCCAGTGAATAACTTTGTATTTTACTCCTTCTTACATTATTTTCATTGCAGTTCTCAAATGTTGGCATGCATCAGAATCACCTGGAAAACTTGTTGAAATACAGAGTGCTGGACCCTACCCCCAGAGTTTCATATTCAGTAGGTCTGGAATAAGACCAGAGAATTTGCATTTTGAACAAGTTCTCAGATGATTCTGATGGTGCTGGACCAGGGATAACACTGTGAAAACTATTGCTTTATTGAATCCTTCCTGTGTATCTGGCAGCCTGTAATGTGCTGAGTACATAAAGATGAAAAGAAAACATCTGTGCCCTAAAATTGTTTATAATAGGGTGGTGGGAGACAGACGAGTAAATGTATAATGATAGCACAATGGAAAGCATGCTGTGATACGTGGAAGTACAGGTTGTGGCGAGAATACCCCAAAGCGCATCCAACACAGAATGAGGCCAGAGGTTGCAGATGTGTATAAGACCCAGCAAAAACCCTTAATCCTGAGCTGAGTTTTAAAAAATTATCATAAAATAAAACAAAAAGTAGTAACAAATAGAAAAATGACTTTGAATCATGCTTTGCGTGAGATTGGTAAATGGATTCCTCTTTAATGTTGCCTTTAAGATCAAAATTCTTTAGGAAGCTGTTGCTTTTACAGGTGGGGCAATATAACTCTGCATTAGTCATTTTGCAAACAAAATATATCCTTTCCTTTGTTATTTTGTTTTACTCTTCTTCAGCAATTTTTTAAGAAGCCAGAGAAAGATGTTGTGTTTATTATGTGTGATTCAACATTTTCACAAAAACTGCTAGAAATTTTATGTATGTCAAAATGCAGACAAAGCTAGACAAGAGCAGGAACAATCACAGCTAGTGAAACAGAGCTGGTTAGGCAGCTTGACCTGGGAATTTAGGTGTTGAGTCCATAGGTGAACAGGATCAGCTCTCCATTGCAATTGTAGGTTAGCGTGAGACCATGAGACAAAGTGACATCTTTGCCTCCAGAACAGCACTGATGCAATGGATAGATTATGGACCTGGGCAGGACTATAGATAGCTTTCACTTGGACATGATAAACTGGGTGAGGGGGTTGGGCAGAAATGAATTAGAGGTATACTTGAGGCAGGCTGCTGATTGGTCAGTTCTTTGAGTTATATGCCCAGAAAATGGAAGCAAGAACATGACAAATGGCTGGGCTAGTTTTGAGAAAAAGATTTATACCCATGAGGTTGTCTTGGCAATAAAGACATTCTGCCTTTTTAATGAAGCAGCCCTGAGCTATACTGTCATCACAACCTAAAGCGATAACACCTTTATAGGAATAATGGTTTGTGAGGCTTCTGGCTGTATATTTACAATTTTAAATTGAAAGCATATCCCTAAAGCCATGTAGAATATTTCACTTTATTTTATTTTTTTGAGATGGAGTCCCGCTCTGTCACCCAGGCTGGAGTGCACTGACATGATCTTGGCTCACTGCAACTTCCGCCTCCCAGGTTCAAGCGATTCTCCTCCCTCAGCCTCCTGAGTAGCTGGGATTACAGGCACGTGCCACCACAACCGGCTAATTTTTGTGTTTTTGTAGAGATGGGGTTTCACTGTTTTGGCGAGGCTGGTCATGAACTCCTGACCTCAAGTGAACCGCCTGCCTTGGCCTCCTTAAGTGCTGGGATTACAGGCATGAGCCACCACCATGCTTGGCCTGAATATTTCATTTTAAACAATTATACTCTACCTGGTAAAGGGAGCTGAAGTCCAGAAGAAATTATAAATAGAATGCTCAAACTTTAAAAGGATGTAGTGCAATATGTTTTTATTGAAGAATTGGTAATAATAATTATTTGTACTCTTTTTACTTGTCCTTTTATAATATAATTTAATTAACAATGAAATCTTGTAAACTTTTTCTTAGCATACATCTGTGGATGGATATACTGAACCACACATCCAGCCTACCAAGTCGAGTAGCAGACAGAACATCCCCCGGTGTAGAAACTCCATTACGTCAGCAACAGATGAACAGCCTCACATTGGAAATTACCGTTTACAAAAAACAATAGGGAAGGGAAATTTTGCCAAAGTCAAATTGGCAAGACACGTTCTAACTGGTAGAGAGGTAAGTTTGCACAATGCCTTTTAATATCTGCCTGGACCTCTCTGGAGTCTTGTTAAAGCTTCCTTATAGCCCATGTTTGGGAGTAAAATGACAGTTTCAATATGATTAACACTGGGGTGTGTGTGAATGGAACATTAGTAGGCAGAGGTTTATCACGGCATAAAAGTTGACCTTTTAATATTTAGAAAAGAATCATTCCTATATATTAGCATCTCATAAATCAGGTGTGCTGCAGATGAGCTTTCCTCAGATTCTGACTTTCGTTATATGATTTCTGTGAACATTTCTGATTGCCATTGCTGCCCAGCCCTCAGGAACAAAAGTTCTTGCTGCTTGATATAAGTTAGGTATAAATATGTAGAAAGTCACCTGCTAATTTGTATCTGTTTAGAGACTACATTGAACAAGTACTTCTATATGGGTGGTTTTCTCAGGTAATAAGATAATTGGATTTCTAAAATCTCGTGTGTTTTAAGTTATATGTATTTATATAGTAAGAATTTATATATTTGCACATATGTACGTTGTGTATATATACCTGTATGCTAGGGTTACAGACTTTATTTGAATAAATGTGTAACATTTTGTATTATATAACGTTTACTAGATCTGATTAGGACATTATAAAAAAAAATCTCAATCAGGCCCAATGCAGTGGCTCATGCCTGCAATCTCAGCACCTTGGGAGGCTGAAGTGGGCATAATTGCTTGAGGCCAGGAGTTCAAGACCAGCCTGGGCAACATGGCAAAACCCCAGCTCTACAAAAAATACAGAAATTAGCTGGGCTTGGTGGTGTGCAACTGTAGCTACTTGGGAGCTTGAGGTGAGGATTACTTGAGCCCGGGAGGTCAAGGCTGCAGTGAACTGTGGTAGCACCACTGCACTCCAGCCTCAGCAACAGAGTGAGATCCTGTCTCAAAAAAAAAACAAAAACTCAAAGAAAATATTTTTAATAAATTTTCACTTTGCTCTATGTATAATATTATTGTCGTTTCCCATTGAATTTGGTTCCTTCTGTCTATTCTGACCCCAGGAGCCATTCAGAGGCAGGGAATACTGGGCAGAGCCTTAGATATTCAAGTCCATTTTGTCAGTTTGCTCTAAGTAAGCTTGGATATCCAATCTCTCTACCAACATAATTGTTTTATTCACATAATATTTAACTTACTGCAAGTTCACAAGCCACTTCCCCCTATAATTGTTGCTTATCAAGATCGTGAGTAAAAGGTTAAGATACAGGATGATTTTTACTTTAAAGAAGGAAACTTAGAAGAAATAACAAAGCTTTCATTTCATTGGCTCAGGATCAAAAGATTAAAGACTTGGGTCAATGGAGTATATTCTAAGACTGCCAAATTATCAAAATGTTACTATCTGATTATGTGAACACCTAAAAAGAGCTAAATTATATCTAGTTAGGAATGAAACAGAAATTGGATTTTTTGAAAGTTTTATTCATTAAAATATGCATTTTTCAAATAGAGTTTAATGATTCTTCTTTTTTAGGTTGCTGTGAAAATAATAGACAAAACTCAGCTAAATCCTACCAGTCTACAAA
This sequence comes from Homo sapiens, assembly GCF_000001405.40. Lineage (NCBI taxonomy): Eukaryota > Metazoa > Chordata > Mammalia > Primates > Hominidae > Homo > Homo sapiens. Next base: position 220,581,117 of record NC_000001.11, read on the forward strand.
AGGTATTTAATTAATTTAATAAGTAATTAAAATGTGAGTTTATCATTAATATGTGATGTTCTGTAAAATCAGTCATTCTAAATTTTCTATTAGGTACAATTCTACATTTCATCAATATAAGAAGAAAAGACATAATATAAAATGTAATGTTTATGACTTACCAAGTAGTTGCTTGAAAACTATCTACTACTTAAATACATGTAGTATATGAAAGAAATGTATCTCTTCTATTCAATAGAATAAAACCTTGTGTCATACATTTTGAAGTATTCAGGATTTGAAATATTCAAATATTTTGAAGTATTTTCAAGTATTCAGAATTGACCTCTGAAAATTAGACTTATATTAAATGAATAATCCATTTACTGATAATATCTGGTGCCTTAGCTGTTATATAAAATGACAAATGGTGGTGACCTAAGCCATTTAAACTTTTGTGAGTTTTCAGATAAAGTCCAGAGACCTTGCTGATAAGCTTCTTAATTAAAAATCTAGTTAGAAGTTAATATTGTTCATAGGTGAGTTTCCTTTTATTGCTTCATTTGCTCTTCTTCCTTCTTCCACAAGAACTACTAGTCTTTCAGATAACTCACAGTACAAAATAAGAATGTTTCTTTAAAGGATTGAAAATATGAAACAACATAGAGAGAAAAGAAAGCAGTTAGGAAGGGGATTGCCTTAGCAAACCAAAGCTGTTTCACGTTACTTCATTAATTACTTAAATGGGAAAATTTTCTCAGATGCACATTTTAGTACTTTAAAAATGAAGCAAATGTTTTAACATTTATGCTGTATGTGATAGGTTTGTATAGAGTGAGAGAATATACATTGTGACTTTTATTAGAATATAATGGGACCATTGTCACATATGTAATTTTAATACAAATGACTTTGAATTCCTAAAACAGAAAGAATCTTATAAGAAATTGTTAGTATGTGTGCTTACATCTGCTATGATTATAGCATTAGATTAAAAATTTAGATTTGTGATATTCAAACTTTCTTCTCATTTGGCTCAGTCCCAGATTTCTTCTTAGAGCTCTGCCTTTGTACTTATCGGAGATTCTTTTGAAAATTTGACAACCAGTATAACTTTTCATAACACTGATATTTCTGCCCAGTAAGAACATGAAAACTTTGCTGGGTTCTTCTTTTTCTGTGAATGTGAGATAATGTATTATGGGTCTCTTCTTGGAGAAAGTCTCTTCTTTTAGCACCAGTCTTTTTGCTAACCATGATGCCTTTGTGTAAGTGAGAAAAAGACATCCTACCTGGACCAATTAACTATGCAAAGATGCTGTTTTTTACTGGGCTGGAACCACAGTAGGACATATCTTTGCCTACCCCTGTGCTGGGAACCCACTTAAAATGCACAAACTGGGTAATTGTACACAGTGTCCCTGTCCATGGCCCACATAGCTTTTCTACTTTTCCTGGATTTAGTTGTGGGTTACTCTGGCAAATTGAGTGATTTTTAAGTGGCATCTAGAACTACTCAGGCCTGTTGTGCTAGCTGGAATACACAGCAATGCGACTCCTACTCTGTCTTTCCCAAGGTTGTATAAACAAAGTTGTACTTATTGAAACATGTGAACATGAAACTGAATGTTGCTTTCTTTATCTGAATAACTAAAACGTGTACTTGATGATGATAAGTAATTTCTGTCATAAAATCTACTAATCTTGTTGATAAAGTATTGCTTTTCCAAATAGGCATATAAAAATGATACAATTTTGTTTTCTTTAACCCGTGAAAATAAAGATGAAGACTCACTAAATGTAGCCAGTACACTGTGTGTGTGATTGTTTTTTGAGTGATTTACATGTATGTTGATAGATTTGCTTTCTTTTAGAAGTTCTGAAGGAAAAGCAGATCAAGTCTTCATTAATTCTCATGTGTTTAGAACATTCAGCATTTGACCTTTCCCATTTAGGCAGTAGCATCTCCCAGTCAGTCATACTTAAAAAGTAATGGAATGTGAAACAATCCATTTTTCCCTAGCATTGAAAAAGACAGTAAAATTTGCTTCCATGTCTTAGGTATACTCATAAAAGGCAGGTAATTATCGCACATTTATATGAAATAAGGATTCATTGTAATCTCACTTCTAGAAGTGTTTGGGTAAATTTGTTCTGGTTTGATCTGAATTTAAGCTGATCCCTCTCCTTTATCCTCTTCTGTGTATCAGATATTTATAGGAATTACTGCCTTCCTTTGCAAACATCAATGATAGATAAAAGAATCTAAAGTTGATACACCAACTGCTTAATACTGCCAAAATACAAAGTTCTTAAACGTGTTTGGTTTTTGGAATTGTTAAGTATCTTTGGCTTCAATATTGTTCCCATAATATGCTCATATTATTTGTATTACATATTTTGAATTAATGGAATCCAATTCAATGAGTTTTCATAGTTAAAAAGTATTTTAGGTAGATGCTATTTTTAGTTCTTCCTCTTCAAAGCATTAGTTCTACCTCATAGAATAATGTATTTTAGAAGAGGGTCCATGAACCATACTAGTGATTCCTGGGTTCTTTTTTTTTTTTTGAGACAGAGTCTTGCTCTGTTGCCCAGGCTGGAGTGCAGTGGCGCGATCTGAGCTCACTGCAACCTCCACCTCCCAGGCTCAAGCGATTCTCCTGACTCAGCCTCCTGAGTAGATGGGACTACAGGTGCATGCACCATGCCTGGCTAATTTTTTTTTTTTTTTTTTTTTTTTTGTATTTTTAGTAGAGACGAGGATTCACCATGTTGGCCAGGATGGTCTCGATCTCCTGACCTCGTGATATACCCACCTCGGCCTCCCAAAGTGTTGGGATTACAGGTGTGAGCCACTGCACCCTGCCTCCTGGGGTTCTTTTAAGCAGCCTACTAATGTTGAAGGAAAAGCAAGACAATAAAATAATATTTTTCATAGTTCATAAATTTGAAATGTAAGATCATTTTCTCAGAGATATCACTAGTTTTGAAACTTGGACACATCAATTGATGCAAAGATGACAAAGTTTGTGTCAGTCTGTCTCAGCTTACAGTCACCAGAGTGCAGTTTATCTCTGCTAACATTTTTGTATCTTCTGTGTATTACTTATTAATTTACATTTTCTATTGTTTTACTGTGTTATATTATGTTGCATATTCACAAAAGTGGCTAAGTGGTTCAGAAGTGATTTCCTAAGTAGTAAAATCTGTAATGAAAATAAAAACAAGACTTAGTACAACTCAGAATTATGTCATTATATAATAGATGACTGCTGCGCTAAAGTTTTATAGAATGTGAATCGCTTTGCTAGGACAGTGATTTTACACAAACAGGAAAAGGGTAAAACATTTAAATTATTGAATTCTGAAAATTAGACTTTATTAAATGAATAATCAAGTTACCGCTCGTGTCTGGTGTGTTACCTGTTATATAAAATGTTGTCAAATGGTGGCCTAAGCCATTAAACTTTTGTGAGTTTTTAAATAAAGCCCAGAGACCTCTCTGGTAAGCTAATTAAGTTTTCCAGATTATCTGCAAAATAATCTTTGTCATGTTGAAGAATTTGGTAACTAAAGGTAGAGAGGAGAACAGAACCATGGGAGCAATATTCAGAATTCAATATATTTTAGCAAATTATCAGAAACCAAACTTGCAAAACCAATCACAAAATTATTGACAAATATTTTTATCAAGGAGAGAGCACAAGAAGCTCTTTGGAAATATTCCTTAACAAATGTCACTATTGGACATATATTGAAATATCAGCTACTCTCACATATACATGCTATATAGCATATTTCACTCTATAGCTGAACAAAACCACTTATGTGCTGAGTACTTCTTTCATACAGTTCTTGTCACATGTGTGGATCATTTGAAGGAACAATTTGGCCAGTTCTTACGTGGGCCAACAAAAACATAAGTGATAAGAGAATTATTATTTTGTGAAATGATATGTAGACTGCATAAGTTATCTTTTAACCAATAATGATGAAATACCCCTAGAGCTTTTTTGAGGGTTAAAGGTGGGGATATTCTGCAAGGAATAATTCTGCCATGTGAATAAATAAGATTATGCCTAATAGCCAGTTACCCACTGTTTCACTCTCCATGAAATTAGTGGTCAGCAAAATGCTTTTAATTTTGATTTGGTTTTGGACAAAGTACTGAAAACAGAGTATAACATAAAATCATAGGAAGAATTGGTGGGAAGTATACTTTTCACACTGAAATATGAGGATTTTGAGGGAAAGGTGTTTAAACAAGTGTTTTAAAGGTGATACCAATAATATTAATATCTGGCTAAAATATCAACAGTTTAAATGTTGAGGATGTGATCATCAGATTTGCTGAGAAAAACAAACTGTGCAGTTTAGTGACCAAAAATCTGACTTTTCTAAACCTTGTTAGCCCTCTTTAATTACTGGGGAAAGGGCTCAATGACATATAATTGGGCATTTTTAACATACAGATGTGCATCCAAATATGAAAAATATCTTCCAGAGCAAGCATATCCAAAGAGTATGTCAAAAATCTATTTGCTAATATCCCTCAAATTAAAACTTCCAGTCTTTCACGTTTTGAGTTTAGTAAGCTCAACAACCTAGAATTTCACAGCCATACATAATCTTCGGGGAGAAATATCTCTTTAAGGTTAGATTCAGTAATCACTCTGAATGTCTTGAGAATTACCTGAAACATTACCTAATGCTTATTCATTTTCCCAGTCAATCTATGATTGTGACTTGGGAATTTTCTTGCTGATTTTATTTCTTGTATCTCTTTTGAAAATGTCTGCTTTTATCTTTCTCTATCATGACCAGTTTAGACAAAGTCACTGTTATCTTCTTGTAGCCTTCCAACTGCATCCACTTTACATACGTATACACACACACACACACACACACACACACGCGCGCGTGCGCAGAGAGAGAGAGTTTAAAATGTAATACATAGAGTTTAAAAGTTGTCAAGGATGCAAAATACGTCTGTGAATATGCTATCCCTTTGTTTAAGCTTTCAGATGGCGTTTTATTGTTTGTAGTCCAAAAATCAAATTCATTAACATGGTATAAAGGTCCTCACTTCCTTTTCCACCTCATGGACCATGAACTCGCCGTAGCTTCTCTTCACTCTCCTCTTCCCCGACTCCTACAGCTTTAGTGATTTTCATCTGCTCCTATTCATACTCTATTCCAGTTACCAGGCCTTTGCAACTTTCTCCCACCTTCTGGGTAAGGCTTATCTCCCCTCTTCCCTTAATTAGTCCTTACTCATTCCTCCCATTTCAGCCTAGAGTCACTTCTTCAGGGAAACCTTTCCTATTCCCCTAACAGTGTTAAATCCACTTACCCTCCATAAAATCAAGCACTCATAACCAAGGATTATTTATAAATAACCACTTTATTTTTATTTGTTTTGGTTTTGGTAGTCGTTTGTTGATTTGTTTGTTGACACTTTTTGTTTCTGATGTTTTTGTTTTAATGCCTGTATTCTACCTCTAACTCCAAAAACCTCTGTCCTAATTGCTTGGTTTTTAATAGCTGCAAAGCATCCATTTCTATGTTCTCAAGAAGCTACTTAAGATATACTGAAATCAATGTGGAAGAATTTTCTCTTGAGGGAAATGAAGGAGGCTTAGAGTCTTTAAGTCACCTATGAAGTTTAGACTAACTATCTGGCTGTTTTAAAAGTCACAGTCTTATTTTCTTATTTAGTTATTTTAAGCATCGTATTTTCATGTTTTTCTAAGCTTGGCAGTTTGTTGATATAATAAACTAGTCTATTTTTAATTTTTGGATGGGGACTTCAAAATGTCTTTCCCATTTTAAAAAAGTTGCTTTCTCATGATATTTATTTATTGCACTAAAATGTTTTGTTCTAATCTTGTTTTTAAAGAAATAAAACATCACAGCTATAATTGAAGACCCATGTGTCATTTCTTGGTTCCAGTCTTGTCTTTCCTACCTAGAAATAACCACTATTCTGAATTTGATCTTTCTTATTCCCACTTAAATTTTTAAAAACTTTTTTTTACATATGATTGTACTTAAAATACAGTATATTAGTTATTTTAAAATTTCCTATCTTTCTGTAATCAGATTTTTTCATTTAACATTGTCTTATAGTTTATTCATGCTAACTATATAGTCTCTCCTTTCCTTCCTTCCTTCCTTCTTTCCTTCCTTCCTTCCTTCCTTCCTCCCTCCCTCCCTCTCTCTCTCTTTCTTTCTCTCTCTCTCTCTCTCTCTCTGTCTCTCTCTCTGTCTTTCTTTCTTTCTTTTTTTGGACGGAGTTTCACTCTTGTTGCCCAGACTGGAGTGCAATGGCGTGATCTCTGCTCACTGCAACCTCCACTTCCTGGGTTCAGGTGATTCTCCTGCCTTAGCCTCCCAAGTAGCTGGGATTACAGGTGCCCGCCACCAAGCCCAGCTAATTTTTTGTATTTTTAGTAGAGACAGGGTTTCACCATGTTGGCCAGGCTGGTCTTGAACTCCTGACCTCAGGTGATCCACCTGCCTCAGCCTCCCAAAGTGCTGGGATTACAGGCATGAGCCACCGTGCCCAGCCTTGTTCATTTATTTTTTATTGCTATTGTTAGATCCCATTGTATGAATATGCCATGCATAGTTTATCCATTTTCTCCTTAATATACTATATCTATTTATTTTCCTGTTAGTGGATTTTATTGTTCTATGTATTTTATTTTGTTTTTCTAGTTAACTATTTGTTTTTACTATACAGATAATGAATGACCATTATTGTGTATATCTTTTTGAGAAGATGTATAGAGGGATGTCTCTCTTCAAGTAGAATTGCTGGGTTGAAGGGCATGCATAGCCTCAACTTTACTAGATAATGTCAAATTGCTCTCCAGTGTAGTTGTACCGATTTTTACTTAAGCCAACACTGTATGAGATTTACTGTTGCTCCACATTCTTGCCAACACTTTATATTACCATGTTTTAAAATTTTTGCCAACCTTATGGGTGTGAAGTTGTATCTAGTTTTAGTTTTAATTTCCATGATTTCTAATGAGATTGGCCATCTTTTCAAATTTAGGCTGCTTTTAAGTTTAATATCTTCTTTCTGAAATTATTTAACTTCATATCTCCAACAATTACTTTTACTGAGCACCAACTTATACCCAAAGCTGTGCAGGATCTTAGGAGAGATTCAAGTAATGTGAAATTGGTACTAGTTCATAAGAAATTATAAGACTTATAATCTTCTTATAAGAATCTTATAATCTACCTATGTGAAGACAAAACTTTGGGAAACTGACACAGGCTATCATTTATAGAATATTTCCTTCTATTACTTTGCAATGAATAATTGGCTGCAAGTTATCAAGTTTATAAAGAAATACTGAATAATTATTTTACTGTTGTAGTTATAAATCATCTAATATATATTCATTTAATTATATTCAGATCTCTTTCTGTGCTACGATTTCATAGGAAGACCTTAAGAAGTTAGCTTAAATTGTTATAGTGCTGCTAGCAATAATTTTACAAAATACTTGACATCCCAATGAGATGTCTAAAAGCTAAAAAGGAAATGACATGATGATCCTAGAATTTAAAAAGCTGAAAGTTTAATCTGTAGGATTCTGTTAACATAGATAAAATATATATATACATAATCCCTCAATAAATGGCACTTATGAGATAGTCTAGACAAGGACCTAGCAGTCTCTTGGAACTGCATGTCACCTTCAGGGTAAAACCACACCCACACTTCATATTAATAGGCCAGTAAACTGTCAAATATACAGACAGAAGTTTTATAAAGATTGCAGTGAAGACAAAGAAGGGTTCCTATCCCTCCTGAAACCCAAATCAGAGCAAAATCCTTGAAAGGTGAAGAAGGCTATGTTGTAAGGCACAAGAACTGTATGCCAGCCTTCTACTAGCCCAGTTTACTGTGACTCTGAAGACAGCCTGAAAGAACTCTCTCAGGAGGAACAAGCTGAACCACTGCCTTTGTCAAGCTCCCAATGACCACAATGTGCTCCTTCTGCCTCAAGATCAAGCAAGCGATGGCGAAGTCCTGTGACATTGATGAGACCAAGGGCAACTTCGTCAGACTGGTGAGCAGGTCTGATGGAGAGAAAACCATGTGCATTTGGCCCCTGACTATGACACTTTGGGTGTAACTAGAATGACGATTGTCTAAGCCATGTCCAGTTGGCTAGTTCTAAAAATGACAGACTTTTTCATCATCACAAAAAGAGTGCTAGCAGAGGAATGGAAGAGATAGGAAGGAACAAAGAGCAGTTGAGAAGAGAAAAGGAAAATGCACATAATTGAGGGAAATATTGATTGACACTAATGGAGTTTGGCTAACCCTGACCTAAGCTCTAGCCAGGAAAGACCCAATTGAAAAGTAAATATCTCCAAAGAATTGAAGATTGTTTACTACTTTAGTTATCTGGAACAAAGCCAAGAACCAAGAAGGAAACAAAGACCTCTGAACAACTAGAATAGCTGTGATATAGAAGACATATCTCAGGCCTTCACTCCTGGCTTATTTTCCTAATTTAACACACAAGTCTAGCAAACTCTGGCCTTAATTTCCAGCCTACAGCAAACCTGAAACAGTAAATTTGAAGGGGAATAGTAAATTCAGAGCTCTTTTACTAAATTTACATTTGCTAGCAACATTGTGTGACATCACAGTTTGAAAATGAGAAAGAAAAAGAACTGAAAATTAACATCAGAAACTCAAATAGTAGCATGGCACTGCTGTTCTTAAAATTACCTCTATTTTTTATACTTGTACCTGGAGTGTATGACACATGCAATAATTAACTTTTTAAAGAATAACTCTGTTTCAAAGTAAACTTCTTTTCATAGTCTAAATGCCTACTCAGCTCTCTCCACTGACCCAAAGAAGTGTGAAGATTGGCACCTTGCTGATGAGGATCTGCTCTGGGTTAAAAGATCACATATGTATATGTGGCTCTTCCTCTCCCTCTCCCTGCTTCCTTTTGCCTCATGCAGCTCATGCAGAAAACTCTGCCATTAGCTTCGGTCTCTTTCTTTCATGCAGCCAGCTGGAAAATAAAGAGTTAGGCAGGGGTTTAGGGGAGTCTTGGAGAGGAAGAGATATCTTAGACATTTGCTTAAGATGTGGTACTTTTCAATTGGCCAAAATTCTCTAGATTTGGAGGGTTATCATATTAGTCTGCTAGTCGGGCCATCACAAAATACCACAGACTGGGTGACTTAACAGAAATTTTCTCACCTTTCTAGAGTCTGGAAATTCAAGATGAAGGTGTGTAGGCAGGTTTGGTTTCTCCTGAGTTCTCTCTCCTTGGCCTGCACATGACTAGTTCATCCCTGACATTTCTCCCTCTTTTTAGGACACCAGTCATATTGGATTGGAACCCCACTCTTCTGACCTTATTTAACCTTCATTAGCTCCTTGAATTCCCTGTCTCCAAGTATAGTCACACTGGGCATTAGGGATTCAACATATGAATTTAGGGGGGCACAGTTCATTTCATAACAGGGATCCAAATCCAGCTGACAATTCAAGTGTTTCTTTGTGAGGAGAGATGCTTGATGGAATAGGAATCTGGTATTCCATTATCCTTACTCAATATACCATGTAAAACATCCTAATGTTCCTTCTTACAGCAACCATTCTTCGACAACTGCCTATCATTTTTAGTCAACACACACCCAAACCCACGCACATCTTCTTGTTATCGCTTATGTTTTTTTCTCTCTCCTTGTCCAAAGCTGCTGAAGGAGAGGAAACTAAGGATTAAACAATATACTCAAGACATCTTTGAGATATAGGAACCCAATGGCTGTGTATTGTTGTTTTATTGGAATTAAAAATTCCAGTTAAAGTTCTGATTAGAACTTTGGCCCTGCCTACACGTCTTTTTCTTGCTTCTTCAGATGGAAGTGGAGTGACCTTCTGTTTAGGTGTTGTTTTTGTTATGGATGCCCCAGTTTTCACAAAATGATTTTAATCCTGTCCCTCAGCTCATGTCTGTTCTTTGTAGAACGGAATAACTGCATTCCAGGTACCAGTCAGGGATTGAATTTATGAACTAATTGCAGTCAAAAACCCAACTTAAGAAATAATTAAATAAAAAAACACCCCAATACTTTTGGAGGAATTCCTGAAGAATTTGCTGCCAGTCTATTTCTTTAGATTAGTTGTTCTGAAACATGGAGCTGCCAGGAAACATCAGTATGTTTCTGTTAGTTTTGAGATATGTCCCAGCCGATTCTAAGAGAAAACTACCAAATTTGCCAGTAATTTCATAAAAAGTAACTGGAGTAAATTCAAGATTATTCATATGACAGTGTTGTCTTCAGTATACTGTAATTTGATGTACTTTGTCAAGACAAGAGAAAGAAGAGGAGTTAGAACCCAGAAACCAGCATGGCTTATTCATGTTGTAGCTTAATGGGCCACACTTCCTAGTACACAGGAAATGCCTGTGCCAATTAGAGAGTACAAGTAAAAGCCCTCTTTCATAGTGCAGTAAGGAGCTGTTAATTGAAAAAAGCAGGTTAAAGTGAGGAATTATTAAAAGTTATATAAACATTTAACACTTCTATTGTACACACAAATGTATATGCATTGATGAATCTTTTCATGTAGGGCCAAAGCTTTTTATTTATTTATTTATTTTTTGAGTTTGGTTCTGCCAATTGTCATTCTGCTTTATTTACCTTGTACAGATCACACTCATAAGCTCATAATACCCTTCCTACTATTTCCAGTTTTGTTTTGTTTTAATTAATGAGAGAATTGAATGACACTCGGGCAGCAATCAGAGCAGAAGCCTAGATTTTATTCCAGTCTTTTGCATTTATCTTGCCCACACCTAGCTGGACAGCAGTCTAGCAGCTTTTATCTAGTATTTCCAAAGTATTCAATTTGGTTTGTTTTGTCAAACAACAAACATGTACTTCATTGGTTTATGTAAAATTTGTATTGGACAGACTTTGAGGCAACCCCCATGATTCTTGCCTTCTGATGTTCACACTTTTGCATAATCCCTTCCCCTTGATTGTGAACAGGACCTATGACTTGCTTCTAACCAATGCAATAGGGAAAAGGTGATGGAATTTCACTGTCATGATTATATCATATTATATTATATTATATTATATTATATTATATTATATTATATTATATTATACTATCTTGCTAGCAGACTTGCTCTAGAGACTATACTTGCTGGCTTAAGAAAGTAAATAGCCATGTTGGAGAAGTCCACTTGGCAAGGACCTATGTACAGTCTCTAAGAGGTAAGGGTGGCCCCTAGCTGACAGCCACCAAGAAGCCAGGGTCCTCAGTACTAACAGCTAAAAAGAAATGAATTCTGCCAGTAACCTGGGTTAGCTCAGAAGTAGATTCCTCCCTAGTCAAGTATCCAGATGAGAACCATCCTGGACAACACGTTGATTGCAGCCTTACGAGACCTGAGCAGAAGACCCAGTTAAGTCAGGCTTGGAATACTGAGCCGCAGAAACTGCAAAGCGACAAATGTATGTTGTAAATTGCTAGGGTATGGTACTTTGTTACTCATCAATAGGAAATTAATATATAAACTATTTCCAGTGGTAACTGCAACTGGCAAACATGTTTGGGACCTAGATAACCTCTGGTAAGCATGATTCTCAACTGCTTGGAGTGTAAGGCTGCAGGGAGCACCACTAGCCAAGAGCATTATGGGTGCACAGATGTCACTCACTGTGTGTTGCAGAGGGAATGCAGAGCAAAGGTTGGCAGGTTAGTTAGTAGAGGCCAGTTACAAAGATGTCTGATATACTGAAATGCTGAGTTGTGATTTTTTAAGTCATTTCCTACAGCTTAACAAATAAATAAAATTTTAACAAGAAAGCAAGAATAGATGAAGAAAGTAGAAGCAGTAATTCATTTAGATATTCTATATGAGTGTAGGAGAGCAAGACTGATGCCAGGGACTTTTCTGTTAGAGATATATAATAGCAATAATACAAATAAATTACAAATGAAACATAATAATGCTACTTATATTAATAACAAGTTCATAAACTTTAAAATCTATATCTTATAGCAAAACCAAAATAAGTACTGTTTGTATTTATTCTTTATAATATGTTCTCGGAGGCTTGGGGAACACTATTTTTAAAAAATTATGTTCAATTTTTAAAATTACCTCAGTTACACTTAAGCATTTTTTCTTATAAAATGACTTCTAAATGTTTAAATGGCTGATTTTACTACTCAGTGCTCATAAAATGATTTTATGAAAGTCATCAAATAATAAGCTACCGTATTTGACTTGACTTTCTGGAAAAAATTACTTGGTTACATTAAAACCTAGAATCATCAGATTTGTGAATTTTGGTTTTATAGCTATATGTGAATCTTGTCTGCTCATATTACTTGTGAATTTTATCTGCTCATGTGCCACAGTAAGAAAAAAAATAGGTTGAAATAAGAAGCCTAGATCCTCTGCAAATCTAACCCACAGAGCCCCACCCCTACTGTCAGCCTGGGAGTCTCTGGGCAGTGGTCACCTGATGAGGTGCCCCCTTGTTTCTCTTTGGGGTTCTCAGGGAGGTGAGTCTGGGGCGGGTTAGGTAGGCAGAGAGGAGGCTCAGGTGGAGTCAGAAGCCAAGGTAAAAACCCTGAATGTGTTCTGAGGGGACTACCTGCTCAGACCAAGGGACCCCATGGAGCTCCATTTCTGTTGTCAGTCCTGGGTAGGCCCAGGCAGGGGTGGCATCCTTTCTGTGTCAGAGTGAGAGGCCCCCTCAGCCCTCACTCTGGATAATCACCCAGATTCCAGGCACATTCTCCTCTGCTGACCTGAGGGCACGCCACTCAGACCAAGGCCCACACCTCCCTGAGACCCCTGAGGAGGAATTGAGGGAATATGACTTCTGGCTCCCTCTGCCCAGGACCTCCAGGACTGCCCACGGTAAGGACCCTTTCTCTGATGTGACAAATTAGAATCAACAAGATATTTAATGAACATTCTACATTTCCTACTGTCCACAGGCATCTGGTATTGTTGAGGATTGGAGCAGGCTTCTCAAAAATTGGCTTGAAAAGGCTTGAAAATGAACAACTTGATTAACACATAGGTGAAGGATCTGAACAGACACCTCATCAAAGAAATTATATAGATGGCAAATAAGCATATGAAAAGATACTCCACATCATATGTCATCAGAGAAATGATAATTAAAACAATAGTGAGATACTGCTACATACCTATTAGAATAGCAGAAGTCCAAAACACAGCACCAAATGCTGGCAAGTTTGTGGAGCAACAGGAACTCTCATTTGTTGCTGGCGGAAATGCAAATGGTACAGCCACTTTAGAAGAGAGTTTGGCAGTTTCTTACAAAACTACACATATCTTACCATATGATCCAGCAGTTGCATTCCTTGGTATTTACCCAAGGAAGCTGAAAACTTACGTCCACACAGAAACTTGCACATGGATGTTTATATAGCAGCTTTAGTCATAATGGTCATAACTTGGAAGCAACCAAGACGTCCTTCAGTAGGTGAATGGATGAATAACCAATGGTACATCCAGACAGCAGAATATAATTTAGCACTAAAGGGAAATGAGCTATCAAGCTACGAAAAAACTTGGAGGAACCTTAAATGTGTATTACTATGTAAAAGCCAATCTGAAAAGGCTACATGCTGTATGATTTCAAGTATGTGACATTCTGGAAAAGGCAAAACTGGTGACAATAAAAAGATCAATGGTTGCCAGAGGTTAGGGAAAAGGGAGGGATGAACAGGTGGAACACATTTTTCAGAGCAGTGTTAGTATTAGTCTATGTAATACTAAAATGATGGGTACATGTCTAAACCCATAGAATGTATAGTAGTAGCAAGAGTGAACAGTAATGTAAATGTGAACTTCCAGTGATAATGATGTGTAGCTCCATCGATTATAACAAATGTACCTCTCTGGTTTGGGATGTTGATGGTGGGGGAGGCTCTGCATATGTGGGGACAGGGAGTATATGGAAACTGTTTGTACTTCCTGCTCAATTTTGCTGTGAACCTAAAACTGCTATAAAAATAAAGTCTATTATGTTTATGTGTATCATAGATATGTATATGTATGTATGTATATGTATATAAAATGACTTCTGGTGCTACTTTGACTTTTCCTGGTTCACATACCTGAGTAAGGCAATTTGGTCAGTGAATGCAGCTGTCCCTCTGTGGGTCAGATGCTCAGTTTTGACAAGCAATCAGTAGCACGCTAATAGCTAATAGCTTTTTAAAACCTGTTAGCCCTGTTTGGGAGGTGAAGAGTTCAAAACTCTGAGGAACGCTTCTGAGTGAAGGCTGACTCCCATTGTCCAAGGCTGCAATAGCAAAATCATCAGTTACAGTGACTTGGAGCTCAAAGGGGCCATTAGGACTGTGGAGCACAAAGGTAGAGCAGACGAGGCTCAGAGTAGGCACTTGAGAGTCATGAGATAAGGCTAGAGAGGTAAATAGGATCTTGATTTTTTTCTAGAGTCTGGTAGCCAGTGTTCAAGATTAGGGGTTTAGTTCTAATAGCATTGAGAAACCACCAGTGGATGTTAAGTAGTAGATAACGGATTGGAGGATGGGAGGATAGAAAAGATGTGTGGATAACAGGTTGGAGGATGGGAAGGTAGAAAAGAGAGTCAGAATGGTTGTACCAAGACCAGTGAGATTCAGTGTGACAGTAGTGTCAATATGGATGGGTAGACGTTGATGGATTTGAGATAAACTGTGGAGGTGAGTAAAAATGTCTTAATGATGCATCGATGTAGAAATTTCAAGAGATGGTGTTGTTAAGGATGATCCTAAAGTTTCAGTTATTAGGGTGCTTGACAGACATATGGAGCTGGGGAAAACCAGTATCAAATTTGATGTGAGAAATCAAGTATTGGGTTTGAATTTCTGTGAGACAGCCAAGTGAAAATATTGAGTAGGTATATATGGATTGGATATAAATGTTGGGATGATAAAGTTAAATTTAGTAGTCAGCAACAAATCGATGATATTTGAAGCCATGATAAATCATTAGGAGAAACATGTAGAGTGAGAAGATAAAGGGGGCTAAGGGCTGAACCCTGAGGACCTCCATGTTTAAAGGTTGAGTAGAAGGGGAGAGGTTTAGTGGAAGACTGAGAGGGGTCATTTAGGCAGGAGGATGGTCAGGAAGATGTACTGTCAGAGCCAGAGCAAGAGATGATCTCAAGTGTACTGAAGACCCTGTGTACTGAGAGGTTAACCCGTATGCTCTTTGTCCCAAATTTGAAATGAAAATGTGTTTCAAAGTTACAGAAAGTACTTGTCTTGAACATGAATGAATCCACCTTTATATTTTATTTACTGATAGGTAATTTTTAATTATTAAAGTTGTAAGTATCATGGACTTTATAAAAATTTATTTATATGAATATACATATGCACACATACAGACTCCCTGGGTTTATGTAGGAATTATTGAGAATAGCTAGGGAAAGCAAGCTTTTTTGTAGGAGGTAAGCCTTAAGTCATTTTGTTTTAATTGGGGTGAACATTTATTGATTCATTTTTGCACATTTTATTTCTTTCCTTAAATTGTGGTAAAATATACCTAACAAAACTTACCATTTTAACCATTTTAAGTATACAATTCAGTGGCATTAAGGTGCATTTACATTGTTGTTCAAACATCACCATCAATCTCCAGAATGTTTTTCGTCTTCCAAAACAGAAACTCTGTACTCATTAAACAGTAACCCGCCCAGTGCCCCATCCTTCCAGCCCCTGGCAACCATCATTCTACTTTACATCTCTATGAATTTGACGACTCCACTCTAGGTACCTTATATAAGCATAATCATACAGTGTTTGCCCTTTTGTGACTGGCTTATTTCAGTTAGCCTAATGTTCTTAAGGTTTATCCATGTTGTATCTATCATGTGTCAGAATTTCCTTCCTTTTTAAGGCTGAATAATATTCCATTGTTTGTATAGACCACATTTTGTTTATCTCTTCATCTGTTGATAGACTCTGGTTGCGGGGCTATTGTGAATAATGCTACTATGAACATGGGTGTACTAGTATCTGCTTGAGTCTCTGCTTTCAATTCTTTGGGTATATGACATATACCCAGAAGTAGAATTACTAAATCATATGGTAATTCTGTTTTTAATTTCTTTAGGAACTGCTATGTATTTTTTTTCATGGAGGCTTTATCGTTTGTCATTCCCATCAATACTGCAGAACTGTTCCAGTCTCTCCACATCCCCGCCAACATTTGCTATTTTCTGGGCAGAGTTGGGGGTTGTTTTTTGATAGCAGTCATCCTAATAGGTGTGAGGTGGTACCTCTTTGTGGCTTTGATTTATATTTCCATAATGATTAATAATGTTCAACATCTTTTTGTGTTCTTTTGACTATTGTGTATCTTTGCTGCAGAAATGTCACCTCTGAAAGTAGTAACTTTAGATTTTATTCTGATAAAATGCATATGTCTTAATATACTTTCAGAATATCACCAATTTTTGGTTCTCCTATTTTCTTGAACAAATTGCTTTATTTGGAAGCTAACATATACTCAAAGACATAGAGAAAATAATACCAAATTATGCTTTTGAAAAATGTGCCCTGTATTGTTTAAAAAGTAAAATGAAAAGGAGGAAAATTTTAACATTTGTGTTTCAAGTCGCTTCTTGTCATTTTGTTTTTATATAAATTAGTAAATGTGTTTTTATTGTTCTTTAATGTTATTCTACAAATCTACCTAAAAACCTTACTGAATCTTTCATTAAAATGTCTGATCAGTCAGAAGAGATGACTTTAAAGAGTCAAACCCCTAAGGAAGGTGGTTTCTGGGTAAAAATCATATGAAGGAGCATTTAGTTTCATTTTCAGTGTTTTTCTTCTGTAGCTTTTCATAAGGAATGGTTAAATAATTGTAAGTTTTACTGTGTATAGTGTATTCACACCACAGACACACACAGATCATTTGAGTTCATCTACTTAAAATTCTTTTAGAAACCAAGTCACAGCGAAGTTAATGTCACAGTCTAAGTTAACATAGCTTGTTTGTACAGAGTTGGGACTGAGAAAATATCTTGTTTCAATGCATTGCCAGAATCCTGTAGCATTTTGTAAGCAGATTAATTTCTTCAAATAAATATTTTAATTGGCTCTCTGCTTGCTTGTTTTTTTTTAACAGAAATATATCTACCTGTTTTCTTTAACAGTTATTTCGAGAAGTACGAATAATGAAGATACTGAATCATCCTAATATAGGTATGAAATATATATATATTATATATATATATATATATAATTAGCGATGAAGTGTTTTCCTTAATTTGAGGGTATTTGAAAAGACACAATGTTTAAGGATAGTTTATTTAAGCAGAAGAAAAGTGATAACCTGAGTGATAACCCCAGGAAGTGATACTTTGGGTAAAAATAGATTACAAAGAAGCTAACTGGAGGCTACAGATTGCTGTTTTCTGCTACCTTGCTATCTTCTGCTCTCCACTAAAATAATTGATATCATTCAGAATTAATGCATACAATTTTTTTTAATTTCCTAATTAAATGTTTCTAAATTTAAAAAAAAATGTCTTTCTGGCCGGGCGTGGTGGCTTATGCCTGTAATCCCAGCACTTTGGGAGGCTGAGGCAGGTGGATTGCCCGAGTTCAGGAGTTTGAGACCACCCTGGGCAACACGGCAAAAAAATACAAAAATTAGCCAGGAGTGATGGTGCGCACCTGTAGGCCCAGCTACTCAGGAGGATGAGGTGGGAGGATTGCTTGAGCCTGGGAGGTGGAGGTTGCAGCGAGCCAAGATCGCACCACTGCACTCCAGCCTAGACAACAGAGTGAGACCCTGTCTCAAAAAAAAGTCTCTAAATAGATATTGCAGGTCATTTAGGTATCTATAAAAAAAAAATGGCTTTCAGATATTTTGATACTATGCACTTGGGTTTGATCATAGGTTTACAGGCAAAATAACTTTGCGTTTTAAAGAAAATAAAAAGTTGATTTCAATTTTAGTAAAATTTTTCAGTAAGTTCTGATTTCTCCCCCTTTGCAAATAAACGTATTGATTAGATATATTATTATATGAAATCATTTGATTGTGACAAGTAAAATTCTTTTTAAAATCTGTTTTTTAAAACACTTTTTTTTGCACATTTAAAAATCTTATCTGTATATAGTTGTTAAAGTATTTATTTGTGGTGAATATTTGAACTACATAAATTTGATAATTTGGTAATTTTTCTAACCAGAAACTTTCATAATATCACAGAAATACAGAAATTCTTTTGTTTCTGTACCAAAGATTATTTAGCATTTTTTGATGTCTCACTGTAATGTAACATAGTCTCTTTTTAAACTTCAGTTTAAATTCTGTTTTTCTGATTTTAAGAGTTCCTTTTATTACCTTATTCTAATTTGAAAAAGTAATGACCTTTTAATCCTAGAAACTTAACTTTTTCAACTCAAGAAGTTGGTTCTAAATCACTTTGTGGTAAGTAGTTTTCTGTCATAGGAGTAATAATCTTTGAGAGACTTTTTGAACTTAAAATTGTGATTAATAATGTTTAGCAAGTAGTCAAATTTTCTACTAGTTTAGTGTTACCTTAGATTTTCTTAAAGCATATTCAATCTGTGCTAACAGTTATAGAGTTATATCTCTAATTTTTTTTCAGTAAAATTGTTTGAAGTTATTGAAACAGAGAAGACTCTCTATTTAGTCATGGAATACGCGAGTGGGGGTAAGAATGAGGGTGATTGAAAAGTTCTCTTTGCTGAGACATACAGAAATGTTAACACCTAAGAGTTCATTATGACATTTATGTCTTCAGTGTTAATGAATCTATTGTTTTATCTAAATGCCTTTAAATTACATCTTAAGGAAAATTCAGTGTTTACTTTTAAGACCTTTCGATCTTACATTATAAATGGAATTTTTGGCTTATTTACATTTTACTTAGGGACATTTTTTGAAACGTTAAATTTGTATTTTCATCTTATAAATGTATTGATTCTCTTATCTAAATTTTACTATATCATATCATGATTAGAAACTCTTGGCTATCAGCAGGGAATCTCAAGTACAGAATGTATTTAATAAAATCTATAATAAAAGCTTGTTCTAGGTCAGTGTTTATTTCACTGATTGTTCACATATGACAGATTCTCAATATACATACATTTCCAAGATAATTCATAAAGTGAATTAAATATTTCAATTTAAACAAGTATTGATCTGTACATTTTATATGTTAGAGGACTGAGTTGACAGGGAGATAGCAAGATGCATTTGTAGTAGAATATCACATATGTTTTAACTATCATGGTGTCAAAAATAGGAATGATTTTGAAACACTGATATGTGATAGAAAATCATCTTCATCTCCTGCACTTTCCCTTAAACGAGAAATGTGTCAGCTCAGAATCACTTTTCTTTTAGACTTAGGACTTCACTTTCTCAGAAATGGGTTGAAAATTTATGGAATTAATCATTTAATAAGTAAAAATAAAGAATACTTAAAGGGAGGTTTTAAGGGCTCAGGATTTAAGCAACTGAAGAAGAAAGAAGGCAGCTGAAATTATTTGGCTGGTTGATTTTTTGCTAATCAATAGAAAAACTTAGTGTTGAACTTACTATTGAGCTCTTTTAGTTAATGAAATTTATAATTTTTATGGTGATTCAGATTTTATGTGAACTAGAATAAAAAGGATTTATCTAGTCTGTAGCAACTAAACTATATTTATACTGTCTCGTATTTCTTTTCTTTTTCTTTTTTTTTTTTTATTTTGAGACGGAGTCTTGCCCTGTAGCCCAGGCTGGAGTGCAGTGGCACGATCTCGGTTCACTGCAAGCTCCGCCTCCCAAGTTCACTCCAAGCTTCGCCTCCCAGGTTCACTCCATTCTGCTGCCCCAGCCTCCCGAGTAGCTGGGACTACAGGTGCCTGCCACCGTGCCCGGCTAATTTTTTTGTATTTTTAGTAGAGATGGGTTTTCACCGTGTTAGCCAGGATGGTCTCGATCTCCTGACCTCGTGATCTGCCTGCCTTGGCCTCCCAAAGTGCTGGGATTACAGGCATTAGCCACCGCGCCTGGCCTCATATTTCTAAAAAACTACTATAGATGTTAATATATTTAATTGCTTTTGCAGTTGTTTATACAGATTGAATATTTTAGTCTTTTTTTTTTTTTTGCAAAACTTTTGTCACCTGAAAAAAATATTTCAGTGTAGGTTCTTTGACTTAACTTGAAAATCTATCATTAATGTTTATTATGATAGGATTTTAAAAATTGTATTAAAACAGCCATGTAAATTTCCATAAAATGTGGATCTATAATAAAACTAATGAATCTACAGATACCACATAATGAACTATTTCTCTATTTTTATGTCCTTCAGTTAGATTGCTATAATAATCTGTCTCATGGGAACCCCAATTATTATTTTTAGTTTAGTTAGACTCTTTTCTTCCTTTTAGTGATATAAAATTTAGAGAAAGGGGCTATACCCACTTTGATATGGGAAATCATAGACTGCTAAAATTCTGTAGACACCCTTCTCTTTTTATAAAGGCCCACTGCAAGGCTTTGTTAATATTAATATGTGTACTGACTTAATGGTTAATGGTAAGTACAGTCAACTCTCTATTGGTGCTAATGAAGGGGAGTAATGGCTAGAGTAAGAGTATGTAAGGCCTTCACCACTCTCCTTCAGTAGCATATTTGGGAGGCACAGTGGGGAGTAGTGTAGAGAAATGGGTACAGGAATTCAGACCACACCAGCCAGTCTCATTAAATCCTGATTCCTGCGATAGGTTTTCTTTGAGTTTGCAAGTTAGTGATTCTGTAACAAAAACCATCATGGTTCTGTGGCAGTAAATCTAGAATGATTTTCTTGCCTTTTTAATCCATAAATGGCAAGGTGACTCTGGAAAATAAAACACTAAATATTTTTCCTCTGAAATTTCTACTTAGTTTAGGATCAAATCTGACATGTACACTAGAAAGGTAATGTGAATAAGAATTAAGTCAGACAACTGCCTCTTTGCCAAGAGTTGATTCTGGTTCACTAATGGAATGAAAATTTTCAGTGATTAGAAAATCAAAGAAATCTTTTTTTTATTTTGAACCATGTTTAATCCAAAGGAGCCTATTAAAAGTAGGTTTCAGGACTACTGTGGAATGATGTGTTTATTCTTCCTTTTGTTCTTTCAAACAACATTTATAAAATGCTTACCATGTGTCAGGTAATGTTCTAGGTGCTGGGAATACATAAGTGAGCAAAGACAAAGTCCCTACCCTCAAGACACTTACATTCTAGTTGGGGAAGTAAATCATACACAAACAATATATGATAAGTACAGGACTATGTCATGTAAATACCTGGGGTAAGTGTATTCTAGGCAGCACTTAAGAGTAGATCCAAATTTTTTGAACTCTTGTATATATCTTTCCTAGCCTAAACTCAGATATCTAGAATTAACTGCTATGATGGGTTAACTAGAATTAACAACTAT
Source organism: Homo sapiens (assembly GCF_000001405.40). Taxonomy (NCBI): domain Eukaryota; kingdom Metazoa; phylum Chordata; class Mammalia; order Primates; family Hominidae; genus Homo; species Homo sapiens. Next base: position 220,602,637 of record NC_000001.11, read on the forward strand.
TACCACATATCTAGAATTAACTACTATGATGAGTCAACTAGAGCATCCATTCATTTCTCTGTTCTCATCATCCCATTTAATCACTTAAGTATGCTTAATATTATATAATATGCTGTCTAACATTGTAGATGTATTAGTTTCATGTGACATACATTCATTACGTATTTGATTTTTAATATTTTATTTATATCCTAGGATTGATATTGCATATATATGTAATATATCTGTATACCTAGGTACAAAAATGCAATTTATTGAGTGCTTACTATATGCCAGTCGCTGTGCTAAGCACATGCATTATTTCATTTAATCCTTACAACAACCATGTGAGTAGACAGTAGGTAGAAACTGAGTCTTAATGAAGTTAAGAAATCTTCCTAATAATGTCTTTCAGTAGTACTTAGGGCTAAAACAAAATTCATACCAAAATTGGTCTGATTCTAAAGTCTGAGTTTTTTTGTTTTTACCACTTTGCTATACTTTACAAGAACACTTTAAGCCATTTTGTGAGTTTTTAATATACATGTATATCTATCTGGTACAAATTATAAGGACACAAAAATAAATTTAATCCTTATACTAAGATAATATTTTATTTTTAAAATTGTAACTCAAGTTTAATTTAGTTTTAAGCTATTACTAACTAGAGAAAAAGGAGAAAAACTTACAGACATGTAAAGTAATGGATCCAGTAGAAAATTTATACAGCTTCTAGTTCTTTTTAAATTATTTCACCAAACATTTATCTATCCACTTCGTGTTCTGCCATGAAGATGAAGATGCAAATTAAGTACAGATATTATGATGATTTTCAAGTAATTTACAGTTCAGCTGGGGTATTAGAGATACACACACAAATGATTTAATTCTGTATAATTTGTGGCTGACTACTAGAATGTATGAAATGAGTAGAGTGAGAATAAACACAGAGTATAGGAAAGGAAAGAAATAAATCAATGTGGATGGAAGTAGTGAGATGGAATTTTATCCAGACTACATGACAGGGAGAATTTAAAAGAGCAATCCAACAAAACACACTTCATCATTTTGTTTGAAACGTAGGCCCCAAATACAAAGCCAAATGTAATTTTTGATTGACCAGGCTGTGGCTTCCCTTTACTAGAATGTATAATAAAGAGTTGACTGTATTTTTACATAATACTTGAAAGCAGAAAGCAAGTTTTCTTGGTTGTGTTTTTATGACTTATTTTTTAAAGAGTTTTGCTAAATCACAAACTGCTACAGATACTCAATTTTATATGTAATTTTTTCCTTTTTTCTATTCATGTGTTAGTTTGTAACTTACATAAACTAGCAGAAAATTGTGGGCCAAAAGTTTCTTTATAAACAAGGAAAAAACTTGACATTGCATATATTGTTAACCAAAAATCTATGTATATTTTACTACCTGCTTTACCTTTCTGATTCAGGTGAAGTATTTGATTACTTAGTTGCCCATGGAAGAATGAAAGAGAAAGAGGCCCGTGCAAAATTTAGGCAGGTATGGAAAGTAGTTTTCAACTTTGTTTTGCTGATAATTGTAGCGATGTACAATGGACAGTATTACAAACTGGACTTCACAGCACATGGTATTTTAAAAAGAAGAATTCCTGCTTTCTTATATTTTTAAGGATGGAAAACTCCTAAAAAATAAACCTTTCTGAATTTAAATTTAAATAGTTGCAGATGGTTATTTTCAGATTGTCATAAAGAATAAATATTTATAGATGAGACTCACCTTATTAAGACTCTCTGAGAGTCCTGGAAACGTAGACTAGACTGAGATAGAAAAAAATTAGTTAACCCTTTGAAGTCTTTATCCAATAATTATTATAAATTATTACTGGCTTTATATATACAGCATATATGTGTACTGTTTAAAGAGTTTATTGTATTATATTTTTTTAATTAAAGATGTTTTGGTGTTTAAACTCATTTTTGTAGATTTAAAGAATATGGTCAATTTTATTTTAACCAAGTAGGCAAGAAACTCCAAATTGTGGCAGAGGAATATGGTAAGATACTCATATTTCCAGTTCAACTTGAATATGACTTATTACAGAAATGATAAAATAAGAAAAAATAAATTTATCTAGAATTTTATTTTTAATTTTTAGAACTGAAGTGATTGAAATAAGCATACATATAAGTTACCATATAAATAGCAAATTAGTGAATTGTAAATTGTAAGCATACATATAAGTTACCATAGAAATAGCAAATTAGTGAATTGTAAATTGTAAATTGTTCATAAAATTTACTAAAGTTTAAGTGGATAATTTACTATATCCTAAACTTTTATTAAATTTAGAATTTTAAAAATGGCTCGCTACCTCTTCTGCCTGCATGAACACTTTAATTCTACAATTAAAGAGGTTCTGTAATCAGTATGTTCGGAAAAGACCAAATACTGATATAAGATCTTTCTCTAAGATACATATGTGTGTGTTAACATGTTAAACAAATAGAGAAGTCCTGAAAGGGAGGGGAGGAAAAAGCCTGTTTAACTTGTTGTAACATGGCATTCTCCAAATTGACCATGAAATGAGTGTGTTTGTTTTGTGAAACCTCTGTTATTAATGTTTCACAGAATTATTGCTTTTTGGAACACAATTTGTGAAATGCTTTATACCAAAGGTATGCATAGCACTTTTATTTGTGATAGATTCCTAGAAATATTCGTGTTAAAATAGCTGAATGTAAAGACAACTAGTAATAAGGAAAACAACTTTAAGAAACTGAATGGCATTCAACCACGTACTGTAATATTATTTTCTATCCTGGGATGGAAGTTCAAGCTTACCCTTAAATAAAGTATTACACACATCATTTTTTTAAATTTTTATTTATTTTATTTTATTTTATTTTATTTTATTTTTCTTCCTTTTTTAAATTATACTTTAAGTTTCAGGGTACATGTGCACAACATGCAGGTTTGATACATAGGTATACATGTGCCATATTGGTTTGCTGCACCCATCAACTCATCATTTACATTAGGTATTTCTCTAATGCTATCCCTCCCCCAGCCCCCCACCCCACGACAGGCCCCAGTGTGTGATGTTCCCTGCCCTGTGTCCAAGTGATCTCATTGTTCAATTCCCACCTATGAGTGAGAACATGTGGTGTTTGGTTTTCTGTCCTTGTGATAGTTTGCTGAGAATGACGGTTTCCAGCTTTATCCACGTCCCTGCAAAGGACAGAAACTTATCCTTTTTTATGGCTGCGTAGTATTCCATGGTGTATATGTGCCACATTTTCTTAATCCAGTCTATCATTGATGGACATTTGGGTTGGTTCCAAGTCTTTGCTGTTGTGAATAGTGCCACAATAAACATATGTGTGCATGTGTCTTTATAGTAGCATGATTTATAATCCTTTGGGTATATACCCAGTAATGGGATTGCTGGGTCAAATGGTAGTTCTAGTTCTAGATCCTTGAGGAATTGCCACACTGTTTTCCACAATGATTGAACTAATTTACACTCCCACCCACAGTGTAAAAGCGTTCCTATTTCTCCACATCCTCTCCAGCATCTGTTGTTTCCTGCCTTTTTAATGATTGCCATTTTAACCATTCTAACTGGCGTGAGATGGTATCTCATTGTGGTTTTGATTTGCATTTCTCTGATTACCAGTGATGTTGAGCATTTTTTCATGTGTCTGTTGGCTGCATAGATGTCTTGTTTTGAGAAGTGTCTGTTCATATCCTTTGCCCACTTTTTGATGGGGTTGTTTGTTTTTTTCTTGTAAATTTCTGTGAGTTCTTTGTAGGTTCTGGATATTAGCCCTTTGTCAGATGGGTAGATTGCAAAACTTTTCTCCCATTCTGTAGGTTGCCTGTTCACTCTGATGGTAGTTTCTTTTGCCGTGCAGAAGCTTTTTAGTTTAATTAGATCCTAATTTGTCTATTTTGGCTTTTGTTGCCATTGCTTTTGGTGTTTTAGTCATGAAGTCCTTGCCCATGCCTATGTCCTTAATGGTATTGCCTAGATTTTCTTCTAGGGCTTTTATGGTTTTAGGTCTAGCATTTAAGTCTTTAATCCATCTTCAATTTTTGTGTAAGGTGTAAGGAAGGGATCCAGTTTCAGCTTTCTACATATGGCTAGCCAGTTTTCCCAGCACCATTTATTAAATAGGGAATCCTTTCCCCATTTCTTGTTTTTGTCAGGTTTGTCAAAGATCAGATGGTTGTAGATGTGCGGCATTATTTCTGAGGCCTCTGTTCTGTTCCATTGGTCTGTATTTCTGTTTTGGTACCAGTACCATGCTCTTTCAGTTACTGTAGCCTTGTAGTATAGTCTGAAATCAGGTAGCATGATGCCTCCAGGTTTGTTCTTTTTGCTTAGGATTGTCTTCACAATGCAGGCTCTTTTTTGGTTCCATATGAATTTTAAAGTAGTTTTTTCAAATTCTGTGAAGAAAGTTATTGGTAGCTTGATGGGGATGGCATTGAATCTATAAATTACCTTGGGTAGCATAGCCATTTTCACAATATTGATTCTTCCTATCCGTGAGCATGGAATATTCTTCCATTTGTTTGTGTCCTCTTTTATTTCGTTGAGCAGTGGTTTGTTGTTCTCCTTGAAGAGGTCCTTCACGTCCCTTGTAAGTTGGATTCCTAGGTATTTTATTCTCTTTGTAGCAATTGTGAATGAGAGTTCATTCATGATTTGGCTCTCTGTTTGTCTGTTATTGGTGTATAGGAATGCTTGTGATTTTTTGCACATTCATTTTGTATCCTGATACTTTGCTGAAGTTGCTTATCAGCTTAAGGAGATTTTGGGCTGAGATGATGGGATTTTCTAAATTTACAATCATGTCATCTGCAAACAGGGACCTCTTGACTTCCTCATTTCCTAATTGAACACCCTTTATTTTTTTTTCTTGCCTGATTGCCCTGGCCAGAACTTCCAACACTATGTTGAATAGGAGTGGTGAGAGGACATCCCTGTCGTGTGCCGGTTTTCAAAGGGAATGCTTCCAGTTTTTGCCCATTGAGTATGGGGAATGCTTCCAGTTTTTGCCCATTCAGTATGATGATATTGGCTGTGGGTTTGTCATAAATAGCTCTTATTATTTTGAGATACGTTCCATCAATACCTGGTTTATCGAGAGTTTTTAGCATGAAGGGCTGTTGAATTTTGTCAAAGGCCTTTTCTGCATCTATTGAGATAATCGTGGTTTTCATTGTTTGTTGTTTATGTGATGGATTACGTTTATTGATTTGCGTATATTGAACTGGCCTTGCATCCCAGGGATGAAGCTGACTGCATTGTGGTGGATAAGCCTTTTGATGTGCTGCTGGATTTGGTTTGCCAGTATTTTATTGAGGATTTTTGCATTGATGTTCTTCAGGGATATTGGTCTAAAATTCTCTTTGTTTGTTGTGTCTCTGCCAGGCTTTGGTATCAGGATGATGTTGGCCTCATAAAATGAGTTAGGGAGGATTCCCTCTTTTTCTATTGATTGGAATAGTTTCAGAAGGAATGGTACCAGCTCCTCTTTGTACCTCTGGTAGAATTTGGCTGTTAATCCATCTGGTCCCGGACTTTTTTTGGTTGCTAGGCTATTAATTATTGCCTCAATTTCAGAGCCTGTTATTGGTCTATTCAGAGATTCAACGTACTCCTCGTTTAGTCTTGGAAGAGTGTATGTGTCCAGGAATTTATCCATTTCTTCTAGATTTTCTGGTTTATTTGCATAGAGGTGTTTATAGTATTCTCTGATGGTAGTTTGCATTTCTGTGGGATCAATGGTGATATCCCCTTTATCATTTTTTATGGCATCTATTTGATTCTTCTCTCTTTTCTTCTTTATTAGTCTTGCTACTGGTCTATCAATTTTGTTGATCTTTTCAAAAAACCAGCTCCTGGATTCATTGATTTTTTTGAAGGGTTTTTTTATGTCTCAATCTCCTTCAATCCTGCTCTGATCTTAGTTATTTCTTGCCTTCTGCTAGCTTTTGAAAGTGTTTCCTCTTGCTTCTCTAGTTCTTTTAATTGTGAGGTTAGGGTGTCGATTTTAGATCTTTCATGCTTTCTCTTGTGGGCATTTAGTGCTACACATTCCCTCTACACACTGCTTTAAATGTGTCCCAGAGATTCTGGTATGTTGTGTCTTTGTTCTCATTGGTTTCAAAGAACATCTTTATTTCTGCCTTCATTTTGTTATTCACCCAATAGTCATTCAGGAGCAGGTTGTTCAGTTCCCATGTAGTTGTGCGGTTTTGAGTGAGTTTCTTAATCCTGAGTTCTAATTTGATTGCACTGTGGTCTGAGAGACAGTTTGTTGTGATTTCTGTTCTTTTACATTTGCTGAGGAGTGCTTTACTTCCAAGTATGTGGACGGTTTTGGAATAAGTGCAAAGTGATGCTGAGAAGAATGTATATTCTGTTGATTTGGGGTGGAGAGTTCTGTAGATGTCTGTTAGGTCTGCTTGATGCAGAGCTGAGTTCAAGTCCTGGATATCCTTGTTAACCTGTCTCATTGATCTGTCTAATATTGACAGTGGGGTGTTAAAGTCTCCCATTATTATTGTGTGGGAGTCTTAAGTCTCTTTGTAGGTCTGTAAGGACTTGCTTTATGAATCTGGGTGCTCCTGTATTGGATGAATATATATTTAGGATAGTTAGCTCTTCTTGTTGAATTGATCCCTTTACCATTATGTAATGGCCTTCTTTGTCTCTTTTGATCTTTGTCAGTTTAAAGTTTGTTTTATCAGAGACTAGGATTGCAACCCCTGCTTTTTTTTGTTTTCCATTTGCTTGGTAGATCTTCCTCCATCCCTTTATTTTGAGCCTATGTGTGTCTCTGCACATGAGATGGGTCTCCTGAATACAGCACACTGATGGGTCTTGACTCTTTATCCAATTTGCCACTCTGTGTCTTTTAATTGGGGCATTTAGCCCATTTACATTTCAGGTTAATATTGTTAGGTGTGAATTTGCTCCTGTCATTACAACGTTTGCTGGTTATTTTGCCCAATAATTGATGCAGTTTCTTCATAGCATCGATGGTCTTTACAATGTGGCATGTTTTTGTAGTGGCTGGTACCAGTTGTTTCTTTCCATGTTTACTGCTTCCTTCAGGAGCTATTGTAAGGCAGGCCTGGTGGTGACAAAATCTCTCAGCATTTGCTTGTCTGTAAAGGATTTTATTTCTCCTTCACTTATGAAGCTTAGTTTGGCTGAATATGAAATTCTGGGTTGAAAATTCTTTAAGAATGTTGAATATTGGCCCCCACTTTCTTCTAGCTTGTAAGGTTTGTGCCAAGAGATCCTCTGTTAGTCTGATGGGCTTCCCTTTGTAGGTAACTCAACCTTTCTCTCTGGCTCCCCTTAACACTTTTTCCTTCATTTCAACCTTGGTGAATCTGACAATTATGTGTCTTGGGGTTGTTCTTCTCAAGGAGTATCTTTGGATGTTCTCTGTATTTCCTGAATTTGAATGTTGGCCTGCCTTGCTAGGTTGGGGAAGTTCTCCTGGATAATATCCTAAAGAGTGTTTTCCAACTTGGTTCCATTCTCCCTGTCACTTTCAGGTACACCAGTGAAATGTAGATTTGGTGTTTTCACACAGTCCCGTATTTCTTGGAGGCTTTGTTCATTTCTTTCTACTCTTTTTTCTCTAACCTTATCTTCTCGCTTTATTTCACTAATTTGATCTTCAGTCACTGATAGCCTTTCTTCCACTTGATCGAATCGGCTATTGAAGCTTGTGCTTGCATCACGAAGTTCTCGCACCATGGTTTTCAGCTCCATCAGGTCATTTAAGGTCTTCTCTACACTGTTTATTCTACTTAGCCATTCGTCTAATCTTTTTTCAGGGTTTTTAGCTTCCTTGTGATGGGTTCAAACATCCTCCTTTAGTTTGGAGAAGTTTGTTATTACAGACCTTCTGAAGCCTACTTCTGTCAACTTGTCAAAGTCGTTCTCCGTCCAGCTTTGTTCTGTTGCTGGCAAGGAGCTGCGATCCTTTGGAGGAGAAGAGGTGTTCTGATTTTTAGAATTTTCAGCTTTTCCGCTCTGGTTTCTCCCCATCTTTGTGGTTTTATCTACCTTTGGTCTTTGATGTTGGTGACCTACAGATGGGGGTTTTTATGTAGATGACCTTTTGGTTGATGTTGATGCTATTCCTTTCTGTTTGTTAGTTTTCCTTCTAACAGTCAGGTTCCTCAGCTGCAGGTCTGTTGGAGTTTGCTGGAGTTCCACTCCAGACCCTGTTTGCCTGGGTATCACCAGTGGAGGCTGCAGAACAGCAAATATTACAGAACAGAGAATATTGCTGCCTGATCTTTCCTCTGGAAGCTTCGTCCCAGAGGGGCAGCCACCTATATGAGGTGTCTGTCAGCCCCTACTGGGAGGTGTCTCCCAGTTAGGCTACATGGGGGTCACGGACCCACTTGAGGAGGCAGTCTGTCCATTTTCAGAGCTCAAACACCATGCTGGGAGAACCACTGCTCTCTTCGGAGCTGTCAGACAGGGACATTTAAGTCTGCAGAAGTTGCCTGCTGCCTTTTGTTCAACCATGCCCTGCCCACAGAGATGGAGTCTAGAGGCAGTAGGCCTAGTTGGGCTGCGGTGGGCTCCACCCAGTTCAAGCTTCCTGGCTGCTTTGTTTACCTACTCAAGCCTCAGCATTGGCAAATTCCCCTCCCCCAGCCAGGCTGCTGCCTCGCAGATCAATCTCAGACTGTTGTGCTAGCGGTGAGCAAGGCTCCGTGGGCGTAGGACCCGCCAAGCCAGGCACGGGAGAGAATCACCTTGTCTGCTGGTTGCTAAGACCTTGGGAAAAGCGTAGTATTTGGGTGGGGAGTGTCCCGTTTTTCCAGGTAGTCTGTCACGGCTTCCTTTGGCTAGGAAAGGGAAATACCCCAACCCCTCGTGCCTCCCTGCCCTGCTTCAGCTCGCCCTCCGTGGGCTGCACCCACTGTCCAGCCAGTCCCAGTGAGATGAACCAGGTACCTCAGTTGGAAATATAGAAATCACCTGTCTTCTGGGATGATCATGCTGGGAGCTGCAGACCAGAGGTCTTCCTGTTCGGCCTTCTTGGAATGTCCCTCGACATGTATTTATTTTATTTATTTATTTTTTATTTTTATTTTATTTTTTTGAGACAGAGTCTTGCTCTGTCACCCAGGCTAGAGTGCAGTGGCGCTATCTTGTCTCGCTGCAACCTCCGCCTCCTGGGTTCAAGCGATTCTCCTACCTCAGCCTCCCAAGTAGCTGGGATTACAGGCACACACCACCACGCCCAGCTAATTTTTGTATTTTTAGTAGAGATGGGGTTTCAGCATGTTGGCCAAGCTGGTCTTGAACTCCTGACCTCAGGTGATCTGCCCACATCGGCCTCCCAAAGTGCTGGGATTATAGGCGTGAGCCACTGTGCCCAGCCACACACATCGTTTTAAGTATTATTCATTTAATATCAGTCACAGTAGCTTTTGTTAGTAGCAGACCAGCAAGAAAGTTCCAATTTGCGTTAAATATTCCCATTAGAATCCTAATGTATATTTTAAAGATTATTGCTACTTATTTTTTAAGGCAGCTAGTTTTACTTATTTTTTGATAGATGTAGAAAATTGTACTGGGTACTATATGGAATTAGAGAAGTTGGAAATGCCTGCTATTTTAAAGAGCTTTCCATCTTTGCTGGTGAGCGAGAGCAGGATAAGAGGTTGGGACATAGGTATTTTAATAGAGATACAAATAATTACTAAAATTGGCTTGGTTTTTTAAATAAAGTCTGTAATATTTTGAAATCATCTTCATATTCTTTACATTGCAGAGACTGAGTGCCAAATGAATGCTATATAAATTGTAAAACAATGGCAAATATTTTCTTTATAATGTATTTATTTACTATAAATTTTAAATGTATTTAGTATCTATATATGTTTTCCCAAAACTAAAAAAGTTACTAACTCACATTTTTACAAACCAGAGATATGTAAACATACATACACACATGCACACACATACATTATTTTGTAGTTACCTGACTACAGATAAATTTATACTTAAATTTATTTTTGAGGAGCTTACTTTTATTTATGGATTTGATTTAAACTCTTATGGACTTAATGAATATACATTTACTTTTATTTGCTTTTTTATTTTAACAGTGAAAGAATGTATGTATTAATACTGTGTCAACAATAATAAATGTATATACATCCTTGACCTTACTCTTAGAAATACCAAAGACACTTGGGCAGTTTAAGACCACTGAGCAGCCATTGCCCATACAATGCTTTTACATCCCTTAAGACTTGAGCCTACAGAAAAAAAAAAGTCGTAATATTGATTCAATTCTTGCAATATCAAGTCTACCACTTATAAGTATTAACAATTGCAAAGTAACCGTGATAACTCCACCTCAATGGAAAACACTGATGTGTGTGGTCTTACCGTCAGTACCCAGCTGACAGTAAATCATGTTTTCAGGATCCATTAATAGAAGGCTCATAGGGAAGTTCCGATATCCTATTTATGGAAGTACAGAATGGTTTGAGATGGGAAGGTCTAGCTGTAAAATAATGCAGTAAAAATTGGGCTTGTGGAGGGGGATTCTTGCATTGAGTCAGAAGGCAGAACTTCTTTCATGGCAGAAATTGTTCCCTGCTAAGCAAATGTGGTAATACTATAATAAACTACCACATTTGACTGATAGCTCAGAGTTCATAGAATTTGGGGAGAACACATGCTTAATGCAGAGGATTCTTTGTAATTATCTTTGCATTCTTGATGCTTTGAGGCTCAGGAAATGTTTGATTCCAGAAGTACTTATAGAACTGTTTTCATAGAGACCATTCTGTCTGACATGAGTTGCATGGCCTCTGATCATGTTTGGTAACCAAATTATTATCTGTTGCATACCTTCAGTGGCTCATACAAACATGTGACTAACAAAAGATAATGTAATTATCAGCAAATTTCTGGCACTCATGATACGAAATAATCTTATAATATGAACATACTATAACCTATATAGTATGTCTAATAAAATATACATATAAATGTATGTATCTTTTGGCTAATGAACATAATTCAGTGAAAATTGGGTATTAGAATTTTGAAGCATATTGCTTAAGAAAACTAATACTACAAATTTTCATCATTAGAACCTTCTGTATTTTGGGGAATCATACTTCAAATTGATTATAATCATTCCCAGTCACCCTGCCCAAGAACATCTAGTGGTTCTGCAGTACCTGCCTAGTTTTGAATTCATGACTTTGACCAACCTATTTGTCAAGATTTGACTCCCACTGTCACCATTTTTCCACCTCCTTTTCTTTAAATGATTTTTGGTTTGGTTTGGTTTTGTGGGGTTTATTTTGTTTGTTTGGTCGGTTGGTCTGTTTGTTTGTTTGTTTGTTGTTTTTGAGACAGAGTCTCACTCTGTTATCCAGGTTGGTGTGCAGTGGTGTGAACATGGCATACTGCAACCTCGACCTCCTAGGCTCAAGAAATCCTCCTGCCTCAGCCTCCCGTGTAGCTGGGACCACAGGTGCACACCACCACACCTAGCTAATATTTTTATTTTTTGTAGAGACGGGGTCTCACTGTGTTGCCAAGGCCTGGTCTTGAACTTCTGGCCTCAAGCGATCATCCTCCCACTTCAGCTTCCCAAAGTGCCGAGATTATAGGCATGAGTCCTACCTGCTTTTCAAATACACAGTTCCCTTGTCATTAATGCATTTCGTCACCTCCCCATCCCCAGATCTCCACATTTTAAAATATTTCTGTCCTTCAAGGATGGCTTAGACCAAATATCACCTCCTTCAGGAAGCATTTCCAACTGAAATTATTCTTTATTTTTTATGATTCTCTCATAAAAGGTAGAGTTCTGTGATTCTACCTTGTATTATAGGGGAATAATATATACCTCTCTATATACAATATATAGAAAGGTAATAATATATACCTCTATATATAATAATATATACCTCCATAATACAAGGTATATAGAGAATATATACCTTATTTTCTCTTCTTAATCAGATTGTAAGCGCCTTAAGGACAGAGTCCACTTAGTATTCATTTTTGTATTTGCCTAGCAACCATCACATTTCCTTGCACATAGCAGGTACTCAATAAACTGTTGAATCAAAATGAATTAAATGGAATTGTGTATTACTCATTGTGTGTTGATGATTTTGTTTTGAATTCATGTTTTCTCTGTCTTCAAACCATTTTAATATACATTAGAATAATTTTATAATACTGAAATATCAGTTTACTTGTACTTTGAAGTTTTTTTTCCACCCATATTCCTATTAGCATGGTCATACTTCACATCACCTTTAGACTTTTAAAAAAATCTCATTTTTGTCTCCATTTGTAAATGCCTAACATTCAAACTGTTTTTATATTTAACTGAATCCACAGAACTGAATGTTCTGATGTACATTAAAATGACTGTCCTTCTATTCATCAGATGTAATTATATGTACAAAATAGTTCTTAATTGATTGCTATCAGATGCTTTCTATTTCTGTATTTTATGTAATAAAGAACTATCATAGAATTGTTTATAATCTATTTCTCTCATAGTTTTGGCCTTTAAACTGTTGGGTTCCTCCTTGTTTAGTCCTTTTCTCCAAAGAGCCCTGTGTGATAGTTAAAAATTATGGCTGCATACAAAATCAAGTTACAGGCATAGAATACTTCACCTGACTGAATTAGTGACAGGTTTAAGATTGAATTTCATTTTTCCCTCTTTTCTGTTGCTGATCAGGTTTCTTTTTAAGGCTCAAACATTTTCCTTTCTCTTTATATATGAACAGATAAATATAGATATTGCTAAATACCTCATTGTTAAGTTCTTAGTGATTTGGCCTCACTAAAGAAACATGCCTTGAACACATTTGATGTAATTCCTAGAATAGAGTTTTGCTTTTTTAACTTGAGACAATTATCTTAAAATACTAATTCATGTGTGCCAAAGCTTTTATTTCAACACTATAATAAACCATTTGGCCAAAACTATAAATTGTACACATTCAGTCACATAAACAGAGAACTATAAATGATCCATATGAAATCTTCACAGCCTCTGACAAAGAAATATTTTATTGTATTTTCGCAAGAGAATATTACTTTACCATATTTTCTGCATTTAACAGTGAAAGTTTCATCACTTTAATGTGTATAGTTTTCTGAACTAAAAGCATTGCATATTTATTAAATATTACCTTGAAATCCGAATTAGTAATTTATCTAAATTGGAGGTGATTATTGGGGAAAATTGCGTTTTTTTAATAATTTGACTCTTTTATCCAAATGTTTATTCCAGATTGTATCTGCTGTACAGTATTGTCATCAAAAGTACATTGTTCACCGTGATCTTAAGGTAAGCTTCTGAGTGTAATTTTTTTAAAAAAAAAATCGTTATTATTAACATATATTTAATAATAATATTAGAGCTGTCTATTTTATTGCCTAACTGTGCTGCTGGACACTATACAAGTAGTTAGTTTTTGATTCTCACAGCAACTTTATGAAAGGTAATATTTTCACTGAGCAAATGAAGAAAATATGAGTGATAAGTTTTCTAGCTTTAGAAGTTAGACGATTTGATTCACTATTAATTAGTTTGTTTTAAATGCATAGATATGGAACTTCGTTCCCAGCCAAAAGTGTGGGACCTCAGGCAGAAGCAAAGTCAGAGCACAGACCCATGTTTCCCTTACGTAAGAGACAGTATTCACACTCTACCTTAAAGCTCAAAGAACTAAGGAAAGTTGTAAAACATTTTTATGAACATTAAATGTGTATAATAGTACAAATGAGCATACTTTGGAATAAGAAATGTGTAGTTAGTCAATAAATGGTTGTGCCACATAGATTTTGTTGAAAGTGGAAACACCCTGGACTAAAATGTTTATACCTGTTTTTCCTTTTTTCTCTAATCTTCCAAATTTAATTTGCATTGTCCCTTACATAGGACTCTTATTTTTCTGTTTTACTTTTTTCCTCATCACCTTTATCAACTACTATCACCAGTTTGGGTTATATTTGAATATATTATCCTAAACAGTTGTCAAAAAGTCAAGTCTAATTCTGTATTTTAGCTTCATTTTTCAGAGCTTATGAATTTTCTGTTGCTCCAAATTTTTCTATTTCTTGGTTTCCTTCCTTGGCTATTTTAAGGGGAATCACTTCTATGATGAATGAGAAAGAAAAGAACTGTTCCCCTGCTTCTGTGTTTAACTCCCAGTTTATCATCTCATTTCTTATATGAAAAAAATCTGCAAAAAATAATCATGTTCAAAACCTTGTGTTTTCCCTCCAGTCCAATAGAGAGAGTTTTCCTGTACATTCCTGGAAGGAGACCTCAGAACCCCTTGCAGCTCTTCTCTTCTGAGGCAGCTTGGATACTTTGATATCCATCCAGACATTTTTAGAGAGACTGAAAAAAGTCCAGCTTGCTCACAAACAGCTGCAGAAATTTACAATGACCAGCCCCTTACATCAGAACATAAAAATAACCTGGTTTTGTCACAGTTCAAAAATGTGACAATCTAATATAAATTTTTCCAAATATATGTGCTTTTATAGTATTTATGTGATAAATTATACCCTATTTTTATTGTATATTTTGGGTTCTAGGTGTATCTGCATTTTCCAAAATAAAATGAAAACAAATATCCCAAGCTAGTATACCATAAAAAAGAAGAAAAGAAAGGTTGTGGTGGGTAGGGAGGGAAGAGATAGATGATGGGCAGAGTGCTTGACTCTTATAATTGTTGGACCTTCCAGTAATATAGAGAAATCTGATTTTTGTTTTAGTCAAATTTTATTTCTTTTTGGAACCTGATAAAACACATCTACAAAGTAACCTATTACTTTGTTAGTCTATCCATCCATTGTAATAGAGTTTAAAATAAAACATGTACAAAAGCAAGTCCTTTATTGAGTTGCTTCTGTTTACAAAAGGGACATGTAAAATATTGTCTTTGAGTGATTCTGCTTTAGGATTTTGGAAAACCATCTCAAAACGTGGAAAATTCATTGTTTTCTATGTAAAATATACATCAAGAAGAGAATCTAGTTTTAGAACAGCAAAAAGAAGCTTAAAACAGACAAGATATAATGGAGGCTGTATTTTTTGGTCATGTTTTACTGAAACAGTACTTTGTTGAGAAAACATTCTACAAGAGAGAACAAAGGAATGAATTAGTAGTCACAGAACCTCTGACAGGCAGTTACTGTAGATATACCTTTGAGCCTTGCTTTAACCAACAATACCCTATTAAAATAGAGCTCCTTTGGGTAATCATGTTGGTTTAAGTCCCAGATGGATTCGTATTATGTTCTTTAGAGTAGGTCATATTAAGGTACGCTTCCAGGATGTTTCTGACTGTGAGGAAAAAAATGAGTTTAAAATAACCTATGAAAGAAAATAGGTTTTAAATAACCTTTCTTAAGTAGTTGCATATATGCATATAAAGAGAGCTTTCCTTATGTAGTGTTAAAATTTAGTCTTATGTAGATGTAATTCAGAACAGTTATGCATTGAAGTACCATACTGGGCTTCTAAATTTGATACTACATTTAGAAATGAGGGGCAAGAGATATGTAAGTTTGGAAGCTAAAACTCTTTTACAAATATTTTTATTTTATGTAGGCTTTTTACATTGTTCTTTCTATTATTTTCCTCTTAGGCTGAAAACCTTCTCCTTGATGGTGATATGAATATTAAAATTGCTGACTTTGGTTTTAGTAATGAATTTACAGTTGGGAACAAATTGGACACATTTTGTGGAAGCCCACCCTATGCTGCTCCCGAGCTTTTCCAAGGAAAGAAGTATGATGGGCCTGAAGTGGATGTGTGGAGTCTGGGCGTCATTCTCTATACATTAGTCAGTGGCTCCTTGCCTTTCGATGGCCAGAATTTAAAGGTATCAGCTAAATTCTTTATTAATGTTTTATCCCCAAGTATGATTATGTCAAAAACCAGTTATAAGTGCTTTCTTTCACTTTTATTAAGGAACTGCGAGAGCGAGTTTTACGAGGGAAGTACCGTATTCCCTTCTATATGTCCACAGACTGTGAAAATCTTCTGAAGAAATTATTAGTCCTGAATCCAATAAAGAGAGGCAGCTTGGAAGTAAGTAAATTTTTGTACTCCAAATTTAAATTTTAACAATTAAAATATTCCAGGAACCGAAGAGCATTTTTCTCCTATGTTTTCTTAGGAAAATTGCCAAATTATCTAATCTGCCTTTTGTTTGTAGGTAGGGAAAATTACATGACTTTTTTTCACTTTCAAAAGTTGCCACAGTAGCTGTCTCTAAAAACTATTATTTCCTCTTTGTTCTGCAGTGCCGTATTAAATAAAAACAACACAAAAATAGAGGTTGACTTTTAGTTAGAGAAGGAGGAAAACGTAGCTGCTGTCAGAAATTGCTTTGTCGAAAACAGAAACCTTGTTTTTAGTAAGTACTCAATAAATATTTCAAGGATAAAAGAAAATAGTGAAAATTCTAATCTAATGAATATTTCACAGCTATATCTGACATTGATATCTAGCATTTAAAAATGTAGGGCTGGGCACGGTGGCTCACGCCTGTAATCCCAGCACTTTGGGAGGCCGAGGCGGGCAGATCACGAGGTCAGGAGATTGAGACCATCCTTGCTAACATGGTGAAACCCTGTCTGTACTAAAAATACAAAAAATTAGCTGGACGAGGTGGCACACACCTGTAGTCCCAGCTACTTGGGAGGCTGAGGCAGGAGAATGGCGTGAACTTGGGAGGCGGCGCTTGCAGTGAGCCAAGATCACGCCACTGCACTCCAGCCTGGGCGACAGAGCGAGACTCTATCATAAAAAAATAAAATAAAATAAAAATGTAATAGAAACCTCTCAACTTTAGTAAAGAAAATTTACAAATATTTAAGTACAACATACTGGAAACAGGCATTTCATTTCTTAGCACACTGTTGTGTTGCCTACATATGTTCTGTATGTGAGGTTATTTATAATAATAGACACTATTATAAATGGACTAAGTATGTTACAGCCAAGCAAGTTCACATAACCAAAATGTCTACTATTTTTTTTCTTCTGGCACTGCAATTAGAATAATTTATTTCTTAAGTATTTTGCCCATCTGTTTTTAAGAATGATATTTTAGCCTTTACTAAGATAATTTCAGAGATTCAGCATGCATTATTCACTAGTACTTTCTGTCTTCTTTTATTTACCTTAATAGAAAGGGTAGAGAATTCAGAGAATTAACCTCATATAAACTGTACTTTTTTAGTGTAGCAATGGGGCTTTCTGGCATGGACTTCATGCTGCTTAGGAGGCAGCCTTATAGTGAGCCATCCCTGTGTACAGAGCTCTCAGGTTAGTGTGGGCTTTGTAATTTTATTTCCACAAATATTTTTCAGTAGAGGATACAGCATGTTTTGATGGAAGTTAAGGGATGGCGACTTCCATTGGGAAATTATTTTAAATGCTTTGTGTCAGTTAGTCAATTATCATGATTTTTTTACCGAATTATTTGTTTAAATGTGATTAGTTATAGCTTATGAGTTTTGTGGGCTTTTCCCTCCTTATGGGGTTAAAAAAAATGAGTTAATGCTTTAATAGAGAACATGTACTATATAATGCCCACTTTTATATCACTTATTTTGAAAGCTTTCCATCATTATTCATAGAAAAATTAGGTGAAATATTTAAAAAGCTAAAATTTTTGACTCTCATATCAGTTCTAAAATAATGAACTTTAGAGAACATGTTTTGTAATCCTGTTTTGTGACTAACTTTTATCATAAGAACCCCACTTGACCTGAGTGACACAATAAAATGCTCAAAGTTGAAGCAGCAGCTTAGCTAATGAGCAGAGCAAAAAGAACATACAAAAATTATTTTGGGGGGATAGATATTACAGATCTCTATGGACAGTAGGTAAGATGTGCTTATGTCTTAAAGATGATTAATTTATAGTAGCCAAACACTTTAGTCTTTTATCATTATTATTAACATGTTGAGGATTAAAATATTAGAGTGCTTTGAGTTGAATTTAAAAGCCAAATTTTTATTACTAAAATATTTGATCATCAGAAGCTCATTCTAATATATTTCAGTATAGTCTGCAACTTTCTGTTCCAGCTTACCAAAACAAAGTTTTTCAGCTATGAAACCACGAGTCCCCACTGGAAATATTATATTATAGATATTACTATACAAAGGCTGATTTGCTTCACAGTTCCCAGAAATGACTTTCCAGGGAAACTTGACACCATTTTTTAAAAAAGAAATATTTCTTATACCATACCTTAAGAAACTCTCCTAGAAATATTGGTGACTTCAAAAATTGTTAGTCTTCACTTTTATTTTTCATACCAATTTTATTAGCTTTACAGTAAAAAACCTGTAAACTTTTTTAAAGCTATTTTCAAAATACTCATCTTTATTATGTAAATATAACATTTTATGTGTTAGTAATGTTTTATATTATGTTCCATTCTTTTTTTTAACCTTAGAAGCTTTTGATATGCACTTCTTGCTTTGTCATAAGAATGCACTCCTTCCTTTTTAATAGCTATGTTATTCTCCTTGGGTTACGTAACGTAATTTATTTAACTATTCCCTGCTTATTGCACATCTGAGTTGTTTCCATTGTTTTTGATAAAAAACAATGTGGTATACTTTTTTCCCCTTTGGGATATATGTTTAGATAAATTCTTCAGAGTGGAATTACTGGGTCAAAGGGTGTAAGTGATCGGATAGCTCTTTTATCATTGCCAAAAGATATGTGTGACCCAAGGCTTTTGAATGTACCTATTCTCCATACCCTGATTCAATAATGGATACAAATTCTAGTATTTGATGCCTCGCTTTAATTTGTATTTCTTTTATTAGCAATAAAATGGAATATTTTTAATGAATAGTTTGTGCTTCTTCATGTATAAGCTCTCAGTGTCTTTTAACTACTTGTCTTAAGGAGTCTGGTTAATAAGCCTCGTAGATTTGTACCAACTTTGTATATTTTAATATAAAATATTTTTCTGGTAATTTCCACATTTAAAAAAAATGGAACATCATGAATGTTTTTTCAGTGTTACTTTAGTGTCATGAATTATTGATTAGAGTATCCTCTAGTCTTTCTTCACTATATATTTTGCTAATATTGAAATTTGATTTAGAGAATTTTACATGGTTGCATATTGTTTCAAACTTATTTAACTTACCTTTCTGTTGCTACCAGACATAACTGTGTATTTTATTAAAGTGTTTCTTAAAGACTCATAAGTTAAATGCCTTATTTATCATCTGTGAAAATAAAAATTATTGAAATTAGTTTCACATTCTACTAGGCCTATAGTTTGTTTCTAGACATAAGCAAACAGTTATATAATTTTTTCAGGTTATATATGTGAATGCTGTCAGCTCTTTCTAATTGTACTAGTCTGGAACTTCCATGTGTTATACTGTCCTCTCATAATGAGGGCATTATGATTTTAAACGGATTTGTGCTTTATGTTGTACACTAGGGTTTTTTTTAACCCATTTATTGGAATATTAGTATGTCTAGATTTTTTTATTAGAAAGAAACTGAAAAACTTTTCTGCTTTCCCTGTTTTGTATGTGTTCATTCATTTTTCCAGTGTTTAACCAAGATGGACTATATTACCTTTCAAAACAATGCAAAATTTGAGCCTGAAGCAAAGCTCCTCTTATTGCCCTCTCTTTGTCGTCATTGGTCCTCCCATAAAAGTGTTTATTTTGACTTTTGATACTTAATTTTTCAGGTGTTACTAAAATAATCTTTACAGTCTTGTTTATGTCTGCCAAATGACAGTAAAGCAAAAAAATCAATTAATTCATAATTTTTTAATGAAAGATTTCTGTGTACAAATTCAGAAGCATATAGTATATTTTACAAAGGTTGAAATCATTTAAGTAAAATTATTTGTCTGGCCGTTCTAAATTCCATATTTTTAAAATGTGCACCTCAGGCCAGGCTTGATGGCTCATGACTGTAATCCAAATACTTTGGGAGGCCAAGGCGGGCAGATCACCTAAGTCCAGGAGATCGAGACCAGCCTGGGCAACATGGAAAAACCCTGTCTCTACATTAGCTGGGCGTGGTGTCACACATCCTGTAGTCCTAGCTACTCGGGAGGCTGAAGCACGAGGATTGCTTGAGCCCAGGAGGTTGAGGATGCTGTAAGCCATGATTGCGCCACTGGACTGCAGCCGGGATGACAGAACAAGACCCTGTCTCCAAATAAGATAAAATAAAATAAATGTGCATCTAAGTATAGAGTGTATATTTCCCATAGCTGGTTTAATTCTTTAATTCGTCTGAATTAATTATTTTGTTAATATAACTCTCAGGCAGTCATTTATGTTCATTGGCACTGATGGCTAGAGTAAACTTTGTTTTGTTAATTTTGGAATTGTTTTTGTCCTCTAGTTTCTCATGAGATACCTGAAATGAAATCGGAGTGGATGAGTTTATTCAGCTAGTTTCTATGTCTAGTGCAGTTGGTTGGCCTAGTTCTTTATACCATGCCTGAGACCACCCAGACTCGGGTTACATGAGCTCTCTCCTGTCACCCAGTACCTCCATTTTCTGGGAAAGTTTTTCCCTCGACTTTTAACGTTAACTCTTTTGGTTACCATGAAAGAATTTTACATATGCATGAGGTTCACACAACTAAGGGCAGGTAGTCCATATCTCTCTTCCCTTTCATGTATCCATACTTCGTTGCTTTCTATGCTTTATTTTGGAAAAAAATAACAGAGTTATTAACAGAGTTAAACCCCCACATCTTCCCTTTCTTAAGGAGATCTTCTTTCCAACCTTTATCTTCCATTCTGAGAAGATTACTTTTATTCTGCTTTGAAATACAACTGTTGTTGTGAGACAAACTCCTTAGTAGACTCTTGGTGATTCCCAGTGGCTAGAATAATAATAATAAAGGGAAACAAAACTGTTGATTCTCTCATTGCTGCCCAATTCTCTTTCTTTCCTTATCACTGCATTTTCTACTTTTTCTGACTCAGCCTAGCCTCAAATCTAGTTTTATGTGAGGATTAGCAGTCAGTCCTTCTGTGTCCACCTATTGTATTTTTTCCCGTGCTAATTATAAAATGTTGTATAAAATGTATTCTTTCATTGTATACAATCTGTGTGCTTAGTAAAAGAAGGGTGCCTCCTCACTGTTCCTCACATCCTTCTGCCATGACTTTGCACCATTCCAAATACTGCTTATATTTCAAATCAGTTTACATCCTGCCCCCTTACAGTTCCTTCCCTGAAAATCCCAGCCCACACTTCAAGTTGTTCTTTTGGTCTTTATTAAAACTCACTGCTAATAACACAACTTTAAATAGTTAATTCTGTTGTGTATTCAAATAGTTTTGGCTGACACCTGTAATCCTAGCACTTTGGGAGGCCCAAGGGGGCGGATCACCTAAGGTCAGGAGTTTAAGACCAGCCTGGCCAACATGATGAAACCCCGTCTCTACTAAAAATACAAAAATTAGCTGGGCATGGTGGCGAGCGCCTGTAATCCCAGCTACTCGGGAGGCTGAGGCAGGAGAATCACTGGAACCTGGGAAGTGGAGGTTGCAGTGAACTGAGATCATGCCACTGCACTCCAGCCTGGGAAACAGAATGCGATTCCATCTCAAAAAAAAAAAAAAAAAATAGGTTGGGCACGGTGGTTCACAGCTGTAATCCCAGCACTTTGGGAGGCCGAGGTGGGCGGATCACCTGAGGTTGGGAGTTTGAGAGCAGCCTGACCGACATGGAGAAACCCCGTCTCTATTAAAGATACAAAATCAGCCAGGCATGGTGCCCATGCCTGTAATCCCAGCTACTCCAGAGGCTGAGGCAGGAGAATCGCTTGAACCTGGGAGGGCAGAGGTAGCAGTGAGGCGAGATTGTGCCACTGCACTCCAGCCTGGGTGACAGAGCAAAACTCCGTCTCAAAAAAAAAAAAAAAAAGTTTTAGATTTCATAAGTAAATCTCATTTCCCCAAATAACAAACAAATCACTTAAGGGTTTGATCCATGTATATATTTTTTCTGACAGGAACATATGGATATGAAGTGAGCACCAAATAAATACAACTTAACTGAGAAACATCAGAAAGTTATTTTCATTTTCCTTCTAATTGCTTATCTCTCAGCTGTCAAATCTGCTATTGCTCCTATATTTCTTGCTTAATTTATAGAAACCATATTCTGCCAGGCACCTGATTTAAAATTCTCAGAACTCTCTTGTATTCCATCCATTCCCTCAGAACCAAATGAATCTTGTCATCAAGTGCAATAGATTATACTTCTGGTTTCTTTCTTCCATTTCTTCATGTCTAGTTCAGTCCTCTGTTCTCTTTCCTGGACGTTATAACAACTTCGTAAGGTGTCTTCTTGTTGCTAATCTCTGGATTCTGTCTTACCCAGGGATCTTGTAGCAACATTATTTTAAAACACTACCTTGTTCAAAAACAGGCATCTGTAGTGAGAGAAACAGTATATAAGGCACAGCCTTTGTCCTCAAGGACTTTAAATAATGTGAAGGAGATAAACCTCTACACAACTAACTGTAATCAAAGGTAGAGTTTAATAACAGTAACACTAGGATATAAGCAGAGTTCCATGGGAGCACAGGAGAAGGACAGATGAGTGATTAAGACGAGGTTTTATTCATTCAATTTACAAATATGTACTGACCATTTAGTGCTGGGTACTTTTAGGTGCTGGATATGCAATATTGAACAAACCAGACATGGATCATTCTTTGATTGGGTTTATGGTCCAGTGGTGGAGATACATGATTAACAGGTAAACCAAAATATTACATAACAACAAGCTACATTCAATTGTAGGCAAAGATCAGGGTGCCATGAAAGAGAGTAACAGAAAGGTCCCAGGCTTTATGTGGTCATTTTGAAATAAAAAGGAACTTAGGTGGGAAGATAGGGGAAAACATTCTAGGCAAATATCCTTGTCTTTTATTCCGCTGAGAAAATAGAAACCAAAAGTCATGAGTACTCTTCACTTACCATTCCCATACCTTAAACATTACTGTTGAGACCAACTGATGGGAGGGATGGAAGGCAAGCAAGATGACGCAGACACAGGGCACCAGGAGGAAAGTCTGTTACTACTACGACGGGGATGTTGGAAATTAATATTATAGACAAGACCATCCAATGAAGCCTCACCAAATCTACTACTCACAATTTGCTGCCCAGCTATGGTCTCCACTGAACAATAGAAATCTGTCACCCTCACAAACCCAGTACTGAGGAGATGACCAAGTACCACAGGGATGACTACATTAAATTCTTGCGCTCCATCTCTTCAGATACATGTTCGAGCACAGCAAGCAGATGCAGATTCAACGTCAGCAAGGACTGTCCAGTATTCAATGGCCTGTTTGAATTCTTACAGTTGTCTACTGGTGGCTCTCTGGCAAGTGCTGTGAAACTTAATAAGCAGCAGATAGACATCGCTGTGAATTGGGCTGGGGGCCTGAACCATGCCAAGAAGCCTGAGGCATCTGGCTTCTATTACATCAATGACATTGTCTTGGCCATCCTGGAACTGCTAACCTATCACCAGAGGGTGCTGTATATTGACATTGATATTCACCACGGCGATGGGATGGAAGAGGCCTTCTATACCACAGACTGGGTCATGACTATGTCTTCTCCTAAGTAGGGAGAGAACTTTTCAGGAACTAGGGATCTACAGGATATTGGGGCTGGCAAAGGCAAGTATTATGCTGTTAACTACCTGCTCCGAGATGGGATTGACGACAAGTCCTATGAGGCCATTTCAAGTTCAGTGCTCTTACAGTGTGGCTCAGACTCCTTATCTGGGGACTGGTTAGGTTGCTTCAATCTGATCATCAAAGCACATGCTGGCCTGTCGTGGTGGCTCATGCCTGTTCTCAGCATTTTGGGAGGCCCAGGCAGGAGAATCACTTGAGGTCAGAAGTTTGACACCAGCCTGGCCAACATGGTGAAACCCCGCATCTACTAAAAATACAAAAATTAGTCAGACATGGTGGTGCACTTCTGTAATCCCAGCTATTCGGGAGGCTGAGTCATGAGAATCGCTTGCACCCTAGAGGCGGAGGTTGCAGTGAGCTGATTGCACCAGGGCACTCCAGCCTGGAGAACTGAGTGAGACTCCATCTCAAAAAAAAAAAAAAAGGGTTGAGGGGGGCATGCCAAGTGTATGGAATTTGTCAAGAGCTTTAACCTGCCTATGCTGATGCTGGGAGGAAGTGGTTCCAATTTGTAATGTTGCCTAGTGCTGGACATATGAGACAGGTGTGGCCCTGGATACAGAGATCCCTAATGAGCTTCCATACAGCGACTACTTGGAATAGTTTGGACCAGATTTCAGGCTCCACATCAGTCCTTCCAGTATGACTAACCAGAACACGAATGGTACTTGGAGAAGATAAACAGCGACTGTTTGAGAACCTGAGAATGCTGCCCCACAAACCTGGGTCCAAATGCAGGTGATTCCAGAGGATCTGTCCCTGAGGAGAGTGGCGATGAGAGCGAAGAAGACCCTGACAAATGGATCTCGATCTGTTCCTCTGACAAACGAATTGCCTGTGAGGAAGAGTTCTCTGACTCTGATGAGGTGAGAGAGGGTGGCCACAAGAACTCTTCCAACTTCAAAAAAGCCAAGAGAGTCAAAACAGGATGGAAAAGAGAAAGACCTAGATGAGAAGAGCAAAGTCACAGAAGAGGAGAAAACCAAGGAGGAGAAGCCAGAAGCCAAAGGGGTCAAGGAGGAGGTCAGGTTGGCCTGAGCAGACCTCTCCAGCTCTGGCTTCTTGCCAAGTCCCCTGCCTTTCTCCACCAACACCTCAGATTTTATGCTTTCTATTTCTCTGTGTATTTATAGGAAAGTTTATTAAATATAAATATCCCCAGGGACTAGACAGAAACCAAGGCCCTGAGCCCAGGGCAGCTATGCTGGGTGAACTCTTCTAGGAGCTGCCTTGCCACCCATCCTTCCATCCTTCCCCAGTTCTTAACTTTGAACCATAAAGAGTACCAGGTTTGGGTGAAAGGGATACTTTCATGCAACCATAAGACAAAATCCTGAAAATGCCAAATGCCTGCTTAGTAGCTTTGGAAAGGTACCCTTATTGAACATTCTAGAAGGGGTGGCCAGGTCTTCAAGGGTCTCCCGTTCTTTTCAGGCTGCTAATGTAACATCAGCCATTTTTAGATTGGCTCTGTCCTCATACCTTCCCAGTGGCCTCAGGTGAGCCAAGAAACTCACACTGCCTGCCCTTTGTCTTCCCCTAATTCTGCAGGTGGAGGTTGGTGGTCTAGTTTCCTTTTTGAGATACCGTTTTCATTTTTGAGACCTTTGTAATAAAATGGTACATTTCTATACAAAAAAAAATAACTGTTTAGACCCCATCTCTCCCCACTGCTTGTCACAGTGGAAAGATGTCTTTTGTTGAAGACTTCACTCACTCATCTGTTTGCTGTATCTGGTGACTACCTTCCTTCTCAGTATCTCACCCCTTCAAAAAGGCTCTCTCCTGTAACCAACTGAACCTTATCTCTATCGACTCCTTTTCCTCAGCTTTTATACATACGTGAATCTCTTCCACTAAAAAAGGCATCCTTCAACCTGGCAATCCCCTTTCAGTGCTGCCATCTTGCTCCTCCTTTGTAGTGAGCCCTTTTGAAGAGTATCTACACTTAAACCATCACCCATTCCTCACCAATCCATTTACTTTCTGGTTCCTAGTGCCACCACTCCACTGAAACTTCCCCCAGCAAAGTCCCCCATCTCTGTTGCTAAACACAAGGGGCTACTTATTTAGGCGTCACCTTATTTGACCATTTGGCTATATTTGACAGGACTCTCCTCTTCGAACTCTTTCCTCGCCTTCCATGTCATGCTGTGCGGGTTTTTCTTCTTGGATTTCTTTTCTTTCTAACCTTTAAATACTAGTGTTCCTTGAGGCTGTAATCTGAGCCCTCTTCTATTCATTCTTACACTATTCATTCTTCCTGGAGAATCGCACCCACCCCACAACTTTTGTACAGCATCCTCTGTAGGCTAAGGATTCCTGAGTCTCAATCCCTAGCCTTCCAAGAAAATATGAATTCTCTAGAAAGTTTAATTTAAAAATGTATCATGTGGCTGGGCATGGTGGCTCATGCCTATAATCCCAGCACTTTGGGAAGCCGAGGCAAGCAGATAACTTGAACCCAAGAGTTCAAGCCTGGGCAACATAGTGAGACCCTGTCTTTAAAAAAAAAAAAAAAAATCATGTGATGATGACTGCTGGAAAAGCCTCCAATCCAGCACAGCAGTATTCTTAAGAGATTCCAGTTGTTAGAGATCTTCCCTGGATTTCTTATTTTCTGGTGATTAGCTTTAGGTAGATATTAATAAATGAGGGGAAGGTACCTGGGCAGTCAAGAAATTAGCCTTCAAAAGATATATATATGGGAAGTTATTTTTCTAATTAGTGGAATATTGGCAAGTAAAGTTTAAAGATGGAGAATGTACTTTACAGGACCTGGAAAAAGCAATTAATATATCAGCACCTAAAATGAAAACCTAAAATTCTGTAGTAATAAAAAGTGAACAATCTTTCTAAATTAATACAGAATTATTCAAATAAGTTTCTTCCAGTTTTCCATTGCCTGACCATGAGTATAGTAAATTCTCTACAAGATTGCCTTTTTTTTTTTTTTTTGGTGGTGGTGGTGGTAAAAAACACGTAACATATATTTACCCTCAACAACTTCTAAGTGTGTATCACAGTGTCGTTAACTATGTGTACATTGTTGTACAACAGATCTCCAGAACTTTTTCATCTTGTGTGACTAAAACTCTGTACTCATTGAACAAATCCCCATTTCTCCCTCATCAGCCCCAGCAATCACCATTCATCTTGTGTGACTAAAACTCTGTACTCATTGAACAAATCACCATTTCCCCCTCATCAGCCCCAGCAATCACCATTCTATTATACTTTATGTTCCTATGAGTTTAACTACTTTAGATAATCTGTATAAGTAGAATCATGCAGTATTTGTCTTCTGTGATTGGCTTATTTCACTTAGCATAATGTCCTCAAGGTTCATCCATGTTGTAACATATAACAGGATTTTTTTTAAGGCTGAATAATATTTATTTGTATTTATGTACCACATTTTCTTTATCAATTCATTTGTCAATGGACATTTAGGTTCCTTCCACATCCTGGCTTTTGTGACTAATGCTGCAGTGAATATAAGTTTCTGAATATCTCTTTGATATTCTGCTTTCAGTTTTTTTGGATAAATACCCAGAAGTGGGATTACTGGATCATATGGTAGTTCTATTTTTAATTTTTTGAGGAACCTCTGTACTATTTTCCATAGCAGCTGCACCATTTTAGATTCCTGCCAGCAGTTCACAGGGGTTTCAGTTTCTCCACATGCTCACCAACACTTGTTTCTTGTTTTTTTGATAGTGGCCATCCTAATGAGTATAAGGTGATAGCTCACTATGGTTTTGAGTTCCCTGATGACTAGTGATGTTGAGCATCTTTTCACACAGCAAGCATGCTTGTTGGCCACTTATGTATCTTTTTTGGAGAAATATCTGTTAATTACTTTGCCCATTTTTTATTCAGGTTATTTGTTTTGATGTTATTGAGTTGCAGGCATTCTTTACATATTCTGAATATTTACTCCTCATCCAGTATATGTTTTGCAAATATTTTTCCCATTCTCTAGTTGGCCCCCACAAGGTTGCCTTTTAACAGCCCAGGACTGTCTGTTATTTCACAGCCTTAGCTTAATCTGACTCTGGTAATTCACATCAACCCCAGCTTGATTCTTACCTAATTCCTAACTCTAGACTTAAATTTTGACTGCCTTCCCTTCCCACATTATCTTAGCTATCTTTATTGATAGCTTTACTGCCAACCCTGATTTTCATTCCCCATGACCTCTTCTTTACTAATATTTTAGTAAATGATGATTTTAAAATAAGGCATATATTTGGCATAAAACAGGAAAAAATTATAATCTCTGTATTAATCTTAAATGTAAAAATCTGAAACAGAAGTTAAAATCTGTTTTATAAGAAGTAAATTCTTATGTTAAAATATCCAAATTTGAAAATATTCCCTTTGAAGGAATAAGAGAGGCATGCTATTTTGAATCAATGCATTTGGTGAGTGTGTAGGGAGATAGTCATAGTTGTTGTGTGTGTCCCAAAGTCTTACACCTCTTTTTGGCCCACTAATCAAACTAGAAATGTCACATGAAACTTCTTGAGTGAACTAGTAATTTTACATTTGCTAAAATAGAGCTATAATAAGTGGCTGAATGTTCTGATTGACCACACATAATGTAGAGTTTATTTCCTAGCAAATAATGAAAGATCGATGGATGAATGTTGGTCATGAAGAGGAAGAACTAAAGCCATATACTGAGCCTGATCCGGATTTCAATGACACAAAAAGAATAGGTAAGTATTTAAACATGGTAAGAAGTGCTGTCCCTAGGCAACAAGTAAGAGTCCTTTAGTGTGCCAAAATAGTGTTTAAGAGTATAAATAGGAAGCAATTTTTATTTGAAAAATACTTGCATTGTCATTTTAATGATAATATGCTGAAAATTATACATTTCAAGTTCCCTAATTTGTTCCCATATATATTATGGTCTAATTCAATGTTTGACAACAGTGATATAAAACCTAATGTAAATAAATCGAATTCTTTCCTTTCAGTGATGCCCAGCAGGAGGAATGGCTGATGTAACTATCAGCACTGATCAGACTGATAAGCATCAGCGAACATAGCATGTATTTTAACCAAAGACATAGAGGCACCGAATTAAGAGTTGAACACTTTGGCTCTCCCTTTCTTTTTCCACTGTCTTAGCAATGTTTATTCTCCCTCCTCACTCGTCCTGCTACTGCCCATACCCAACCAGAGCTCTCCTTCTAACTTGTTCTCTTCATTTCACAATCCCTTCCCAAAGCCATCATTTAGTCTCAGCTGAGTCATCTCAACTGTGTTCCTATCTGGCTTGAGGGCAGAGTGGCAGGGGAGAGCATTTTAGGGTGTTAGGAACCTGATCAGAAAAACCATGGAAATTCAAATCTCCCAAAGAAGAGTCAACCTACTGCAAATCAGAAAGCAGAAAATTTTAAGAGATGAAAGAAACCACTTCACTAGTAGCTGAGGACGAATTGAGAGAAAGACAGAGAATTTTGTGTGTAACAAAGACTGACATGGTCTTAGACTGGACAAAGAAAGTTAGCTCAGGAATGTATTAGGCAATGAGAAATTAAGTGGGCCCATTAATATATTAACCATGATGTAGGTAATTTCTGCATGTAAAATTATCATTGTACAATATCTGTGAACATATGGTATCCGTAGGTTAATAGTCCAGAAGTTTTTAAAACTACACTTTAAATTTTCATGACTAAGTTTTCATATTCAAAGATGGCAAACTTGCCCATTTTTGTTGATTTGTTTACGAAAATAAAACCATTTTCAGAAAATTTCTCTTTTTTAAATTTCTAGACATTATGGTCACCATGGGCTTTGCACGAGATGAAATAAATGATGCCTTAATAAATCAGAAGTATGATGAAGTTATGGCTACTTATATTCTTCTAGGTAGAAAACCACCTGAAGTAAGTTTTTCACCTTTTCAGATTACTGTGAATTATTTCTTGAGCTAATATATTAGTTAATATATTCTTTGTGGAATCAAAAATAATATAAAGATCCTACCCTAACATTCTTATTTATTGGAATTCAAAAATCAAGATGTTAAATTATGAACTGGTTGTATTTCTGGGTACCAAGAGAGATTTTATGAAAGAATAGGTCTACTGTCTTTCTTAGCTCCAAGAGCCACCATTCACAGCCTGGCCTTTGAGAATGGCCTCCCACACAGCTTGTGCATCCAAATGTAACAGTCCCACCAAAGGTAATATGGTTATTCCAAGTGTGCAGAAAAGACAGTGAGTGAAACATGAGGAAGTGATAGCATTTAAAATAAAATGTATGTCTTAAAGGATTTTTAAAAGAGGTAACTCCAGGAAAGGTTATTTGATGATATTTTGCCTTATAAAGTGTCAAGTGACTGATGCTTTCAATTGGGAATTCTCAAGGCCAGGAGAACTATAATAAGGAGATGGATTCAGGAAATAACTGCATACAAATGGTGAACTATGTTAGTCAGTTTTGCATTGCTATAAAGAAGTACCTGAGACTGGGTAATTTATAAAGTAAAGAAGTTTATTTGACTCACAGTACTGCAGGCTGTACACAAAGCATAGTGTTGGCATCTGCTTCTGGTAAGGGCCTCAGGAAGCTTACAGACATGATGGAAGGTGAGGGGGAGCCAGCATGTCACATGGCAAGAGGGAACAGGTGAGAGGTGGGGGAGGTGCCACGCTCTTTTAAATAACCAGATCTAGCGTGAACCCGTAAAGGGAGAACTTGTTACCACGAGGGCAGCACCAGGCCATTCATGAAGTGTCCACCTTCCTGACTCAAATACCTCCCTCTAGGCCCACTCCAACATTGGAGGTCACACTTCAACATGAGATTTGGAGGGGACAGAGCATCCAAACCATATCATGAAGCATAAAAGCAATGATTCTTTAGGAAAACAAATATAAAGGCTATACATCGAGAGTCAAGAACAGATCGCAGAGCATTAACAATTTATTGGAAGTTAGACATCTGTGGGAGGTATTTTAGAGAGAAAAAGCTGAAATTATTTATAATTCCGTAGTAACTGTTAATGGAGCAGTGCATTCCAGCTGACATATATTGAACCTTTATTGTACCAGAAACGATGCTGTGTACTGTGAATAGAAGGACGAGAAAGTCTCTGCTCTCAAGGAGCCCTTAGTCTAGAGACGAGGTGAGCAGTTAATAGTATGGTACAGTATGTGTTCTGATTTGGGGGATGCACAGCATACTCTGGGAGCATATAGGTGGACATGTACCTACAACAGGCTAAGGTCAGACCCACCAAGGCAGGTCTGTGTGACATGTAAGAAGTAGAATTAACAGTAGCACTTGGCGACCAGTTGGAAATAAGAGATAAGAGCCCATGAGATTTCCAATATGGAAGACTGTGTAAGCACATTTGCCAAGATAGGAAAGGTACAGATTTCAGGGGGAAGAGGGGAAGTTCAATTTGAGCTGGTTGAATTTGAGATTCCTGTTGGATGGAGCTATTAGGCATTTGGATATAAAGATCTGAATTGGAGGGAGAGATTTGAATAATTAATAGATTTGGAGTCTTCATTAGAGGGGAACACATTGCACACAGTAGTGTGCCAGGAACTGTTCTAAGGACTTTACAAATACTAATTAATCCAATCCTCCCAGTGAACCTACCAGGTAGGTACTATTATAATGGAAGAGAATCTTTAGTGGAGACATTAATAGCTAGAGATGTGGTATCAAAGAAGCCAAGTCAAGAGAATTTTAAGTGGGAAATAGTATGAATGGTTATTTCTAAAGGCTTTGAACTGAACTGTTTCTACTTAGATTTTAAAGTACACTCCCGAAGTCTTTAATTTTCCTGTTAATTTAAATATAAAAGAAGCACTAATTTTATAAGTATATAACCATGCCACGCATGAATTTAAATGAAGTATGAATTGTATCAAATATAAACGAATGAGGCTACTGGTAAGTAGTAAGAGCCTGAACTTCGGAGCCAGCTTCACTGGATCTAAGCACCCCCACCCCTGCCCTACCCCAGCACAACCACTAACTATGCAACTAAGGCAATTAATTTTCTGTGCCTCAGTTTTCTTATCTATAAAATGAGGGCAATAATGTGCTTATCTTTTAGAATCATTGAAAATGTTAAATGAATGAGTACTTATAAACTCGGAACAGCTTCTAGTGAATTATTATGTGCTTAAAAACTTGAAACAGTTTCTAGTGGATTATTATGTGCTCTGCATTAGCTGTTTATTATCATCGGTATTGCTCTGTGATTTATCATTAGTATTATCTATATATGAATTTAGATTTCCTATTGGGATGCCAGTGATTCCAACAAAAGTTTGCTGGCAGCAAACAACTTGTATGTTACAGAGAGAGGGATAGTGTGTCAACCTGCAGTTTACCATGCTGAGTTCTAAATAAATATAATTTCCTGATCAGAAACAGTAAACCAGATTTTTTTTTTGCAAATGTGGAGAAAACCAAACAAATCTATATGTATGTTTATATGCATACATATGTGTATATACATGTGTGTATATTTAAAATTTTAGATTTTATTGTAAGTTTGAATCTCAGTGATGCCCCTTAACTTTTTTAACCTCAGTTTTTCCATCTATAAAGTGTAGGTTAATACATCATAGGTTTGTTGTGATGATTAAATAAAGTGACATATAGAAAGAGCTTATTTAGCACAGTGCCTAGTCTATAATAACCCATTCAGTAATTGGTAGCTGTTATTTCGTATTTTGACTAAACTAAGGATTTGTACAAGATAATACAAGATTATGAGTAGTCACTAAAGCGTATTCTATCCAGTTCACCCCTTTTCCTGCTTGCCAACTTAAAGTTCTAGGCCCAATACTACACTGTTTTTTCAGTTTGGATTACTTCTTGTATAGCTTTAAGTCATTTAGAAAATCAAGAGTGCAGTGTTTGTGCAAACTTTTTTTTTTTTTTTTTTGCTTTAAAATCCCTGTGGTTTTTCTTCTTATAGTTTGAAGGTGGTGAATCGTTATCCAGTGGAAACTTGTGTCAGAGGTCCCGGCCCAGTAGTGACTTAAACAACAGCACTCTTCAGTCCCCTGCTCACCTGAAGGTCCAGAGAAGTATCTCAGCAAATCAGAAGCAGCGGCGTTTCAGTGATCATGGTAGGGGAAAAAGTCACATAAGTGAAGCAACACACGGGTTCTTCCCAAATTTGTGTTTTTAAAGCATTGTACATTCACGTCTCTATGTGCTTGTGTTATCTAGTTCTCACAGACTTATATTACTGAATTATAAATATAATCCCTTTTGCAGGGACTGACCTGATTTTTGAAATCAAAATTTAATCTTCGTTCAGAGTTTAAAGCATGCAAATATGGATAATTTTAATACAGAGTTTTTGTTTGTGAGCAGAAAGTAGATCAGTTGTTTTTCAGCTCATTATGCTATTTTTAAAAAAATTATAGCTGGTCCATCCATTCCTCCTGCTGTATCATATACCAAAAGACCTCAGGCTAACAGTGTGGAAAGTGAACAGAAAGAGGAGTGGGACAAAGATGTGGCTCGAAAACTTGGCAGCACAACAGTTGGATCAAAAAGCGAGATGACTGCAAGCCCTCTTGTAGGGCCAGAGAGGAAAAAATCTTCAACTATTCCAAGTGTGAGTAAATACTCTGGTATATTGCAATTTATTGTAATAACTTGTTTTAGGGTTATGTGTAAAATTTTTATCTTTCATTTTTTTAAATGATTGAAAAATTTAAAGGGAATTATAATTTAAAGAACATGCAAAAGGGACCACACTTCTCATAAATGCAAGTTAAAAACAACAAAAAAGAATTCTTTTTTGCATGCGTTAACACTTAACCTCAACACAAAATGGTACATGAAACTTTCCTGCTTCATTTTCCTTTTTATAATGTTTATTTAATATTATATTGGCACATTTCATTTTTATTTACCAATAAGCTGTTTAATGAAGGCAGACTCAGTTAAATAATTAATTTATAAAGTTGCCTCACATTATTCACTTAAAACAGCAAACTAGAAATTATATAATGGGAACTAGAAGAAGATGCTCTCCCATAAGGCAGCAGGAAAGAATAGAGATAAGAAAATATAAAAGAAAACTAAGATATACGAAATGTAGAAATAAGACTTGGTAACATTCAGATAATAGGTGTTTTGAAAGGAAAGGGAGCAAAATGAAGGAGGAGAAATAGTTAAAGAAATAATAACAAAAAATAAAGAGGGAAGATTTCATTTTGAAAAGACCCAGAGTGACAAATAGAAGCCAGAAAGAAAACCTATTCCTGGACTCTTAAAATAGAATTTATAGATACCAAAAAAAAGATGAAGAATATTTTAAAGATTCCAGAGTCAGCGCAGACGACCTTAAAAGGAACAAGATTCTGTAGTCCCAGCTACTCGGGAGGCTGAGGCAGGAGAATAGCTTGAACCCGGGAGGTGGAGCTTGCAGTGAGCTGAGATTGCACCATTGCACTCCAGCCTGGGCAGCAGAGCGAGACTCCGTTTAAAAAAAAAAAAAAAAGGAACAAGATTCAGATTGACCTTAGGTTGATCAATAGCAACATGGATACAGTAAGATAAAGGGAAACATATTTTTAAAGTATTGAAAGAAAAGCTCATTGAGCCCAGAAATCTTATCTAGCCATGTTGTCATTTAAATATGAAGGTACAAAAACCATGTTCTTTGGCATAAAATGTCTCAACTGTTTTACTACACGGTGACCATTTGAAAACACCTTAGTTGGAGGAAGCATTCTTACGGGAAGAGAAATGAATCTAGAATGTTGCTGTAAAATATATAGGAGTTGAAAGTAATCAACTTACTAAAGTATTTTATGTAGTAACATAAGCAAAAAGAGGAAAATAATGAAAATTCAGAATCAAAACTCTGAATAGTATCCAGGGCATAAGGATAGAGGTGGAGATTAAAGAAATATAAACAAACACATGCCTTGTTAGGCAGATGATAGGAGTAAGTTTAAGAAATCATTAGCAGTTAAGAGAGCAGGCACAGTGGCTCACACCTGTAATCCCAGCACTTTGGGAGGACGAGGTGACTGGATCACTTGAGGTCAGGGGTTTGAGACCAGCCTGGCTAACATGATAAAACCCTGTCTCTACTAAAAATATAAAATTAGCTGGGCATGGTGGTGCACACCTGTAATCCCAGCTACTTGGGAGGCTGAGGCAGGAGAATCTCTGGAACCTGGGAGGCAGAGGTTGCAGTGAGCCAAGATCATGCCATTGCACTGCAGCCTGGGCAACAAGAGTGAAACTCCATCTCAAAAACCAAAAAAAAGAAAGAAAGAAAGAAATCATTAGCAGTAAGCAGCAAACATGAGTTCAGGAACTTAAGGGTGAACAATGTAAGAACAAAGAATTAAAACCTTTAAACCAGCAGAAGGAAAAAAAAAAAAACCTCAGCCTGTGGACAGGAGAGAAAAAAATTACTTTAAATAGCAAATGCAAGATAAGATACCAAAATGCGCAAAATTCCAAGTGGCTTCAACTCCCTAATACCCATTATTTTATGTAGTCCACTGGAGCCTTACCTCTTTTGAATATGGTTATGTATATTTGAATATGTATGTATGATATGATTAGATTATCACCTTTTAGTCTGTGGAACAGATGTGCATAACCACTTCAAGAATTGATGGATAAAACCACTTAGCTTCTACCTGATCTGTTTAGAAATGATTGAACTATAATGGGGCTTAAATTTTTTTTTTTTTTTTTGCTACAGAAGCCACTATTTGCCTTAGAGGACAGTTTCCAGTGTAATCACCCCACATAGCAGAAAGAAATAATTGGTCCCGTACTTTCTACCATTTAATATTAACCTGTCATTTGACTGAACTGAGTCTTATTTTTCCATGAACATACTCAGCTTTGTCTATCTCCATGTCTGTCTTTATGTAGTGCCCTTGCCTAAACAGTCCCCTTACATTATGAAAATTCCATTTCCATAGATCATTTCAAGTCTTGTCTCCTGGACAGAATCTTTTATGGCCAAATACTCCAAAACCCATCAGCTTTTTCAATTGCTTATCCTGTCATTTAGCTCTTAGCTGTTTATAT
Organism: Homo sapiens; assembly: GCF_000001405.40. NCBI lineage: Eukaryota > Metazoa > Chordata > Mammalia > Primates > Hominidae > Homo > Homo sapiens. Next base: position 220,638,477 of record NC_000001.11, read on the forward strand.
GCTGTCTTGTTTCATTCACTGTTGTTTTCCCATGTAAACCTTATCTCCCCAAATTTATAATCTGTTGTATATTGACACAGCAGCTTTCTCAGAGTCATTAGTGCTGAAGCATACAGTGTGTATTCAAAGCATATTTATTAAAGAAGGCATAAAAATTAAGAAATTAGTTTAAATTCAAATTAAATATGTCACACTTATTTATCATTTTTTTAAAAAAAACATAAGCGAAAAGATTTTGATAGAGAAATTCTGTTCTTAGCCACATAATACTATAATATATTGTTATTTACTGTTTTAATTTTGGTAGTTTGAGAAACCAAAGTAATATATTTTGTTTAATTTTAGCACTATAGGAGTTTCTAAAGTAAAATTAATCATCTCCTCTTCCCTATCCATTTCCTTTTAGTCTGAACTCCTAATTATAACTAGTGCTAATCATTTAGGATTAATTCTTCTATAGGTTTTCCTTCATTAAAGAAAACATAGGCTGGGTGCAGTGGCTCATGACTGTAATCCCAGCACTTTTGCAGGCCATGGAGGAAGGCTTGCTTGAGGCCAGGAGTTTGAGACCAGCCTGGGCAACCTAGTGCAACTTGATTTCTACAAAATATTTTAAAATTAGCCTGGTGTAGTTCCAGGCTAGTTCCAGCATGCCTATAGTTCCAGCTACCTGGAAGGCTGAGGAGGGAGGATGACTTGAGCCCTGGAGTTTGAGGCTGCAATGAGCTATGAGCTATGGTTGTACCACTGTGCTCCAGCCTGGGTGACAGAGTGAGAGACCCTGTCAAAAAAATAAAAATAAAAATAAAAATAAATAAGTGAATGTATATGTACACAGAGCATTATTTTATTTTACTTTTTTATAAAAATGAGATCATACTATGTAACATTTTAATTTATTTCACTTATAATAGTTTGGGGGTCCTTCTAGATCGGAACATCAAGATCTTTTTAATAGATGCATATTATTTCATTGGTATTAACAGATAGATATAATTTATTCAACCTTTCTTTTGGTGAAGTGTTCAGAGTTTTTCATTCTCCAGAGTGCACATCCTTATACATTTATGTTATTGGTATACTTCTATTAGAGGCATTCTCAAAAGTTCCATGTCTGGGTCTATGTGACTTCTTTTTAACCTCAGTGGCAAAGAGGCAGGCTCCTCATGCTCCTCAGTCCATGACACAGTCACCCTTGGTCTGTGCAGTCCCATCCCCACTGGCACTCACCTCACCTAAAACCTCAGCTCTGATGTGTCTTAGTATACTTGACTATGTGTATATCCTTGGAATATATACATTTAAATTTTTAATAAATGCTACCAAAGTAATTTTCCAAATGGTTGGGATAATTTAGAGAGTAGTTATTTCTCCACAAACTCATCAACAGGATATTATCAATCTTTAACATTTTTGCCAATCTGAAGGGCAAAAAGAAAAAAAAAGTTTCCATTTGTTTTCAATTTGCATTGTCTTGTCTATTGGTGACATTGATGGTGTGGCCCACAAAACCTAAAATGTTGACTATATGACTCTTTACAGAAAAAGTTTGCTAATCACTGCTTTAAAGCCAAAACACACAGCTTTAATACCTTTTCTTTGAGGTAATTTTTAGAAAGTACTTGAGCATTTACAATTCAAGCCCTGTAATAGTGTAAAATATTGCCTGAACAAATGAACATTTTTACCAGTGTCAGTAGAATATAATGGAAAACATTAAATCCATTCAAATGGCATGAAATGGTCCCTTGCTTTCTGATGGAAAAAGAAATAGTGCCCATAACATCCATAGGTAATTAACAGGTGATAGTACATTTAACGTTTATAAAATCAGAATTGTCTTAGTCAATAGTAAAAGCTCTTGCTTATAAGTATGATTCTATTGACAGTATTATTTAATATTAGTTTAGTATCTTGACTGAAGGATGATACTGGCAGATGATCTTTAAAACTGGCCAGTTGATAGCATGGGGAGAGTTTTGAGTTAAATAGTTAAATAGAATAATGGTTGGATAAATGTTTTGGTTAGTTATCTGAGTCATCTGTTTTATTGTTCATCACCCACAACCATCACAGACTAGAAATGAAAGGAGTCTCTCTTAGTTCATTTTGTGTTGCTATAACAGAATACCACATAATGGATACTTTATAAAGAAAAGAAATTTATTTCTTACAACTCTGGAGGCTGGGTAGTTCAGTATCAAGATGCCAACTTCTGGTGAGGGCATTATTGCTGCATCATCCCGTGGCATAAAGTGAGGTCAAGAGGGCACATGCAAGAAAATAAGAGGGGGCCAAATATGCTTTTTATAACAAAGCCACTCTCAGATAACTAACGCACTTTCACAAGAATTCCTTTGTGAGACTAGAGCCTAATCACCTCTTATCAGCCACACCTCCCAACACTTTTGCATTGGGGATCAAGCTTCTAACACAGGAACTTCAGGAGACACATTCAAACTGTAGCAGAGTATTACTATTTGTAAGTAAGGTGCAGGAAAAACAAACTTAATATTTTCCTTCTAGAAATTCCCATCCAAAAATTATATGTGGGAGTTCAGGGAAAACCCTTGACTAGCCTAGAAACTTGGGAGCTAAGTGTTGAGTTTTGAAGACACAAATATGTTGTGCTGTTTTTGAATCAAGAAAACAATAAAACTTGTAAAGGTATTTTCCATATTATCTATCACATGTGTGAGCAGTACAAAATATAAAATGATGTAAACCACTGTGGTATGAATCTTAGTGCCCCCTGCACCCTCTGCCAAAATTCACATGTTAAAATTCTAACCCTAAAGGTGGTAGTATTAGAAGGCAGGGCCTTTAGGAGGTGATTAGGTCATGAGGGCCCTCACGAATGGGATTAGTGCCCTTACAAAAGAGGCCCAAGGGAGCTTGTTCTACCCTTCTACCGTGTGAAATCACAACAAAAAGATGGCCATCTAGGAAGCGGGCCTTCACATGCTGAGTATCTCTGCACCTTGATCTTGATCTCACAGCCTCTAGAACTGTGAGAAATATATTTCTGTTGTTTATAAGCCAGCCAGTTTATGATATTTTTTTATAGCAGCCCAAACAGACTAAGACATGAACGCTAAGAAAAGTATTAATCAATTTTTTTACAAAATAAAGGGAAGAAGGAAGGGCCAAAGATGGCTGAGTAGAAACAATGCCTGTCTGCATCTCCCACCGAGAGGAACGCAAAAGGCGAGTGATTTCTGCCCTTCCAACTGAAGTACCCAGGTTCTTTCATTAGAACTAACTAGGTGATTGGTGTAACCCAAGAAAAGCAAGGAAAAGCGGCAGGGGTGGGGGTGGGCGGTTCACCCAGGAGCTGCACTGGGCAAAGGGACCTCCCTCCCCGAGCCAAGAGAGGCAGTGAGGGAGTGTGCTGCCTGCCTGGGGCACTACGCTTTTCCCACAGATTTTTGCAACTCATGGATCGGGAGATTCCCTATGAGCCTACACCACCAGAGCCCTGGGTCCCAAGCACAAAACTGGGCAGACCCATGGCAGCTGCCCCTGTCAGCAGCCGTTTGGACAGGCACTGAACTGCAGGAGTTTTTACATAATCTGGTGGCTCTCGAAACTCCAGAAAGGCAAGAGATTTGTCCACTCCCGTGGAAAGGGGGCTGAAGCCAGGGAGCCAAGCAGCCTCACTCAGTGGGTCCCCCTCCCATGGATCCCCCGCAAGCTAAGAGCCACTGACTTGGAATCCCCACTGGCCAGCACAGCAGCCTGGAGTCTGCCTAAGATGACCAAGTTCCCAGCGTTGGGGGCAACCGCCATTACTGCAGCTCTAGTCAGTGATTTTCCCCTGCCAGTGTTAGGGAGGCTGCATGGTTTGGACTGGGCTGTATTCCCCCACAGCACAGCATAGCAGCTGTGGCAGATCATGGCCAGACTGCTTCTTTAGGTGGGACCTGGATCCATCCCTCGTCACCAGGCAGGGCCTCCCTGCAGGAATCCCAGCAACTCCAGCCAGGGTCTTACAGACAGAACTCTCATCTCCCTGAGACAGAGCACCTGGGGGGAGGGGCAGCTGTGGTCTCAGGTTAAGCAGTCCTACCTGCTGACTCTGAAGAGTCTGGGCGTTCAGAATGAGGGCAATTCCCTGAGCACAGATCACCAGCTCCACCAATGGGCAGCCAGACTGCTTCCTTAAGGACGTCCGTGATACTGTGCTTTTTGTCTGGGTGAGACCTCCCAAGTGGGGTTAGTAGACAACTCATATGGGAGAGTTCCAGCTGGCATCAGGTTGCTGCCCCTCTGGGACGAAGCTTCCAGAGGAAAGAGCAGACAGCAATCTGCTGTTCTGCAGCCTCCACTGGTGATACCCAGGCAAACGGTCTGGAGTGGACCCCCAGAAAACTGCAGCAGACCTGCGGAAGAGGGGCCTGAGTGTTAGAAGAAAGACAAACAGAAAGCAACGACAAGTACATCAAAAAAGACCCCACAAAAACCCCATCCAAAGGTCAACAGCCTCAAAGATCAAAGGTACATAAATCCACGAAAATGAGGAAAAACCAACAAGAAAATGCTGAAAATCCCAAAAGAAGAATGCCTCTTCTCCTCCAAATAATTGCAACACCTCTCCAGCAAGGGAACAGAACTGGCTGAAGCTGAGATGGATGAACTGACAGAAGTAGGCTTCAGAAAGTGGGTAATAATGAACTTTGCTGAGCTAAAGGATTATGTTCAAACCCAATGCAAAGAAGCTAAGAACCGTGATGAAAGATTACAGTTGTTAACTAGAATAACCAGTTTAGAGAGGAGCTTAATGACCTGGTGGAGCCGAAAAACACAGCACGATGCAAACACAAGTAGCAACAGCCGAATAGACCAAGTGGAAGAGAGACTATCAGTTTGAAGACTGTCTTGGTGAAATGAGGCAGGCAGTCAAGATTAGAGAAAAAAGGATGAAAATGAATGAACGAAACCTCCAAGAAACATGGGACTATGTAAAAGGACTGATTGGAGTACTTAAAAGAGACAGGGAGAATGGAACCAAGTTGGAAAACACACTTCAGGATATCATCCAGGAGAACTTCCCCAATCTAGCAAGACAGGCCAACATTCAGATTCAGAAAATACGGAGGACCCCAATAAGATACTCCACAAGATCAACCCCAAGACACATAATCATCAGATTCTCCAAGGTCAAAACGAAGGAAAAAATGTTAAGGCCAACCAGAGAGAAAGGCCAGGTCACTTACAAAGGGAAGTCCATTAGACTAACAGTGGACCTGTCAGTGTAAACCCTGCAAGCCAAAAGAGATTGGGGGCCAATATTCTACATTCTTAAAGAAAATTTCCAACCCAGAATTTCATATCTGGTCAAACTAAGCTTCAAAAATGAAGAAGTAAAATCCTTTTCAGACAAGCAAATGCTGAGGGATTTTGCCACCACCAGGCCTGCCTTGCAAGAGCTCCTGAAGGAAGTACTAAACATGGATAGGAAAATTTGTTACCAGCCATTACAAAAACACACTGAAGTACACAGACCGATGACACTATGAAGCAACTACGTTAACAAGTCTGCAAAATTGGCCACCCAGCATTATGATGACAGGATCAAATTAACACATAACAATATTAACCTTAAATGTAAATGAGCTGAATACCCCAATTAAAAGACACAGAATGGCAAGCTGGGTAAAGACAAGATCCATCAGTGTGCTGTATTCAAGAGACATATCTCATGTGCAGAGACACACATAGGCTCAAAATAAAGGGATGGAGGAAACTTTACCAAGCAAATAGAAAGCAGAAAAAAGCAGGGGTTGCAATCCTAGTTTCTGACAAAATAGACTTTAAACCAACAAAGGTCAGAAAAGACCAAGAAGGGCATTACATAATGGTAAAAGGTTCAATTCAACATGAAGAGCTAACTATCCTAAATATACATGCACCCAATATAGAAGGACCCAGATTCATAAAACAAGTTCTTAAAGACCTACAAAGAGACTTAGACCCCCCCCCCCCCACACACACACAATAATAGTGGAAGACTTTAATACCCCACTGTCAGTATTAGACAGATCACCGAGACAGAAGATTAACAAGATACTCAGGACTTGAACTCAGCTCTGGACCAAGTGGACCTGATAGATATCTGCAGAACTCTCCACCCCAGAACAGCAGAATATACATTTTTCTTGGTGCCATGTGGCATTTACTCTAAAATTGATCACATAATTGGAAGTAAAACACTCCTCAGCAAAGGCAAAAGAACTGAAATCATAATAGTCTCCCAGACCACAGGACAATCAAATTAGAACTCAAGATTAAGAAACACACTCAAAACCACATAATTACATGGAAATTGAGTGACCTGCTCCTGAATGACTTCTGGGTAAATAATGAAATTAAGGCAGAAATCAAGAAATTCTTTGAAACTAATGAGACCAAAAAGGCAGTGTACCAGAATTTCTGGGACACAGCTAAAGTAATGGTAAGAGGGAAATTTATAGCACTAAATACCACATCAAAAAGCTAGAAAGATCTCAAATCAACACCCTAACATCAAAACTAAAAGAACTAGAGAACCAAGAGCAAACAAACCCCTGAGCTAGCAGACAAGAAATAACCAAGCTCAGAGCTGAACTGAAGGAGATAGAGACATGAAAAACTCTTCAAAAAATCAATAATCCAGAAGTTGGTTTTTGAAAATATAAATAAAACAGACCACTAGGTAGACTAATAAAGAAGAAAAGAGAGAAAATTTAAATAAGCACAATCAAATGATAAGGAGGATGCCACCATTGACCCCACAGAAATACAAACAACCATCAGAGAATACTAAAAACACCTCTATGCAAATAAACTGGAAAATCTAGAAGAAATGGATAAGTTTCTGGACACATACACCCTCCCAAGACTGAAAGGAATAGCTTGAATCCCTGAATAGACCAATAACAAGTTCTTAAATTGAGGCAGTAATAAATCGCCTACCAACCAAAAATAGCCCAGGACCAGATGGATTTACAGCTGAATTCTAATAGAGGTACAAAGAGGAGCTGAAACCATTTCTTCTGAAACTATTCCAAACAATTGAAAAGGAGGGACTCCTCCCTGACTCATTCTGTGAGGCCAACATCATCCTGATACCAAAATCTAGCAGACAACAAAAAACTTCAGGTCAATGTCCCTGATGAACATCGATGCAAAAATCCTCAATAAAATACTGGCAAACTGAATCCAGCAGCACATCAAAAAGCTTATCCACTGCGATCAAGTTGGCTTCATCCCCAGGATGCAAGGCTGGTTCAACATACGTGAATCAATAAATGTAATCAGTCACATAAACAGGACTAAAGACAAAAACCACATAATTATCTCAATAGACACAGAAAAAGCCTTCGATAAAATTCAACATCCCTTCATGTTCTCAATAAACTAGGTATTGAAGGAACATATTCTGAGTTCCTTAAAAATAGTAAGAGGCATATATGACAAACCCACAGCCAATATCATACTGAATGGGCAAAAGCTGGAAGCATTCCCCCTTGAAAACTGGCACAAGACAAGGATGTCTTCCCTCACCACTCTTATACAACATAGTATTGGAAGTTCTGGCCAGGGCAATCAGGCAAGAGAAGGAAATAAAGGGCATTTAGATAGGAAGAGAGGAAGTCAAATTGTCTTGGTTTGCAGATGACAGGATCCTGTATCTAGAAAATCCTATCATCTCAACCCAAAAGCTTCTTAAGCTGATAAGCAACTATATCAAAGTCTCAGGATACAAAATCAATGTGCAGAAATCACAAGCATTCCTTTACACCAACAACAGGCAAGCAGAGAGCCAAATCATGAATGAACTTCCATTTACAATTGCCACAAAGAAAATAAAATACCTAGGAATACAGCTAGCAACGGAAGTGAGGGACCTCTTCAAGGAGAACTACAACCACTGCTCAAGAAAATCAGAGGACCAAAGAAGATGGAAAAACATTCCACGTTCATGGATAGGAAGAATCAATATTGTCAAAATGACCATACTGCCAAAGCAACTTATAAATTCAATGCTATTCCCATTAAACCACCATTGACATTCTTCACAGAATTAGAAAAAAACTATTTTAAAATTCATATGGAACCAAAAAAGGGCTCGTATAGCCAAGATAATCCTAAGCAAAAACAAAGCCAGAGGCATCACGCTATCTGACATAAAACTGTACTACAAGGCTACAGTAACCAAAACAGCATGGTATTGGTACAAAAACAGGCATGTAGACCAATGGAACAGAATAGAGAACTCAGAAATAAAACTTGCATCTACAACCATCTCATCTTCAACAAACTTTACAAAAACAAGCAATGGGGAAAGGAATCCCTATTTTAACAAATTGTGCTGGGAGAACTAGCTAGCCATATGCAGAAAATTGAAACTGGACCCTTTCCTTATACCTTATACAAAAATTAACTCAAGATGGAGTAAAGACTTAAATGTAAAATCCAAAACTATAAAATCCCTAGAAGAAAATCTAGGCAATACCACTCAGGACACAGGCATGGGCAAAGATTGTATGATGAAATCGCCAAAAGGAATTGCAACAAAAGCAAAAATTGACAAATGGGATCTAATTAAACTAAAGACCTTCTGCATAGCAAAATAAACTGTCATCAGAGTGAACAGACAGTCTACAGAATGGAAGAAAATTTTTGCAATCTATCCATCTGACAAAGGTCTAACATCCAGAATCTACAAGGAACTTAAGCAAATTTACAAGAAAAAAAGAACCCCATTAAAAAGTGGGCAAAGGACATAAACAGACATTTCTCAAAAGAAGACATACACATGGCCAACAAACAAGAAAAAAAGGTCAACATCACTAATCATTAGAGAAATGCAAATCAAAACCATAATGAGATACCATCTCATGCCAGTCAGAATGGTGATTATTAAAAAGTCGAGAAACAACAGATGCTGGCAAGGTTTCAGAGAAACACTTTTACACTGTTGGTGGGAATGTAAATTAGTTCAACCATTGTGGAAGACAGGGTGGTGATTCCTCAAAGATTTAGAACTGGAAATATCATTTGACCCAGCAATCCCATTACTAGGTATATACCCAAAGGAATATAAATCATTCTGTTATAAAGGTTCATGCACACTTATGTTCATTGCAGCACTATTAACAATAGCAAAGACATGGAATCAACCCAAATGCCCATCAATGATAGACTGGGTAAAGAAAATGTGGTACGTATACACCACAGACTACTATGCAGCCATAAAAAGGAATGAGATCATGTCCTTTGCAGGAACATGGATGAAGCCAGAAGCCATTATCCTCAGCAAACTAATGCAGGAACAGAAAACCAACACCACATGTTCTCACTTATAAGTGGGAGCCGAATAATGAGAACACATGGACACAGAGAGGGGAACAACACACACTGGGGCCTTTCAGAGGAGGGCGGAGGTCGCGGGAGAGCATTAGGAAAAATAGCTATTGCATGCTGGGCTTAATACCTAGGTGACAGGTTGATAGGTGCAGCAAACCACCATGGCACACATTTACCTATGTAACCTGCACATCCTGCACATGTACCCTGGAACTTATAAAATAAGATTTAAAAATTAAAAAAAAAAAAGAAACAACATTTTAAAAAATAAGGGGAAGAAGAGATTTCTTTTAGGAAGACTCAAAAAGATTAAGAATGCTATAGTAAGTATAAAATACTGTATATAAACTTATGGTATAATTATATAAAATATCACTTTACTGTGAAAGAACCCCCAAAAAGTTGTTTACATGGTTGGTTTCCACATTGGGGAAGTTACCAAACTACAGTTTAAGAGTCTGCAAGGGTAGTTTTCCACCTAGTTCCCAAATCCTCAGCAGAAAGAACCTTACCTGCTTAGTGATAACTAGATCTTTTTTATTTGAACTAGGAAAGTCAGCTATAAAAGTTAGTTTTATATGAATGTATGACAAATGGAAGCAGTGACACTGTGTTTCCATAACTTTTGCATAATTGTATCTTAAATTTCCTTGGGGAAATACAACTGATGGTTGCCATACCTGAATGTCACTGGCATTGAAGCCCCAAGGCAAGGGAGGTAGAGTGGGAGGAGCACAAATTCAGAGGCACAGCTTGGAAGGAGAGATCCCATTCACCATCAGCCTTTGAAAAGGAAAGAAATGTCATTGAGAATAGCCAGAAACATTTTAGAGGCTTCTAGAAGATGTATGGTAGCATGATTTGACAAGGAATTAAGTTATTCATATGACAGTTTGGCCAAAATTATGAGATTATCAAAAGCAAATATTTTTATATTGGTACATTTGGTGCCCATGGGGTGATTTTACAGCTTTTCAGTAATCCTGTGCAGTTTTAATAATTGCCCAGGGTGTTTTTCCTGTTTCCTATTACGTATTTCTAAGATTTGTCCTCTAGATTTCAAATTTCCAGTTAATTTCTAGGGAATTAAATATTAGTAGCTTCTAAGAGTAAAGTAGGAAATAATTTAAGTGTTCAAAAATTAGGAATTTATTGATTAAAATAAAATATGGTATGTCTGTACAGTTGCATAGGCTACAGCTGTAAAACTTTAGTATCACTTGATGTGGATAGATGTTAATGACATGTTAAATGGGAAAGCAGGTAATGAAACAATTTCTTTCAAACTGTGAAATACGGATGACATTTCTAGTTTTTTGAGAACTTTTGTGTAAGTTAGTTTCATAATGCGTCTGCATAATCGAATCAATTTTCTTTGCCTTAATAACATGGACCAAGTCTTTTTTTTTTTTGGGGGACAGGATTTCACTCTGTTGCCCAGGCTGGAGTGCAGTGATGCAATCACAGCTCACTGTATTCTTCTCAAGTTCTTGGGCTCAGGTAATCCTCCCACTTAAGCCTCTCGAGTAGCTGGGACTACAGGTGTGTGCCATCACACTCAGCTAATTTTTTTGTATTTTTTGTGGAGATGGGGTTTTGCCATGTTGCCTAGGCTGGTCTTGAACTCCTAGCCTCAAATGATCTGCCCTCCTAGGCCTCCCAAAGTGTTAGGATTAGAGGCATGAGCCATCACAATTGGCCTACATGTTCCAAGTCTTACCTAAACATTTTAATAATCTTAGCCTGTTTTGCTACCATACTTTTATAGTTTTTAGCATATGCTTTTTATATAACTGGTGACAAAATTCCTTCCATCTAGGAACCTGCACTACTGAAAAATTTTAAATCTGTATTCAGTTTTGTTTATATGAGTTTTTTTCCTTCTTCAAAGTGAATTCAAGCAAGTATCTATTAAGTTTGTAGCCCTCATGATTCAACAATGTTTAGGTTGCTTATATATTTTAAATGCTGGGTTAGTCAAAAGTAGCAAAAATTTTTGTTCTGTTGGGTAAGGATTAAACAGAAGAGTATTATATCCACATTGAAAATCATTTCTGTATATTTTATTACTGGTGAGTAGTCAAGGATTTGGCAGGCACAACAGTGGGTTACAGGTCAAAGGTTGTGTGCATGGTAAGGAGAATTACCTGCCTATCCCTTTTTGCTTATTTTCTCTCTTCTCTCCAAGGCTCCTCAGACTTGGCCTGCCTTCTAGCTCAAACCTGAGACTCGAGGAAATATCTTCAGGGTGGCACTGCACACACCACTGTTGGTGGCCTCAGCTGGACATGCCTTTGATCCTGGGGCATTTAGTCTGCTTAATATTCCTGGTGGTTGAGAGAGTTTCCCAAGCAGGTGAAGAAAGGCAGCCCACTGGCTTCTGAGTGGGCATGCCATCTTCACTGCCCGAGGCTCCTGTTGGTGATGATACTTAGTGTGGAGTTGGCTTGCACTCCTTGTTACTTAGAGCTGCTCACACCCCTGCTCCTGCCCTTTCTCTACCACCAGCTCACAAAGGAGGGAGTGAATAGAAACCCAGCTCTCCTATTGCTTCCAAACTGCTGGCTGCTATTATAGGAGGATAAGCTAAAACTGTAATGAGTTCATTTTTGATGCTTTGTCTTTTACTTCTGAAATCTAAATTAGAGAGAGGCAGGGGATAATCTTGTTAATATAAGATTCTGATCAATTAAAATTCTGTGGATTTTTCTCAAAGTCAGCTTAAATACATTTCTTTGGCTTTCCACAAATATATTTATAATTTTTTAATTGCCTTTTTTTTATTCTTGAAGAACAATGTGTATTCTGGAGGTAGCATGGCAAGAAGGAATACATATGTCTGTGAAAGGACCACAGATCGATACGTAGCATTGCAGAATGGAAAAGACAGCAGGTAAATGCCACAGTGCCAAGTAGTAATACCTTTGCTGTTGTTCTGTGTTAGTGCCCTTGCTGAAATGCCTGCAGCCGAATGGGTCAGGAGAAAAGCAGTTATTACATGAAATAGTAAGATTGCAACCAACCGTTCTTAGTAAGACATCTTTCCTGTACCAGGATAGAAGGATGGGAAAACATTTAGAGAAAACAAGAAACAAATCTCTTTACCTGCCAATTTCTGAGTAAAATCTGATAGTAAATATTTTTCTATAACAAAGCAGATCATACCATCCTAATTTCATCTTCATAATTTGAATCTTATTCTCTTATGCACCTGCTGCCTCCTTCCCTTTCACTTCCCATCAAGTCATTGCTGTATCTCAATAAAGGCTTTATTTTTCTCCCTCTGAAAAAAATGTGACCATCTTATTTCTCATCATTCAGAACCACATAATTTTTAAAGTGTTTTATTTCAAATAATAATAAATCATATTATTTTTATTACTTAAAAGATGTGTCTTCTTTCTATCATGAGTCACAAGGACTACTCATCAATATAGTACAAAGACATGGAGCCTATTCTAATGAAATTATTTTCTTAGTACCACCTTCAGTCATTTCAGTAGTGTGTACAACCCATTCTCACATTTGTTTCTTCTCACTTAATAAGAATGTAAAGTAAGTGCTATTGTAAGGCATACAAAGAAAAATGTATCTTCTTTGGACATAAGATAATTGGAAATTGATTTCAGACTTATGATTTTTCCTATACTAAATTTTAATCTGCAGCTCCTTTAATCTGCAACAGTTAACCTATTGACTCATAATATGATCTAAAAGTGTTTTGATGAATCTAGAGATAATATTTTTGGTATAATTATCAATTCTGATTGTATGAATAATGGACAATGAACTACAGCAACATATCACACCAAACTGTGACTTTGGGGAAGTAAAAAATGACTCCAGTCATAATAATTTTATCTGAAACTATCGTATATCCACAAAAATAATTTTGTACTTTCTCACATTTACATACATAGTGTGTGTGAGATTTTTTTCATAGATGATAGTGATAAATTCACCCTGTATACTTTTCATAAGAATATTAATTGTTTTGTTAGTCATTAATAATGCCACTAATGTTAGTTTCTTTCAAATGTTTCAGTCATGAAAGGTGTTAGTCAGTTTAGATTTTTTAAAATATAGTTCTTAAATTTTAGTAAACCACAAATTTTCCTCTTTTTTTCCATGGTCTTCTCAACTGCTTTATGGTGAAAGCCTTACGGAGATGTCTGTGAGTAGCATATCTTCTGCAGGCTCTTCTGTGGCCTCTGCTGTCCCCTCAGCACGACCCCGCCACCAGAAGTCCATGTCCACTTCTGGTCATCCTATTAAAGTCACACTGCCAACCATTAAAGACGGCTCTGAAGCTTACCGGCCTGGGTAATGTGTTGGTTACATCTCATTTTGTTCATTAAGAGTTTCTAAAAATATAGCACCATGTGAAAATACATGATAGTCACCATCACATTAAGACCTTTCTAATAAGATTCAGTGTTTGTTATGGAGGAAAAATTGAATTGTAACATAAACTTTCTATGTACTTTGGCTGTTATTGGAAATGTTGCATATAACTTAAATCATTTTCTAGAGGAATTTTTTTAAGGATTTGATTTTACATCCGTCTATAAAGTTAAAAATTGCTGTTTAATTTGTCATTTAGGTAAATTGATTTTTTTATTATTTAAACCATACGAACAAACACTAGACTGTGAGTTGAGACCCGCAGATAATGATCAGGCTCAATTCCTTGTTCTTAATAAAACCAGGCTTCAGTTTTCCTGTCAATGAAACTGATGAACTCAAAGAGCCTGTTCAGATATAAAATTGTATAATTGTTTTTCTAGTATTTTTCTATTTTAAGATTTCCCAAATTCAGTACATCTGAACATTTTAACCCTCTGTTAGATTTGTTAGGCATATTGGTGGTGCCATGTGGTATTGTAGCATCACTGAGGCCTAAATTAGAAATAGGAAATTATTTTATTCAAAGCCTTTTTAATAAACAATAAAATTTGTGTTCAACATTGCTAAGTGGTTTCAGGAGAATATTAAAAAAATATTTGCAGTACTCCTGGTTTGGCATTCCTGATACTGAAAAGTATTTATCTTTGTGTCCCTGTTTCAGTCATTTCTTGATTTTTAGTGACCAAACAAAAGGTACCTAATTTCAAACTGAAATTTTACTCCAAACCCATGTCTCACATCTCTAATGTGAACAAATAAAGTAGGGCCAAAAGAAGTAGCCATAGCTATTTGTTTCAAGTTTTTAGCTTGAGTGAAAGGTTTTCTTGTCATTATTCTGAATGATATATCTTAATTTGTCCCAGCAGTACAACCCAGAGAGTGCCTGCTGCTTCCCCATCTGCTCACAGTATTAGTACTGCGACTCCAGACCGGACCCGTTTTCCCCGAGGGAGCTCAAGCCGAAGCACTTTCCATGGTGAACAGCTCCGGGAGCGACGCAGCGTTGCTTATAATGGGCCACCTGCTTCACCATCCCATGAAACGGGTGCATTTGCACATGCCAGAAGGGGAACGTCAACTGGTATAATAAGCAAAATCACATCCAAATTTGTTCGCAGGTCAGTACCAATGTACTGTCGTGTTTTGATTCCTCTAGAAATTATAAAGGAAACTAGACTTTTTAAAAAAATCTTTATAATAATTTTCTAAAATGGTTTCATAACATTTCATTAGAGCTGCTCTTTTACAGAGTTGGAAGAAAAAAATCTAGGAAGACATAAAGTATTTTTCCTTAAGAGAGAGAAAGGAAAAAATGGACAAAATGAGATTTTAAAAATCTGTAAAATAAAATGGAAAGAACAAAGACTTAACTTCAAAAATGTGTGTTTTAACAAAAGATTATTTTATATTTAAAAGCCTTGATTGAGGAAAAGAAATGAGTTTACATGTTTCCTTCAAATTTATCTTGACAATACTTTTAAATTGCTTACTAATAATATATAATTTACATTTTTTTCTTCTTGCATAAAAAGCCTACACACCAGAGTCACAGATCACTTATGCAATTTTACATCATAAAACCTTATCATCAAAACATAGTAAACACAAAATGAATACATGTATAGTAAAGGTCTAATCTACTTAAACAATACAATTATACTTTCTAAAAAGTAAGCATACTTACTATGCTTACTATGCATACGTGTACAGTGCACATTGATGATACAAGTTGCTACTACAATGCAGGCTGATGTGGATTTCATCTATTCCTGGTCCCACTAAATGCCTACTTAAGCCCTGCGACAGACAAAGCACTGTGTTAGGTGCAGAACAGAATCTAAAGATAGGTAAGATGGCATCTGTGCCCTCCAGATTCTTATAGTCTTGTAAGAAGCAGACAAACAACTAGCCATGATATAAAGCAGAACATGTGCTAAAAAGTGTGGGCAACATGCTGGATTCCAGAGGAAGACACAATTGTTTCTATCTAGGGAGACAGTGAAGGCACCCTATCATATAATCATTTCAGCTGAGCCTTCAATGATGGGTAAGAAATAATTATACTTGCTTTAAGAAATACTAATTAAATACTTAGTTTCCAATGTTATTAGTGTTTCTAGGATTTCAAAGAGTGGATGTGGAAAAGAGAAGAAGCAGCTTCAGTCTTACTTGCCTTGTCATGGAGCTATTTATAGGCTTGGTTCATACATCAGTTTGCCCAGTATCACATAGCTGAATTAAAAACTTTAAAGCCTCAAATGTAACATAAATTTCTAACCATATCAGTCAGTGACTTTGTACCATTGGGGCAATTACTATGCAGCATGAAACTTGCTAGAGAAAGAACTAAAAGTTCACCAACAGAGTCAGCATGGAAGTTAGATCATAGTGTTAGCCGGCCATCTGCAGGGTACTAGTCAGATTATCAGTAGTTTCTGCTTTTGGAATTTGTCTATTTAAGGCCATTTCAAAAAGCCAGTACTTTCTCATGGTTAAGCCAGAATTAATTTTAAAGTGAAGAAAAATAGGTTTATAGTTTAGTGCTTGATTACTAATTGTGCATTAAGCATTGTGCAAAATATTTCTCTTAACTGCAACAAAAATTTAGACTCTAGGGGAAACAGAGTACTTTGGAAAGGAAGTCGTGAGATAGAATGCCAAAGCAAGAAAGTGCCTTAGAGCTGGTCTGTTGGGAGGTTCTGATAAAGATTGCCATATAGTCTTTGAACACATATGTGGAGACCTACTACACGCAAGGCCCTTTTGTAGGAGCTATTGCTACGGCAGTGAGTGAGACTGATGGGTCTCCTGCCTTCCTGTGAGCAACTTACTATCTTGAAACATTCCACACATTTAAAGCGTTTCCCTTGCTTGGCTCTGGTTTTCTCCTACCTCACAGACTAGCTATCACTTCTCAGGCTCCTTTGCTGGCTTTTTTCAGATTCCCTTGCCTTTCCCCCAACCTCTAAATATTAGAATGCCCCAGAGCTCAGTCTTTGGACACATTTTTTTCTCTGGTTTTCCTTACACTCTTGGTGATCTCAGTCAGGCTCATGACATTAGATTCCGTCCTGTATGAACAACTCCTAACTGTATCTCTAGCGCACATCTTTCTGCTGAACTGCAGACTCATATCCAACTGCTGCTCAGCCTCTCCACTTAGATACGTTATAGACTCTGAAACAGAACATGTTCAAAAGTAAACTCTCGTTCCTCTTCCCAAACCTGTCCCTCCCTCATTCTTCACCGTGTTAGAAATTGGCAGCCTTGTCCTTACAGTTGCTCAGACCATAAGCCTTGGAGTTATCCTTGACACTTCTTTTCCTCATACCACCTCAGATCCATTGGCAATTTGTGTTGGCTTTACCTTCACAGCATTTCCAGGATTTAACTGCTTGTATCACTCCCGCCACTGCCTTCATACTCTGAACCACTATTCATCTTTCACTTCCTCATAGGTCTCCTAGTTTCTGTCCTTGTCCTCCTCTTCTGTTTCAGCAGTGTCATGTCAAGTCTGATCATGTCACTCTTAAATTTAAAGCCCCTGATTAGCTTTCACCTTGCTCAGAATACAATTCTGTGCCCTCACTGTGGCCTGTGGGGCCTTGTGTAACCTGGCCATCCATTTCTGCTCTGACCTCTTCTCCCACTCTTCCCCTTGCTGCTTCCACACCAGCCACACAGGGACCAGACTGTCCTCAAGTACATTAAGCACTGCTTTGGCATTGTGTACCTGCTATTCCTTCTGCCTGGAATTCTCTGCCCTGAATACCTGCATGGCTCACTTCTACACCAAACCTTATGATTTTCTAACCATAGCTCATTCTTATATAGGGAACAACCCAGTTTGTTCAGTTGAGTATATATTGCTATCTGTAGGTAATTGTTTTTTAAGTGTTAAGTGTTGGAGAGCATGCTGTGCTGCATATGCTGTTAGAGCCAGCTGCACCTTCTGTAGCTCCATCTGCCTCCTACCATGGCTACTTAAAGCAGACTTCCTGGGCTCTTTGAAACAATTGCCAAGTAGCAGAAATTTTTCCAATGTTCCTACTGGCATCCAGGTAGGCAGGAACAGGGTATGGGTCAATTGCTATTTCAGTCAATTACAGCAGAGGAGATAGGGTCTAAGGGACATTTCACTCCTAATGTTTTAAGTTTGGCAGCTGTGGTATAGGTGTTTGCTAATAGTGAATAATAAAGCATAATATAAATAGGACAGAAAAGTCCAGTGAGATTTTTGTCCCTTCCTAAAGGAATTTTGTCTTAGCAGTGGGAGTCAACAGCATTACTGTCTTGCTTGCCAAGTTGGTATACTGCCCATCTGTGTATATCAGTTCATCTACATGTAACTGAAAATGTACATTTCACTTTCAGCCTGCTCAAAAATGTTTTATTTATTTCAATGTGCTATAATAAAAATGGATTTGTATAGATGGCATTGAATTTTTATTATACTTCCCAATGAAAATGCCAGTTATTAAAAATAGAAATTTAAGAAATTACATTTGAATGTGAGAATACATTTTAGTATTCTTTTAAATTCAGATAGAAAAATTTTTTTTTTCATAATATGTTTGTTAAGAAAGGCATGTATTAGTTAAAGACCCTGAGAGGCATAAGGCGTTCATATTCTTAAGAACAATTTAAAATTTTAGGGCTTGGTATGTGGGTGTGTTTTATGAATTTGGGGGATGGGAGAGTACCACTGATTTTATTCTTATTGCATTCGTTTTACATAAATAATAGAAATGTTTCTGGAATGGCTAAAACATTAAGACAGTATTAACTTAAGGATTCAAGTTGGTGATTTTTCCCACTATTTAATAGTATTTTACCCTTTATCACAAGATATTTAATTACCTTTAAAAATAACAAAGCATTAAAATTTTGGTAGACTTCAAAAATATTAATTACATGCAACACAGAACAATTAGTAGTGTTTTCCTGGTTTTATTTCGCAGGTGGATATCCAGGTAAGGTCAGTGTTTTTATTTAAGATTGAATCCGTGTTTTTAGACTTGCCTACATGGATAGGCTGTTAATTTGCTGTGATATTTTATCATGTGCATGAATTGTTAGCATAACTTCTAAAAGAAATTGCTTATTTGGAAATTGGTGTTTATTTGCTAACTACAAGGTTAATGTATATATTTTCTAAATTGAGCGACTACTAGAATTATACATAATTACAAATTTGAAGTTGAATCTTGCTATTGATAATTATTAAATAGTTTTAACTTTAGATTAAACTAAACCAAAAGATAAATTATGACTTCAAATGAATCATGGCTGGGAATTGGAAGATTATGAAAAAAAAATTTCAAACTTTCACCTCATATTGCCTCTTGACAAAAATGAGTAGACGCTCAATAAATGATAAATTACATGCGGTTATGGTGAAAAATATGAGAAATAGTCTCAGACTGACTAGTAATAGAAAACTGTCATGGTAGAAGTTTGCTCAACAAGCTAATTTTAAAATAATTTTAGATATAGGTTTTCTTGATATATTTTTTACTTTTATCATTAAATCTCAACCTTCACTTTGTTTTGAGGGATCCAAGTGAAGGCGAAGCCAGTGGCAGAACCGAC
The DNA here is from genome assembly GCF_000001405.40 of Homo sapiens. NCBI lineage: Eukaryota > Metazoa > Chordata > Mammalia > Primates > Hominidae > Homo > Homo sapiens. The sequence continues at coordinate 220,657,827 of NC_000001.11, forward strand.
ACCTCAAGGTGAGGAGCCACTATTAATACTTCGCTGCTAGGTCCCTGTGTATGAAAACGTACTTTTGAAATACTTACAGCACTTAATGATCATGAATAGATCTAATAACTAGATAGCATGCGTATTTTAGATTTTTATATTGGGGTGGGTTTTCATAATGTTACCTAGCATTCAAGTCAGTCAACTTTAAGTTTGTTTTCCAAACATGCATTTGAATTGTGTACTTGGTATAGAAATAGGCTTTCTGTTCTATAAAGTATGTCAAGCTAAAGAATTAATAGATTAAATGTACTGATATTTTTCTCACTAAAGTAATGTAACTAAAATTAGTCTGAGTCAAATAGCACAAATAACACAGAACAGGGAGATAATTACATGTAGGAAGATTTGATATTAGTAATATATTTTAGGTGATAATTCAGTGTTTGACCACATTTAAAAATTCTATCCAGGCATACTTTTGGGGATTTCTTTTTTTGACATTTCATGCTAGTTGTATATTCATTCTGGCAATGGGTTTCATACTTGAGCACAATCAGAATTACAGGGAAGGCTTGATAAAAAGGTTGCTGGATCCCACTCCCAGGGTTTCTGATTCAGGGGCCGAGGCAGGTGCCTGTGCATTTGCATTTCTATCAAGTCCCCAGGAGATGCTTATGCTGCTGTTCTAGGGACCACATTATGGACATGTTAGTACTTGTGTTCATATTTTACAAACGGGAAATTTAAGAAATGAAGACATTAATTTATTTTGAGTGTACCCAAGCATTAAGGGATGCAATGTAAATTTTACAACCAACAAGTATTCCACAGTATGAAAGGCTCTGGCTTCATTCAGGAACGATTGTGACCAGCTGAACACAAACCTCCAATTTGATTTCTACTTTTCAAGTTACTTAAAATATAAAACATAATTAACTTTGGAAAACTATAGCATTCCCATGTAGTCTTTTTAACAAACTGTGCTATATTTACATTTAGTAATAATAGTTGAAATGTTTCTTTGTAGAGTTAGGTACCTGAGTCACCACAGTAGGGAGCCACAGGGGAGCAAGACAAATATTCTTCACTTTCTTCTGCCTTTTATAGAAACATGGAGGACTTGTTCTTAGCCTCTCCCTCACTTAGTCTTCACTTTTGAGCCCCTCCTTGCATTTCATCCTATATTTCCACTAAATTTCCCTCTGAGACATTTAGTAGTGTGTGGCATTGCAAGTGGCCCTTAATAGTTGCATTTTTGTCCTTTTAATGTAACTATATAATTTTATTACATTATAAGAATTAGTAACTGATATTTTATAAATGTTTACACAATACTTTTCACATTCCCTTTTGTTTGGTTGTTGTTGGGTTTGGTTCTATTTTTGCTTTTGAACTGACTTATTGAATACTAACTATAAAGTACTTTCTGATCATTTAATTTTCACAACAACTAGGTGAAAATGCCTATTTTACAGATGAAAAAAAACAGCAAGGAACATAGGTGGGATCAAGCCAGCTATAATAAGGTTCTGTCATTTCAGGGAGATGAGGTGATACTGTGGTTAGAAGTATAGGTTCTCAGCCAGAGTGCATGGGTTTCAGCTATGTTCCACCACTTACCTTACTGTGTGGCTTTGGGGAAGTTACTTCAACTCTGCGTGCCTCCATTTCCTCACTCTAACTGCCTCATAGGGTTGTTCTGAGGGGTAAATGAGTAATTAATACATTTTAGGCACTTAGGACAATTCCTGCACCTAGTAAGTACTCAATAAATGTTAGCTGTTATTATATTAATATCCACATTTCCAGGAGCTTTCTACAATGGACATTATCAGTGGTAATGTCTGTGAGACCATGCAGAAAAATATTTCATTGTCTTAAGGTCATCTTAAGGTGGAATAGAAGGAAACTAGACTTAGAATAATATCCCTAAATTCTAGTCTTCACTTTTCAACTCATTAGCTCTATAACTTCAGAAAACTAATTTTTTTTTTTCTTCTGAGACAAAGTTTTGCTCTGTTGCCTAGGCTGGAGTGCAGTGGCACGATCTCAGCTCACTGCAACCTCCACCTCCCAGGTTCAAGCAATTCTGCCTCAGCCTCCCAAGTAGCTGGGATTACAGGCGCTTGCCACCACACCTGGCTAATTTTTGTATTTTTAGTAGAGACGAGGTTTCACCATGGTGGCCAGGCTGGTCTCAAACTCCTGAGCTCATGGTCCTGCCACCTTGGCCTCCCAAAGTGCTGAGATTACAGGTGTGAGCCACAGAAAACTAATTTTAAGTTTTCCAGCCATCAGTTCCATCTTTAAAATGAGTGCTCAGTCAACTGATCTCTCAGGACCCTTCCAGGATGCCGATTCCACCAGAATTATACATGTGACCTTGGTAAATGACTCTGGTTGGCTTGCAAGCCCTAAGAGGCCTGTGATGCAATGGCTTAGATTCAGTGGGCAAAAAGAGAAAAATAGAGAACACGATGAAGTAAATACTTTCCATACTTATTAATGGTCTTTGGAAATTTATTTTCTCTACGTATTCCTTTCCTTATTTTCTCAAGATTGCATAGTTTGCAGAGCTTTGGGGACTCAGATACCTAGGCTCAGACACCTGGAAATGAAGTAGATAATATATATAAAATTACACATGAATATATATCATACTATTGATACAAAATGTATATATATTAATTTAAAAGATGTATGCAGTAGATTATAAACTCCTTTCAAGGGACTTTTTTTTTCTTAAATCACATAAGTGAGATAGGTTAACAAGTTGCAATTATAACATCTCTATTTGGATAATTGTTCAAGAAATTTAATTACAGGATTTTCTGTATCACGAATAATCTATTAACTTTGATGAAGCTATGAAGGTTTCTTTCTATGACTGTTTGAAATAGGCTTTTTGTTTCCATATTACTTGGGGGATGCCTGCAATAAGTAAAATTCAGTGAGATTTAGTCATTTAACAAATATGTTAATTATTACTATGTACCCAGCACAGTTCTAGATGCCCGAGATATATCAGTGAATGAAATAGACAAAATTCCTTGCCCTCCTGGAGTTTACAGTCTAATGGTAGATTCAGACAACACCCTAACAAATGGGTTAAATAATATGTTAGAATGTGTAAGTGCTATCAAGAAAAATAAAGCAGGCTAAGGGGGCTTGGCCATGCTAGGATAGGAGTTAGGGTACAATATGAGCAAAGATTTGAAAAAAGCAAAGGAGTTAGCGTCGCAGCCATCTGGGGAGAAGCATTCATGACAGAGGGAACAGTCTGTGCAACAGCCTTGTGGCAAGAACATAACCCGTGTGTTCAAGGAGCAGCATGGAGGCCATTGTGTTCTGATAGGAGTGAGGAAGGAGAAAAATTCTAGGAAATGGGATTGGGGGTAGTAGGAGTTGGAATGGAAGTCATGGGGAACGTTGTAGACTGTTTTAAGGATGTCTTTAGTGAAATGAGAAGTCACTGGAGGACATTGAGATGTGTGGTATAATCTAACATCTTTACCTAATTGCAGTACAACATTCTTTCTCAACCTTACCAGGTAAACGAATTATCTTTCCCTCTGAAGTTACGACATTCCTCCTATCCAAAAAGGCAGAAAAAAGAAATTTTTTATATTTCAAAAATGTATATTTACAAATAGAATATTAGTGGTTCCTATTTTGTGTGTGTGCTTGAACAGAGAAATATGGAACTGAAGAAGGTATTAAGTTCTTCACTTTCAGTTGCAGACTTGTTTCCCTCAAACCACTTATATTTAAGAAAAATGCTATTTTAGATTGACAATATTAAAAGTCAAAACAGATGGCATCTTGGGGTGTGTTTCTGTAACAGCAAGATAACATAAATCTTTGCGTCCATCTGAGGGTGGTCTGCAAATTAGGTAGTGTTATTAGGCACTGAACTATGACCACTTAGATTTTATGTGTGTTTTGATCTCTTTGCTGAGTGAAATATTTGCTTTCATTCTTTCCCTTTGCCCTCTTGTTCCAGAAGTACATCAGGGGAACCAAAAGAAAGAGACAAGGAAGAGGGTAAAGATTCTAAGCCGCGTTCTTTGCGGTTCACATGGAGTATGAAGACCACTAGTTCAATGGACCCTAATGACATGATGAGAGAAATCCGAAAAGTGTTAGATGCAAATAACTGTGATTATGAGCAAAAAGAGAGATTTTTGCTTTTCTGTGTCCATGGAGACGCTAGACAGGATAGCCTCGTGCAGTGGGAGATGGAAGTCTGCAAGTTGCCACGACTGTCACTTAATGGGGTTCGCTTCAAGCGAATATCTGGGACATCTATTGCCTTTAAGAACATTGCATCAAAAATAGCAAATGAGCTTAAGCTGTAAAGAAGTCCAAATTTACAGGTTCAGGGAAGATACATACATATATGAGGTACAGTTTTTGAATGTACTGGTAATGCCTAATGTGGTCTGCCTGTGAATCTCCCCATGTAGAATTTGCCCTTAATGCAATAAGGTTATACATAGTTATGAACTGTAAAATTAAAGTCAGTATGAACTATAATAAATATCTGTAGCTTAAAAAGTAGGTTCACATGTACAGGTAAGTATATTGTGTATTTCTGTTCATTTTCTGTTCATAGAGTTGTATAATAAAACATGATTGCTTAAAAACTTGTATAGTTGTCTAGATTTCTGCACCTGAATGTATGTTTGATGCTTTGATTTGAAAATGTTCTTCCCTGTTATTTACATTCTGGTGGGTTTTTAAAATTCTTACCTCCATCATGCAATTTTGAAAATTGTGTCCAGAATTAAAAGTGCATAGAAATAGCCTTTACAATTGTAGCATGGACCTTTAAAAATTGTTTTAAAATCTTATTTAAATTTAAACCAGAAGCTGAAAAATAGATCAGCTTTATTATACACAAAATTATTACTGCTTATCTTTGCTCTTTTCCTTGTTATCCCGCAAGGTTTAGTTGAGAAGATACAAAATGTTTACAGTGTTGGCACTTAGAGTTTTTAAATTCAAGTACATGAAATTCAGTAATAGCATTGCCTTGAGCTAACTAGGAAGTACCGGGAAAAAAGTTAAATCTACATCAAGTTTCTTTTGAACTTTGAAGTGTTTTCTGACCCACTGCTAACTGTAGCAACAAAATTTAAAAGAAAAAAAACATACTTTATCTGGCTATTATAACATAAACTGTCACGTAGGTTTGCTGCCTTCAGAATACCGCAATTTAATTGCGGGAATATAATAATATTGGGACTGTTTCACAGCACAAACTCATCTTTACAGTGTTGATCAATGCATCAGTTAAGAAATAATGCCACCTCAGGAATTAACTGGCATTGGGAACATTTGCCTCATTCTCCTGCTATCCTCTTCATTCACCCCTGCCACTGTAATATCTATAAGTACTTAAGAGACTTGTGAGCAAAACATACTATTTATAACAGTATATGATTGATTTATGCTTATGTGGTTGTTCAGTTTGTTCCCATGTAACTCGTTTGTTTTAAATATTTTGCCAGATTTCTTGTATTTATTCCACATCATTATGCCTATAATGTGCCGCTTTGTGATTGGGCATTTGCCTACTTTTCTTTCATAATTAGTGATATATGCGATGTAAAACCACTAGTAAAGGTACATTTTAATACTTGTTATTTTATACTGAATTAGCCTTGGAGGTTGACTGTGCAATGTTATTTACTGTTGTAATTACTGTAATACCAACATATGGGCCCCATCTGCACACTCCTGAAAAACAGAAAGTGTATTCAAATTTTATCAGTTTAAAGAAAATAAAGCTGTGATAAATACTGTAATTCCAACCTACATTAGAAGGTCTAAGTGTAGGTGATGTGCCATTCCATAATGGCTTCCAGACTAGGGTGAATTTTATGTTCTGTACTGTACTGTGATGTAGCTTTCTTCTGTAACAGTTATGTTTTAAAATTAAGTGAGTTTTTTTTTTGCCTTAGCAAAGGGTGGTGTTTGAAAAAAAAAATGTGTAGCCCCTTTTTAACCTAGTGTTCATTCAAAAAAAAATTGATGCAAATCTTTATTCACTTTCACTGGTGCACACTGAAATTTTACTTGAACAGTTCTCATAATAAAGCACTTGTCTTTTGCTCTTTATCAGAATGTGAATTACCTGTTTTCTGGTACAAAAGTATTCTGTATGAGGAGTTTATTGTATGTGTTCTAAATTTAGTTGGCAAAGGGTGAAGCTGTGAAGGTTTTCAAGATTATTGAAACTATGAAGGTTTCTTGTCATTATGACAAGAAAGTTTAATCTTTTTATAGGAATTCCTGTCACTGAAATACGTTTTTAAAAAAATAGACTCATGTGTTTTCCACGGTAGAAACTGATATTTTTTTACATTTTCTCACTGTGGCCAACTCTTCTGTGTTTGTAGAAAGGAATTTGACTTCAATATCTTTTATGAACTAAAAATGAAATCTTGATACTCACTTTAGATTTTTCATTTTATGTGTTCATGACAACATAAATATTTTTCAAAGATTTAGAGGAATTTTGCAATGTGTTTGCATAAATAAATACCAGTTTATGTTCACCGGCTATGTGATACCAGGATTTCCTTGGCTTCTGTTGAAATATTATTTGATATGACATCCCTTATATTAAATTAATTATTTTGTAGAAACTGGGGCACAGCATTTTATTTGTTAAATGAAAAGAATAAGATGAAATATACTCCAGAACCTTGATCCAATAATATTCTCTAAGATAGAATTTGATTTAAAACCTAAAAGCTCTTATTTTGAGGTGATTTTCACCAACAGTGTCATTTCGCACCATGGGGGGAGAAAAGCATACGGTGAGCAGCAAGGCACCAATTTACTGTAAACTAGTGATTCCATTAGCCTGTGCAAATTAATCAAGCTGACCTCTGCCTTCATTTTCGAAATACCCATTGAAATACCTACTGTGTCTTAAGATACATAAAAAACAATTATAAAAGATGGTTCCTACCTCTCTGAGATTTTGGTCCATTTGAAAAAATAGATGTAAATATATGCACAACTAAAACATACACACACACAGAGAGGAAACTGAAAGCGCTGAAACAAGCACAGATAATAGATGCTATAGAAATTCAGAGAAGAGTGAATTCTGTATGGACATTGGAAAGGTGGGTCTTTTAAGGGATTTGAAGAGTGGGTAAAATTTAAGAGACAATAGAAAAGATCCTACAGATGGAAAAAAAGCTACAAGTTAGTAATAGCTCTAAGTCATGTTAAAAAATAAACCACATATTCTAGGAAGTGGCAGGGTTCACATAGCTTGATTAATAGCTGATTATGTAAAGCATTAATTGGCAGTCTCAGCTTGGACTTGATCTATGGATAGAGGGGAGAAATTATGAGGTTTTTTTAAGCCAAGGAAGTACCTAATAAATTGGTTGTTAAAGAATGGCTTATTGGCCGGGCGCGGTGGCTCACGCCTGTAATCCCAGCACTTTGGGAGGCCGAGGCGGGCGGATCACGAGGTCAGGAGATCGAGACCATCCCGGCTAAAACGGTGAAACCCCGTCTCTACTAAAAATACAAAAAATTAGCCGGGCGTAGTGGCGGGCGCCTGTAGTCCCAGCTACTCGGGAGGCTGAGGCAGGAGAATGGCGTGAACCCGGGAGGCGGAGCTTGCAGTGAGCCGAGATCCCGCCACTGCACTCCAGCCTGGGCGACAGAGCGAGACTCCGTCTCAAAAAAAAAAAAAAAAAAAAGAATGGCTTATTAATTCAGCAAGTTTGTTGAGTGCCAGGGTACATTAGTGTCTAGGTTCTAGGAAATAGCAGTAAAAAAAATGTATCATAGAAATGTATGAACTCGATTAAAGACTAGAGGCAGGAAGATCTTTTCAGAGGTTAAAACAATAAAGCATGAATGAAATAGCATAGATGTGGGGTGGTTAACACAGGGTGGAAAAAGGTAAAAGGAAAGAGACATTTCAAAAGATGTATCAACAAGGTATATGAGAGACGTTTCAAAAGATGTATCAACCTGGTATCATGGGCCAAGTGCAATGGCTCATGCTTGTAATCCCAGCACTTTGGGAGGCCTAGGTGGGTGGATCACTTGAACTCAGGAGTTCAAGAACAGCCTGAGCAACATGGTGAAACCCTGTCTCTACAAAAAATACAAAAATTAGCTGGGCATGGTGGCATGCACCTATAGTCCCAGCTACTTGGGAGGCTGAGGTGGGAGGATCGCTTGAGCCTAGGAGGCAGAGGTTGCAGTGAGCTGAGATCATGCCACTGCACTCCAGCCTGGGTGACAGAGTGGTCCCTGTCCCCCCTCCATCTCCAAAAAAACAAGGTGTCATGAATAGGATTCACAGACTGTAAGAAAGATGATTGGGTGGGAGCAGAGCTTCCTGGCATAGGATTCAAGTTTTCAGCTTGCATTTTAAGACTTCCACTTTCACTTAACGTGGAGCAGCAAGTACCAGATTTACTCTCCCACCTAAGACAATGAAGAAACGAGATATATGAAATAATAAATTCACACAATGTTTTCATCAGAATAAAAACAATTTTTAAGATATTGGCTATTAGTCAATGAAGAACAATGATCCTTGAGAGGAAAACAAACAAAATGACCTCTATGATTGGCCCAGCCTGTGGCACACGGAGAGGAAAATCAAGTTGGAGCTTGGCATTCTCTCTGGTTAAGAAGTCAGAACTGAGAGGCCAGGGAGGCCAAGACAGCTAGAGTCTGCAGGGAAGAGCGGGGTGGGGGGATACCAAAGAAGCAGCTCTGGAGATCTGCAGAAATCAGCACATGAATGTAAGAAAACTAAATGAGGCCAGTGAAAGAACCACCTGAAAGTATTAGAGGGAACAATTCATCGAACCTCATGCAAGGGTAATGCCTGTTCCACCCAGTCATTTGTAGAAAACAATTCATGGAGCAGTGGGCATAGTACTCAGAAGAGTTTTGCCTCAGTAGTGGGAACTACTTAGCACTAAATACTGCCTTGGTACTGCTTAACACAAGCCATATCCAGAAGGATAAGGGTTTCTGAGTAACAACTGTGTCCCAGAACAAAGCTCAAGAATATAGTAATAGAAAATGTGCCAGGCACGGTGGCTCACGCCTGTAATCCCAGCACTTTGGAAGGCTGAGGTGGGTGGATCGCCTGAGGTCAGGAGTTCAAGACCAGCCTGGCCAACATGGTGAAACTCCGTCTCTACTAAAAATACAAAAATAAGCCAGGCGTGGTGGCACATGCCTGTAATCCCAGCTACTGGGGAGGCTGAGGCAGGAGAATTGCTTGAACCTGGGAGGTGGAGGTTGCAGTGAGCCAAGATCGTGCCACTGCACTCCAGCCTGGCTGACAGAGTGAGACTGTCTCAAAAAAAAAAAAAGAAAAGAAAAAAATACAAAAATTAGCTGGGTGTGGTGGTGCATGCCTGTAATCCCAGCTACTCGGGAGGTTGAGGCAGGAGAATCACTTGAACCCAGGAGGCAGAGGTTGCAGTGAGCCGAGATCGCACCATTGCACTCCAGCCTGGGCAACAAGAGCAAAACACCATCTCAAAAAAAAAAAAAAAAAAGAAAAAGAAAACAGAAAATGTGCATCACTCAACAAGGTAATAGTCATCATAGCTTGCATTAATTCAAGGTTATCCTGCATGCAAATATGCGGGAAAATACAACACATAATGAGAAATATCAATTGACACTGAACCAGAAATGGCAGAGATGATCAAATTGATGGACAAAGACATTTAAACAATTATTATAACTATATATGTTCAGAAAGGTAGAAAAAAGGTTATGTTAAGTAGAGACATTTCATGTAAAAAAAAAAAACACTATTCAAACATCTAGAAATGAAAATTAAGATTTCTGGGGCCAGGCACAGTGGCTCACACCTGTAATCTCAGCACTTTGGGAGGCCGAGGCAGGCGGATAATGAGGTCAGGATATCGAGACCATCCTGGCTAACATGGTGAAACCCTGTCTCTACTAAAAATACAAATAATAATAATAATAATAATAGCCAGGCATGGTAGCTGGTGCCTGTAGTCCCAGCTAGTCAGGAGGCTGAGGCAGGACAATGGCATGAACCCAGGAGCCAGAGGTTGCAGTGAGCCGAGATCACGCCACTGCACTCCAGCCTGGGGGACAGAGCGAGACTCCATCTCAAAAAGAAAAAAAAAAAGTTAAGATTTCTGAGGAGAACACACAAATGGAATTAGTAGATTGGGCATTGCAGAAGGAAAGATAGTGGACTTGAACATATCACAATAGAAATCCAAAATGAAACAAAAAAACAGCTGAAAAAAGATTAGAGAGCCGTAGGACAATGTCAAGCAATCTAGTATATGTGTAAAGTCCCGACAAAGAGGAGGAGGTGGGGAGAGAAAAAATGTTTGAAGATATAATGACCAGAATTTTTCCAAATTTTCAGGAAACCATAAACAGACCTAAAATGTTTCATAAATATCAATTAAGAAAACTATACTAAATTTTCATATCACAGGTTGCTTAAAACCAGCAAGGGGGGAAAAAAACAGTAAAATCAGCCACAAAAAAAACCAGACATATTACATAAGGAAGAAAAAGGAACAAAAATAAGAACAACAACTGACTTCTTGCAGAAATGATGCAAGCCAGACAAGTATTGGGAAAAATATAAAGTATCAAATTAGAATTCCATACCCAGATAAAATGATCTTTCTAAAACAAAGGTGAAATAAAGATGTTCAGACACATAAAAGCTGAAATAATTTATCACCAGCAGACTTGCATTAGAGCTGAGAGGCCAGGGAAAGAAATGTTAAATAAAGCTCTTCAAGCAGAATAAAATATATACCAGATGGGAGTCTACAAAAAGGAATAAAAAGCACCAAAAATAACAACTATGTTGAGAGTAAAAATATTAACAATGCATTGTAAGATGTATAACATGTAAAAGTAAAAGTTATGGCAACATAGTACCAAGGTTTTTTGCAAAGCTCTTATATCATGTATGTGGTGGAGATGGAGTATGTTAAAGATGTGTACTGTAAACCTTGCAGCAACCACTAAAAATACAAAACAGAATTATAACTAATGAGCCAGCAAAGAAGACAAAATGGAATTTTTAAAAATTCTCTTAGAATTACATCAAACTTAAAAGCTTCTGCCCAGCAAAGGAAACAATCAAAAGAGTGAAAAGACAACTTACAGAATGGGAGACTATATCTGCAAACTGTTCGTCTGAAAAGGAGCTAATATCCAAAATATATAAATGAACTCAACTCAATAATAAGAAAACAAATAACCTGATTGAAAAATGGGGAAAGGACCTGAATAGATATTTCTCAAAGGAAGACATTCTAATGGCCAACAGTCATAAGAAGGGAGAATGCTCAATAGCTCTAGTCATCAGGGAAGTGTAAATTAAAACCACAATGAGCTACCACCTCACACCTGTTAGAATGACTGTTATAAATTGCTGAATGATTAATAAATGCTGGCAGGGATGTAGAGAAAAGGGAACTTTTGTACACTGTTGGTGGGAAAGTAAATTAGTACAGCCATTATGGAAAATAGTATGGAAGTTCCTCAAAAAATTAAAAATAGAACTACCATATGATACAGCAATCCCACTACTGGATATACATCCAAAGGAGATGAAATCTGTGAGTTGAAGAGATATCTGCACTGCCGTGTTCACTGCAGCATTATTAACAATAGCCAAGATATGGTGCCAACCTAAATGTCCATAAACAGATGAATGGACAAAGAAAATGTGGCATATATACATAACGGAATACTATTCAGCCTTAACAAAGGAAGGAAATGCTGTCAATTGTGATATGAGTGATACCTCCAGGACATTATGTTAAGTGCAATAAGCTAGACACAGAAAGACAAGTACCCTATGATCTCACTTACAGGTGGAATCTAAAAAAGTCAAACTCATAGAAGCAGAGTAAAATAGTAGTTACCAGAAGCTGGGGGTGAAAGGATAATTGGGGAGATATTGGTCAAAGGATACCAAATTAGACAGAAGGAATAAATTCAAGAGATCTATTGTATATCACAGTGACTGTAGATAGTATGTTTCATACTTGAAAATTGCTAAGACAGAAGATTTTTAAGTGTTCTCACACAAAATATGATATGTATGTGAGGTAATACCTATGTTAAATAGCTTGATTTAGCCATTCCACAATGTATACATATATAAAAACATCATGTTGGCTGGGTGCAGTGGCTCACACCTGTAATCCCAGCACTTTGGGAGGTCAAGGCAGGAAAATCGCTTGAGCCCAGGAGTTCAAGACCATCCTGGACAAACAGTGAGACCCTGTCTCTACAAAAACTAGAAAAAATTTAGCCAGGCATGGTAGTGTGTGCCTGTAGTCCCAGCTACTTGGGAGATGGAGGTGGGAGGATCACTTTGGCCTGGGAAGTTGAGGCTGCAGTGAGCGCAGATCGTGTCACTGCACTCCAGTCTAGGTGACAGAGTGAGGCCCTGTCTGAAAAACAAAAATGAAAACAAAACCATGTTGTACAACACAAATATAATAATTTAACTTATCGGTTAAAAAATGTTTTAATTGAACCAGAAAAAAAAAAAACACAATCCAAAGGAAGGCAGTGGGGAAGAAAAGCAGAAAAAGAAACAAAGGAAACAAAAGAATAGATGACAAAATAGAAAACAAACAACAAATGGCAGTCTTAAACCCAATCATATCAAAATTACATTAAATGTAAATGGTCTAAAAGCCCCAGTGCAAAGGCTGTACTTGGCTGATTTGATTAAAAAATCAAGACCAACTATATGCTGCCTACAAGAAACCCACTTTTAATATAGACACAAATAAGTTAAAAGCAAAAGGATCAAAGAATCATGAGTTGCCTAGTTTAGAAGTAAAAATAATGTTTGCTTTCAGGCTTAGAATTTTTAAATCATAGCATAAAGATAATCAAGCTTTACCCCTCTATTTAACACATAAATAGGTTGCAGCTCAGTGCAACAACTTAGATGGCAGGCTAAAGTGATGGACTCTGAATGAAATATCCTATAGACAGATTATAAACTGGAAGCTGGATCTAAAGGCAGATTTGGATGTTCTCAGTAAACATATGATGGTTGTAGATTCAGGACATGATCAGTAACTGAAATAAAGAATATATAGTCATGATCCAATGATAGGTACTTGGGGGAACACGAAGAAAATTTATAAATGTTTTCAAATGTGAAAATCATATATCCTTTATCTATGGGTTTGGAAACATTAAACATAAATTATTTATTTGGGGAGTATAAAATTTAATATTTTCCATTCTCTAAATTAATATTATAACTGAATTATTTATTGCTAAAAATTAGATTTTTGCATTTATGTAGAAACTTGTCTACATTACATTTAGAACTTTTTTAAAAGCCAGAATGGTTAAAAGTTAATTTTTTTCATTCATCATATTGGTTGGTAATAGCATTTGCATTTTCTTTTTTTGGTTTTGTTTTTTGAGATGGAGTCTCGCTCTGTCACGCAGGCTGGAGTGCAGTGGCATGATCTCAGCTCACTGCAACTACCACCTCCCGGGTTCAAGCTATTTTCCTGCCTCAGCCTCCCAAGTACATGGGACTACAGGCATGTACTACCACACCTGGCTAATTTTTGTATTCTTAGTAGAGACAGGGTTTCACCATGTTAGCCAGGATTGTCTTGATCTCCTGACCTCATGATCTGCCCGCCTTGGCCTCCCAAAGTGCTGGGATTGCAGGTGTGAGCCATTGCACCCAGCCTGCATTTTCTGTATGTGTAATAGAACACCACAATACATTTTCATGAGTATAAAGCAAGAGGTATGTGAAAGAGAAGGATATGTGATGAAAGTGAATTATCTGGAAAAATTACCCCTTTAAAAAATTACAGCCTGTTTTACAAGGCTGTTAGGACACAGTATAGTATGGCAATAAGTACAAAAACCCATTTGTAGATATGGAGTGTTACATATTAGAAACATCATCTTTTAAAAATCATCAATATTTTAAAAATTTCTACCTACTTAACAAAAGCTCTACTGTATGTTCATTGCAAATAGACATGTTCTGTAACATTTCCTAATAATTGCTGCTGTACTCAGTGGTTTGGTGCTAATACATTTGAAATATAGACAAGGTGTGGGGAAATGATACTTCAATCTTGATCTTTATTTTTCTAAGAAAAAAGTAATTCAAAAAATTAGTGATATTTACTTTGAAAATCAAAGACTTTGAAAAAGTATTACTTTTTACTTAGTATTACTATAACTTTTTACTTTGAAAAAAGCTGGCATTTCTTAGTTTTAGTCTTAGTTTATCTCTAAGTAAGTTGTATTTTAACATAGATGGGGCCGTGAAAGTAGTAAAGCAAGTAAAACAACAAAACCCCTCCTCCTTAATGTTTACGATAAATCAAATTTTCTTACATGTTTATAATGTCTAACTCATACCTTTTTACGTATAAACAAATCTAACTGGAATTCTTTATACATTCCTAAAATGCTAATTTTATTAAAGTAGAATCTGAGTTACATTGAGTTAATATTTTTTCTTTATGCCATCATTAATTAAATTATTCAACATGAGGCATTCTGAAGTTTGATATTCCTGTACCCACAGTGGACAATTTTTTCAACCCCAACAGTAATTTATATAGAGTATTATTCTTTATGTCTAGATTAATTGATAATAAGTGCCCAAGAATCAAAATATAGATTGAAAGAGCTCTTATGATGCTGGCTGTAAATTAAGCTGTCTCTCCAAACTGGTCATGCTACTGCTGCTTCAGGAGTAACAAAGACAAGGCCAGCCTGCCCTAAATATTGCCAAGGGCAGGCACAAGAGCACAAAGAAAACCAAAGAAGTCCCAAAGGAAACCCCTCTTCCCCACTCCCATCCCTCCAGCTCAGTCCTCCACTGGGAGGGGCATGAAGCACAAGCGTGTGGACAGTTTCCTGATCTGCATTTATTTCACTCGGCCAGTTACAAGTCTTACTAAATCTATGATCATTCAACTTGCTCTTCCCCATTTTGATTTTTCCAGATACAAAGCTGAAATCTAGGCATACTTTCCATTACATTTAATAATAATAATAACAAGAGGAAAGAGGAGAAGGAGGAGGGGAAAGGTTATATGGTATAATGCAGTTCTTAATGAATCCATGCTACTTGCTAATAATTACCTTTCATTTTCCTTCCTCGGTGCTTAGTTCCTAAGCCACTCAAAGATCTTTCTAGATCTTTGATGTTTACCTGTTTTGGTAGTGTCTGGTGCCTCTTCTGTTTTGCTCAATTTCTCAAAGCACACTTAACAGCAATTCAGAAATTTCACACTTTTTTTTTCCTGAAGTTTGCCAGAAGTATTTATTTTACAAACACATTAGTGGGACTTGAGACTCATAAAGAAGAAAGCCACAAAATCAATATAGGACCTCCTGTAACATCTGGTGAGCCAGGAGAATTCTGAAACAAATACACAATAATTGGCACTAAGCAAACCAGAGCAATAACACATTGCACGACAGCTCCTAGTACACAGCCTGGCTCATTGCAGCCACTTAAAATGCCACTTGGGGTGGGCCAGGTTGATGTAGCAGGTCCCCTTTTTAAGAGCATTTCGAGAGGCTGACGTTGACAAGCTAGTGTCAGAGATTGAGGTCCTCTCACTTCAAGGACATTTGAAGTTATGTAAATGTATACGTTTTTCTCAAGCTAATATTGCCATTCGCCTATGTATCCAAAGTTTCATCTATGATATACTATACTATGCTAAGCCATAACTGCCATACAGTTCCAGATCATTCCACTCCATCTAAAAGACCTTTTTGAGTACCTAACAAATGTGAACTATTGTGGGGGAAAAAGTAATATATTAGAAAGGTGAGGTGAAGTGATATATTAGAAAGGTGAGGTGAAGGAATTCTCTTAGTTTCTACAATTTAAAAAATTAAGAAATTTCATACTCTGAGCTGTTCTAGTGCCTTTGAATGTTATTTTTGCAGCTAGGAGTCCTAAAATAGAATGGCAATGAAAATAACCTTATATGCTATTCTGTTTTTAAAAATCAAAGCATTTATTCATCTTCTTTAAAAAATGACAGCTGTTTTATGAAAATTTAGAAAATATAGGTAAGCCAAAAGAGGAAAAAAAAAAAACCTGAAACACCTCACTATCCAGAAACCACTGTGAATAATTTGCTGTATGTCCTCCAGTGTATTTCAGTGGCAAAATCTGTATATAGTTGTAGTGAGTTTGAATGTTGGGGGTTGATCAAGAAAAAGACCAGACCATGAGATGACAGTAGCACACAAGAGCTTTATTTTGATAAGGCTTGGACAGATTGCATGGAAGGTGAAAGTCCTCACATCAGGAGACCTTCCAGATACAGCAGCAGGGCCACCACCATAAGGGAAAAAGGACAAGCAACCTCCCTGGGGAGAGGAGGATCAGAGAGGGTTTTGCAGGTTTGAGGATGTCACTTAGCAGCGTAGTGAGGAGCCTCTTGGTCATAGATCCTTAAGGGACAGCAGCCATCTGGGGTCTTTTGTAGCCCCACAGTTTGTCTTATATATGGCAAGAAGGTGTTGTGTGCAGTTTCACAGGTTATGCAAAGCAGGTGGGCTCTAAAAGGGTAAAAAAAAAAAAAGGGGGCTATATTTACAGCAATTGGATGTGCAAGAATTTGAGTTTGGTGCCGGCAGGCTTGAGTTAATGATCCTGGGGTGTGGTACAGAAGTAAACACCATGGGTGTCAATACACAGAGGCCGACTTGAACCCATTTATTCAACAGTAATTTGTTTATTATTTATTATTTTTTTTGAGATGGAGTCTCACTCTGTTGCCCAGGCTGGAGTGCAGTGGCACGATCTCGGCTCACTGTAACCTCTGCCTTCCAGGTTCAAGTGATTCTCCTGCCTCAGCTTCCTGAGTAGCTAGGATTACAGGCATGTGCCACCACACCCAGCTAATTTTTGTATTTTTAGTAGAGACAGGGTTTCACCATGTTGGCCAGGGTGGTCTTGAACTCCTGACCTCAGGTGATCTGCCCACCTCAGCCTCCCAATGTGTTGGGATTAAAGGTGTGAGCCACCATGCCCAGTATTCAATAATAACAAAAAATGAGATTCATACTGACCACTGCTTTGCAACACACCTTTTCCACTTAAGCTCTATGGACCTCTTTCTGGGTCTTTATGTCTATATTCTTCAACATTCTTCAAGCTTTTTTTTATGAAGTGGAATTTTTTTCCCCCAATGCATGAAGTGGAATTTTTTTCCCCCAATGCATTGTTTCATGGAATAAATATATGGAAAAAAAATACACACACACACACACACACTACACACACATATCTATATGAAAATTATATATATACATTATATATATGTATATACGTGTGTGTGTGTGTGTGTGTGTTGGAGAGAAAAGAGTGAAATTCTGCTTGCTTTTGCCAGCTACCCCCTTCTGGCTTTCTGTTAAAGTCTAAGGCGATAAGCCTCTGCTATTATAAAATATTTTAATGGTTTTATGATATTCTGTGTAATAAGATTACTTAATGACCTGTTTGACAGACATTTTTATTTTTTTCCTAATTCTTCATATCATAACATTGCCATGAATGTCCTTGTAATCAAATCTATACATATTTCCATAATTATTCTTTGGTAAATTTTTTTCAAAACACATGACTATTTTTATAGTTTTTGGATTTTTATTTTTTCTTAACTATGGTTATATTCTATCCCTGAAGCTGGCAATAATTTTCCTTGAGAGAAGAGAATGAAATAAAAAATTAGTTGGGAATTTATTGCCTCTGTCACAAAAACACAGGTTAAGAGATGGGCCAGGTGGGCAGTTTCCAGGGTTCCAGTTCATAGGAGGGGCCAAGACAACACCAAAATGTAAGGAGATGGAAAAACTAGATTCACCAGAATTCCTCTTAGAAAAAGTCTCAGTGGGTGGTTGGAAAGAATACTTTCATAAAGGGCTGAAGATGGGGAAAGAGAGACAAGACGTCCTCAGGAACATGCTTGTAAAATAACATGTTCAAGGAATTGCCTTTTATTCAAAGTCCTTTTACTTTTATCCAGTCCTTGAACTTTTATTGAAAGTTCAAACCACAGAGCTGGTTTGGCAAAGTGCATTGTACATATTTATTGACCTCCCCTGCCCTTGCTGTAGTTTTCAGTGATACCTCTAAATATTAAAGAAATATAATATTAAACTAATTAAACTAGCATAGCTTTTTTAAAAAGTTCCAGATTAACAGATTTGCATGTCCAAGGATGCTCTGTCCCCCTCAGACTCATGCTCTCACTACTCTACTCTGTTCCAGTCCTCTCTCCAGCTCTCTGGAAACCCACTCCAAAGGGGCACTCACCACCTCATCTCTGCACAGGACTTCCCTTCCACCTCCCAGTCTTAACTTGCCTCCTCTGAGAGGCAGTATTTACCTGCAGCTCTCTTTGAATAAAGGCTGTTCATTTCCTGTGCCCTATGTGTCTCCATAAAGAGAGTGTCCCCACCTCCTCTTGCTGCTTGAGGAAGTGTAAAGTAATGTACAGGAGTCATCTTTTTTTTTTGAGACAGAATCTCACTCTGTTGCCTAGGGTGGAGAGCAGTGGCACAATCTCAGCTCACTGCAACCTCTGCCTTCAGGGTTCAAACGATTCTCGTGCCTCATCCTCCCAAGTAACTGGGACTACAGGCGCACTCCACCAGGCCCAGCAAATTTTTGTATTTTTAGTAGAGACAGGGATTTACCATGTTGGCCAGGCTGGTCTCGAACTCCCAACCTCAAGTGATCTGCCCACCTCAGCCTCCCAAAGTGCTGGGATTACAGGCGTGAGCCACTGTGCATGGACAGGAGTCATCTTCGACCAGACGAAAGACAGCAGTGCTGAAAGATAACAGCCCAAACCCTGCCCATGTCCTGCATTGGGCCCACTTTTCACAGGCTCTTCGTGGTGTTTTCTACTTGGCATGGTTCCCTCCAAGAACTTTCTCAGCAGTCCTTACCAAAATCAAATCTGTTGTTAGACATGTTGCTTAGGCCGGGTGCGGTGGCTCACGCCTGTATTCCCAGCACTTTGGGAGACCATGGCAGGCGGATCACCTGAGGTCAGGGGTTCAAGACCAGCCTGGCCAACATGGTGAAATTCCGTTTCTACTAAAAATACAAAAATTAGCTCTGTGTGTTGGTGCATGCCTGTAATCCCAGCTACTCAGGAAGCTGAGGCAGGGGAATCGCTTGAACCTAGGAAGCGTAGGTTGCAGTGAGTTGAGATCATGCCACTACACTCCAGCCTGGGCGACTGAAACTCCGTCTAAAAAAAAAAAGACGTGTTACTTAGAAACAGCATCAATGACAACAACAAATAACCTGATTAAAAATGGGCAAAGGAACTGGAGAGACATTTCTGCAAAGAAGATATAAAAATGGCCAATAAACACATGAAAAGATATTCAAGATTTCTAATCACTAGGGAAATGCAAATGAAAACCACAATGAGATACCACCTCACACCGATTTGATGACTACTATAAAAAACAAAAACAAAAAGTATTGGCAAGCATGTGGAGCAATTGGAACCCTTGTGAATTGCTGATGGGAATGTAATGGGCAGCCCCTGTGTAAAACAGTATAGTGATTCCTCAGACAATTAAAAATAGAATCACCGTATGCTCCAGCAATTCTACTTCTGGGTATATACATGAAAGAATTGAAAGCAGGGACTCCAGTGTATTTGCACATCCATGTTCATAGTAGCATTGTCCACAATAGCCAAAAGGTAGAAGCAACTCAGTGTTCATTGACAGATGAAAGGATAATGAATGGGTAAACATATGCGATGTATATGTACAATGGAATATTATTAAATTTGAAAAGGGAATGAAATCCTGACATATGCTACAGTATGGATGGGCCTTGAGGACATTATACTAAGTGAAATAAACCGTCACAAATGGACAAATACAGTATGATTCCTCTTATATGACATACCTAGTCAATTTCATAGAAACAGAAAGGATGGTGGTTGCCAGGGGGTGGGGAGAGGGGATAATGAGGAGTTAGGATACCAACAAAGGGCAGAAACAACCCACGCTTATCGGAGCCATCCCCTCACCCTAGACACATATTCTCTTACATAATTTATTCCTCTTATTTTCTAAACTTAGCAGATATAATTCAGTGCCTACAGCTTCATTCGTGGGCCTCTTCCAATATTCTCTTTTCAAGATAGCAATTCCAAATTTGTATACTTTTGAGTGACTTTGCATCTTAATGTCTCCTTTACCCTCCCTTTAGAGCAGGCTGATTTGGAGAAAGAATACCTGGCGAGTACTGCAAAACAGGACAGCCATCAAAGATTCTTCCCTGATGACATCTCAGTTTCTTTTTTCTTTTTCTTTTCTTCTCTTTTCTCTTTTCTTTTCTCTTTCTTTCTTTCTTTCTTTCTTTCTTTCTTTCTTTCTTTCTTTCTTTCTTTCTTTCTTTCTTCCTCTCTTTCTCTCTTTCTTTCTTTCTTCCTCTCTTTCTTTCTCTTTCTTTCTTTCTTTCTTTCTTCTTTCTTTCTTTCTTTCTTTCTTTCTTTCTTTCTTTCTTTCTTTCTTTCTTTCTTTCTTTCTTCTTTCTTTCTTTTTCTCTCTCTGTCACCTAGGCTGGAGTGCAGTGGTGTGATCTGAGCTCACTGCAACCTCCAACTCCCGGGTTCAAGCGATTCTCTTGCCTCAGCCTCCTGAGTAGCTGGGACTACAGGCATGAGCTACCACACCTGGCTAATTTTTGTACTTTTAGTGGAGATGGGGTTTCATCATGTTGGCCAGGCCGGTCTCGAACTCCTGACCTCAAGTGATCCACCCTCCTTGGACTCCCAAAATGCTGGGATTACAGGTGTGAGCCACCATGCCAGGTGACATCTCAGTTTCGTGAGCATCAACGTGGCCTCTGTTCTCTCCTTATGAAAACAGTTCTTTTCCCACTTTCCTGGCAGCTTCCCTGCAGCCCTTCTCCTCATCAAACAACTATTACGTAAAAATTTTAAAATTTGATGTTCTAATCATAAAAATGCATTCTTCTTATTGTTGTTATTATTTGAAAATTAAATGACCCCAAAATAGGCACACAGCAGACATAACTTGTTTTTTTCAGCTATTTGTAAAGGAGCTGAAAAGGTTAGATTAATCCAAGTAGTTTTACTTCAGATGTTGAGTACAAAATGGGATGTAAACTTGAGTTATAGTATTTTTCTTCAATCTGCTCCTTTTTAAAGGTATAATCCTGTTTGTTAAATGAATTTTACTTAACTATGGAAATAAATGTATCCAGACTGGAAAACTGGTTCCAATTTTTAAACTCTTCCATACTTAGTGTTCTCAGAAGATCAGGGACCGATGAGGCCTGAGAAACTATTTCAGCCGTGCCCTCATTTCTCTCCTGAGGAAACTGTGTTCAAAGATGTCTTAAGTGATTTGATCCAAAGTCTTTCTGAGCAAGGTCTCAGCCCTGGCTTTCAGAATCCCAGCCTGCTGCGCTGCTGGTTCTTTCCAACATCATCATCAACAACCACCTACCAACACCCACGTTTCTCTTTGTGGACCTAACTTTAGAAAGGTTTGTTCCATCAAGCTGCACTTAAATAATAATCCTTTGTCAATTAAATATTCTGGTATCAGATAATCTCTGCTACCCTATTGAACGGACATAAGTCCAGCCAAAAGGACAGAAATGCCATATCATTTCTTTCTTTTTTTTTTTTAACTCATCCATGTTTCTGTTTATATATAGGATAACAAATTCAGAAACAATGGGAAAATAATATATGAAACCTTAATAGGAAATATAATAGAGATTACAAAACACCACCATTTGATTTTTTTATGCAAATACTTCAATATTCCAATATTTTTACTCACTTGTTAAATAAAGCACACGCCTCGAAATGCTAAATAATTCTGTTAGTCTAAATCTTTTAAAGAATAAAATGTTGGTGAAAAACCAAGATTGTTTAGTAAGGTATGTACGACCTTGTTTATTATCTATCATAGATATCAAGATGATCATAGTTAATACCAATTTAAGCTTTACAGAATAATGTTTTAGGCCCAATATTGATATATTAAATGAAGGTATCAGAGAATCTTGTATTTATGGCATCAGGTTATAAAGATCTATTCAAAACCATTTTTGTCAAAGTTTAAACCCTGGAACAAAAGTCAAATTGTTTCTAAATGAGACACAAAATGATTCTTGCTAATAGTACAAATTTTGTCCCATGGGTAATACTATTGTCTTTTTCTTTTTTAAAAAAATTATTTCGATTTTTATTTTAGATTCAGGGAAGACATGGGCAGGTTTGTTAGCTGGCTATACTTACCATTTCTTTTAAACGTTTTGACATGTTCAAATTGTTAGTTTCTGTTATTACCAGAGAGAACCACTAGAGGTCAGGGAAAACCCCTGCCCAGGACAGTGCTTCTGTCCTACCACCTGCAGCAGTCGGAACCCTCTGGATCTGTCTGTACAACAGAGACCCCAAAGCCCCCTTCCCAAGAAGCACTTGGTCTTGTGTCCCACATACTTAACTAATAGCATGTCTTTTTTCTTCTGCCTACTCATGGATTTGAGGCTAACATCCTTCCCTGCTTAAGTTGGATTTTGCACATTTTTTAATCTGCTCATGCGATTTAAACATCTTTCCATCTGGCTACAAAGGCACCTTAATTCCATTCCATTGGATTCCTTATATCCCGAAAGTAAATGCTTTCATACGTTTTTAATCAAATTTGATAAATTTTGATGAAAATTCTCTCGATAAATTTTGATACAAATTTTGATGATAATGTTGATGAAATCTGAAGAATTTTGATGAAAATTTGATGGAATTCTGCACTCTTTTCATATAATGTAAATCTGATGGGGCCAAAGCCTTAGAGATATAAAAATGACTTCTAAACATGACATAGTGTTTCACAGCTATATTATTTTAATGTCATACTTTTTTCTCAGGTTACTGCGATGAACCAATGGCTTTTCATTGACACAATTTGTTTCAATTATTTGTAGTCATCAGTTCTTTTTCAGTGATCAAAATGTCACAATTTAGCCAAAGGAAACTTTTAACTGGCCCACGTAGCCTTTTTACAAAAAATGCACAAAATATTTAAAGTATCTTTGCTTTTCGGCAACAAGATGCCACAGGCCCATTTTGTACATCTGGTCCCAGATGTGAGATCTACCAATTTTCCTAGTCCCAATTTCTCTCAGAGAAAGAAAGCAGGGACCCAACCATGAGCACTGTGGGAGACCACGGCAAGCGGATCACCTGCCGTGATATTAGAGACCCAACCATGAGCACTGTGATGTGCTTATCTGGCTTCGTGCTGCTGGGATGATAGAACTTATGGGCCGTTTCAATGGACGGTCATGGGAAAAGTATACATACACACAGACAAACATATGTCTAAGAAGTTCACAGCCATTTTCAAGTTAGTCCCAATATTACTTCACAACCATAATACGTAAATTCTTAATCCTATACTCAAACTATAATTGTGCTTCATTTTCTTTTTAATGGATGACTCATATTTGCCATTCTGAAGCTCTTGATTCATAACAAAGCTAACGTAATCACTTATTTATTTTAGATCCAAAGTAGGTCCAATAAAATAAATAGGTCCAAAATAGCGATACTGTACTAACTATAAAGCCACTAAGTAGAATTCCAGTGTTTATTTGTAAATTGCCTTTGTCCTTAGAGTGCAGGATACAGAGGGTATAGGATACAGAGTACAATTACTTTGATCTAGAGTACTCTGAAATAAATCCTCACTCTGTGGGTTACAGAAGTCTATCCAAATGTTTCCGTTCGTTTTCCGTTTGAGTTCTTAGGATTTTAGCTTTCACTTTCTGCTTAGAGTCTATATGGGGTCGGAGGCAAAAGGGTAAGTCAGTTTTATCACGAGGACAAATAGAAATATCCTAACAGTTCAATGTTCAAAGTACCAGAAAAAATTTCATTTATTCACTGTCTGCCTCACCTCCAATGACTTATTGCCCAGAAGTTACATGTACAAGATTTACATGTGCATAAAAAGCTGTACAAATCCATTCTGACTTCCAATATTCCTCTGAATATATTTAGGAGCTACAGTTTTGTGTATTCAATTAAATTTTAATTATACTACATCCGGTCCTGAGAGCTTTATGATTTATCTTCTTCCTCCCTGCACCCCAGCTTCCAGTTTTTCTTTTTTCTCTGTCATATATGACAGCATTCCCTTCCAATTAACACAGTATACATGTTAAGTATCATCATATCAAGTCACAGTTATAAATTATAATAGTTAGTTTTACAATATGTTTACTTGTATATGCCAAGACACTTTTCCTTGTTGCTGTTTTGTTTTGTTTTCTCTCTCTTTTTTTTTTTTTTTTTATTTGAGATGGAGTCTCACTCTGTCGCCCAGGCTGGAAGTGCAGTGATGCGAACTCACCTCACTGCAGCCTCCACCTTTCGGGTTTTAGCGATTCTCCTGCCTTAGCCTCCCAGGTAGCTGGGATTACAGGCACACGCCACCACGCCTGGCCAATTTTTGTATTTCTAGTAGAGACGGGGTTTCACCATGTTGGCCAGGCTGGCCTTGAATTCCTGACCTCAGGTGATCTGCCTGCCTCGGTCTCTCAAAGCGCTAGGCATCAGCCACCGTGCCCGACCCCTTGTTGCTGTTTTCTAAATATAGTAGTAATTATTAAGATAGTTTAATCTACCTAGAGGGATGTAAATGTATATAGTAGAATGGCATACTGTTGGCAAGGGAGATAGAGACCAATGCAGGGTTTTCAGGTTTTGTCAGAAATGTCCTTTTAACTTATAAGGCTGTAATTCTGACCTGAATTCTCTACACATGTATTTTTCTATTATCAATATTATTAAAGGCAGATAGTTCCATCGTTTTTTTAATCTTCAGTGGCTTTTGGATATGTACAGTCCAATAAGACATAATTCCGTTACATTGTTAAATAATTCTTTTAAATGTTAGGTATTATGCTTTAAAACTTTATCCAGGGGAGACTTCTGATTCTGCTTCTGATATAGAATGATTCAAAAGACTTTTCAATCTGGTGGTAACACAGATGTAAATCTGTGCACACACAAATTAAAATTGCATTATATTGTGGTATCAAAGAGTGTTGAGTGCAAGACAGCCTTGGTGCCTGGGATTCCAGAGAAGGGCATGGCTTTCACGGGTGAGCAGCGAGCTGCAGCCGTTTCCACGCCTGGGCAAGTCACTGATCTGGGCAGGGCTGGGCGGAAAGTGGGCTTTTTCCATAAAGTGGGCTCTTTTCTGAAAAAGTGAGCCTGGCACTCAGGCGCCTCTTCTGGCGTGAGCGGACGCCAGCCATGCTTTTATAATAGTTACGGTGTGGGCTGGAAGGACAGATTGGAATTTGCAAAAGCCCCAAATAAGAAAATAAACAAATCACACAGCCCCGTGATGCCACCCTCACTCCTGCAGTTATGCTGAGAAAGCCGCGGGAGGAAGCCTTGCCAAGCAGAGCTTGCATGCTTGCTTGTGCATCCGCACAGTGGTTGGTGCCTCGGCTCTCCTGAAGTTGAAGCCAAAAGTGAACCCAAACGCCTACGCTGCACTCCATCTCCTCCCAGCTGAAAGCCCCACAAGACCAAAGGCTTTGGGCCCTGGACCATGATGGCCCAGAAGGTCCAGGCTTGAGCTAGCCAGAGGTGAATGCACTCTGATTAGCGCTCCGGCCCAGCCCCACCACAGCTGAGCTAACTCTTGGTAGGTTTTAATGGTCAGTCCCTCAGGACAGCCACCAGCAACAAAAAGGCTTGCTCTTAAATTTTAAAAATTCTTCATATTCCACAAGAAACAATATATGGAAGACCCTTGTTTCATGTTTGTAGCAAATTCTAGTTGAAATACCCTTTAACTGCAATTCCATGATACATTGTATTTATGTCAAGTCTTTGCCCTTTATCTTCAGTGTAAGAACTCTAACCCTTCAGATGAAATAAAAATGTGCTGTGCTTGGCCGGGCACGGTGGCTCACGCCTCTAATCCCAGCACTTTGGGAGGCCACGGCGGGCGGATCACCCGAGATCGGGAGTTCAAGACCAACCTGACCGACATGGAGAAACCCCGTTTCTACTAAAAATACAAAATTAGCCAGGTGTGGTGGTGCATGCCTGTAATCCCAGCTACTAGGGAGGCTGAAGCAGGAGAATCACTTGAACCTGGGAGGCAGAGAGGCAGAGGTTGCGGTGAGCCGAGATTGTGCCATTACACTCCAGCCTGGGCAACAAGAGCGAAAATCTGTCTCAAAAAAAAAAAAGAAAGAAAAAAAGTGCTGTGCCTGAGATTTCTAACTGTGCATTTTATGGGGCCTGCATGATTACCACAGATATGTATTTGAGGAGAAAAACACTTAAATGTAAATGTTAAATTTCTTTTTCTACTACATCATCTACTTTTATCACTTTTTGAACTAAAAGGTATTTAATGTGGAAGGCCCCAATAAAAAATGATCTTTAAAAAAATAAATTTTTTAACCTAAGGAAAGATAATTTTTTACCATCCTTTTTTTTTTTTTAGGCTGCACCAAAAACTGAGGCTTAGCTGGTATACAAGACTGCCACTACCACCACCTCTATGCCCCCCACCTTCCTTTTAAGTTGCAATCTTTGGAAAATTAAAAATATTTTCCTATCTAGTTCATGGTTTATAACCAGTTCTTATCAGCCAAAGATGTACT